>NC_000015.10:45776874-46401874 GCF_000001405.40 Homo sapiens | reverse complement strand
AAGTCCGTCATCATGACACATTAGCTGAAGAAGCTCATCACTGTGGGGCAGTGCCCGGCCTTTTTTTTTTCTTTTTTTTTGAGAGGGAGTCTTGCCCTGTTGCCCAGGCTGGAGTGCAGTGGTGCGATCTCAGCTCACTGCAACATCCGCCTCTGGGGTTCAAGCGATTCTCCTGCCTCAGCCTCCCAAGTAGCTGGGATTACAGGCGCCCGCCAAAACGCCCAGCTAATTTTTGTATTTTTAGCAGAGACTGGGTTTCACCATGTTGGCCAGGCTTGTCTTGAACTCTTGAGCTCAGATAACCCACCCATCTTGGCCTAGCAAAGTGCTGGGCTTACAAGCATGAGCCACCATGCTCAGCCTAAATATTTCATTCCTAAATAAAGATTGTACTTCTAATTTATAATCTCTTCTCAAGAAATTACGTGTGGGGTCCACAGAATGGAGGTTTTGTAGATGGATGTATTCTCTGTGTTATCCACATTTGCAGACTTTAAACCAAAACAAAAAAAAGAATAAGACAAAGGAGGAATAAAAATGTTTTTTTCCCTCATAATAAAGGCAAACTTCTTATTTTCTGGAACACAATGGTAAATAAAGACTTCAAAGATTAAAATAATTTGCAACCCAGAAAGCAATCATAATGGAAACCAGTTTCAATGGAATTACTAAATGAGAAATAAATCTGCAAAGACAGTTCTCTATAAGATGTAGTAATGCGTGGCTATCGCACCTGCGAGGAATATGGGGAAATTTTCTAATGGACTATGGGATAAAGGCTTGGAATCGTAAAATATTTATAAAAGGTCAAAAGAAAAAAAGCCTAAAAACATGTTAAAAACTTAGTGAGTGTCGGCTGGTCATGGTGGCTCACGCCTGTAATCCCAGCACTTTGGGAGGCCCAGGCGGGAGGATCACGAGGTCAAGAGATCAAGACCATACTGGCCAACATAGTGAAACCCCGTCTCTGCTAAAAATACAAAAATTAGCTGGGCGTGGTGGTGTGTGCCTGTAGTCCCAGCTACTCGGGAGGCTGAGGCGGGAGAATTGCTTGAACCCAGGAGGCTGAGATTGCAGTGAGCCAAGATCACACCACTGCAATGCAGCCTGGTGACAGAGCGAGACTCCGTCTGAAAAAAAAAAAAAGAAAGAAAAAGAAAAAGAAAAAAAAAATAGTGGGTATTAAGTACATAAGACAAATGGTCTTATTGATAAACCTCAGGCTTCAACATTATTCTTTTTTTTTATTGTACTTTAAGTTCTGGGGTACATGTGCACAACGTGCACATTTGTTACATAGGTATACATGTGCCATGTTGGTTTGCTGCACCCATCAACTCGTCATTTACATTAGGTGTTTCTAATGCTATCCCTCCTCCAGCCCCCCACCCCCCAACAGGCCCTCCCTGTGTCCCTGTGTCCATGTGTTCTCATTATTCAGCTCCCACTTGAGTGAGAACATGCAGTATTTGGTTTTCTCTTCTCATGTTACTTTGCTGAGAATGATGGTTTCCAGCTTCGTCCATGTCCCTGCAAAGGACATGAGCTCATCCTTTTTTTGTGGCTGCATATTATTCCATGGTGTGTATGTGTCACATTTTCTTTATCCAGTCTATCATTGATGGGCATTTGGGTTGGTTCCAAGACTTTGCTATTGTGAACAGTGCTGCAATATACATACATGTGCATGTCTTTATAGTAGAATGATTTATATGATCTTTGACAAACCTGACAAAAACAAGCAATGGGGAAAGGATTCCCTATTTAATAAATGGTGCTGGGAAAACTGGCTAGCCATATGCAGAAAGCTGAAACTGGATCCCTTCCTTACACCTTATACAAAAATTAACTCAAGATGGATTAAAGACTTAAATGTAAGACCTAAAACCATAAAAACCCTAGAAGAAAATCTAGGCAATACTATTCAGGACATAGGGATGGGCAAGGACTTCATGACAAAAACACCAAAAGCAATGGCAATAAAAGCCAAAATTGACAAATGGGATCTAATTAAACTACAGAGCTTCTGCACAGCAAAAGAAACTATCAGCAGAGTGAACAGGCAACCTACAGAATGGGAGAAAATTTTTGCAATCTATCCATCTGACAAAGGGCTAATATCCAGAATCTACAAAGAGCTTCAACATTATTCTTAGAAAAAAAAATTAAGTTTGGTAAATGAAGGGGCTTGGTTTCATCTCTGTAGAATCAGCTTTCATCAACTCCCTGCTGGTATGTCATTTGCTTTAAAGAAGAAATGTTACATATATTTATACATATTTTAATCCATTCTGGCCTTTCACATCCTCAAAAGGGAGGTTTTTCAGTTAGGGTATTTGATTGCTCTCCAAGGACAATAGCATGTATTGAGAGACATAATTAGGAGATACCAGATCAAGCTGATAGCATCGAAGGATAACTCCCTAGTCACACAGTCACGTTTTTAGAAGTTGTTCTGCTGACTGAGGTTCACTGATGGCCTTACTAAACAGAAATCTAACTTTTTAATTTATAAGACAGCCTTAAAGGAGCGTAGGTGAAGTTTCTTAACTCAGAAAAGCACTTGTTCTTGATTACTAGGCATGATAGCTCAGGGACAATTACATTTGTACTATGTATGCAAAGCCTGCCCCAACCTCTAGGCAGCCTAGTCACACATGTTATGTGATTTCAAAGAATCCAAAAGAATCCTCTCACTTTAAAAGAACTGATACAGACTTCAGTCTGTTATTCTTAAAATCCACACTATTTAAATTACTGCACTGAATGAATTATTGCCTCCAAGAAAAAGTCTTGAAACCAAGATAGAGCCTTAAATGTGTTATTTATTTTGTAATTGACATATTGTTATTTTACATATTTATGGGGTACAATTTGATGTTTCAGTACATGTATATGTTATATAATGAGCAAGTCAGGGTAGTTAGCATATCCTTCATCTCATGAATTTATTATGTCTTTGTGGTAAGAACATTAAAAAGCCTCTCTTCTAGCTGTCTTGTAATAAACAATACTCTACTGTTAGCTAGGCACCCTGCTGTGCAAAAGTACAGTAGAATGTATTCATCCTGTCTAACAATAACTTTCTTGGGGTTTTTTTTTTGTTTGTTTTTTTTTTGTTTTGCTTTGTTTTTTGTTTTTTGAGATGGAGTCTTGCTCTGTCGCCCAGGCTGGAGTGCAGTGGCACAATCTCGGCTCACTGCAGCCTCTGCCCACTGGGTTCCAGTGATTCTCCTGCCTCAGCCTCCTGGGTAGTTGGGATTATATGCACATGCCACCACACCTGGCTAATTTTTGTATTTTTAGTAGAGATGGGGTTTCGCCATGTAGGCCAGGCTGGTCTTCAACTCCTGACCTCGGGTGATCTGCCCACCTCAGCCTCCCAAAGTGCTGGGATTACAGGCGTGAGCCACCGCACCCAGCCTATCCTATCTAATAGTAACTTTCTACCCATTGACAAACATTTCCTGATTCTCCTCTCCTTCTCCCCCTCCCTAGTCTCTGGTAACCACTCTTCTACTATCTTTTATGCAATAAACTTTTCAAAAAAATATTTTACATAAGAGTGATATCATGCAGTATTTGTTTCTCTGCCTGGCTTATTTAACAGAACATAATGTCCTCCATATTTATCCATGTTGTTGCAAATGACAGGATTTTATTCTTTTTATGACTGGATAATATTCCATTGTGTATATATACCTCATTTTCTCTATCCATTTATCCATTATTGGAAACAGGTATATTCCATGTCCGGGCTATTGAGAACAGTGCTTCAGTAAACATAAGAATGCAGGTATCTCTTCAACATACTGATTTCGTTTCCTTTGAACATATACCCAGGAGTGGGATTGCTAAATCATTTGGTAGTTCTATTTTGTATTTTTTAAGGAAACTCTAGACTGTTTTTCATAATAGCTCTACTAATTTACATTCCCACCAACGATGTATAAGTGCTCTCTCTTCTCCATGTCTTTGCCAACATTTGTTTTCTTCTTTTTGACAATACCATTCCAACTGAAATGAAGTAGTATCTCATCATGGTTTTCATTTGCATTTCCCTACTGATTACTGATGTAGAGCATTTTTTCATATACCTGTTGGCCATTTGTATTTCTTCTTCTGAGAAATGTTTATTAAGGTCTTTTGCCCAGTTTTTAATTGAGTCATTGGGGTTTTCTTGCTGTTGGGTTATTTAATATATATTCTGGATATTAATCCCTTGTCGGATATACAGTTTGCAAATATTTTTGCCCATTCTGTGGTTGTCTCTTTGTTAATTGTTTTCTTCACTATGCAAAATAGTTTCTTTTATATATTATTATTGTCTGTATTTGCTTTTGTTGCCTGTACTTTTGAGATCTTATTAAAATATCCTTGCCCAGCCCAATGTTGCAAAGCATTTTGCCTATGTTTTCTTCTAGTAGTATCATAGTTTCAGGCTTTACATTTAAGTCTTCAATCCATTTTGAGTTGATTCTTATATATGATGAGACATAAGGGTCTTGTCTCATTCTTCTACAGGTACATATCCAATTATTCCAGCACCGTTTATTCAAGAGACTGTCTTTTCATCAATATGTGTTCTTGGCACCTTCATCAAAAATCAGTTGGCTGTAGGTGCATGAATTTATTTCTTGGCCCTCTTTCTGTTACATTGGACTATGTGTCTGGTTTGCTTTTTGTTTGTTTGTTTGTTTTTGCCAGTACCAAACTTTTTTTCTTTCTATAGCCTGTAGTATGTATATATTTTGAAGTCAGGTGGTGTGATGCCTCCAGCTTTGTTGTTTGCTCAAGATTGCTTTGACTATTTAGAGTCGTTTGTAGTTTCATATTAATTTTAGAAGTTTTTTTTTTCTATTTCTGTGAAGAATGTCATTGGTATTTTGACAGGGATTCCATTAAACCTATAGCTCTTTTTGGGTAATATGGCCATTTTAACTATTAATTATTTCAATCCATGAACATGGGATATCATTCATTTGTACCCTGTTTAATTTCTTTCATCAATGTTTTATAGTTTTCACTATAGTGATCTTTCACATCCTTTGTTAAGTTTATTTCTAGGTATCTTATTTTGAGGAGTAGCTATTGTAAATGAAATGGTTTCATTGATTTCTTTTTTCATATAGTGCACTATTAGTGTGTGGAAACAACACTGATTTTTGTATGCTGAATTTGTATCTATCCTGGAACTTTACTGAATTTATTATTTCCAACAGTGTTTTCATGGAGTCTGTATAACTTTCTACATGTGTAATCATGTTCTCTGCAAACAGGGACAATTTGACCCTCTACTTTCCAATTTGGATGCCCTCTATTTATTTGTCTTGCTTCATTGCTTTGGCTAGGACTTCCAGTACTTTGTTGAATAGAAATAGTGAAATTGTGCAACCTTGTCTTGTTCCTGGTCTTAGAGAGAAACTTTCATCTTTTCCTCATTCAGTATGATGTTGGCTGTGGGTTCATTATTCATGGCCTTTATTATGGTGAAGTTCATACCTTCTATACCTCATTTGTTGAAAGTTTTTACCTTTAAGAAACGTTAAGTTTTGTCACTTGCTTTTTCTGCACATGTTGAAAAGATAATATGGTTTTTATCTTTTTAAATTTATTTTTTTAAGTTTCAGGGAATGTGTGCAGGATGTGCAGGTTTGTTACATAGGTCAACATGTAAACATGTGCCATGGTGGTTTGGTGCACCTATCAAACCATCACCTAGGTATTAAGCCCAGCATGCATTAGCTCTTTTTCCTAATGCTGTCCCTCCTGCCCTCCCCCAAGAAGCCCCAGTATGTGTTGTTCCCCTCCCTGCGTCTATGTGTTCTCATTGTTCAGCTCCCACTTGTAAGTGACAGCATGTGGTGTTTGGCTTTCTGTTCCTGTGTTAGTTGCCTGAGAGTAATGGCTTCCATTTTCATCTATGTCCTTGCAAAGGACATGTTCTTGTTCCTTTTTATGGCTGCATAGTATTCCATAGTGTATATGTATCACATTTTTTTTTATATCCAATCTATCATTGATGGGCGTTTGGGTTGATTCCTTGTCTTTGCTATTGTGAATAGTGCTGCAATGAACATACACATGCATGTATCTTTATAATTGAATGATTTATATTCCTCTGGTTATATACACAGTAATGGGATTGCTGTGTCAAATGGTTTTTCTGGTTCTAAATCTTTGAGGAATCGCCACACTGTCTTCCATAATGGCTGAACTAATTTACATTCCCACACCAACAATCTAAAAGCGTTTCTATTTCTTCACAGCCTCATCAGCATCTGTTGTTTCTTGACTTTTTAACAATCACCATTCTGACTAGCTTGAGATGGTATCTCATTGTGGTTTTGATTTGCATTTCTCTAATGATCAGTGATGTTGAGATTTTTTTCATATGTTTGTTGGCTGCATGAATGTCTTCTTTTGAGGAGTGCCTGTTCATGTCCTTTGCCTACTTTTTAATGGGGTTGTTTGCTTGTTTCTTGTAAATCTGCTTAAATTTCTTATAGATTCTGAATATTAGACCTTTGTCAGATAGATTGCAAAAATTGTCTTTCATTCTGTAGGTTGTCTGTTCACTCTGATGATAGTTTCTTTTGCTGCACAGAAGCTCTTTAGTTTAATTAGATTCCATCTGTCAATTTTTGCTTTTGTTGCAATTGCTTTTGGTGGTTGCATCATAAAATATTTGCCCATACCTATGTTCTATATGGTATTATCTAGATTTTCTTCTGGGTTTTTATAGTTTGGGGTTTTACATTTAAGTCTTTAATGCATCTTGAGTTAATTTTTGCGTATTTGGGTATCACCTGGTTATCACCAGTGGAGGCTGCAGAACAGCAAAGCTTGCTGTCTGCTCCTTCCTCTGGAAGCTTCATCCCAGATGGGCACTGACCTAATGCCAGCTGGAACTCTCCTGTATGAGGTGTCTGGTGACCCCTGTTGGGAGGTCTCACCCAGTCAGGAGGCACGGATCAGGGACACACTTAAGGAAGCAGTCTGACTGTCTCTTAGCGGAGCTGGTGCAGTGTTCTGGGGGAAGCCCCCCTTGTCAGGATCACCCAGACTCTTCAGAGCCAGTAGACAGGAAAGATTAAGTCCACTGAAACTGAGACTTTGGCCACCCCTCCCCACAGGTGCTCTGTCCTAGGGAGATGAGAGTTCTGTCTGAAAGCCCCTGGCTGGAGTTGCTGGAATTCCTGTAGGGAGGCCCTGCCCAGTGAGAAGGGATGGATCTGGGTCCTACCTAAAGAAGCAGTCTGGCAACAATTAGCCACAACCACTGTGCTATGCTCTGAGGATTAATGCCCAGTCCAAACCTCCCGGTCTCTCTAGCACTGGCTGGGGAAACTGCTCACTAGAGCCACAGTAATGGTGGTCTGGTTTTTGTCTTTTTCCTGTTAATGTGGTATGTCGCATTCATTGAATTGCATATGCTGAAGCATCCTTTTATCCCTCCAATGAATCCCACTTAATCATTGTGAATAATCTTTTCACTATGTTGTTGAATGCAGTTTGCTAGTATCATGTCAAGAATTTTTGTATCTATGTTCATCAGGGATGTTGGCTTTTAATTTTTGTTGTTGTGTTATGTCCTTCACTGGTTTTGTAATCAGGGGAATGCTGGCTTTGTAAGATGAGTTTGGAGGCATTCCTTCTCTTTAACTTTCTGTAATAGTTTGAGGAGAATTGTTATTACTTCCTTTTAATTGGTAGAATTCATCAGTGAAACCATCAGATTCCGAGTTTTTCTTTGACGAAAGACTTTATTACTGATTCAAGTTCCTCACTCATTATTAGTCTGTTTTGATTTTCTGTTTCTTCATAATATACTTTTGGTAGGTTGGATCTGAGAATTTATCAGCTTCTCTATGTTAACAACTTTCTTCGTGTGTAGTTCATAATACTTAAACAACAATGGTATAGTTGCTAATAATAGTCTCAGGATTCTTTGTAATTTTTGTGATGTCAGTTGTAATGTCTTCTATAATTTCTAATTTTATTTATTTAAGTCTCTCCTCGTTTTTAGGTCTTGCTAAAGGTTTGTCATTTTTATCTTTTCAAAAAAAAACTCTTCATTTTATCGCGCCTTTGGATTACTTTTGTAGTCTATATTTCCTTTATTTCTTCTCTGAGCTTTACTACTTTCTTGTACCAGTTTTGTGGTATTCTTTTTTAGTTTCTTGAAGTGCCACATTAGGTTGTTTATTAGAAATCATTCTACATTTTTGAAGTAGTCATTTATTTCTATGAATTTCCTCAGCTGCTTTTGCTGTGTCTCATAGGTTTTGGTGTGATGTGTTTCTATTCTCATTTGTCTCAAAAAACTTTCAAGTTTTCCTCTTAATTTTGCTATTTACCCATTGATTATTTATGAGCATGTTTTCTAATTTTCATGTATTTGTAAACTTTCTGAAACTTTTCCTGTTGATTTTGTTTTATACCATTGTGGTTAGAAAAAAAATACTTGATAGGATCTTTGTTTCTTAAATTTGTTGAGATTTGTTTTGTGAACTAACATATGTATCCTAGTGAATGATCCATGTGCAGTGGAGAATAATGCATATTCTGCAACTGTTGGATGAAATTTGCAAATGTCTCTTAGGTAAATTTAGCCTATACTGCCATTTAAGTTTGAATTTATTTGTTGATTTTCTCTCTGGATGATCTGTCTCTTACTGAAACAGGTTTCAAAGCTCCCTAGTATTATTGTATTGCAATGTATTTCTTCCACGGAATCTAATAATATTTGCTTTATATATTTGGGTGCTCCAGTTCTGTTTGGGTGCATGTATGTTTAAATTATTATATCATCATTAAATTGATCTCTTAAAGTTTATTTTGTCTGATATAAGTGTGGCTATTCCTTCTTGCTTTTAGTTTTTGTTTGCAAAGAATATCTTTTTCCATTTCAACACTTTCAGTCTGTCTTTAATGGTGAGGTGAATCTCATATACGCAGCATACAGTGGGGTATTTTTTTCTTTTTAATCCATTCATCCATGCTATATCTTTTAATAGGAATTAATTCAATGATATTATTGATAGGCAGGAAATTACTTGTACCATTTTATTGTGTTCTGGTTGATTTGTAGATCTTCTGTTCCTTTCTTTCTCTCATTGTTTACCTGTTTGGTTTGGTTTTCTGTGATGCTAAGCTTTGTCTTCTTTTTGTTCTTGTTTCTATATTTGCTGTCATTTTTTTTTGTTACCAGAACAGAAAGAGTTGTGTGTTTATAATAAACTATTTTAGGCTGGGTGCCATGGCTCACACCTGTAATCCCAGCACTTTGGGAGGCTGAGGCAGGCAGATCACAAAGTCAGGAGTTCGGGACCAGCCTGGCCAATATGGCGAAACCCTGTCTCTACTAAAAATACAAAAATTAGCCAGGTGTGGTGGTGTTCGCCTGTAGTCCCAGCTACTCGGGAGGCTGAGGTAGAAGAATCGCTTGAACCCAGGAGGTGGAGGTTGCAGTGAGCCAAGATTGCACCACTGCACTCCACCCTGGGTGACAGAGCGAGACTCCTCTGTCTCAAATAATAATAATAATAATAATAGACTATTTTAAGCTGATAGCAACCTAACTTTGATTGCATAAAAATACTATAGACATTCACCCTCTATCACCAACAATTTATATTTTGGTTGTATTAATTTACATATCTATTGTGTGTTCATTTGCCACTAATTGTAGCTATTGTTAATTTGGCCTTTATTCTTCATACTAGAGGATTGAAAGCTTTACATAGCACCATTACGGCACTGGAGTATTCTGAGTTTGATTATAAATTTACCTTTAAATGTAAGTTTTATACAATTACATGTTTTGCAATAGTAATTATTTTCTTTCTACTGTTAGTTGTAGCACTCCCTTAAGCATTTATTGTATGGCCAGTCTTGCAGCAGTGAAGTTCCTCAACTTTTGCTTATCTGAGAAGGTGTTTATTTCTCCTTCTTTGCTGTACAATAGCTTTGCTGAATATATTATTTGTGGCTTAGAGGTTTATTCTTTCTTTCTTTCACAGCTCTGAATATATTATCTCATTCTCTCCTGGCTTGCAAGATTTCTGCTGAAAAATCTACCCAGTGTAATGAGGATTCCTTATATGTGACTTGATGCATTTCTCTTGTCACTTTTAGAATTCTCCCTTTATATTTGATGTTTTTATTATAATGTGCTCTGGAGGGATATTTTGAGGTTGAATATAATTGGAGATTTTTGAGCTTCGTGGATCTAGTTGTTCATATCTCTCCCCAGGTTTGGGAAGTTTTCAGCTTTCATTTCATTAAATATGTTTTCTGTGTTAAATATTTTTCTTTTTCTATCTCTTCTCCCTCTGACATTTCTATAATGCAAATATTTTTTTCACTTAATGGTGTCTCATAAGTCCTGTAGTGTTCTCCATTCTTTTTTATTCTTACTTCCTTTTTAGCTCTGTGACTGGGTTATTTCAAAAGACCTCTCAAGTTCAAAAAATCTTTCCTCTGCTCAATCCAGTCTGTTATTGTAGGTTTCAATTGCATTTTTTATTTTATCCATTGACATCTTCAACTCTGAGATTTATGTTTCATTCTTTATTATCTCTGTCTCTTTGTTGAACTTTTCATTCAGATCGTGAATGGTTTTCCTGATTCTTTCGAATTGCTTGTCAGTATTCTGTTGTATCTTGCTGCATTTCCTTAGGATTATTATTTTGAATTCCTTTTCAGGCATTTGTAAATAACCTTTTCTTTGGGGTCTGTTAATGGAGAATTATTGTTCTCCAAAATTATTATTCCTTTGGAGGTGTCAGGTTTCCTTGCTTTTTCATGTTTCTTGTATCCCTATATTGATGTGTGTGCATTTAGTAGAACAGTTACTTTTTTCAATTTTATAGAGTAGCTTCAGTAGGGAGAGAATGTTTTTTCTGTATATGGGTGTTAGGGTGTTGGTTAGGTATGGTGGTACATTGGCTTTGGTTTGGGTGGATTCAGTCATGTGGCTCTGTACAGCTTCTTCAGCCATAATCCTCATCGGTGATGTCTGTAGTTGCTTCAGTGGCCTAAGCTATGGGAGTTTGTGATGGTGGTGGCACAGTTTTGCAAAGAATTTGGGCACTGGACTGATTGCCAGGCCAGGCATGAGTGTAGCAGGATGGCCGGCTGTGCAACAGGCTCTCTGTGGGACATATGTAGGCACAACCAGCTGTCTGGCTGTGCAGTTGATTCTGTGGTGAGTGGGGCTGCTGCCACATTGTCTGTCAGGCTGGGCAAGAATTGCGGACCCAATGGTCTAGCCGTCTGTGTGGCAGTTTCTCTGGGGGGTGGGACCACCATTGCATTGACTGTGAGGCTGATGTGGGTGTGTATGAATGCAGTGGGCCAGCAGCTGTGTGGCAGCTTCCCCACTGTGCAGGTGCACATGTGCCCCAGGAGTTTGGGTGCCACTTGGATTTGGGGTCTTGGTTATTCCCTCAAGCCAGGAAGCTGGGGTCACGAGGCTGCAGCCACCCACATGAACATGGTGGAATGATGGCAGGATCTTTGGGATGGAGAGAGAGTTAGCAGCTACTGGCCTCGAGGGCAGGACACATTCTAGCAGTGGGTCTCTCGATATGGCAGTGTGTCATAGGAGCTTAGGTCATGGGAGTGGGAGATGTAAAATGGGCTCTTACTCTCAGGCAGTGCAGCCACACACACTGTCATCAACTCTCCAAACAGGATTCAGGGCCTGTAAAAACTGGGGGATTCTCCCGTAGCAAGTATTCTTAGCACCTGTGACAGTAATGGGGACCACTGACAGTCTCCAGCTTAGCTTTTCCTCATACGATGTACTCCTTGGCTCAAGTCAATCCTAGTGGAGAAAGAATGTGGCAGAAGCAGGCTGCTTTGTGCTCCTCGCTATGGTGCTATCCTGCACTTCCACATCCTATGGGGACTTTGCTGTTCCTCTGGTGCTTTTCAACAGGCTTTTTCAGTCACCTACTCAAAATATAGTTGTTTATTCATTGTTTTGTTCCTTTTATGGGAAAGGGGATGAGCGCCAGGCAACTTTTCAGCTATCTTGCTGACATCATTCTTTTAAATGTGTATTTAAAGAAAGAAAAAATAAATAAAGGCTGCGGAAAAAAGAATTAAGAATTCACTTTAAGAAGCCGGAGAAAAAGGACACAAGAGTAAACAAAGAAAACAGATAGGAAGAAAGTATAAATAAAAGAGCCAAAATTAATAAAGAAAAAAGGTCTAAAAGACACTGTAAGCAAAGAATAAAGACAAATGATAAATTAGAAAATATTTGGAATTCATGTTACAAAAGGCTTTATTGGCAATCACAAAAGCGCAAATTAAAACAAAAAAATTAACTTATTATTTCACATCTTTCGCATTGACAAAATTTTAAAAGTCCCACAGTAACAAACTTTGGTAAGGTTATGGGATAATGAGAAATTCACATACCACAATTTAAATTGTACAAACACAATAGAAAGCAATTTGGTGACCTTATAAAGTCAAAAATGCCATTCCCAGAAACTCAACAATTCTACCTTTGGTCAAGTTCTATAGCATATATGTTCAACAGAAATGTGCAAGGATAATCATTTCTTAATTAGAAGTACAAAAGAATTGGAAATAAATGTTTATCAATTTAAGAAGACAAAAATAATGTGTTATACTTTCACAGTAAATATTACATAGCAGTTAAAACAAATTCACTATTGCTATCAATGCAAATGTATATTAATACAGATAATTTTCAAAAATGTAATTTTCAGGGAAGAAAGAAAAATATGGAATGTATTTACAATAGGATGTAATTTCCATAAGGTGTAAAAACGTGCACCCTCTGTTTATTAAAAGTACAAAATCATGGACAGGAAGATATAAAACTCCAGAACAGTACTTACTTTATGGGGAAGGGAAAAAGAAAATGGCTTTGTAAAGGGATATACAGGAACTTCTATTAAATGTGGCACATTTTTCTTTAGTAAATAGGGCAAAATGGTAGATTTAAATAAAACTGGCAGTGGTTTCAGGATATTTGTTTTAATTTTCTCTAGACATGTCATGTGAGTTGTAAATATGTCATAATAAAAATTAATAAGAGAATAAAATGTACTCTTTAGAGCATCTTCTAAAGTTATTTTAATAAGAAATCTTTCCTTACTCCTTTGAATAGAGATTAATAATAGAATTTTATCTGATTTGGTCATGAATTTCTATATTTTGTTAAGTTCATAGTTTTAGAAACAACTATTTGATGTTAACAAATCATATTTTTATCGTTTTTTTTTTTTAATTAGAAATGGAGTCTTGCTCTGTCAGCCAGGCTGGTGTGCAATGGTGCGATTTTGGCTCACTGCAACCTCCACCTCCCAGGTTCAAGTGATTCTTCTGCCTCAGCCTCCTGAGTAGCTGGGATTACAGACACCTGCCACCATGCCCAGGTAATTTTTGTATTTTTAGTAGAGACGGGTTTTCACCATGTTGGCCAGGCTAGTCTTGAACTCCTGACCTCGTGTTCTGCCCACCTCATCCTCCCAAAGTGCTGGCATTACAGGTGTGAACTACCGTGCCTGGCCACTTTTGTCTTTAAAACAACTTCAAGCAAGTTGCCTTTCCCTCCAGAGAAAAATATTTATTTTATTTATAGAAGAATAACAAGAACACGCTTAAACACACAAACAGCCTCACACCTACATAAACAAAACATACTCACATATACACACATATGTGAACACATATGCACATGCCTACCCACCTATATACATGTTCATCCACACACATACACATATTCCTAATTTCTCTATAGCAATGTGGTATTTACTGCACATTATTTTACATAAAATTGTATAACTATTGTCCTTTAAAAAAACACAAACAAAAAAACCTTTTTTATCTTAGGTTCAGGAGTATATGTCCAGGTTTGTCTTAGGTAAACTTGTGTCAGAGGGGTTCGTTGTATAGATTATTTTGTCACCTAACTACTAAGCCTAGTATCCAGTAGTTGTTTTTTCTGATCCTCTCCCTCCTCCCACCCTCCAGTGTCAAGTAGGCCCCAGTGTCTGTTGTTCCTCTCTTCGTATCCATTTGCTCTATTTACCTGCATCTAGAAGTGAGAACATGTGGCATTTGGTTTTCTGTTCCCGTGTTATTTTGCTAAGGATAATGGCCTCCAGCTCCATCCATGTTCCTGCAATGGACATGTTCTCATTCTTTTTTGTTGATGTATACATATCTGAGTGAGTTTGATTCTGTTTGTACTGCAGAATCGTAAGACAGTTGTGATGAGGTATGTCTGTGGTATTGCTGGATCATGTGCTCACAGCTAGAACACCATTGGTTTCTTTCACAATTCTACATTCATTTTGAAATTTAATTCGTTTTACCTCAAAACCTCTTAGATCTGAAAGTTTTGAAGGTCATCCGAGCTGCCAATTCTGTGATAAGTGCTTTGTCTCCTGACATTTCAATTTACTCACTTTTAGTAATGTCTATAGGCTGCATTCATTTTAGCATTAACATACACTTCCTTTTCAGGGAGGAAGGAAACAAACTACCCCTAATGATTTATGACTTAGAAGTTTGCATATGCTGCATTGGGAATCAGTTTTAATAATAATCTTCATGATACTATTTCATTTATGGTTCACATATAATATGGCAATAGCTCAATTCCTGTATGTAAACAAAATTTGGCATTTAACAGAAAATTAAAGTATTAGGAAATGAGCTTTTTCTTTTTAAAAATGGGCCATCTAATAAGATCTATTTGTTGAGCTGATATTGCTTCTAGTGATTAAGTTAAAAGTTTTGTGTTGCCTAAAGTGTTTCTCTTGTGGCGAATGATTGAGAAAATAATTATAATGAGCTATGTCTTTGACAGAGTCTATAAACACTGAGATGGCACCACATGATTAAATTTATGTTCAGATTGTAGAAATCGTTGCTGCTTAAGAAGAGAACAAGCATATTGATCTTCGAGAGTGAAATAAGGCAAGATGAAAGGAATAATTAAATCTGGCGGTATTGGTGTTCCCATCCATAGCAATACAATTATACAAATTACATCTCTCCTCACCTTGCCCCTCCTTCTCCTCCTCTTTAAGTTTAAACTCAAGACCTCCTAATCAAATGTTTGTTGTAAAAAAGATTTTGTTTTTATTTGCCTTGCTAAATCAGTCTGTTTTCAACAGAAAAAGGTTTTGGTGTAGTCCCTGAAAAATTTTTTCTTGTAATTCCTGTTTGAGGTGGAAACATGAAGAATGCTTAAGCCTGTTTTAATCATTTTGCATGACTCCTCTTTGGTCCTGAAACCTTATGACTAATATAGGCACTTGGGGAGGTAAACAATGAACTCATTTAGGCCAGTAGGGTACAATTTAACGCCAAGGCAGTCACTGAGCTACTGTAGGGTGGTAGGTGAACATCTGAGGTTGTGAATTCTTCAAGATAAAAAAAATAATAGTAATAATAAAGAAAGCCCTATGGGTCTAAGCCAAGCTTTGAGATGAAAAATTCAGAATGCCTCTCTAGTAACTCTCATGTACTAGATTTCACCTAAAATGTCTAGGAATGACTCAGAATGTATAAGAAATTCTGGGAGATAGATAGATCCTTTTTAAAAAAATCTAGGCTTCCCTTTGATTGGGAAAATGACTCAATTTAGAGGGAGTTACCATCCCTTCTAGAGGCAGTGGGTTGGAGGGTCCTTCTGTTTGAACACCAGGATCTCCCTTGTAAAGCTGTTCTGCTCGCTAGTCTTTTACTCTGAGAACTACTCACTCTCTTGTCTTGTTAATATTGCAATTTCATGTTTCTTCTGCCTGCTCAGCAGTTAATTCAGTTGAATGTCAATCTGCTCCTTCGTATAGGTAGATCTACCAAGGTATGATACCAGTGTGATGCTAAGTTAATGTTCACAGTAACCATGACGCAAGCCTTCATTTTTACTCAGATCTCATACATTGATGGCACTTTCCATATCCTCATTTCTCTTGCATCTGGAAATTTCTCCATTGGTCCCCTTCATACATCACTGTTTGTTCATCACTGTTTCTGGAACATGATCCCTTAATATGCTCCATGAAAAGTAAACTAACTATGGAAAAGTAAATTTGAGAAATAGTGCAGTCCAGTCAGTCCTGCACTGTTAAATGTGGTAGCCACTCACTATGCACAGCCACTGAGTGCTTGAAATGTGGCTAGTTTGAATTGAGATGTGCTGCAACTTCAAACTACACACTGATTTTGAACACCTGCTATGCAGAAAAATATAAAATGTCTCAATAATTTTTACATTGATTAAATGTTAAAATAACATTTTTGATATACCAGGTTAAGAAAATATTATTAAAATAAATTTATAATTTTTTTATTTTGCCTTCTGGAAAATGTGGCTCACATTGTAAATAACTGAGAAATCTCCAGAATGGCACCACTGTGGTCTCTTTTGGAAATCTACAATGTATAATTACATAATAAGAGTTCTGAGAGGTCTCACAATAATAAATTCTGTTTAACTTGGTTAAAACCTGTATTTCCTGTACCTCATTGACCATGGGATTTATTTTAACATAAGAATTATACATACTCTCCAACAGCTAGTAGTTTAAATAAACCCACTTTGGAAAACAGTGTTTAAGGCTCAATGCATGAGAAACCTTGATTCTATTTTTCCTATTTGGCATGCTTCCTGATTCTCAGTAAGATACAGAGGGCAGGGGTTTGACAGTACAAATGCCTGTCTGTTTAGTCCAGATATCACAAATACGCCTGGTATTCCTGATATTAATATAAATTAGTTACTTATACTTTCACAGTTATTTTTGTCAATAAAGCTAAGTGGAATTCAAATTCATAAATGTGCTAATGGCTCTTCTCCATCATGAACATTAACCTTCATTTGGGATTTGGCAGGGTTGAATACATATGTAAATGTAATGATTTGATAGCATAAGAGAATGGAATTTCTACTATCTTCATAATCATAATAGGCACTTAAAACCTTGTCTGTAGTTATCCTGAATCATAGGAAGAAGTGAAATAGTCAAGAGCATGGTAAAGAGGACTAAAGAAGTAATAATCATAAAATATTAATTTTGAAACAATTTTCATATCCCAGCACTTTGCTGAGTACTTTATTAGCCCCATCTCAATTAATTCTTACAATAACTTTATTAGTTAGAGATACATTCTCTCCATTTCACAGACAAGGAAACTGAAGTTTGGAAAAGTTAAGTAAATTGATCAGAGTTTCATAGCCAATAAATTATGGAGCCGTGAACTCGGAGCCTATATCTTAATTGCTGTGACAATTATATGGTAGCATATGCATGTATAAACCTCCTTCCAGGGAAAACCCCCAAGGACTGAAAGGGAGCAAGCTGTGTGTATGTGGCCAGGGGGAGAAGGGGGACTTTCAATTTCTTTTTCTCCTTTATAAAAATCTGTGCAATATTACCACAAATATGTCTTCATGTTGGTTAGGAGAAGGCCAAAAAATATTTATTTGTAACCCTTAGACTTTTTTTTTTTCCTGGAACCTCCCCATTAATATTAAACAATCTTTATCTACACAGGCTACATTTTCCCCAGACAGACCAGTGTTCGTGTACATTAGATGAGAAAAATGGCTGATTTCAAAACTTGCAGTACAGTGAATATGCCTTGTCTTCTCTCACCGTATTGCTTTGACAAATGCTGCTCTCTCAGCTGAGAATGAGTAAGGAGATAAAAAAAGAAGCAAAGACAAACTGTTTCCACGAATCCCATCCCAGATGTCACTGCCTTCAGGGACCTTTACCTAAATCAAATCATCCTCTACTCCAAGCTGGCTTACATGAGCCACCATCACCACAATGGGTATCTTTAACCTGATGTATTTTGCCTTATGAAAAAAAACCTATCAATCATACTATTTTGAAATGTAACAGTAAGATGGGCCTAGTAGTAGTGTATTTGTCACCTGCATCTAAGCTCTCTTTTAATGTTTAAGAAATGTTTTTCACATAGTCACTTATAAGAGTAGGTAAAAAGTAGAGCTTGCTTCTTTACGATACATTACACCAGTTGTGTTTGGTGTCTTTGGAAGATTTGGATGTGCCCAGACAGAGTGGTAAGCCTCAACAGAGAATTTCAAATAAGGTCTGCAATGTTTGAGACAGAAGTCATGCCCATTTGAAAAAGTTACAAGACTTTGTTAGAGTCAGCTCTTCCCCTTGTAACTAGACATATGATTATGGGTTAATTGATGATTTTATGTACTGGGCAATTCACTGTAAACTAGATTTCATCTATACACTAGCCAGCAAGTCAGGGCATCCCTGAATCACTCCATCATCATATGAAAGCGGTACAAAGAAGGCCTGGCTTAGGCAAGTCCTGAAAGCATAATTAGTTTGCATGAGCAGAAAGCTTTTGACCCAGTGCAACTGACCTTACCACATAACCAAACCTCCTTCAGCCCCTACCTGTTGGTTATTCCCTAGACTAGTTGATTGAGAAAAAAACATTTCAACCCAATTTACATGTGATATCACAGGTTAGGTTCTCCAGAAGTAGATGCTGAGATGGAGTCTGGAATGCAGAATGTCTATTAAGAATCAATACCTGCTAAAGGGAGAGATGAAAAGCAGGACTGAGCACAGGAAGAAGTCAAATCGTGATACAAGATACACAAAACTTGGTCAACCCCATGGAGAACTTAAAAGCATATTCATCACCATTACCCTGCTTTGGGCCCAGATAATGAGGCCTTTATATTTCTACTTCAATCAGTCATTGAACATGGGCTGCTCTGGAGAAAGTTAGTTTTGTCGTTGGACAAGATGGCTCTTGCACTTGAGGCAAACCCCGAAGGAAGTGACAACTGAAGCCTGTCTGATGATAGGTGAGGCAACTGATTTTTTTCTTAAAAGATAATGAAATAAATCCTTCTGATGAGGCTGAACTTTGAATAGTATATCTGATTGTTCACTCTTCCTTGAAAGAATTAAGGCCTCAGTGAAGACTCTGCATCCTGAGATAGATAACAAAATTGAAATATTGGTGTCAAAGTGGCTTAGTGGAGCATGGATGGACCTCTTGGAATGGGCTAAAAAATGGAAGAAACTTTGTTCTGATATGACTGTTCATTAGAAGGCCTTCTTGGTGGTGAAGGCTTTCAATAATTAGGCGGCTTTCAATAATCAACATCACTCTCCTTGTGAATGTTGGTCAGCCTCTTTCCATAATCTCTTTTACCCCTAATCAATAGGCTCAGAAACAAAGCAGCCTTGGTGTCAAGGATAAAAGTGATGTAGGAGCCTAACATTATAGGCCTCATCTCCCTAAGGCTGACCTGTTTACTTCCACTCATAAGTAATCAGTCAGTGAGTAGCAGAAACCAATGTGGAGTGGCCTCCCTTACACTCCCCCTTCAATATGGGATACTGTCTCAAAGGAGCCAGGCATTTATTGAATTTCAGTTACACTGGATCCTTGACATGGAAGGGATGGAAACTGGGTATTTGGTGACTGTTTTGTTTTCTCTACACACGATACTAAAAAGACATATCACCAAGTGAAGAATCACAGAATGCCCTATTAAACATTGTGGTACATCACAAACATTGCTTCTAACCAAGGAACACTCACTTTACAGGAAATGAGGTAAAGACGGTAGACTTAGAACTGCATTCTCTAAAAGCAGCTGGGCATGGAAAACAATGGGATGGCCTATTAAAAGACTCAGGCGCTATACCAGCAGTAAATTCTCTGAATGATTGATTACCTGGTATATAATGCTATTTCTCCCATCACCAGAATATATGGGTCTTGGAACCAGAAGTTGGAAGTGGGAGAGGTCCTTCTTACTATTAGATCCAGTGAGCTAATGATTTCCTTCAAAAAATTAGCTTCCCTTGCCCTGTGACTTTGGCTAAAGTTCTCAATTCTCAAAGACAAAATGTTTCTTTCCATCATGGATCTCTTATCTTGGCTGACAATAAACAGGAAATAGGTTTGCTGCTACAAAACGGAAAAGAGAGGAGAATGAATAGGACATATAAAATCCCCATAATTTTTTTTCTAGTGGTAAAATTGAATGGAAGGCAACAGTAAATCTATACAAGCAATACCACAAGGCATTCGGATACTTTAGTGATAACAGCTTGGTCAGAGAACCCTAACCAACAGAAGAAGTGGCTGAAAGCAAAGGGAATGTAGAATTGGTGATAAAAGAAGGAAATCGTGGCAATCAATTATTGCCTCTAGACCAACTTCAGAAATGAAGACTACAGCTCTTACTCATATTTCTTTCTTGCTCTGGTATATAATTAGAAATTTTAACTTATTTTTCTCTCTCCCTTTCCCCTCTGTCTTATACAGTGTTTTGGATGGTAGTAAACTTTCCAGTCTAGTCCATAATATCTGGACTTGTGACAGAACTAAAGGAGAATGGACATCAGCCAGTGATCTTTGCTTGTTGCTAGAAGCAAAAATCGTGAATTTTAGTTCTGGAAAGAGAGTAATATGCTTTATGGCTGTAGGAGAGATTTTTGCATCATTTTGCTGAAAGCACTTTTTTAAAAGTCCAAGTGTTCTTATTGTAACAGATTGACATGTTCCTGGAAAACTCATGTCCTGAAAAATCATTTTCAAATAAATACAGGATTTATCAAAAATAGTTTGCGACAAACACTGAAAACCTATGCCATTTGTAACCAAAGCAATCACAATCAAAATAAGTATCCTAGTCCAATTTAAAAAGAAAGATGTTATAATTCTTAATAAAATTTTTAACTAGAGAAAATCTTATACTGTTTTAAGAAAGTTACATATAAAAAAGGATCAAGTTTGCTAACTTATAAAGGCATGGGCAAAATGCACAAATGTTGAGCAAAACCATTCAATAAGCACTTGATGAGCACAATACATGTCCAGAATAAAAGAAAAGGGAGTAATCGGAATGGACACTGTGTATAATTATAATATTGTGCTCCTCCACAGTCTTCTGTGTTCAACTGTGTTACTTGATGGCACAAAACATTTGTATGGTGAGAAAAATCATAAATAGATCAATGAAACTTTTGTATTATACTGACATCATTCCCATATCAACCAATCGTGTAAGCTTATTTCTTTATAGACATACATGTTATCAAAGCAGGCTGTGTAAGGAAAGAAGAGTGCACATTGATTTAGAATAACCAAAATCAGAGATGTACTGGATATTTGTCACTGTGATGGTCCTATACCATTTTTAAGTTTGGAGAACTCTACAGAAGCTGAAAATTTCAGCTTCTGTAAAATTTCATTTTCCTAGCTTCTCTTGGACCTAGAGCAAGGCACATTACCTAGGCTCACCAGCAAACAGACCCACACTAACTTTTAAAGCAAGACTCAGGAGCAGGTTGTTCAGTTTCCATGTAGTTGAGCGGTTTTGAGTGAGTTTCTTAATCCTGAGTTCTAGTTTGGTTGCACTGTGGTCTGAGAGACAGTTTCTTTTACATTTGCTGAGGAGTGCTTTACTTCCAACTATGTGGTCAATTTTGGAATAAGTGCAGCGTGGTGCTGAGAAGAATGTATATTCTGTTGATTTGGGGTGGAGAGTTCTGTAGATGTCTATTAGGTCCACTTGGTGCAGAGCTGAGTTCAATTCCTGATATCCTTGCTAACTTTCTGTCTCATTGATCTGTCTAATGTTGACAGTGGGGTGTTAAAGTCTCCCATTATTGATGTGTGGGAGTCTAAGTCTCTTTGTAGGTCTCCAGGGACTTGCTTTATGAATCTGGGTACTCCTGTACTGAGTGCATACATATGTAAGACAGTTAGCTCTTCTTGTTGAACTGATCCCTTTACCATCATGTAATGGCCTTCTTTGTCTCTTTTGATCTTTGTTGGTTTAAAGTCTGTTTTATCAGAGACTAAGATTGCAACCCCTGCCTTTTTTTGTTTTCCATTTGCTTGGTAGATCTTTCTCCATCTCTTTATTTTGAGCCTATATGTGTCTCTTTGCGTGAGATGGGTATCCTGAATACAACACACTGATGGGTCTTGACTCTTTATCCAATTTGCCAGTCTGTGTCTTTTAATTGCAGCATTTAGCCCATTTACATTTAAGCTTAATATTGTTATGTGTGAATTTGATCCTGTCATTATGATGTTAGCTGGTTATTTTGCTCATTAGTTGATGCAGTTTCTTCCTAGCATCAATGGTCTTTACAATTTGTCATGTTTTTGCAGTGGCTGGTAGCAGTTGTTCTTTTCCATGTTTAGTGCTTCCTTCAGGAGCTCTTGTAGGGCAGGCCTGGTGGTGACAAAATCTCTCAGCATTTGCTTGTCTGTAAAGGATTTTATTTCTCCTTCACTTATGAAGTTTAGTTTGGCTGGATATGAAATTCTAGGTTGAAAATTCTTTAAGAATGTTGAATATTGGCCCCCACTCTCTTCTGGCTTGTAGAGTTTCTGCACAGAGATCTGCTGTTAGTCTGATGGGTTTCCCTTTGGGGGTAAGCCGACCTTTCTGTCTGGCTGCCCTTAACATTTTTTTCCTTCATTTCGACTTCGGTGAATCTGACAATTATGTGTCTTGGAGTTGCTCTTCTCGAGGAGTATCTTTGTGGCGTTCTCTGTATTTCCTGAATTTGAATACATAATTAAATGAAGGCAGAAATAAAGATGTTCTTTGAAACCAATGAGAACAAAGACACAACATACCAGAATCTCTGGGACACATTTAAAGCAGCGTGTAGAGGGAAATTTATAGCACTAAATGCCCACAAGAGAAAGCAGGAAAGATCTAAAATTGACACTCTAACATCACAATTAAAAGAACTAGAGAAGCAAGAGCAAACACATTCAAAAGCTAGCAGAAGGCAAGAAATAACTAAGATCAGAGAAGAACTGAAGGAGAGAGAGACACAAAAAACCCTTAAAAAATCAATGAATCCAGGAGCTGGTTTTCTGAAATGATCAACAAAATAGATAGACCACTAGCAAGACTAATAAAGAAGAAAAGAGAGAAAAATCAAATAGATGCAATAAAAAATGATAAAGGGGATATCACAACCAATCCCACAGAAATACAAACTACCATCGGAGAATACTACAAACATCTCTATTCAAATAAACTAGAAAATCTAGAAGAAATGGATAAATTCCTCGACACATACACCCTCCCAAGACTAAACCAGGAAGGACTTGAATCCCTGAATAGACCAATAACAAGCTATGAAATTGAGGCAATAATTAATAGCCTTCCAACCAAAATAGTCCAGGACCAGACGGATTCACAGCGGAATTCTACCAAAGGTACAAGGAGGAGCTGGTACCATTCCTTCTGAAACTATTCCAATCAATAGAAAAAGAGGGAATCCTCCCTAACTCATTTTATGAGGCCAGCATCATCCTGATACCAAAGCCTGGAAGAGACACAACCAAAAAAGAGAATTTTAGCCCAATATCCTTGATGAACATTGATGCAAAAATCCTGAATAAAATACTGGCAAACCAAATCCAGCAGCACATCAAAAAGCTTATCCACCATGATCAAGTGGGCTTCATCCCTGGGATGCAAGGCTGGTTCAACATACATACAGAAATCAATAAATGTAATCCAGCATATAAAAGAACCAAATCAAACACCACATGATTATCTCAATAGATGCAGAAAAGGCCTTTGACAAAATTCAACAGCGCTTCATGCTAAAACTCTCAATAAATTAGATATTGATGGGATATATCTCAAAATAATAAGAGCTATCTATGACAAACCCACAGCCAATATCATACTGAATGGGCAAAAACTGAAAGCATTCCCTTTGAAAACTGGCACAAGACAGGGATGCCCTCTCTCACCACTCCTATTTAACATAGTGTTGGAAGTTCTGGCCAGGGCAATCAGGCAGAAGAAGGAAATAAAGGGTATTCAATTAGGAAAAGAGAAAGTCAAATTGTCCCTGTTTGCAGATGACATGATTGTATATCTAGAAAACCCCACTGTCTCAGCCCAAAATCTCCTTAAGCTGATAAGCAACTTCAGCAAAGTCTCAGGATACAAAATCAATGTACAAAAATCACAAGCATTCTTATACACCAATAACAGACAAACAGAGAGCCAAATCACGAGTGAATTCCCATTCACAATTGCTTCAAAGATAATAAAATATCTAGGAATCCCATTTACAAGGGATGTGAAGGACCTCTTCAAGGAGAACTACAAACTACTGCTCAAGGAAATAAAAGAGGATATAAACAAATGGAATAACATTCCATGCTCATGGATAGGAAGAATCAATATCGTGAAAATGGCCATACTGCCCAAGGTAATTTATAGATTCAATGCCATCCCCATCAAGCTACCAATGACTTTCTTCACAGAATTGGAAAAAACTACTTTAAGTTCATATGGAACCAAAAAAGAGCCTGCATTGCCAAGACAATCCTAAGCCAAAAGAACAAAGCTGGAGGCATCACGCTACCTAACTTCAAACGATACCGCAAGTCTACAGTAACCAAAACAGCATGGTACTGGTACCAAAACAGAGATATAGACCAATGGAACAGAACAGAGCCCTCAGAAATAATACCACACATCTACAACCATCTGATCTTTGACAAACCTGACAAAAACAAGAAATGGGGAAAGGATTATGTATTTAATAAACGGTGCTGGGAAAACTGGCTAGCTATATATAGAAAGCCGAAACTGGATCCCTTCCTTACCCCTTATACAAAAATTAATTCAAGATGGATTAAAGACTTACATGTTAGACCTAAAACCATAAAAACCCTAGAAGACAACCTAGGCAATACCAATCGGGACATAGGCATGGGCAAAGAGTTCATGTCTAAAACACCAAAAGCAATGGCAACAAAAGCCAAAATTGACAAATGGGATCTAATTAAACTCAAGAGCTTCTGCACAGCAAAAGAAACTACCATCAAAGTGAACAGGCAACCTACAGAATGGGAGAAAATTTTTGCAACCTACTCATCTGACAAAGGGCTAATATCCAGAATCTACAAAGAACTCAAACAAATTTACAAGAAAAAAACAACCCCATCAAAAAGTGGGCAAAGGACATGAACAGACACTTCTCAAAAGAAGACATTTATGCAGCCAAAAGACACTTGAGAAAATGCTCATCATCACTGACCATCAGAGAAATGCAAATCAAAACCACAATGAGATACCATCTCACACCAGTTAGAAAGGCAATCATTAAAAAGTCAGGAAACAACAGGTGCTGGAGAGGATGTGGAGAAATAGGAACACTTTTACACTGTTAGTGGGACTGTAAACTAGTTCAATCATTGTGGAAGTCAGTGTGGCGATTCCTCAGGGATCTAGAACTAGAAATATCATTTGACCCAGCCAACCCATTACTGGGTATATACCCAAAGGTTTATAAATCATGCTGCTATAAAGACACATGCACACGTATGTTTATTGCAGCACTATTCACAATAGCAAAGACTTGGAACCAACCCAAATATCCATCAATGACAGACTGGATTAAGAAAATGTGGCACATATACACCATGGAATACTATGCGGCCATAAAAAATGATGAGTTCATGTCCTTTGTAGGGACACGGATGAAGCTGGAAACCATCATTCTCAGCAAACTATGGCAAGGACAAAAAACCAAACACCGCATG
The DNA here is from genome assembly GCF_000001405.40 of Homo sapiens. Taxonomy (NCBI): domain Eukaryota; kingdom Metazoa; phylum Chordata; class Mammalia; order Primates; family Hominidae; genus Homo; species Homo sapiens. Next base: position 46,376,251 of record NC_000015.10, on the reverse strand, counting down.
TTCTCACTCATAGGTGGGAATTGAACAATGAGAACACCTGGACACAGGAAGGGGAACATCACACACCGGGGCCTGTTGTGGGGTGGGGGGAGGGGGGAGGGAAAGCATTAGGAGATATACCTAATGTAAATGACGAGTTAATGGGTGTAGCACACCAACATGGCACATGTATACATATGTATCAAACCTGCACGTTGTGCACATGTACCCCGGAACTTAAAGTATCATAATAATAATAATACAAAGCAAGACTCCTAATGCAAGAAAGCAGAAATGGGGAGGAACTCTTTCAGATGATGTCAGCAGTTGCAGCAAGATCAGGTTGCTTAGGGTAGCAGAGGCAGAGGTGAAAGTAGCAGTCTCCAGTGACCAATACCAGATGTATCTCCAGGATAAGACACAGGGTCTACTGCTTGTGTTCACAACATTGATGTTCTTGCTGCTTCTACAGTGATGTCATTTTGGACTTGTTTTTTGGTGTTTTGACCTGAATCTGATTCTCTTGTTATTTGGTAGATTCTTTGAGCTACTTCATGTCCTCTAGTAAATTTTTTCCCACTTATCTTAGACAGCATAGCTTTTGTAGCTTGCAACTAAGAGCTTTTACTGTTACAGTCATCTAGACTCTGAAGGATTTTAGAGGAAGGGTTGTGCCTCTTATCACAAGAGTACATACTGTTGTACCTGGAAGGCAGAAACCACACAATATAATGCTCGTCTCACAAGTAAATGAATAGATGACATTGATATGAGAAATATATTTGCCATAAAACCAATGAGATTCAGTAATTACAATAACAACTAGTACATCAGACTTGGAAGAGCATTAAGATATTAATATAATCCTAATAAGAGGTATTCTAATAATTTTTCTAAATATTTCTACAAATAGTAAACCTTTGCACAAACAACAGAAAGTATTATCTTAGATAAACATTTGCTGTTAGAAAATGTATTTTAATACATTTTATAAGAAAATAAAACTGACTGGTTATTTGATTTTTCTGCCTGATGCTAAGATGTTTGTCATAGTTACCTTCATTATGGTTTGAACTCCCCAATATATTCTGCTGCCATTTTTGGAAGTTTTAATTAATTTATCAGATTTTAACCCCTATCAACTAAAGAATAGTGACTCCCTCATAACTGCATAACCTTAGCATTCCATGGAAAATTATATGGACTCTAATGTTCTTAACACTTGAAACTTACTTCTGATATTCTCATTTCTGTGGGTAAAACAACTAAAAAAATAAGAGAGTTCAGCCAGGTGCAGTGGCTCACACCTGTAATCCCAGCACTTTGGGAGGCCAAGGTGGGTGGATCACTTGAAGTCAGGAATTTGAGAACAGCCTGACCAACATGATGAAACCCTATCTCTATTAAAAATACAAAATGAGCCGGACATGGTGGTGCACACCTATAATCCCAGCTACTTGGGAGGCTGAGGCAGGAGAATTGCTGGAACCTGGAAGGCAGAGGTTGCAGTAAGCCGAACTCATGCCATTGCACTCCAGCCTGGGTGACGAGAGTGAAACTCCATCTCAACAAATAATAAATAAATAAGTTCATGATTGTAGCAGAAAGTAAGAGGAATTAGTGAGATTATTTATAGGTTATTGAGGGTTGACATTTACACGCAGAATTTCCTTGTATTTTAATTTTGATGATTGAAAAGCAGATTGTATCTAATCGGGATCAGATGGCTTCTGCAGTCTTCCTTCAGTATTCCAGCCGGAGGAGTTTGGACAAGCATTAAGAAGTCAGTATCTCAAATCTCTAAAACAGAAATGGTTCAAGGTAAGAAGACAGGTTAGGGAGGAATATGAAAGAAGTTGGGCTACAAGGGTACATGCTGAGCTGCTCTAAGCTGCTCTTTTGCACTCTAGCAGATAGCAGATGCCTATATGCTCCCGAATTAGCTCTTTGTTTCACACAACACAAAAAATAAGATGCTATTATTGTCATTTTAATCTTGACAGCAGATAAAAGGGAAGATTGTATATAAGCAACACACTTTTCTCTAAGCTTTTTTTCCCCCTCAAAAAGGTAAAGTAAGAGAGAACATATATGCATTAATACAATATATTCATTTTGGAATTGGATTAAGAAAAATCACTGGACATCACTTTGTTCCTACCAGTGTAGGTTGGAAGGTGCTTTAGTTAAGAAATTTCCCAGGCTTCATTCTACAGGTAAATGTCTTAGATTGCTATGCCTCCATGAAAAATAGAGAAATGAAAGAAAGAACAGACCTACTGTCTCCACACATGGCTGACAGTCAATTTTCTACTATACTTTTCATTTTAAAGTGTGCATATTGAGATAGTTTCCAATGCATTTCTGGGAGAGCTATTACATTTGATCAGGTTCCATGCTGGCAAACTGCAGTTTGGAGCCACCAAGGATCCCTCAACACTTTACCATCAGCTGATTAAATTGGTCTCAATTTCTACGGTTTTATACTTGAATTGATGGACATATTATCTCACACTTGTGAACTCTAGGAGTCATTATAGACTCTGAGGAATAACATAGGGTTCATATAAAGAGTGAAATGGGTACAAGGGCCCACTTAAGCTGATATTCATCCTATAAGGGTCTTCCCAGGACTTTGGTTGATTCCTCAGATTTGGAAATATCTGAAGGAGGCAAACTGGTTTGAAATTCTTCCTAGATATCCAAAACTACTTGGGACCAAATGCTTTTGTTCTATATGCAGTAAGCTAGGCACCAAGGGACACCCCAAAGAAGCACAGGTTCAGTAGCACAGGTTTGTCTGAGTGGCAGACAAAATAATTCAGAAACTTTAGAGGACGTACTAGTCTGGCTGAAGCAGAGGAGGAGAGCCTGTTTGACCCCGTCATTGCTCCATCCAGATGCTCTAGAATCCCTTTTACCCATTCTGTGTATCCAGCGCCAAGGTTGGGTGTGCTTTAATTATAATGCTTTTCACCTGCAACTGTCTTCAATGGCCTAGCCTTAGACAGCTAAAACAGCTTTGCCTGCAGTGTAAAGAATCAAAAATATACAGTAATTTGCACTGCCAATAACTTCTTCCTGGGAGAAGCCAACAGTCAATGATTGACTCATGTGGGAGTATAAAAGCTCAGCCTCCTTCTATGAAGACAGGACAAATTTGAGGTATAATTTATATTCCAGAGCTCCCCACAGGATCAAGTGGGGTGTGGAACTCGTTTGCCCTCTTCCTCTTCCCTCTACTGCTTCCCCACTTTCTTACCAGTTTTCCTGAGAACACTTCTTAACAAATCATGTGCTCAGGAATCCTTGTCTTAAGGCTTGCTTCTGGAGACTCTGACATAATGCACCTTACTGGGGAGTTGGGACTTGCTCTGGAGCCTGAATAAGAAATAGGATTGGATTTGGAAGGGAGAAAGGAGAAGAGCCCTATTCCTGAGAAGGTAAAATGAACAACATGAGAAAAGGAACAAAAAGGCTTCAGTCCAAACTGGTGTGGTGTACTGGAATACAGTGAAGAGAACATTACACTGGATTATAATTGGGTGGTTGTGAAGTCTGGCCTTTTAGTGTAGCCATCACGCAAATAGTGAATATTTTACCCCATGGGTAATTTTTCACTCTTCTCCCACTCTCTCCCCTTCTGGAGTCTCCATTTCTATATTTATATCCATGTATACCCATTGTTTAGTTTCCACTTACAAGTGAGAACATGTGGTGTGTGACTTTCTGAGTTATTTTCCTTAAGATAATGGCCTCCATTTCCATCCATGTTGATAAATAGATGTTCCATTCTTTTTTATGGCTGCATAGTATTCCATGTTGTGTATGTACCACATTTTCTTTTTATCCAGTTCTCCATTGATGGACATTTAAGTTGATTACATATCTTTGCTATTGTAAATAGTGCTGCAAGAAACATATGAGTACAGGTATCTTTTTGATAGAATAATTTCTTTCCCTTTGGGTATATAGTACTGGAGATTGCTGGATTAAATAGTAATTCTATTTTAGTTCTTTGAAAAACCTTTATACTGTAGTTTAATCTGCATTTCTCTGATGATTAGTGATGCTGAGCTTTTTTTTTATATGTTTGTTGGCTGCTTGTATGTCATCTTTTGAGAAATGTCTGTTCATGTCCTTTGCCCACTTTTTGATGGGGTTGTTTTTTCCTTGTTGAATTGTTTGATGCCTTTTAGATTCTGGATATTAGCCCTTTTTCAGAGCACAGTTTGCAACTATTTTTTTCATTCTGTAGATTGTCTGTTTACTTTGTTGATTGTTTCTTTTCCTGTGCAGAACCTTTTTAGTTTAATTAAGTCCCATTTGTCTACTTTTATTTTTGTTACATTTGCTTTTGAGGACTTGGTCATAAATTATTTGCTTAGGCCAGTGTCCAGAAACATAAAACTCATGATTTAATCTGTTTTACTTTCTTCCAGAAAACTGGGGAGTCAAAATTCTAAGTACTCAAGTTGTAAAGATGTCCAAAATTAATCGTATTAGTAGACCTAGATGAGAGAATTTCTCTTTGGGCCTTACTGCAGTCTAGAGAAGAGATTGCTCTACAGCCAAGGGGCATGGTCAAATTAAAGTTTGCTACATTTTTTTTTGTCTTGCACATAACTGGAAGTGAATGCTAAAAACAAAATAAATTTTTAAAAAACTGTTTAATCTTTAGCAAGGCAAGCAAGTACGTTTATAAGTCTAGCCCCATGCTACATTTTAAACCTTTCTGTTTAACTACTCTTCTCCATGCACATAATTGGTTCATCCTTCACTGAGCTCCTTGTCAGTATTTGAACATACTTTACTACTTCACACCCTCATGCTGCTCCTCAAAATGTCCTTCTATCCCTTCTCTGCCTGACACACTTCTGTTCATTTTTCAATACCCAGCTCAAATGGCACATTTTCTACCTTATCGTACCTTTTCACGTAGTTTTTTTTTTATTTCTATCTTTATGGGGTTTTGTTTTTTTGTTTTTTGTTTTTTTTGAAATAGGGTCTCACTGTGTTTGCCTAGGCTGGAGTGCAGTGTGTGATCTTGGCTCAATGCAACCTAGAGCCTGGGATCAAGCAATCTTCCCACTTCAGTATCCCAAGTACCTGGGACCATAGGCACACAGCACCATGCTCCACAAATTTTTTATTTGTAGTAGACGTGAGGCCTCACTTTGTTGCCCATGCTAGTTTTTGTGTTTTATTAGCACTTGGCATGTTCTTTAATATAACACTTACATTGCCTTTAAAAGTTAACAAGTCCCTAGGATTCTAGGAAAAAAATGTACTTATTTTTGTTTTGTTTCTCCTCCCTATTGTAGTGCCTGGTACACTCCTAGAGCTCCATAGGTATCTGTGGGTTTTGAAATGAACTGTATAAATTTGGATTAATAAAGTGGGGCCAAATTACAAAAGCTCTTGGACAGTAAACTAATTTGAATTATAGCCTAAAAATATGATGAGACACTTAGGATTAAGTGAGTGAGAAAATGTGCTGAATATTTGGGGAGAGCGATAAAGCCATCACGATCTGCTCCCTGTCTTCAGCCTCCCCTAACACACAACTAGATCTAAACAGCGATGGTGTAGTGTGTTGGTAACAGTATTAGCCAGAGAAGTGGTTGTGCAAACTGGTCAATACAATTCTGATTAAGCATTGGTTATTTCACATATTTATTAACATATTTGAGAAGTGGTTTCCTGAAAGCATAATGGTTAAGAACAAGGAGTTTTAATATGAGAGATTTAGAGTGAAATATAGACATTGCCAATTACAACTGTGTGACTTTGGACAAGCTATTTTTCATTGGTGAAATAAAGATAAAGGCACTGACCTCATATGTTTGTTGCGAAGAACAACAAACACTTTGCCTCAAATATTAGGTACTATAAGTCACAATATGATTGAGGCTTTCTCTGACAAGTATACTCCATTTTATCAGGGGCCCCCAGGATATCCCATTCAAAATATACCAGCATTAGGTTATTCCATATGCAGTTAAAAATGGGAATTCCAGATTAAGGGATAAACCACATAGAGGCATAAAATACATGGCATGCTCAAACAATGAGTATCATGACTCCTTCATCTACTCCTATCTCCACATCCCTTCCCATAGATTGAAGCAGTGGCTAATCTAGGCCTAAACTCCTCAAACTTCACTCTCCCCTTAAAATACTATGGGATTTCTGGGTCTCACTGAAATATGAGAATATCCCCAAGTCACTAACTTGTTTTCAAGTGTTCTCTGTTAATGTCCAGCAACATGGTAAAGTAGTTTCTCCTGCTTCTTTCTGATCAGAAATTTTACCTGGGATCATGGAGATCCACACCCTCGATTTCTTCAACTCTTCTTCAGCCAGCCCATTCTACACTACAAGGATTGTACTCATAACTGCTGTAGAGGCCAACTTCACCTTGCAGGTTCTCCATCTGGGATTTCTAACTTCCTATTGCACAGCACACACCCATGCACAAGTATTAATCACACGTGACTGATCCCTCGGGTAGAATTTTTTCTATTCTCTGCTACCGTTAATGTAGGATTCACAACAATTTTTTATGCATACAAAAGAAACCTCTACCATACTTAATGAGAAATACATATGTTATTCAAAATCCTTAGGGATAATAGGGACATATATGAAATAATTGTTACATAACACATATGTAGCATTTCACTCAAAAATTAATCACTAGTCGTTCAATGTTTGTGCCCAAGATTCCTCACTTTCCACTACCAGCACTTAACTCTGTCTACTAACAATAGCTTCTAGTTCCTCCTTGTACCTCTGGTAGAATTCGGCTGTGAATCCATCTGGTCCTGGACTCTTTTTGGTTGGTAAACTATTGATTATTGCCACAATTTCAGCTCCTGTTATTGGTCTATTCAGAGATTCAACTTCTTCCTGGTTTAGTCTTGGGAGAGTGTATGTGTCGAGGAATTTATCCATTTCTTCTAGATTTTCTAGTTTATTTGCGTAGAGGTGTTTGTAGTATTCTCTGATGGTAGTTTGTATTTCTGTGGGATCGGTGGCGATAGCCCCTTTATCATTTTTTATTGTGTCTATTTGATTCTTCTCTCTTTTTTTCTTTATTAGTCTTGCTAGCGGTCTATCAGTTTTGTTGATCTTTTCAAAAAACCAGCTCCTGGATTCATTGATTTTTTGAAGGGTTTTTTGTGTCTCAATTTCCTTCAGTTCTGCTCTGATTTTAGTTATTTCTTGCCTTCTGCTAGCTTTTGAATGTGTTTGCTCTTGCTTTTCTAGTTCTTTTAATTGTGATGTTAGGGTGTCAATTTTGGATCTTTCCTGCTTTCTCTTGTGGGCATTTAGTGCTATAAATTTCCCTCTACACACTGCTTTGAATGCGTCCCAGAGATTCTGGTATGTTGTGTCTTTGTTCTCGTTGGTTTCAAAGAACATCTTTATTTCTGCCTTCATTTCGTTATGTACCCAGTAGTCATTCAGGAGCAGGTTGTTCAGTTTCCATGTAGTTGAGCGGCTTTGAGTGAGATTCTTAATCCTGAGTTCTAGTTTGATTGCACTGTGGTCTGAGAGATAGTTTGTTATAATTTCTGTTCTTTTACATTTGCTGAGGAGAGCTTTACTTCCAACTATGTGGTCAATTTTGGAATGGGTGTGGTGTGGTGCTGAAAAAAATGTATATTCTGTTGAATTGGGGTGGAGAGTTCTGTAGATGTCTATTAGGTCCGCTTGGTGCAGAGCTGAGTTCAATTCCTGGGTATGTGTGGCGATTCCTCAGGGATCTAGAACTGGAAATACCATTTGACTCAGCCATCCCATTACTGGGTATATACCCAAATGACTATAAATCATGCTGCTATAAAGACACATGCACACGTATGTTTATTGCGGCATTATTCACAATAGCAAAGACTTGGAACCAACCCAAATGTCCAACAATGATAGACTGGATTAAGAAAATGTGGCACATATACACCATGGAATACTATGCAGCCATAAAAAATGATGAGTTCATGTCCTTTGTAGGGACATGGATGAAATTGGAAATCATCATTCTCAGTAAACTATCGCAAGAAAAAAAACCAAACACCACATATTCTCACTCATAGGTGGGAATTGAACAATGAGATCACATGGACACAGGAAGGGGAATATCACACTCTGAGGACTGTTGTGGGGTGGGGGGAGGGGGGAGGGATAGCATTGGGAGATATACCTAATGCTAGATGACGAGTTAGTGGGTGCAGTGCACCAGCATGGCACATGTATACATATGTATGTAACCTGCACAATGTGCACATGTACCCTAAAACTTAAATAATAAAAAAAACAAAAAACAAAAAAAAAAACAATAGCTTCTATAGCTGCCCTGACCACAGTCCTATGCACCTTTCTTACTTTCTGGTTTCTCTGTAGCATTCACTATTTATTACTCACGTGTTTCTTTCCTTCAAACAGGCATCTTCAAACCCTTGTTTAAGAAAATATTTAAGTTTGTAAAAGATCCTCCAGTTACCAGGATCCACCTGCCTCAGAAAACAGACAAGGACTTGTAATTGGCACTTTTTTGAATTAGCATTATTGTTTTCTGATCACACAAAGACAGATAAATAATAATGCAGGGATATTAATGGGTAAGCTATCAAGAAGTTCAGGGACTATATGTCAACAAGCCCCTGAGGTGCTTTTAGTCTGTTTGAATTTGCTCAATTTCTCCAACTCTCAGAAAATTTTCCAAATTGATTAGGTCATTTCTACCTATAAGTAGTTTCATAACATGAAAAGCAATATGCCTAAAACTGAATTTACCTTGAACTGAATTTACCTTACCCAACTTGCTCTCCTGATCAGTTCTCATTTCTAACACTTCTATTTTTCCTTAGTAGTTCATGTTTGAAAGCTAAAAACAATCCTTGACATACTTCTATACTTTATTTTTCATATCCAGTATGTCATTGGTTAATTCTTTTTCCTGAATGCCTCTCAATGTGAAGTCCTTTCCACAGTCGCTCTGCTAACCTATTCAAAACCCTCTATACCTTCTGCCTGAGTACTACAAACTCTGCTAATGAGTCTACCATCTTGCAGTTCTTCCTGCCCATCATTGACAGATGATTCTTAATATCATTTCCCTTTTCAAGAATCTCCAATGGCTCCCATTGCTTAATTGTTGAATTAGTAAGAAGAGTTAGTATCATTAATTATTGTTTAATGACTGATTCAAACAAGCAAGAAAAATGATATTGGAAGTGGGTTTGGCCCATCACAGGAATGTTGAGGTATCAGTATGTTGTACATATAATTAATCATCTTCTAGAAGTACTTGGTCAAACAAGAAGAAAAATAAGAAGTATGAGAAGAGGAGGAGGAAAGAGAAGAAAAATAATGAATAGATTGGGGAGAAGAAGAGGAAGGGAAGGATGGAGACAGAACGGATGAAAGAAACTCATCTAAGGCTATTATATAATTGCCTCTTTCCAGATTGCTTACTTCCTTTGAACATCTGGATTTCTCTTTTTGTGTAAGTCCAATTTTTAAGAAAAAACAAGTTCGTTCTAAGTAAAAACAAAAAGTAAAATTTATAAAACTAAAGAAAAAGCAAATCACTTGGCTTGACTTTAATGCTTTCCTGGAAAATATTAAACTAAGATAGCTCTATTCCAATTTTCCAATTTAGAAACAGGAAATAGAAAAATATTTTGTGGCTTTCTCATAAAAGACAGAACATTCTGTATATTTGAACCCTGCATGGCTCAGATGTGGTGCTTAACATGTTTTCTTTTTTCTAAGATTTGTTTCTACTACCTTTGCTTATGTGTGTTGATTAGTATGTCAAAAAGAATATCAAGACTGAAGAATGGTAGTCTCTATTTAAGGCATCTTATTGGTGCAAGAAAAAGAAAGTAAACAACTTTAAAAGTGAAAAGCAAGCTTTCTCAACTAATCTGTGTTTTTAGGAGTGAATGCAGAAGCATGATTGAGAGTGAAATTAATGGTCAGAATTCTTCAACCAAAAATAATTTTGTTTTAAAGAATAAAAAGTAATAACTGCTGCTGCTTTTAATATTGAGCTTGGCTCTTTAAGTCGCCCAGTAGGAAATCCATCGGGATATAGACCCTAATGTGAAGGAGTTGAGTTAAGGTCGTTTAATTAAATTTAAAGATTTTCTTACCCATGGGAAAGGGCATAATTAGCTGTTTTCTAATGCATTTGACGTGAAGATGCTTGAATCAGCACATAATTGAATGTATTAATAGAAGTAGCAAATTCTAATTATGAGACTTAGTTGTTGGGGTAGGGGAAAAAAGAAGTTATTCATTATTTATTCGAGAGAGTTCATACAAGTGTAGAAGAGGAGGAGGAAAAGAGGCAATTACCAACTGTCCCAGGTCCACAATCGTGCAGCCTCACATCGTGGTTCTTAGGAGAATCGGGCAGCTGAAGGCGTGAGTCATTTTGTTATTCCCACGAAAGATCTCAATCTGCATGCCAAATAAATTACCACTAAAAATAGAGTGAAGCACTCACAGCAGAATGTACCAGCTGGACTGATGCCTGCATCACAGATTAACTCTGATATATTGGGCTTTGGTATGTTGCTGTGATGTTTCTGAGGGCACATATATCCAAATCTACACACTAACAAGCTGTTCTCAAATGGAGTTCTACTGAGAAAGTACTTGGGTTGTGTGGTGCTTATGCAAGTTTGAGTAAGACGTGGTTTCTTTTTAAAGGAAAACAAGTCTCATGAACTCTCCAAAATTATTTTAATATGTTAAATACTTACACACAGGTAAAAACTATGCACTTAAATATAAATTCTTATACTTATCAGCTCTTGTACAATTAAAACCACGAAGAAATTTATAAAATAAACAATGAACCAGTAAAATTCAAATCAACAAATTTGTGTGATAGATGATACTATTTTGTTGATCTCCACTCAAAACCCAGATAATGATATTGGCTACTACGATAGAGATTCTGCTGAGTTTATCATGCCCAACCCACTGTGTTCCTTGTGGTGACTCAATTCTCAATCACTCTTTTTTATTTGAACTAATGCAAAACTGACCCTTTTATTATATGGCATGAGGGCATTTGGCTTTCATTTGCATTAACATGACATTTAAATATTAAGCAAGCTTTTTTTCTTATTACTCCTAGGTAATTAATGTAGTATTACTGATCAAAATAAACTAAAACATAAACTCAGATGCTGAGTATAGTGATAGTATGTTACATTATTTTGCTTTCTTAGCAGATATAGAAACTACTATTTTGTTTCTTCTGATTCATACATGCATTCATTGACTCAACAAAAAAAAGAGTGTTTTCTATGTATTAACTACTGCAAATAATGATCATGCTGATTATGATCAATGCTGCACAATCCCTGGTCAAGGAAAATTTTTAAAACTTTAAACTTGAATGTTCAGCAATAAATTATATATCCAAAGAGCTACAATTTGTGGCTACATTAATAGGGTTAAGAAAGTATGAAAGTAGCAGAGCACATCTCACTGGACTGGGAAGTGAAGCCCAAATTAAAAATAATTACAGACACAAAAAAACCCTTCAAAAAATTAATGAATCCAGGAGCTGGTTTTTTGAAAAGATCAACAAAATTGATAGACCACTAGCAAGACTAATAAAGAAGAAAAGAGAGAAGAATCAAATAGACGCAATAAAAAATGATAAAGAGGATATCACCACCGATCCCACAGAAATACAAACTACCATCAGAGAATACTACAAACACCTCTATGCAAATAAACTAGAAAATCTAGAAGAAATGGATAAATTCCTCAACACATACACCCTCCCAAGACTAAACCAGGAAGAAGTTGAATCTCTGAATAGACCAATAACAGGCTCTGAAATTGTGGCAATAATCAATTGCTTACCAATCAAAAAGAGTCCAGGACCAGATGGATTCACAGCCGAATTGTACCAGAGGTACAAGGAGGAACTGGTACCATTCCTTCTGAAACTATTCCAATCAACAGAAAAAGAGGGAATCCTCCCTAACTCATTTTATGAGGCCAGCATCATCCTGATACCAAAGCCAGGCAGAGACACAACCAAAAAAGAGAATTTTAGACCAATATCCTTGATGAACATTGATGCAAAAATCCTCAATAAAATACTGGCAAACCGAATCCAGCAGCACATCGAAAAGCTTATCCACCATGATCAAGTGGGCTTCATCCCTGGGACGCAAGGCTGGTTCAATGTACGCAAATCAATAAATGTAATCCAGCATACAAACAGAACCAAAGACAAAAACCACATGATTACCTCAATAGATGCAGAAAAGGTCTTTGACAAAATTCAACAACATTTCATGCTAAAAACTCTCAATAAATTAGGTATTGATGGGACATATCTCAAAATAATAAGAGCTATCTATGACAAACCCACAGCCAATATCATACTGAATGGGCAAAAACTGAAAGCATTCCCTTTGGAAACTGGCACAAGACAGGGATGGCCTCTCTCACCACTCTTATTCAACATAGTGTTGGAACTTCTGGCCAGGGCAATTAGGCAGGAGAAGGAAATAAAGGGTATTCAGTTAGGAAAAGAGGAAGTCAAATTGTCCCTGTTTGCAGATGACATGATTGTATATCTAGAAAACCCCACTGTCTCAGCCCAAAATCTCCTTAAGCTGATAAGCAACTTCAGCAAAGTCTCAGGATACAAAATCAATGTACAAAAATCACAAGCATTCTTATACACCAATAACAGACAAACAGAGAGCCAAATCATGAGTGAACTCCCATTCACAATTGCTTCAAAGAGAATAAAATACCTAGGAATCCAACTTACAAGGGATGTGAAGGACCTCTTCAAGGAGAACTACAAACTACTGCTCAAGGAAATAAAAGAGGATACAAACAAATGGCAGAACATTCCATGCTCATGGGTAGAAAGAATCAATATCGTGAAAATGGCCATACTGCCCAAGGTAATTTATAGATTCAATGCCATCCCCATCAAGCTACCAATGACTTTCTTCACAGAATTGGAAAAAACTACTTTAAAGTTCATATGGAACCAAAAAAGAGCCCGCATCGCCAAGTCAATCCTAAGCCAAAAGAACAAAGCTGGAGGCATCACCCTACCTGACTTCAAACTATACTGCAAGGCTACAGTAACCAAAACAGCATGGTACTGGTACCGAAACAGAGATATAGATCAATGGAACATAACAGAGCCCTCAGAAATAATGCCGCATATCTACAACTATCTGATCTTTGACAAACCTGAGAAAAACAAGCAATGGGGAAAGGATTACCTATTTAATAAATAGTGCTGGGAAAACTGGCTAGCCATATGTAGAAAGCTGAAACTGGATCCCTTCCTTACACCTTATACAAAAATTAATTCGAGATGGATTAAAGACTTAAACGTTAGACCTAAAACCATAAAAACCCTAGAAGAAAACCTAGGCATTACCATTCAGGACATAGGCATGGGCAAGGACTTCATGTCTAAAACACCAAAAGCAATGGCAACAAAAGCCAAAATTGACAAATGGGATCTAATTAAACTCAAGAGCTTCTGCACAGCAAAAGAAACTACCATCAGAGTGAACAGGCAACCTACAAAATGGGAGAAAATTTTTGCAACCTACTCATCTGACAAAGGGCTAATATCCAGAATCTACAAAGAACTCAAACAAATTTACAAGAAAAACAAAACAACCCCATCAAAAAGTGGGCAAAGGACATGAACAGACACTTCTCAAAAGAAGACATTTATGCAGCCAAAAAACACATGAAAAAATGCTCACCATCACTGGCCATCAGAGAAATGCAAATCAAAACCACAATGAGACACCATCTCACACCAGTTAGAATGGCAATCATTAAAAAGTCAGGAAACAACAGGTGCTGGGGAGGATGTGGAGAAATAGGAACACTTTTACACTGTTGGTGGGACTGTAAACTAGTTCAACCCTTGTGGAAGTCAGTGTGGCGATTCCTCAGGGATCTAGAACTAGAAATACCATTTGACCCAGCCATCCCATTACTGGATATATACCCAAAGGACTATAAATCATGCGGCTATAAAGACACATGCACACGTATGTTTATTGTGGCACTGTTCACAATAGCAAAGACTTGGAACCAACCCAAATGTCCAACAATGATAGACTGGATTAAGAAAACGTGGTACATATACACCACGGAATACTATGCAGCCATAAAAAATGATGAGTTCATGTCCTTTTTAGTGACATGGATGAAACTGGAAATCATCATTCTCAGTAAACTATCGCAACAACAAAAAACCAAACACTGCATATTCTCACTCATAGGTGGGAATTGAACAATGAGAACACATGGACACAGGAAGGGGAACATCACACTCTGGGGACTGTTGTGGGGTGGGGGGAGGGAGGAGGGATAGCTTTAGGAGATATACCTAATGCTAAATGACGAGTTAATGGGTGCAGCACACCAGCATGGCACACGTATACATATGTAACTAACCTGCACATTGTGCACATGTACCCTAAAACTTAAAGTATAATAATAATAAAAATAAAAAAATAAAAATAATTACAACAAAATAATGATGATTCTTATTACATTTCACTCATACTCTTGAGTGCCTGATACGTGCAAGTCATTGGTTGGGTGTTATCTTGTTGAATCTTCACAACAAACTAATGAGATAGTTATTATTTTCATCATTTTATAGATCAGGCAATTGAGATGCAAAGGCATGCAATTAGTATTAATAGAGCTAAAACTGTAATGGAAGCAGAACAGCTCCAAAATATGTGTGTTTAATTACACTTATACATCAAAGAGTTGATATTTGAATTCTTTATAATTAACAAATAGAGAATTGAGCACATACAATATATCAAGTGGTCTTGGATGCTAAGCCTAGTGGCTCACACAGTAATAATGCATTATATAACATGATGTATAATAAATTATATCCCCTATACATGTATATGTTATAAAACTACTGATACATATTGTTATAAATTTAATAATACTGTGGTTAATTTTATGTGATATTTGTAACTTGGCAATGCAGGCCTGGACTTTAATCCTTATGGTAGAATTGGAAATGGAAGAAGGATGAGATATTCCTATGTATTTTACTTATTTATGTAGTCATTTGTGTCATTTACTTTAATAATTAATGCCACTTTGGAAAATTTTGTTTAATATTTCTTCTACTTCCCCTTGTAACCCTGTTAATTGGGAAATATGAAAACTTAAGAAAACTTATATTTCTGCTCCGAGATCAAATGGTATTTTATTTAAAAGAACAGCATGAAATATGTCTTTGTGTCTATCATATCCTTCCATACTACTAGACTTTAGACTACTATGAAGAATTTGCTAGCACCCTTGAGGATCAGCACTGGCCCTACTCCTTGAAGGCCATATATAAGTATAATGTCAGAGTAGATTTGGCAGGCTTTCTTACACAGTAATTGGGGGTTATAATTTAACTGATGCTTGATTTTGATATAAACTGTGTAATCTAAAAGAATAACATACATATATACATACACAGACATATCTATATCCTGAGCATGCCAATTTCAACTTACCAACACACACCCACACACATAGATATAATAAACAGTGAGCAAGTAAAATTCAAATCAAATTTGTGTGATAGATACTATTTTGTTGATCTCCACTCAAAACCCAGATATGATATACATATATATCATATATATGTCAATTTCAACTTACCAACACATACATACACACATATGTACATATGCATGTATACATATACATTCATGTACATATATACAAGTATATACATGTACATATATACAAGTATATATATACAAGTATATATGTACATATATACATATATAAACACATGCATATATATGCATATATACATATATGTATACATGTATATAGACACATACCTGTATATGTAGACATATATATATATATATACACACACACACACACACACGTACCAACATGTACATGTATATATATATACAGGTATGTGTCTATACACATATGAGATATGTGTGTGTATATATACATATATGTGTGTATATGTGTATATAGACACATACCTGTATATATACATGTACATGTTGGTATATACACACACACATACATACATATATATATCTCTCTCTCAGTGGACTTGGTTCTTTGGTGTCTCATAGATTCCCAAGATCACTGTTTCACAAAGTTTGATCTAACATTGGTGGATGATGTGCCTTCATTTTATCTATTGGCCTATAACAAAGAATGTAAAAGAAATAGTGCGTTATTTCACATGGAAGTCAATATAAGGTGTAATTTGGTTAATATAAGGTGTAATTTTATAATGTAGTTGGCATTCTAATAAAAAAACTTCATCATATTCTTTAACTTTTAGGTTCAGGGGTACATGTGCAGGTTTGTTAAATAGGTAAATTGCATGTCACAAGGGTTTGGTGTACAGATTATTTTATCACCCAGGTAATAAGCATAGTACCTGCTAGGTAGTTTTTCAATCCTTTCCCTCCTCCCACTCTCCACCCTCAAGTAGGTCCCGGTGTCTATTTCTGTCTTTGTGTGAATGTGTTCTCAATGTTTAGCTCCCACTAATAAATTAGAACATGTGGTATTTGGTTTTCTGTTCCTATGTTAATTCACTTGGGGTACTAGCCTCTAGCTGCATCCATGTTGCAGCAAAGAAAATGATATTGTACTTTCTTATGCCCACATGGTATTCCATGGTGTATATATACCACATTTTTTTATCCAGTCTACCGTTGATGAATATGTAGACTGATTCCATGTCTTTGCTATTGTGAATAGTGCTGCGATGAACATACTCACACATGTATCTTTATGGTAGAATGGTTTATATTTCTTTGGATATATACCCTATAAGGGATTGCTGGTTGGAATGGTAACTCTGTTTTAAGTTGAGAAATCATGACGCTGCTTGTGACAATGGTTGAACTAAGTTACATTCCTATCAGCAGTTTGTAAGTATTTCCTTTCTCTGAACCTCACCAGCAACTATTATTTTTTGACTTTTTTGTAATAGCCATTCTGACTGGTGTGAGACAGTATCTCATTGTGGTTTTAGTCTATATTTCTAACGATTAGTGATGTTGACATTTTTTCAAATGCTTGTTGACTACCTGTATGTCTTTTTTATTTTGTAAAGTTTCTGTTTATGTTCTTTACCCACTTTTTTAATGGGGTTGTTTTCACTTGTTAATTTAAGTCCAGAATAGTATTTCCTAGGCTATCTTCTAGGTGTTTTCATAGTTTTAGGTTTTATATTTAGGCTTTAATCCATCTCAAATTGAGTTTTTAACGTGGTGTAAGGGGTCCAATTTCTATTTCTACATATGACTAACCGGTTATCCTACCACCGTTTATTGATAGAGTGTCCTTTCCCCATTGCTTGTTTTTCCATTTGTTTGTTTCCTCTCTGATTTCTTTGAATAGTGTGTGTAATTCTCATTGCAGAGATCTTTCACCTTTCTGGATAGCTATATTCCTAAGTATTTTATTATTTTTGTGTCTATTGTGAATGAGAATGTGTTCTTGATTTCACTCAGTGTGGATGTTGTTGGTGTACAGGAATGCTACTAATCTTTATAGATGGATTTTGTATCCTGAACTGTTGCTGTAGTTGTTTATCAGATCTAGGAGCTTTGGGCAGAGACTATCAGGTTTTCTAGGTATAGAATCATATCATCTGTTAACAGGCATAGTTTAACTTCCTCTCTTCCTATTTGGATGCCTTTTATCTTTCTCCTACTTGATAGCTCCGGTTAGGACTTCCAGGACTGTGTTGAATAATAATGGTGAGAGAGGGCAACCTTGTGTTGTTCCAGTTTTTGAGGGGAATGTTTCCAGCTTTTGCCTATTCGGTATGATATTGGCTGTGGGTTTTTCATAGATGGCTCTTCTTATTTTGAAGTATGTTCCTTCAATGCCAATTTGATAAGGGTTTTTAACATGAAAGGATGTCGAATTTTATGGAAAGCCTTTCTGCATCTATTCAGATGATCAAGTGATTTTTGTTTTAGTTCTGTTTTGTGATGAATCACATTTATTGATTTGTGTTTATTGAACCAACCTTGCATCCCAGGGTAATGCCTATGTGATCATAGTGGGTTAGCTTGTTGAAGTGCTCCTGGCTTGAGTTTGCCAGTATTTTGCATCAACGCTTATCAACAATATTGGCCCGAAGTTTTCTTTCCTTCCTTGTGTCTCTGCCAGGTTTTGGTGTCAGAATTACGCTGGCCTCATAGAATGAATTAGGAAGGACTTCCTCTTCAATTTTTTGGAATACTTTCAGTAGAAATGGTGCCAACTCCTCTTTATCTATCTGGTAGAATTTGGCTGTGATTACATCTGGTCCTGGGCTTTTTCTGGCTGGTAGGCTTTTTATTACTGTTTCAACTTCAGGACTCATTATTGGTCTGTTCAGGGATTCAGTTTCTTCCTGGTTCACTCTTGGGACATTGTAGGTTTCTAGGAATGTATCCCTTTCTTCTAAGGTTTTCTAGCTTGTGTGCAGAGAGGTGTTTGTAGTAGTCTCTCAGGATGTTTTGTATTTCTGTAACATCAGTGGTAATGTCCTCTTTGCCATTTCTGATTGTGTTTATTCAGATCATCTTTTATTCTTTATTAATCTAGCTAGTGGTCTATCTTATTTGTTCTTTAAAAAAACAGCTCCTGGAATCACTGATCTTTTGTTTTTTTTGCATCTCAATTCCTATCAGTTCAGCTCTGATTTTGGTTATTTTTTTTCCATTGCTAGCTTTGGGATTGGTTTTGTCTTGTTTCTCTAGTTCCTCTAGGTATGATGTTGTTAATTTGAGATCTTTCTAACTTTTTGATGGGGACATTTAGTACTATAAACTTCCCTTTTAACACCATTTTAGCTGTGTGCCAGAGATTCTGATATGTTGCATCTTTGTTCTCATTTGTTTCCAAAAATTTCGTGATTTATGCCTTAATTTCATTGTTTACCCAAAAGTTACACAGGAGCAGGTTGTTTAATTTCCATGTAATTCTATGGTTTTGAGCAATTTTCTCAGTATTGATTTCTATTTTTATTGCATTGTAGTCTCAGAGTGGTGGTTGGTATGATTTCGATTTTCTTTGAATTTGATGCAGATTGTGTTATGACCACTTGTGTGGTCGATTTTAGAGTATGTGCCATGTTCAGATGAGAAGAATGTATATTCTGTTGTTTGCGGTGAAGAGTTCTGTAGATGTCTTTTAGGTTCAGTTGTTCAAGTGTCAAGTTAAGGTCCTGAGTATCTTTGTTGGTTTTCTCCTTTGATGATCTATCTAGTACTTTCAGTGGGGTGTTGAAGTCTCCCACTATTATTGTGTGGTTATCTAAGTCTCTTTATAGATCTCTAAGAACTTGCTTCATGAATTTTGGTGCTCCTGTTTTGGGTGTATATAAATTTAGAACAGTTAGGTCTTCTTGTTGAATTGAACCATTTACCACTGTGAAATGCCCTTTCCTTGTCTTTTTGGTCTGTGTTGGTTTAAAGTCTGTTTTGTTTGAAATTAGAATAGCAACCCTTGTATTTTTTTTGTTTTTCATTTGCTTGGCAGATTATTTGCTATCTCTTTACTTTGAACCTATTCCCTATTCGTGTCAATGCATGTGAGATGGTTCTCTTGAAGGCAGCACACCATTGGTTCTCACTTATTTATCCAACTTGCCACTCTGTGTCTTTTAATTGGGTATTTAACTAATTTACTTACAAGGTTAATATTCATATGTGTGGATTTGATCCTGTCATCGTGTTGTTAATGGTCAATGTCTTAGTGTCAATGGTCTATGTACTTAGGTGTGTTTTGGTAATGACTAGTATCAGTCTTTCCTTTCCATATTTAGCACTCCATTCAAGATCTCTTGTAAGTCAGATCTGGTGGTAACAAATTCCCTTAGCATTTGCTTGCCTGAAGAGAATCTTATTTCTCCTTCACTTAAGAAACTTAGTTTAGCTGAATATGAAATTCTTGGTTGGAATTTCTTTTTTTTTTTTTTTTTTTAACAATGCTGAATATAGGCCCAATCTCTTCTGGCTTGTGGGGTTTCTGCTGAAAGATCTTCTGTAGCCTGATGTGGTTCCCTTTGTAGGTGACTTGCTCCTCCTGTGTAGCTGTATTTAACATTTATTCTTTCATTTCAACCTTGGAGAAATCTGATGACTACATGTCTTAGGGATGATCTTAACACAGTATCTCATAGAGGTTCTCTGTATTTCATGAATTTGAATGTTGGCCTCTCTAGTGAGGTTGGGGAAATTTTCACAAATAATATCCTCAAATATGTTTTCCAACTTTGTTTCATCTTCTTTCAGTGATATTACTGAGTTGTAGATTTGGTCTCTTTATATAATCTCATACTTTTCAAAAGTTTTGTTCATTATTTTTATTTTAAATTCCTTTTTTATTTTTGTCTGACTTAGATCAGAGATCCAGTCTTTGAGCGCTGAGAATCTTTCCTCAACTTCATCTATCCTGCTATTAATACTTCCAGTTATATTATAAAATTCTCTATCAGTTCAGTTTGGTTATTTCTTATAATGCTCATTTCATCTCGCAGATTCTGCATCATTTTATTGTAATTCTTAGATTCATTGGATTAGGTTTTGACTGTGTTCTGAATCTCGAGGATCTTTGTTCCTAGCCATATTCTGAATTCTATTTCTGTCATTTCAGCCATATCAGCCTGGTTAAGAACCCTTGCTGGGAAACTAATAGTCATTAGGAGGAAAAAAGACATTCTGACATTCTGGCTGTTTGAGTTGCCAGAGTTTTTGAGCTAGTCCTTTCTCATTTGTGTGCGTAATGTTCCTTTAACTGTGGTGAAATTTGAGTATGGTCAGTTGACTTCTATTCTGTAGGTTTTCAGAAGCGCAAGGCTTTGTGCAGGGTCTTTGTAGCTGAATTCTTGTCCTTTGTTTCAAAGGGCACTATATTAGCAAAGTATTTTTAGTGCTGACATTTAGGCTGTGAATAGTAGATGGCACTTAAGTGTAATTACCAGTAGGTAGGTTTTTGCTTAGCCATATGGCTCCTCTGTATTTCCTCAGGGCTGCAGCCATGCTCCGTCTCAATGTTCTGAAAGTGGGGACTTCTTTCTCAATCAAGTGCTGCCTGCAGATCTTGGCTTGGCACTTTTGTGCTGCATGCCACTGTCCTGGGGTATGCTTAGGCTTTATGTTTCCTCTCCAACTTGGAGGCAGCAGGGGAAGATAGTTTGCTAGTGGCTGTGGCAGAGGGTCTTTCATTTGTCTCTTGGGATTCCAGCCCAGAGAAATTCACAGCTGCTACCAATCAGTGCAATCAACACACAGGTAGGGCAGCTGTGTTGTGGACCCAAGATGGTCAGCGGGGAGGACCTGCCTACTAATAAGCAGGGGTAATGGGGGACTCATCGGGGAGACAGACTGGCCTCTTCTTCTTAGGCCAGCTGCAGCTTGCTAGAGGTATGGATAAAGCACTCAGGGTCTTTGTTCCTTCCCCAGTCTGAGGGCAACCAGGGCAATACCAGTACAGAGGGACTTTCAGTTGACTCTGGGAGCTCCACCTCAGAGAAACATACAGCCACTGCTACTGACAATATTCAGCCAGGAGGTGGGGCAGCTGTGTTGCTGGCCAGAGCCAGGGACCCCACTTGGTGAAAAGCAGGTAGTCGCGGGCTTATGGGAGAAGAGACTGGACTCCTTTCCTTATGGTGACTATACTGGAAGCACGAGTAAAGCCCTCAGTCTCTTTCCCTAGTCCAAGTGCAGCAGAGGAAGATCTGCTGCCATAGCAATAGCAGAGGGGCTGTTGGTTGCCTCTGGGAGTACCACCCCAGACAAAGACAGAGGCACTACCAGTGGGAATCCTCATCTGAGGGTAGGGCAGCTGTTCTGTGTTCTGAGCCAGGGGTCCCGTCTAGTGTAGAGTTGGGAATAGGGGCTCATTGGGAAGAGAGCCTGGGCTCCTCTCCATATGGTGGCTGTGGTGTGCTGGAGGTGCCACCATAGCAACCAGGGCCTTTATTCCTCCCCCAGCCCAAGGGCAGCAACGATGGTACCACTGCAGCTGCAATGGCAGAGGGGCTGTGGGTTGTCTCTGGGATAAAGACAGAGCCACCACCAACTGAAGTGTTCAGGAGGAGGCAGGGTAGCCGTGCTGGAAACCCAAGTCGAGAGGCACTGTCCAGGGAGGAGTAGCAGGATTGGAGATCCATGTGGAAAATAGTCTGGCTGCTTTTCCATAAGGTAGCTGTGATGTGCTAGAGGTCCACATTAGTTCCTAATCACCGAACTCTCTTCCAAGCTTAAGGGCAACAGGAGTGAGGGCTGCAGTAAAATAGTGACCTGCCTGCTCACTCTGAAAGCGTCATCCCAGGGAAGTGCAGAGCTGCTACCCTACAAGAGCCCAGGGTGAGGATGGCTGGGATCTCAGCCTGGGAGGCCCCACCCAGGTATCCTTTCAACATAAAAATCATCTTTCAGCTCTCAACTTCCATATGCATATTCAAGGATTCACAGAGAAAGCAGAGTATTGCTAGTAGTCAGGATCTCAAATCCATGTTGGAAAATAATTGTACAACTTCAGAACAGGGAATTTGCTATGCTAGACTTATCAGAGAAGTATTCAGGACATAGGTAGGATTTGAAATAGGCCCTGAAGTAAGAAATATGATGGAAAAACAAATTTCATTTACTGATCATAAATGTACTGTGAAAAAGATCATACAAACAAATGGAAAAACATTCCCTGCTCATGGATTGGAAGAATCAATATCATTAAAATGGTCATGCTGCCCAAAGCAATCTAAAAATTCAATGTTATTCCTACCAAACTACCAAAGTCATTTTTTTCACAGAATTGTAAAAAACTATTCTAAAACTCAGATGAAACCAAAAAGCCTGAATAGCCATAGCAATTCTAAGTAAAAAGAACAAAGGCAGACACATTATACTACCTGATTTCAAACTATACTAATAGGCTACATAACAGAAATAAAAATGGACATACAAAACAGACATATAAACCAATAAAACAGGACAGAGAACCCAGAAATAAAGCCACACCTACAGCCATCTAATCTTTGACAAAGTTAGCACAAATAAGCAATGAGGAAAGGACTTCCTATTCAATAAATGGTGCTGGGACAGCTGGCTAGCCATATACAGATGATTAAAACTGAACCCCTTCCTTTCACCATATATAAAAATCAACTTGAAACAAGTTAAATATTTAAATATAAGACCTCAAACTATAAGAATCCAAGAAGAAAACCTAGGAAACACCAGTCTGGACAGCAGTCTTGGGAAAGAATTTATGATTAACTTTTCAAAAGGAATTGCAGCAAAAACAAAAATGGACAAGTGGGACTTAATTAAAGAGCTTCTGCACAGCAAAAGAAATTATCAACAGAGTAAACAGACAACCTTCAGAATGGGAGAAAATATTTGTCAATAGTGCATCCAACAAAGATCTAACACCCAGAATCTATTAGGAACTTCAAGAAAACAAGCAAAAAACAACCGCATTAAAAAAATGGGCAGAAGACATGAACAGAAACTTCTCAAAAGGAGACATACCAGTGGCCAACAAACATATGAAAAATATGCTTATCATCGTCAGAGAAATGCAAACAAAAACCACAAGATACCGTCTCACAATAGTCAGAATGACCATTTTAAAAAAGTCAAATACCAACAGATGTTGGTGAGGCTGTAGAGAAAAGGGAACACATACATTTTTGGTGGGAATGTAAATTAGTTCCACTACTATGGAAAGCAGTGTGAAGATTTCTCCAACTACTTAAAACAGAACTACCATTGGACCCAGCAATCCCATTACTCGGTATATACTTAGAGGAATAGAAATCATTCTACCATAAAGATACATGCGTGCAAATGCTCATTGCAGCACTATTCACAATAGCAAAGTCATGGAATCAACCTAGGTGCCCATCAACAGTGAATTGGATAAAGAAAATATAGTATATATACACCATAGCATACTATGCAGGCCTAGAAAAAGAATGAATTTTTGTCCTTTGGAGCGACATGGATGCAGCTGGAGGCCATTATCCTAAGCAAATTAATGCAGGAACAGAAAACCAAGTACCATACATTCTCACTTACAATGGGATCTAGACATAAGTATTCATGGACATAAATATGGCAATGATAGATACGGGGACTCGTAGAAGGGGGAGGGAGGGAGGTAAGCAAGGGTTAAAAAACTCACTGTTGGGTACTATGATCAGTACCTGGGTGACAGGATCATTCATACCCCAACCTCAGTATCATGCAATATACTCATGTACCAAACCTGCATATGTACCCCCTGAATCCAAAATAAAAGTTGAAAAAGAAAAAAAATAAATAAATAACAAATGAATGTACTATGAAGAAGAGAAATAAATTCACTTTCTTTGGCTAGAAATTAATAGTAGAACTAATAATAAATATCTGAACTTGTACATTTTATCTCAATCACAATAAGATTGGCTCTTAAGAATAGGGTCCTGATTCAACTATGATTTTTATTTGTTTGACTGATTTCCTTTTGGATAATGAAGGTATCTTTAGTCACCATATCTTCTGAGACATTTGTGGAAAAAAAATTTTAACAAAAGAATAATGGAAATCTGAAGGCCTGGCATGGTAGCTCATTCCTGTAATCTCAGTTCTTTGGAAGGCTGAGACAGGAGGATCGCTTGAGGTCAGGAGTTCAAGACCAGCCTGGGCAATACAATGAGACCTCGTCTCTGCAAAAATAAAAAATAAAAACTATCCAGGTGAGGTAGCACACATCTGTAGTCCCAGCTCCTTGGAAAGTTGAAGCAGGAGGCTTGCTTGAGCCCAGGGCTTTGAGGGGTGACCTGAGACAGGATTAATGGCATCAAACTGAATATAACCTGTTTGGAAAACAGAACGTTTTAGCATTTCCTCTCACTTTATACTTTACCACAATTAGAGGATGCAAGTTGGGAAATCTGCATCATAGTTTCCCTGGAGAAGCAAAAGGATATAAAGAATGAAACAACTTACATAGTGAGATGATTAGAAGAGTAAGAAAACCATGCAGAAGCCCTGAAGTATCAGAGCTACATCTTCGCAAAATGGCATGGCATTATACTCTAAGAAAATTTTGAGGCTTAATTTCACCCATTATCAGGTAAAATCAAAATTATTTTAAGCAGTGATTATCAACATATACAATTAATAAGATTAACAATTAATATTTGGGTGTCTTTATTTTGTTCTAGTCTTTCCCCCAGAACAGTATCACTATTCATTATAAATGGTTCAAGGATATAATTTGTCATTTTAACATGTAATTTTTTGTTGTATTTATAAAATTTGAAAGTATGAGGAAGTGTGGATTCTAACACTAGTCTCAGTTAACTATGGTTATAACCATATCCATTCATTTGGACCATGAAGTGTTGTAAAGCTATCACTATGCACCTGTTGATAATTTATCTGAATTGCAGACACAGCTTGTGGGAAGAGGAAAAGTATCCATATTTATTTGCTTGGCAAACCCAAAACTCAGAAAAAATACCGATAGTCCTTATAGAAATGCTATGGCTGTATGTCTAGCATGATACTATAAACAAATAGGTGATTACCTAAAGCCCCCATGGCCAACAGGACTGTGAGAAATAAATTTGGAGGTGAGATTACATGGCTGACTTGGATCCGCTAGGGAACATACAACTCTCGCAAAATTATGCAGTGAGACTTTGAGTGGTAGCTTTGGAATAACTAGTACTTCCATTTTCGACATTTGGCTATTTTAAACCTAGCTTTCTCTGATACCAAATGCCTGAAGGGTTCTACAAAAACATTTAACATATTTTAAATGCAGTAGCTTTACAAATACTTGATAATTTTTTACAAATACTTGATAATTTAAATTATAAACTTCAGATACACTTCATAACTCCTTCACAGCTCTGAATTCCATACTGTATCTGGTTTTGTTTTATATATCATCTGAAATTTAAAGACACTTTCATCATGTTTGAAGTAAAATAATTAATGAAATGTACACAAACAGTATTCTCTAAGGCATTTCTAACCAATCATCAAGGATGGCATACAACATGTTTCTTAAAAGTGTTATGATAGCATATTATTCTAAATTTGGTTACTCCCAGAGAGTCTAAAGGAACATTACCAAAGGATATAGCTCAATGAGTATGCAGCCTTAAATAACTGAATAATTTAGTTATGATTTAACCCAATAAAATCACTGTCCTAAATTACCATATACTATGTGGCTTTTCTACCAAGAAGTTCTAAGGTGCATGGGATAAGTGTGAAGAAGCAGTCTTACGTACGGCATATTGTCCCAGACCTCTAAGCCCAATTTGCCCCCAAATTCAGTACTTAACTCTGATGAAGTATACTGAATCCAAAATATTGACATCCTCATTTTAAAAATCCCCATAACTTAATATCAATAAGCACATATGATGAGTTATGAGATAGCAATCTAGTAATTCCAAGGCCAAATTCTTATAGCAAGCTATGCATATTTCTAATGCTGATACTCACTCCTGTGTTTTGCATGCTTGACCTTGTGCAGTAACTCCTTAGTGCAAGGTCAAGCACCTCACTATGTTGTTTCAAAAGAAGAATCCATTAGGCAAATTGGGCAAAAATTTGTTGGAGGAAACAAACAGAAGCAGAGTCTGAGAATGGTCTGAATGGAGGAGTCATGGTTGGAGTCAGAGAGCAATGAGAAAACCCAGAGATCATGAAAAGGGCTGTGCCTACTCTGATCTAAATAAAAAGAGATTTCCTGACTTTTAAGAAAATCTGCATTTTTAACACCATTATTTTATCCTCATAATACTACATTCTAGATTCTTAAGGAGGAATGAACAATACTCCTCTCCCAATTTTCCTATCTGTATAACTCACCAACTTGACATAATATACATCAAGGAATTATTTTTTCAAACAGTAAATTATTGATCCAGTGACCAAAAGAAGTTCCTAAAAGAGTTTAACATTCACCCAAGGAGTAATTTGTTATACTGGAGAACCATGGAAGAACTTTCTAAATCAGTGTGATTTACAGAAATACATATTTTGTATTTATATTACATGAGCTGAAAGTACCACGCTGGCAATTCACAGAAGCTGTCTTTATAAACAAAGTGAAGTGTCTCCCATCAATTCCTGCTAATGCACAGTAATGAGAAGCAAATCACTCAATCACCAGCACAGAAAAATAGAGTACCATGGTCCATATTCAATAGCCCCAGAACAAATTATAAAGGGCTAAGTAGGGTGGGGTGAGGCTCAGTATTGGGAGGTTTGTTTTTCATGAACAGAAGGTTTCATCACTATTTGGGGTGCCAACTAAAACTTGTGTGGCTGAGAGGCAGAGATCATTTCCTGTCCAGCCACTATTCTATTCTGCAATTCCATCCATTTCAGGAACCTCTCCTAGCAAGCTGTGAGCCTTTCTTCTCCTGGCTATGATGTATCCTAGCGTTGATAACAAATTGCAGCTCTTTCACAACCCATAATATCTTTTCAATGACCAAAGCAAATCCATACTCATGTAAGTGTGCCTCTTCCTAGGTAGATGCTGAAGTAAGGTACACACAGTTAGTTATACCAAAGTCTCACCTACACAGTTAGAAGCCGCCATTATTATCTCCTCAGACTGCTCCAAACTCAACAACCTCAATAAGTTCTGTTTCCCAGTCAACCCTCTAATTGCTTTTGTTGTTGTTGTTGTTTTATCTCATTTCCTCTGGATCCCATCCAAGTTCTCTATTTCTTAGCTCAATAATAGGGTTAAAATGAGTCTCACTACAATAGCAGTCAAAAGCAACATGAACTATGCTGGAGGAATCACTTCATATTTCCAAAGCCTGCCTTTTAGAGCTTGGATTGAATGGCGGGCATGTGTTATTGACTGTTACCTCATATTTTAGACCTTATACAACCATGTTTATATATAACTTGACTGAAAGAATCACATAAGCTTGCATTCAAGTTCCATTTGCCAACCCCAAAATGTTTTTTCAAATTCTTCCTTAATGAATTATACTTTACATGTCAATTGCAATATCAAGCTTAATAATGTATTCAGTTTCTAAGGATATTTAAATTTTAATTAATTTGTGTAGGGTCCTAGTCTAAGTTGGTATTATGCACATTAAGGAATATATATGTCTCATTTATACATATACCTAGTTGTATAAAATATAATAATTCATTTTTAAAAACTAGAAGTAGCCAAAAATCAGACTCATGGAATCTTATAGGTGGAAGAACAGTACGTCATATTGTATTCTTTCAGAGACTTCAGTCTAGTTGCCTTAGTTTTCAAACAGGGAAGACAGTAAACTCTGTGATTTTAGAGCATATAATTCAACCCACCTTGACACAGATACTATAAGCTTGACACAGATACTGTAATAAGAAAATAATTAAAAATATAGTCAAAGATTACTCAAATTGTGCATTAAACATATTCATCACATAATTACAAAGGAAAAAATTATAAATCCCCTAACTAAAATTTCCAACTGGAGTCAGCCACTTTTTAAAACTTAACGGAAGGAAATCTTCCATATGCAAATATTCAGTGGATTGAATATTGTATATCACATGGACTACAGTGGAAAAACCTGAAAGTATGACCTCAGTCAGATAATCAAGGTTGGCATCAATAGTGATAACTCATGTTGATAGCATGTACACCTGATGTGATGAAAATGTCACTTTACCTGTTTGGTCTTCTTCCCCAAAACCCATAACCTCAGTCTACTCATGAGAAAAACACTATGCAAATCACACTTAGGAGGCATTCTTCAAAATATCTGACCATTAATCCTCAAAACTGTCAAGGTCATGAAAAACAAGAAAAGTTTAAGAAACTGTCATAGCCAAGAGGGGCCTAAAAAGATAAGATCACTAAATGTAATGTGGTATTTTGGATGAGTTGGAACAGAGAAAAAATTAAGACAAAAAAATTTGAACATAGTATAGACTTTAACAATAGTGTATCAATATTGGTTTCATCAGCTTTAATATGTACATGATAATGCAATATGTTAATAATAGGGGAAATTGGGTGTAGGGTATATTGAAAGTCTCAGTACTATCTTCACAACTATCCTATAAATCTAAATATATTCTAAAATGAAAAGTTTATTGAAATATTAAACATGTGCACGCACGTGCACACACACAGTGCATTTCACCACTGCTACAGATTGACATCGACACCTCTCCTCGACAACAAACCGTTGAAGTAAGAATGTTGTTTTATTCATCTTTGTATCTCCTACAGATATTTAGGCCATGCCTATTAATACTTACAGAATAAATGTCCATGGAATTGAAAGAGAAGATGATCTAATGTCCAGGGTCAAACTGACTGCACAGTAAGAAAACAAAAATTTCTGTTAAGATGCACTTTTCCCACTCCTAGCAATTATTGCAGAATTTATTCTTACCTTGAGAGAAAGACCCATAATGGTGGATTGAAATTGGGGGAAAAAAAGAAGAAAGAATGAACACAGGGTAGCAGCCACACCACTAACAAATGAGACATATAGGAATCTGTCTCCTAACTTACAAAATTACCTTAAACTCCATCACTTAGTGCTTCAAAGTCAAAAGAAGAAAAACATCTTAAAGAAGATAACACATATACTTACATTTGAAGGTTGTTCTGAGGATTAGGTGAGAAAAATATACGTGAACGCCCTTTGAAAACCACCACACGATCAAAAAGCAATTCCTAAATTTCCCCAGAGGTGGAGCACCTGAAAGTCATAGTGGTCCTTGGAGACCAAAATGAATACTGATGTACTGAATTGCATTAGAGGAACCATTTTATGGTAAAAAATATAACAATGTGATGCAGAATGATATAACCATTAGTATAATGCACATGCACACACACACACACACAAATTAAACTTAGTTCAATTGTCTCCTAGTAATTTTTGCCATTATTATGCACCTGCTATTTTGTGATCCTGTTTTCTTGTATCCTCTTAATTGTGTGTCTTCCCCACTAAACTATTACCAAGTACCCGTGTCTTGTTAATTCTTGTATCTTGAGAAAAATAGATTTGGGCACATAATAGACATTTATTCAACAAATATTCCTGGAGCACTTACTGGAAATCATGAGATCTAGTAAACAAAAGATTAAGATTCTCATTCTTAAAGTACTTACATGCTAATTCTAGCAGGCTAAAAGGCTAGAAGGTGATAGATGCAATGGAGAGAAGCAGAGCAGGATAAGGGGGAATGGGAGTTAGAAACAGGTTGTAGAATTAAGCAGAGTGGTTGCACTGTGAATGTGAGGTTTGAGCAAAAACTTGAAAAAACTAATGATTTCAACAAACCACATATCTGGGTGCTAAACATTCCAGGCAGAAAAATAGGGCACTATCCCTAGGTGCAAGCTTGCCTGTCATGTCAAAAAGCAGCCAGGGAGCCAAGGTGCCTGGGGCAGTGTGAGTGCAAGCAAGAGGAGTAGGCAAGGCCAGGATGACCAGGCCAGGGAGGGCCTTGCAAGCTATGATAAAGACTTGTGCTTCCCTCCACAGTGAAATGGGGAGCCACTGTAGAGTTTTGAACGAGAGCCACATCATCTGAGCTACATTTTTACAGGCTCACTCTGGCTGCCATGTGGCCACTACATGGTGGCAAACACAGAAGCAGTAAAGAGACCTGTTCGGGGTGGTTGCCATAATCTGGTGGCTCAGACCAAGGTAGTAGGTGTGGCCATGATGGAAATTAGTTGGATGATAAATATATCGAAGTACAGCCAAAAAATTTTATGATGGATTCAACAAATACTTTAAATGGATAAATATTGGGCAATATTCATTAGCAGGCAATCATCATCAAGTACCAAAGGCTTAATAACAATTTATGGGCAAAAAAAAACACTTAAAACAAAAACCATATTTGTTAAATTAGCATGATATGTATTAAACTTATATTATGTAGACAATGACTATTTTATTTCAGCCTCAGAACATTGACACCCAGCTTACTGACTCAGGGTTTTTCGGGGAGAGAGTTTGGTAACCACTAAGCTACCTACATGTGTGAATGTTGATACTGATACTGAAACTAATTTATGACAGGTGCTGTGAGGGAGTATCTCACCTGTTCAAAAAAATATCATTATCTGATTTCAGCCTTACACTGGAGAGTACGTCAGAGCCAGCCAGGTGGAAAGGCTTGCCGTGCTAAGCCCTGGAGTTGGCTCTGCTTAGTAATTGATACCATTTTCTGGCACTAGTTATTTTTATAAAGATATTAGCAAAGAAACAGTAAAATTAAAGGGCTTCATAATCCTCAGCACTCATCATCAACTTCTGAAATATGATTGCATGTTAGCTCTTACTGTTACTGTACAAAAGCACTTACTCAAAGGTAGGGAGGACAAACTCTGTTAATAGTAGTAAAGGGGAGGACTATTGCCTCTTTCGAGACTGTGGCATCCCTTTTCCCAAAGCAACAGGAGTTATAGAAATCTCCTGAATCTCCTTTTTGCTGAATTTGGCAAGAAACGGGTAGGTATCTTCCAGGGTGTGTGAGCAAAATATGTCCCTAGAAAGGTTAACAAATGAGTGAGAGGTGACTCCTGTATTCCTTCCTCATTCTTCTCCTTTTACATATTTCTTCCCCCTGCTTCCAGTGGCCTCCCAGGGATCCAAGCCTGCTCATAGGAAATTAAATGAGGTTAGTGATTAACATTTCAAAGTGAATTTCAGTCACTACTTGCCCTCCATCTGGGGAATGCACGTTACAAGCTTAATTTGTGGAATAGCAGACTTTGTATCCCTCTTAGCCATCAGGTAAGGGTGCTGTTTTATTTACCCAGGGGATCTGGGGAGCATAGCATGTTTCCTCAGGGGAGAGGAGGAGGATTTTGCTAGTTGAGGCATGTCCAAGCTCCCCAGATGAGCTGCCTAGCAGCAGCAGCCTTCCCTGCCTCATTCCAGGTCATGCTGTGAATATGAGGACACCAGTCCCATGACAGAGCTAAATCAGAAATCAAGAGACTAGTAATGCTTGCTAGACCCCTAATTTTCTCTTTATAAAATAGTATCACTCTATAGACACCCTGCCTCACAGGGCCTTTTTGAAGACAAATGAAATAATGTCATCTCTTCAATGCAAGCCTGTCCCCCAACAACTCAATGAAAGGTGCTATGTATAATGACCAAGTTCTCTTTTCAGCTGAATTTAGAAACTCCAGATTACAGTGCTTCCTATGTTTATTCACAGTGGCGTCTAATTTTGCACAGGAAAGTAAGGCCTAGGCATTTGCATTTTTCCTCTTGGTTCCACTCTCCCGGCCAAGAAACACATGAAGAAGGGTCTTCACTGGCCCAGAGCCCCTGATAGGATTCCATTCATGCCCGCCACTCACTGACAGAGAAAGCCCCCCACCAGAAGGCTCCGCTCTCATAAAGAGCTCTGCCTGATTCAGGAAGACGTGGCTTTTTGTTCAGTACCATAGGACCTTGTGTGACACTCCACGGCCCGGGCTAGGGGCTGTCACAGCAGTCTTTCACAATTCAAAGAGCAAAAGAGAATAGCCTGCCTTTGAGTGTCAGAAATGTGGGAGAGGCAGGAATCAAATCATGAATAAATAAACAAAAACACCAACAGCTGTGATATTTAAAACAGACAATCACTATAACAGCAAATGACAACCCTGCAGCCTACAGAATCTGCTAATAAATTGTCTGCTGTGAATGTTATTAAAGATAAACTTATGAGCCATGATTATTCAACCATTAAACCTAAGTGGAAATCAAAGGAAGATGTGTGTCAGATGATGTTTTTGGTGCCACGTAGCCTAGGAAAATTACTCATCAAATCTGAATCCTGATATCTCTGTCCTCCAAGGATTGGTCCCTTGAATTTTTGGCACTGTGTGCAGAAGCTGTCTTTTCTTTTTTTCCTTTAATTATAATTTTAGTTTCAAATGTGTGGCTTTTTTATTTCCAATAAGCTGTTGTGATAAACACATCTCATTATCCATGGAATAAAGGGAGTGCCATTCAATTCAGCAGGGGCGTATCTACAAGAAGGAAAGAAAATAAGACTTTCCCCACAGCCAACGTGCTGATGAGACAACTTTTGGCCCTGAGGGACTGATGCTGAACAAGCTCTCAAGAAGTCTAGATTGTGGGGAGCTTAGTCAATATATTAGCTAATTTAACTGAACCAGAATTTAATTTCAATTCAGCAGTCATCATATTCACACTTCACTTTAATCTCAAGCTCTATTATTAATATTACAGTCAGCAACACAGTTAATAGGAAGAGTGGGTCTGATACGGTGGTTCATGCCTATAATCCTAGCACTTTGGAAAGCCAAAGTGGGAGAATCTCTTCAGGCCAGGAGTTCAAGACCAGCGTGGGCAACATAGCAAGACCTCTATCTCTACAAAAAAGTTAAAAAAAAAAAAATGCAGCTGTAGTTCCAGCTCTTCAGGAGGCTGAGTTAGGAAGATTTCTTGAGCCCAGATCTGAATTCAAGGCTGCAGTGAGCCATGATTGCAACACTGCAGTCCAGCCTGGGTGACAGAGAAAGACCCTGTCTCAAAGAAAAAAAAAAATAGGAAGAGTGGCATATTACGGAAGAAACAAAATTATACAATAAGATTCCTATCTGAGCATTCTATTTTGAAGACATAAAAGGATGACTTAAATTGAAAATAATTTTCAGTTAATGTCCTGAAGAATATAATTATATGCAGGATGCAGAACATAGTGAAGTCAGAGCTACTCAGTCTGGTAGTTTTTAAGGAATGACCTCCAAATGTCTGCTTGATATTAATATTTCCCAGGCATTTTGAATTAGGAATTTGAAATAAACTTCAATAATGAAGGTGACAGTTTTTTAAAAAAAATAAGAAATACAACATTAACTGGTGAATATGTACAACCTATACTGGTAAGAGGTTAAGGGGATAAAGAATGTGTAAGAGGTTAAGGGGATCAAGAATGAATAAGATACCTTTCTGTCATCCGGCATTTATTGTTTTGGGTTTGGTTTTTAGTTGATTTTTATCCCCTTTCTACCTTGCCCACTTTAACATCTCTGTGTGATGTAGAAGAGATTTGCTGATGTTGGGTGTCTCCTCCTCCGCATTCTCATGTATGTAATAAATGTACCTGCTGGAATACATATTATGTACTTGACAGACTTTGAAAGAACAAATTAATAAGTGGACTAAGTACTTGGATGCTGGCCTAAATCTCAAATTCTTCCATGCTACATCATAATTGGGAAAAATAAATACGGTATTTATAACACAAATGAAAAGGAAGTGAAGAGACCAAGCAACAGCTGTGTACAAATACGGGGTACCATGGTACTGTGTACAAGTACCATGTCCAGGTAGGAAAGAAGCCCACATAAAGCCCAGACTGGGCATTCAGAACATTGACGTTGGAACTGCAGGGTAACACAGAAACTACACAGAGTGACATTGGCCCTGAATCTAGGAGGCCTTCAAGAAACTAAGGCAGTAATTCTCACATGTGGCTTGATATCAGAACCACCTGAAAAGATTTTGTTGATAACATTTTGTGTTATAGCACAGATTACTATAAATAATCTCAATTACTACCCCTATGTCTAGGGTTAGTAATAGCCCCTAGACATAATGTGAAGGTTTGGATTGATAGTTTATTTTATATTAAAGGGTAGAAGTGGATGAGCAGGAAAACTCCTGCTACAACTATAGCGCTGGAGTGGAGTAGATCTGAGACTGGGGTTGGGCCTTCTGTGGCTGATGGAAGTCAGGGATGGAGGCTGAATTGAGCTGACTTTCCTGCTGCTGGTAAGAGAAGGCTAATTAATGGAAGGGAATTGGGGTTTTTTTTCTTTAAATTCAAACTCCCAGATCACCTCCCCAACCAGTTAAATAATATGGGAGAGCCCCAATAAATCTGCTTCTGTATTTGAGAATGACTGCTGAACAAGCAACATAGCCTCCACTTGACTGTCATCTACTCTATGAGCTGCTTTGTGAGGGGAATGAAGTCCCTTGGAGTGGCCCTGCTACCATTATTTCTGCAAAAACAAGGTTAGCCTAAACACCCACCTAGTAACATAATTAAAAGAATATGCAGAATGAAGAACTCTGCTCAATCTCTGAATATCATAAAATGAAAGTGGAGCCAAAATAAACCTCTTCAGTTTCAATGCATAAATGCTACAATATGGTTGAGGAAATAATCAAGAGCTTTTCTTTTATACGCTGGGTATCTTTATAATGAAAGTTGACTTGAAAGAACTAGAGCTATATGCTGTATCTAAAAAGACTCTCCTGCTCCCAAGTATCCAGCAAGCAATCTGAAATGTTTTCATTTTTGTGACTTTAGAGTAGAGTGTGCCCTGGTCTTATGACAGATGTGTTTCTTAAAATCCGTGCAAACTTGGAATCTTTTCATTAGTTGAAATGATGGGCTTGCTATCTAAAGAAGACATAAAATAGCTTATTTTTTGAATTAAAAAATATTTAAAGATCCTAAAACCACCTCCAAATGTGTCTGTTTTCACGGGCTTTTACATTGTAGAACTGCATAATGGCTATCATGTTATTATGCTATTCTCAAACACAAAATCAAATACAGCAAAAGTCTGCTGCAACCTAGAAGTTATTTAAAAATGGTTGCACTGAAATTTTGGAAATAAGAATACATCTGATTTATGAGAAAGCCAAGTTGCTAAAAATGTAATTTAACAACTGCTATTATGTGCTAAAATCAATAATTTTTAATGTGGACACATTAACATTTTGAAAATGAAAAAGAGTGATTTATATTTTGTAACAAATATGACAAAAATTTAAACAAATATTTATAACAAATATTTATATAAATATAATTTTCAGAAATATGTTTATCATAAAAACTTCCATTTATATGAAATTAACTGAGCAACTTAATTGCATCCTTCTCACTACTGACTTTTTAAAAAAAATCATATATAGTAAACTGTGCAATGAAGCAAATATTTACAAGATCATTGTCCCCATTTTACAGGTAGAGGAAGTAACTTCAGGGAACTTAGGAGTTCTCTCTAAGATTACACACAAAATCAATAACAGAGGTAGAAATTCATTTCACATTTTCTGGCTCCCAAGTCATTTCCATCAGACCGTGGATGCAAAGAAACTGCTTGCAAATGTTAATGAAGTATTTGTTTTTGCTCCATAGAAAGTAGAGCCAAAAATGTCATTTTGTAGGTCCCAGAAGTGAATTCTCAGCTAAAAATAGAATTGCCATGAATTTTCATCCAAAATTTAGAGTATATTTAGTTCAAACAGTCAGCAATAATGTCCTTTGCCTACAGTGGTTTAAGAAAAAAATAAGTTTCCTAACAAAGTTCTCCTTTGCTTTGAGCACATGGCAAGTCAATTGCTCATTGGGTGAAAGGAAAGAAGGACACATCACCTGAGGTGACTGTTTGTACAAAAAGCATTACAATGAAGAAACAATTGTAGCATGTGTATTCATCCGTTACTATAAAGAACTGCCTGAGGCCGGATGCGGTGGCTCACACCTGTAATCTGGCACTTTGTGAGGCCAAGGTGGGTGGCTCATTTGAAATCAGGAGTTTGAAACTAGCCTGGCCAACATGGTGAAACCCCATCTCTATTAAAAATACAAAATTTAGGCTGGGCGCAGTGGCTCACACCTGTAATCCCAGCACTTTGGAAGGCCGAGGCGGATGGATCACGAGGTCAGGAGATCGTGACCATCCTGACCAACACGGTGAAACCCCGTCTCTACTAAAAATACAAAAAAATTAGCTGGGCGTGGTGGCGGGCGCCTGTAGTCCCAGCTACTCGGGAGGCTGAGGCAGGAGAATGGCCTGAACCCAGGAGGTGGGGCTTGCAGTGAGCCGAGATCGTGCCACTGCACTCCAGCCTGGGCAACAGAGCAAGACTCTGTCTCAAAAAAAAAAAAAAAAAAAAAAAAAAAAAAAAAACCCCAAAATTTAGCTGGGCATAATGGTGTACGCCTATAATCACAGCTATTCAGGAGGCTGAGGCACGAGAATTGCTTGAACCCAGGAGGCAGAGGTTGCAGTGAGCAGAGATTGTGCCACTGCACTCTAGCCTGGGTGATAGAGACTCTGTCTCAACAAAAACTGCCCGACACTAGGTGATTTATAAAGGAAAAAGTTTTAATTGACCATAGTTCAACCTGGCTGTGGAGGCCTCAGGAAACTTACAGTTGTGGTGGAAGGCAAAGGAGAAGCAAGGCACCTTCTTCACGAGGTGGCAGGAAGAAGAATGAATGCAGGAGGAACTACCAAACACTTATAAAACCATCAGATCTCATAAGAACTCACTCACTTTCATGAAACGAGCTTGGGGAAAATCACCCCCATGATTCAATTACCTCCACCTGGTCTCTCCCTTGACACATGGAGATTATGGGGATTATAATTCAAGGTGAGATTTGGGTGGGGACACAAAGCCTAACTCTGTCAGTGTGTTTGTGGGAATCCCTCATCTTAACATCATAGGTGAACAAGATGGGTGTCAGATTGTTCTTACTGAATAATCTGTATTCAGTACAGATTTTTCTGTACTGGAGTGCAGAGTACTCCAGTACTCTGGAGTGGAGAGGTGGGCAGGAAAAAATTAAGACCTGCACCAGAGCCTGCCACCTTGCCTGAGGTATTTGGTACATGATTTAGGGAACGTGCTTATTCTCTACCTCTTATGTTTCCTTTTATACAAGAGATTATCTGTTAGCATTACAATCCTGGTCTCCCTCCAATCTTCCACTCTACTCTTGGTGATTTTGGAAGGAGAAACAGGACAGGCATAGCTGAAGCCTTCCTCTCCTCTTCATCTTCTGAGTGGGCCTGCCACAGAGATGATGGGCTCCTAATTGTGCTTGACCATGTCTAAGCCTGTCCACTGAGAGGTCCTATCCCCTCACTGGAGATGTCTCAGGTTGATTCTCTGAGAACCAAATGCTGAAAGAGAGATTATTAGCCTTTGGGATTTTAATAGGGGTCTTCTTTCCTAGTTGCAGACAAGGCCAAATTTCTTATGTCAATTTCTAAGGCCACATAAGTTACATACAAGAAATTAATGCATCCATGTTTCTCATAAACTTTCACTTGGAAAATAGTATACTTAATGTAAAACTTATGAAAGAATTTGGTAAAGGGTAAGTATCTGCTCAAACAGGTATGGTGACCATTAAATATATAATCACATCTGTAGAGCCACAACAATTCATCCATGGTGCTGGAACAGCTAGATAAAAATATGTAAACGAGTAAATTTGGACCTGATCTCACAAGAAAACTTAAGTGGAAATGGATCATAGACCTAAATTTAAGATCTAAAACTTATAAAACTCTCATAAGAAAACATAAATCTTTATAGCCTTAAGTTAGGCAATGGGTTCTTAGATATGACACCAAAAGCAAAAGCGACAAAGGAGAAATAAATAAATGTTCTCGGCAACACCATTTATAATAGTCAAAAAGTGAAACCCAAGTGTCTATCAACCAATGAATGAATAAAATGTGGCATATTGATTCAATGAAATATTATTTAACCATAAAAAGGAATGCAATACAGATACACGCTATAACATGGACGAACTTTAAAAACATGATGCTAAGAAAGAGGCCAGACACAAATGGCCATATATCATATAATTCTACATAATTCTTATCATATAAAAATATTCTATATTTAATATAATTCCATCATGTATTCTATTATATGAAATGTCCGGAATAGGCAAAGCCATAGAGACAATACAGATTAGCGGTATCCATGGATTGGGGGTACTAAGAATGGATATGTGATAGCCAATAGATATGAAATTTCTTTTGGGTGTGGTAAAAAAGTGTTCTAAAAGTAGATAATGGTGAGGGTACCACAACTCTGTAAATGTACAAAAAACAATTGAATTATACAACTTAAAAAGGTGAATTTTTGTGTATGTGAATTATATAATATTTCAATAAAACTGTTTTTAAAAACTGCATTCATAAGTATTTGTAAAGTGTGTCACTGAAACAACATGTGAAGGTTTGTTGCAGGGATATATTGCATGATGCTGAGGTTTAGGCTTCTATTGAACCCATAACCCAAATAGTGAAGATGGTACTCAACAGGGAGTTTCTCAACCCTTCTCCTCTCACTCTCTCCTTCCTTTTAGAGTCCCCACTGCCTATTGTTGCCATCTTTATGTCTGTGTGTACCCAATTTTTAGCACCCATAAGTGAGAACATGTGGTATTTTGTTTTCTACTTCTTTGTTAATTCACTTAGAATAATGGCCTCCAGCTACATCCATGTTGCTGCAAAGGACATGATTTCATTCCTTTTTATGGTTGCATAGTATTCCATGATGTATATGTAGCAAATTTTCTTTACCCAATCCACTGCTGATGGACACCTAGGTTGATTCCATGACCTTGCTATTGTGAATAGTGCTGTAATAAACATGCAAGTGCAGATGTCTTTTTGGTAGAATGATTTATTTTTCCTTGGGTATACACCCAGTAATGCAATTGCTGGCTCAAATGGTAATTCTATTTTTGGTTCTTTGAGGAATCTCCAAACTGCTTTCCACAGGGGCTGAATTAATGTACAATCTCACCAACAGTATATAAGTGTTCCCTTTTCTCTGCAATATCACCAAAAAAAACTGGCTTTAAAAAAAATTTAATAATAACCATTCTGACTGGTATAAGATGGTATCTCATTGTGGTTTTAATTTGCATTTCTCTGATGATTAGTGATGTTGAGCATTTTTAAAATATGTCTCTTGGCTTTGTGTAAGTCTTCTTTTGAGAAGTGTCTGCCTTTTTTTTTAAATAGAGACAGAGTCTCGCTATGTTGGCCAGGCTGATCTTGAACTCCTCAGCTCAAGTGATCCTCCTGCCTTGGCCTCCCAAAGTTAAGGGTGCTATTTAAGTTCATTATTGATTCTGGATATTAGACCATTGTCGGATAGTTTGTAAATATTTTTCCCCATTCTGTAAGTTGTCTGTTTATTCTGTTGATAGTTTCTTTTGCTGTGCAGAAGCTCTTTAGTTTAATTGGGTTCTAATTGTCAATTTTTGTGTTTTTTTTTTTTGCATTTGTTTTTGAGGACTTAATCATAAATTCTTTGCCTAGGCCGATGTCCAGAAGAGCACTGCCTAGGTTTTCTTCCAGGATTTTTAGTTTGAGATCTTACATTTGAGTCTTTAATCCATCTTGAGTTAATTTTTTTACGTGGTGACAGGTAGGGGTTGAATTTCATTCTTCTGCATATGGCTAGCCAGATTTCCTAGCACCATTTATTGAATAAAGTGTTCTTTCCTCATTGTTTACTTTTGTAGACTTCATCAAATATCAGTTGGTTGTAGATGTGAAGCTTTATTTTGGGGTTCTCTGTTTTGTTCCAAAATCATCATACAAAAAGCAGTAGCATTTCAATACGCAAATAAAATTCAACCTGAGAACCAAATAAAGAATGTAATTTCATTTACAGTAGCTGCAAAATAAATAAAAGACCTAGGAATACACCTAACCAAAGAGGTAAAAGATCTCTATAAGGGAAACTACAAAACACTGCTGAAAGAAATCACAGATGACACAGAAAAAATAGAAACACATTCCATGATCATGGATTGAAAGAATCAATATTGTTAAAATGTCCAAACTGCCCAAAGCAATCTACAGATTCGACAAATTTATATCAAATTACCAATGTCATTTTTCATAGAATTAGAAAAAACTATTATAAAATTCACATGGAACAAAAATGGAGCACAAATAGCCAAAGCAATCCTAAACAAAAAGAACAAAGCCAAAGACATCACGTTTCCCAACTTCAAACTCTATTACAAGACTACAGTAACCAAAATAGCATGGTAGTGGTACAAAAATAGACACAGACCAATGAACCAACTGTTGAATAGGACATAAATCAGCAAGGAAAGAAATAATTCACCTGAATGCATTTAAGAATACTAATAACCCATGGAAACCTGATCATACACATCTCCTAGCTTTTTGGTAAAAGCTCTGACACCTGAACCATTTGTACTCAAAAATGACTTTGAGAGTCTCTGGTTTAGGGCAAATTGCATGATAAAACAAGTATGTTTTACATACAAGGCATACAAAAGCCTTAGTCTGTCATTCAATGTCTTACCGTGTTAAGCCCATCTACCCAAGCTTATCTACCAATTTCCCTATTTAATATTCTTTGTTTAGAACTGTATGCCTCAGTATTTCCCATCCATCTCATTATTTACCACCTGTTTGTTTTTCTTATGCTGCTATAGTCCCTGAAACACCCTATCTTATGGTCACTTCTACTTATCTTTCAAAGCCCTTCTTAAATGCCATCAACTCTATGGAGCCATTGCTCATTTTCTTCAATGAAATGTGTTTCCCTTCTACTTTGCTTCACAGTTTACTGTTTCATATTAATTATTTGTAAGTGTATATAATATTTTCTCTCTTTTTTTCTCAAGTTCTAATATTTTAATACATCTTCTGTGTTGGGATCTAAGTACTTTCACATATATTACTTGTAATTTAATATCAAGTGAAAATTAATTTGTTTTGCCTTAGGTTCTTCTTTGACATCTTTCAGTACTTAATTCCTTAGTTTGTATATGTTTGTATTTGGCATACCGGTTTGTAAGACTTCATCCATTCACGTAGTCCTTCATTCAGGCTTTGTAGTCAGACAGATCTAATTTATATTCTATATTGGCTGTGACAATTTCTTAAAATAAGACAATAGTGTATATTGCATTTTGGAAATATATGTAACCTAAATAATTATTTTAACAGATATTCCCAATTGT
The DNA here is from genome assembly GCF_000001405.40 of Homo sapiens. Taxonomy (NCBI): domain Eukaryota; kingdom Metazoa; phylum Chordata; class Mammalia; order Primates; family Hominidae; genus Homo; species Homo sapiens. Next base: position 46,334,387 of record NC_000015.10, on the reverse strand, counting down.
TTATACATTTCTTTTTTTTAATTTTATTATTATTATACTTTCAGTTTTAGGGTACATGTGCACAATGTACAGGTTAGTTACATATGTATACACGTGCCATGCTGGTGTGCTGCACCCATTAACTCGTCATTTAGCATTAGGTGTATCTCCTAAAGCTATCCCTCCCCCCTCCCCCCACCCCACAACAGTCCCCAGAGTGTGATGTTCCCCTTCCTGTGTCCATGTGTTCTCATTGTTCAATTCCCACCTATGAGTGAGAATATGCAGTGTTTGGTTTTTTGTTCTTGCGATAGTTTACTGAGAATGATGATTTCCAATTTCATCCATGTCCCTACAAAGGACATGAACTCATCACTTTTTATGGCTGCATAGTATTCCATGGTGTATATGTGCCACATTCTCTTAATCCAGTCTATCATTGTTGGACATTTGGGTTGGTTCCAAGTCTTTGCTGTTGTGAATAGTGCCGCAATAAACATACGTGTGCATGTGTCTTTATAGCAGCATGATTTGTAGTCCTTTGGGTATATACCCAGTAATGGGATGGCTGGGTCAACCGGTATTTCTAGTTCTAGATCCCTGAGGAATCACCACAAAAAATCTAGAAGAAATGGATAAATTCCTCAACACATACACCCTCCCAAGACTAAACCAGGAAGAAGTTGAACTCTGAATAGACCAATAACAGGCTCTGAAACTGTGGCAATAATCAATAGCTTACCAATCAAAAAGAGTCCAGGACCAGATGGGTTCACAGCCGAATTCTACCAGAGGTACAAGGAGGAACTGGTACCATTCCTTCTGAAACTATTCCAATCAATAGAAAAAGAGGAACTCCTCCCTAACTCATTTTATGAGGCCAGCATCATCCTGATACCAAAGCCGAGCAAAGACACAACCAAAAAAGAGAGTTTTAGACCAATATCCTTGATGAACATTGATGCAAAAATCCTCAATAAAATACTGGCAAAACGAATCCAGCAGCACATCAAAAAGCTTATCCACCATGATCAAGTGGGCTTCATCCCTGGGATGCAAGCCTGGTTCAATATACGCAAATCAATAAATGTAATCCAGCATATAAACAGAACCAAAGACAAAAACCACATGATTATCTCAATAGATGCAGAAAAGGCCTTTGACAAAATTCAACAACCCTTCATGCTAAAAACTCTCAGTAAATTAGGTATTGATGGGACGTATCTCAAAATAATAAGAGCTATCTATGACCAACCCACAGCCAATATCATACTGAATGGGCAAAAACTGGAAGCATTCCCTTTGAAAACTGGCACAAGACAGGGATGCCCTCTCTCACCACTCCTATTCAACATAGTATTGGAGGTTCTGGCCAGGACAGTTAGGCAGGAGAAGGAAATAAAGGGTATTCAATTAGGAAAAGAGGAAGTCATATTTTCTCTTTTTCTAGAAATATCTCAGTGGTTGTCCAATGAGTGAGTCAGTGAGGATGGAGATTGCCCTTTACTCTATGGCATTTGGAGCATTCAAACTTGCTAAGGCAGGCATACAAATGTTTGTTGATTAGACTGGACTACCTGAAATTTAGTTTTTCATCTTCATTTACATGTGTGGAGATGGAACATTATGTTTAATTATTTGACATTTTAAAAAATCAGTACTTTAACCTATTGAATTGTCCCTTCATACTGAATTTACTAAACAGGAACATTATGTATATTTATATTATATATAAATATATTAAATTTATATTTATGAAAATATAAATTTTCATACATTCATATTTATGAAATTTTAGGGTGGAAGATAAAACATGTTTCCTACTATAGCAACATTCAATTTATTCAGCATCGTGCTGAAAGAGAATCTTCCAGGTAAGCTTCCATAAAAGCTTACCTCTTTGAGTTCCAGAATTTTAAATTACTTTTATACATTTAGAAATGAGAATTTTATGAAATTGCAGTGCATGTATTGATATGTAGCAAGAGAACTATTGAATTGGAACAATTTGACCTTAAGCTACCCTTTTATTGAGGAGTTATCCTCAAAATCATTGTACTATATTAAGCATAGAACCACAATGATCACTTATCACCTACGTTGACTGGCAAACCTTTGAACTGAAAGGTAAGTCCACTGAGCTCCCTGCCCATGACCTATATGTCTTTATATCCCATTTGCCACATATTTCTTCATAGAATGTCATGTCTCTGAGACCAGGGGAGGCAACTTCCATTTCTCTGTGCCAGTTTCATCGTGCTTCCATGTGTGCAGAACACCAGTTTTTGCTGACTTTCATTTTATAAAAAGAAACAAATTACCCATTAAAAGGAAAATCCTGCTTTTCAAAAGGTTGAATAATATAGATTTTTTAAATTTTAAATAAAAATCCAGCTGGTTAAACTGAAGCCATTGAAAAGAAGCTTAATTGAGGAATATTTTTTGGCTCTGAGCCCATCATCTTTTCATTTGATTGTAAATTGGATACAATTTTATTCACTTCAAACTCTTGTCTTTCAGTATTTTATTCCACTGAGACCAGTAAATAAGTGTTAATAGTCATGTTGAGCTCAGTTAGACTACTTCCTTCATTTAAATTACCCATTTTGGTTGTTGTATTATTGCCAGCCAGCATTTTGCTTGTTGACATTTTTATTGAATGATTGTGCAATAAATGTTGATAACTTCATATACTGTTTTGACCCTTCACCAATCTTTTTTTATCTGTCATTTTCTTCACCTGAAATATGCTCTTCTTCCCCCATGCTTTTATCATCCATCCATGAAAGCATGCCCTTTTATTCTCCTATAAAATTATGTCAACTTGTGTCCTTTAAGAATCTTTCCAGAGGATGTAACCTCTTATCTTTAAGGTAATATAAGCCAAGCAGATGCTGTGATTCCTTGATGGAAGAGAGCTTTATCTTCTTTCTTTGTCAAACATTGTTTTGTTTTTCAAAGGGAGTGGAAGACAAAATTGTTGAGGTGTGGAAATGTTCAAAAGCAATAAATAATTGCTTGTAGAAAAACCTGCATTTTCTAAGCTTTATGCTTTGTCAATTTAAAGCATTTGCTAAGGAAAGCAGCTGTTAAGTAATATCAACAATTGAGATCTGTTTTTCATGCCCACATTCTTTTCCGTCCAATTTCCAACTGCATTTCTATCTAAGTTTAGGACTTGGAGTCATGCTCACAATTCAACTCCTTTATTGCCCTCAAAGAGTCTTTATTCATATGAAATATTCAGAATTTATTTTGTCATATACTATATGTAGGGAAACAATGTGGAGAAACAATGATGAACATATTGGAGATACTTTCAATAGGTTGAATAGAAGAGGAATACAACACAAGAGTGGGCCTGGGTAGAGAGAGGATGTGCCTATCTTGTGGAACCTGGGGTTTCTCTCGGGTATCCAAATGGAGAGATCCAAAATGCAGATAGACATACAAATTTTTCTCTTAGAAAAAATAAATTTTGGTAGACATATAATAACAAACATGTATTGATTACTTAGCATATACCAGGTACTGTTATAAATATTTTATGTCTATTAACTCATTTGATCTGTACAATATCACTGTTAGTTTAGAAGACATAATTATCTTTGTTTTCAAATTATGAAACTAATCTGAAACTCAGAAAAGTTTAACAATTTGCTGAATGTCACTGATAGCTAGTGATCTAGTTGACATTCTAAGTTAGGCAGTCTCCAGAGTGCACACTATACTGTGCATTTTCTCTGTTTCACGTAAGAATTATTATATAAGCATATAGAGAATAGTTGACATTGTTGCAATGAATGTGATCACTGGAATAGTGAAAAAAGTGTATGTCAGACAGAAACTAAGGAACACCCAATCTACTGATGGTTCCCTGTAGTCTTTAGGTTTACCTTCCATTCTGGCAGCTCCTAGTCATTGATGTCTGCTCTCCAGGACCATCCATCTGGGCAGCTTTTCCTTGTACAAGTACCTTACAAACAAATCCAGGAACTATCTCCAAGCCTGCTTTTGAGAACCTGAATGGACTTGAATTTGCACTCTAAACCACATAAATTAACCCTTATGATAAACTTTAAGTTGACTATTAATGGAACTTTCTTCCCTTTCCTACTTTCCATTGTATAGCCTTTTCCAGACACGCAAAAACAATGAATGTGATCAAGGTCACACATCTCTCTCTAAACTATCTCTTTTCTGGGATGCTTTCCCCCACTTTCATCTTCCTATGCACCAAAACACCTCTTGCCTCTCCTGAAAAACATACTCTTCAGATAGCCTTTTTACATAAATCCCTAATCTACTTCCATCTTACTCTCATTATAAATCACTATGATTGCACAATACACATAACCAATTCTGTGCAGATGCTGGAAACAAATGTTTATCTGTTTCTCTAATTTTGTTTACAAATGATCAGAGAATGGTGTACTCTAGTTCATCACTGGTTCAAGTTACTAGAAATAAGAAGTCTATCCCATGCATGAATGGACAATTGTCTAGTATTAAAGTTCAATATAGTCTCAAACTTAAACTAGACTGAAAATAATTTAACCTTCCTTTATTTGATTCCGAAAACACTTTAGGGTTTTGCAGAGTTCCAAGGTTATCATTATCATGGTCTTATATATGTATAAGTAATAAAGATTTCCAGCCCATAAGTTATCAGATTAATCAACTTTTACTGCATTTCTTTAGGTTTGCCTCACCTTTTCCATTATATTGTAAGATCTTTAAGAGTCAGAATTATGCCTATTTATATTGCACTTCACATAGGACTTTGCCCAAATAGGTGCACAATTCATATTTTTATCGTGTGGACTGGAGCTTAAAGTGCACGGCAAGATTCTAATTTTAATTTTTTATCTTCCTCTTTACTATATATGTCAGAATTTAACCTACTTTTCCAATCCATAACTATAAGAAAATAACAAGCAGTGACCACTGTCACTGACTAGTGAGTAATACTTAAGTATACCTCTACTATACATCATACAGTAGAAACTAGCACTTTTCACTAACATGAAATTCTCCTCTATTTATAGTCACATAGGGTGGTTGTATAGTCCTGAGGCAAAATTAAGCATGGCTATACAACGTGCTTGGGCAATGAAATATGGATAGAAGTGCCAAATGTCACTTCCTGTTAGAATATTTAATTCTGATGCCCTACTCTTCAGCTCTTCCCTAGACATGAGGATTCTGAAATTACCTGTTGATGTAGGATTGTTACAAAATTGAAGCAGCTGGAACAAGAAACATATGGAGAATACTTGCCTTCTAGAGACACTCAGACTGAAAGCAGGCAATGCGTAAGCAAAAAGATAAAAATTTGTTATGTAAAGCCACTTAGATTTTGAGGTTACTGTGTTATCACTGCATAACTTAGCATAACCTGATATAGTACTTACTTTATAAATGTCTTATGTATCTTTCCATAAACAGTACATTCCTTCAGGTCAGGGACCATGTCTGAAGCATTTCTTTACTCTCAATATTATAAAAAGATAGTTTTTACTAGGCTGTCAAATAGTATTTGTGGAATAAATAAATGAAAAGCAAATAATCTTTGTTCCTATAGAAAATGTGATATTATCCATTTGACCATTTCTTTCATTTTATCCTGTAGAATTAGAGTTTAGCCTTAGAAATTGGCAGGCCTACTACAGTTTTGTCAGTAAAAAGTTTTTCTTAAAGCTGCTTATTAAATGTATTCCCAACTATTTTGTATTTTTAAATTTTTTTGTTTTATATATTTGTATGTTTTTAAATGTTATTTTTAAATTTTAATTATTAGACTAAATATTGTAATCAAAAGGCAGATATTGTTAAACTAGCTCAAAAAGCAAGACCAGCTGTATTCTGTCTGGAAGAAATATACTTTAAGTAGAAGGATACAATAAGTTGAAAATAAAAGGAAGAAAATAAGTGTGTACAGTCAAAATAAGAATATTGGATGGGTTATATAAAGAAAAGAAAAATAAGCCGGATGCAGTGGCTCACGCCTGTAATCCCAGCACTTTGGGAGGCTGAGGCAGGTGGATCACAAGGTCAGCAGATCGAGACCATCCTGGCTAACTCAGTGAAACCCCGTCTCTACTAAAAATACAAAAAAAAAAAAAAAAAAAAAAATCAGCCGGGCATGGTGGCGGGCACGTGTAGTCCCAGCTACCCGGGAGGCTGAGGCAGGAGAATGCTGTGAACCCGGGAGGCGGAGCTTGCAGTGAGCCGAGATCACGCCACTGCACTCCAGTCTGGGCGACACAGCAAGACTCCGTCTCAAAAAAAAAAAAAAGAAAAAAGAAAAAGGAAAGAAAAATGTGTTCAATAAATTGTGCTAGAAAAAACTAAATATCTTTATGGAAAAAACTGAACTTTAATAGTTACCTTATACCATAAACAAAAATTTTCTAAAAATAGAGGTAAATGTGAAACTAAACCTCTAATACTACTAGAAGAAAATATAGGAGAAACTCTTTATGAGATTACAATAGGCAAATTATTTAGATAAAAGCTAAAAAATCATGAATCATAAATTGGGTAAAGTGAACTTCATCAAAATTGAAAAATTCTGCTTTTTGAATTCCCTGGTTAAGTAATTGAAATGTCAAGCAAAATGATGAAAAAATAAATAACAATCTCTATATATAACAGTAAGCTGGCATCCAAAATATATAAATTATTATTTCAACTCAATAAGAAGTAACAAATTAAAAATGAGTAAAATATTCGACCATACACGTCACAAAAGATGACACTCAAATGTTCAATAAACACGGAAAATATGTTCAACATCATTAGGGATAAGGGAAATGAAAATTAAAATCACAATGAATGATCACTGTCAAATTGTTAAAATAGATGAAACTAAAAAGACTGATAATAGCAAGTGTCAGTGAAGATATGGAAAAACTGGAACTCATAAAATTTTGGTAGGAATGTAAAATAATATCTGCTTTTGAAGAAGTTTGGTGGCTTCTTATAAAGTTAAATGTATGCTTAATATATGACCTAGAAGTTCTACTCCTAGGTAGAGGGATTTATTGAAACATATCAGCAGAAATGAACCATATGTCTACACAAGACATGTACAAGAATGTTCATGGCAACTTTTTTATAATAGCCCAAAACTGGAAACTACATAAATTTCAATAAACTGAGGAATTAATAAACAAATTATGATATATTTATACAGTAGAATAATACTCAAAAGAAGAATGAACTTCTAACATATATACAAAAACATGGATAAATCTTTTTTAAAAAATCTTTCTGAGTGAAAAAGGTCAGATACCAATGAGTAAATGGTCTATGGTCCATTTTAATGAATTACAGAAAATACAAGGATAATCTATATTGACATAAAGTAGATCCGTGGTTGCCTGGGGTCAGGGTTTGGGGGAATTGGCAGGAAGGGTGCATAAGAGAACTTTTCAGGAAAGAAAAAGTGATGAAAAGTGCTCTATATTTTGATGGTAGGAGTTGCCACACAGTGTATACATTTGTAAAAACATCAAAACATATACTTAAAATCTATGTGTTTTATTGCATATAAGTAATACATCCATAAAGTTAAATAAATAAAAATACCTCTCAGAAATAAATATTTAGGAATATGTACTGTTAATATTTCTGGAAATTAAGGATAAAATGGGAGTGTCTCCTCTCATTCCTAGTGATGAGCTAGCAACGTATTTTCACCCCAAACTCACAAGTTTGGGTTTGCTAGTCCAACGACCTTATCTCCCAAGGGAAGAATCCCCTAACCATGGTTTCATTAAAACTGAAATCTGATACTGCCACCAGGCCACTTTGGGGTTCTCATGCCAACAAATAAGCAAAGAAGGGGGTTACCTTGCCAGCTAGACTGATGGATCTTGACTTTCAAAAGTGAAATTAAATTGCCCCTACAGGTGATACACTGAGGAACATCTTAATAATTCCATGTCTTATGGTAAAAGTTAATGTAGAACTACACAATGCAATAAATGTTAGACTGTCAAAGGTCCACACCTTTCTGGAGTGAAGTCTTGGGTTACCACACCAGGCAATAAAACATTAACATCTGAGGCCCTTGCTGAGAACAAAGGGAACATGAAATGGACAGTGAAAGAAGATAGTTTTAAATACCAGCTATGACTATGTGACCAGTAATAGAAATGAGAAGTGTAATAGTTATTAATGTCTTCTATATTTTGATATAAACAAATTGTGAATATATTAATCATTTGTTTTTCCCTTTTCCATTTCCCATAAGATATGTTAATAGTAGTTAACTTTATATCTCAGTAATTAAATGCAAATATGCTCATGTAGAAGATTAATGAACATCTCCCAAAGATTGATAAAAGGACTTTGTATCTTATTTTGGAAGAGGGTTGGTGAAGAGATTAATAATAAACAACAAAGCTGTTTTTGGATGCCATGTTAACAAAGAATGGAACATCATGGCTTTCCCTGTGTTAATTTAGCTAAACTGGAACTAAGTGTCCCAGACTTTTCTTACCCGTATAACAATGGTTTAGAATTGGCCATTCACCTTGTCTGCAGGATTTGGAAGGCAGAAGTGAAGAAACAATGAATTTTTTGCTCTGAAGGCTAGTGCAGGACACTAGGCACTGTGACTGCTCATGTAGACTTTTATTGATCTACTGGCTCACTTTATTGACGTGGACAGAACCCAAATCCACAACTACTGTAGCTACCTCCAAAATCTTTTCCCTCAGCTTCTCCAAATTCTGATCCAGAAACACATGGCAAACTGTGTAAAAAGACATTAGCTAATTCCACAGGTTACCAGCATTATTGAGGCTGAAGGTGATGAGAGACAGATGTGGACTCTAGATTGTCTTTCTGTGTTCCTGCTGGTTTTTGCTCCCCACTTCACAACAAGCTTTCCTTCCTGGCTACTTACCCAGTTTACCTAATGCCTCTCTCTACCATGAATATATTTATGATTTTCTAGAAATCTGCTATTAATAATGTAAAAGCTATATTAATTTAATAATACTGTATAGTAAAAGCAACAATTAGTAGCTAGGAAGAGATTTCACAACTCTCTGATGTCATTTATCATTTGAAAAGTTAGCATGTATTTCATGTGTTGCAATACAACCATTGGATAAAGACCTCATTTTTCAGGAAAGGCTAGAAAAGGAGAGAGGGAGTGTGGAAGAGTACTTGATACCTGTTCTAAAGATGGGAGACATAGGACAAATGTAAGTGTCACTAGGAAGAGTGATCACAGGGCTAGGACTATGGTGAAACACATAGAAATCAAATCACTAGATGCTATATAAATTGGTATTGCATTTGCCATGTTTATATAGTTAATGGTATTTACCAATACATTACTCAATAACCATTTGAGAAGATCCCCTTAAGAACTATAATTCATACCAAAGTCCAAAGGAAAAATGTTTCTCCAAAAAAACTGATAGAACTTTTTTTTTGTATTATGAATAAAACTTATATAATCAATTATATCTCATTCTCTTTTACTCTGGCCACTTGGAAGCTCTATATCATTTTAAAAATTTAATTATATAAACTATTTTTCTTTCTGTTCTATATTTTCTTGGCCTTTTGTCAATAAAGTTTTGAAATTATGACATATAGTTTTATAAGATACCTAAAATATTAAAAATAAGAAAATTAATTCATGAATGAATGGATTAAAAGCAAATTTAATAGACATTTTTGAAATAAATATACCAATATAAATAATTAAATTAATATTGTTAATACTAAGTGTATATCTGCTTAATTCATTTTTTATTAGTAAAGCATCTTAGTCATTTGAGACCATTTTAGCTAATCTATTTCACTTAGAGTAATGCATTCTACAAGACATATTAAAAATTACATTTAATGGTAGCTAAGTTTGACACTCAATCTTTTCCCCTATGTCTACAGTTTCTTTCTTGTAGGCATATAATAGAATTATTTCAAACCAATAGATTACTTTCAGGGAGGTCAATCCTAGGCACTGACAACTTATGGCATGGTAGCCCTTTTTTTATTTACAGAACATTTAATATATTTTAATTTTTAGATGTTATTCAGTGTTTGGGTTTTTATTGTATGATACGGTTAAGACAAGATCTGAAATTGAGGAAAATATTAAGATGTAGACTACAGTCTTATAGACAGTTCATTTCAATCCACATATGATGGCAGTTGTCTGTTCCACTGTAAAATTATTGTGTTTTCCACATCAGTGTTACTTTAATACGTGAGCTCTAAAAGGAGTGATATCATAGTGATTCCTGATTCGACATGTCCTAGCACCATTAGCATTCATACTAAATGAGTGCTATTTAACTTAATGAGAAGTTCATTTCCTCTGTCCATTTACTGCCCCTTTAAGTGCCTATCTTCCTTCCTAAGCCTGCTGCAAGGCATGTAGGTAGCTAGCAAATTGAGAAGTTAAGAAGATTTGTATTTTATATGCCTTGAACTGAATTGCTCTTTACTGGCATTCTAAAAGCAGAGGGACCTACAGTCGTGTCATATTTTCAGTCTTCTTTTCTCATATCTTAGCAACTTCCATAATATTCCTACCAAAGTGGTTTATTCAGTAATATATAATAACTTAATTGTCAACTTTCCAGCCTCATTTGTGTTTTGATGAATTATTCGAGTTTTTTAAAGGAATGAATGTTTGGGTACCATTGTTATGGCTGAAAGGAAACCATGGTACTTTGTCACATCTCAGGTAGATGTTGTATTGCAAGTGTTTGAATACTTTTTAATATTGAGATGATTGAAGCTCACAATAAGAAAGCACAAATTCTAAGAAATTATATAGCTATTGAGATGAAGCTGCCATTTTCCAAAGCAGAACACCCATTTCTTGTCATGAAATTTTATTCAAGATGCTGAACTGCACACCACAGAGAATGAGATATCGGCAAAGGAGATGCTATAGAAAACATAACAACAAAAAATCCCGATGGTCTCCTTAATCATATAAGCCACTGGTGAACAAAAAAGCACTGTTAAGATTGCTTCAGAAATTAGGTCGTGACCTGACTTTTTGAAAAATAGCGCAAAGTAAATTGAAAACATAAATGGATACATGTTTCTGAGAGAGGCTGGGAGAACTGCCTTTCAGTATAAAGAAGATGAAGGATGTTTGTTCCATCGAAGACAAACATTAAAATTAACGACAACAGTCCTAAAAAGGATGAATTATTTTAGAGTATATATCATATATTCATCTCATCAGTATGTATGTAAAGAGTGTGACTCTACTCACAAAATAATTTGACTGAAATGGGGAAAATCAAGCCAGGAGCGCATACAGTTCATTCAGAGGTGCGTGTCTGCCCTGACAATGTGAGGACCTGAAGGAGATGTGGTATGTCCATGACAGCTTGCACACATAGCAGTGTTATCCTATTGTGCCTTACCAGATGACTTTGTTTTTCTCTCGAGGGTCTTTGCTCTATTCTAGCTTGATGGCTCAGCTTTCTTTCACTGATGCTGGCCCTCCCCTTTTTGGCCTTTTTCACCACCTGTCTGGCTCCAGATTTATGGATATTTTTCCCCAGCTCCAGCCTGAGACTGCTGAATTAGCACAAGGCATAGCCCAACTAAAAGAAAACTCCCTGGCCTTCAGCCTCAGGTGTCAGGATTCAGCACTGCTTACAACAGGAGCCAACTACTGTATTGTTTATTAACGTTTTGACCGTTTTTGTGCTTATTGTTATCTAAAGTTTCAGCAGCCTAACTGGGAAAACAATGCCTGATCCCTTGAATGTCGCTGTCACCAGGTGCCAGGCAAGAGCCAGGTGCTTCAGTAGCAGTAATAGAGCAGCCTGGTGACTTTGGCATTTGCATGAACTAGACTCATTAAGAAAATAGGAATTAAAGATAATAGTTTCAGTCAACTACAAAGGTTAGAGAATTTACAAACCAATATTCTAGTCCACATGATAATAATTAAACCTAAAATATTGACTAAAAAGAATCACAAAGTTTCCTGATACACAGGATGTTTATAAAGTTTGCACTGTTTAAATTCTGGATGATTCAGTATTGTGCCAAGTAGTTTTTGTTCTGTTTTGTTTTGCTTTTAATCAGACCGAGCTCAGAACTGTGACCCTACCTTAGGACTCTGCCACTTAGAGCTGGCTTCATTAAGGGACTTAAGCTCCCTGAGCTGTAGTTTCTACATCTCTGAAGTTGAAATAATATCTATTTTTTAGAGTTGTTTTCAGTATTCAAGATAATATTGATAAACTAGCACACATTAGACACTAAATAATACATTTAGTTTTAAGAAACTAAAATTACTGTAGCACACCATATATTTAAGCATGCATATACGTAACATTTTTATGTCTCTGACATATGTAACACATAAATGCTTAATACTTTTAAAAGGCTTCAAATATAATAATGGGCTTGCCCCGAACAGCCACACTCTCTGATGTTTTGTCACTTTGCATCTTTCTCCCTTCTCCTCTCAGCTGATGAGAAGTCTCTCTAGGTTCCCTAGGATAAGGAAGCTTAAAGCCTCAATTCTTATGAAGAAAGAGAAGGAAAATAGGAAAACCTCTACATTCTTTAATACATCCTATAAAGGATAAATAATTTTTAAACGTGGTATTGTCTTTTCCAATCTGATTTATTCAACCTGAAGTGACATTAACATAGAAAGATCAGAGAGCAGTATGATTTAATGTAAAAACCAGCTTTCACCCCAGACTAGTCTTCACTTGAAATACTACTCTCTTTCTTGCTTGCTGTTTCAAACTTTCGTCTGCCTTTATAGCGTTCGACACATGGTGCTGCCCTGGGGATGACTGCGTTCATGTAAATTGTGTCACATTGGCTGAATTCCTTTCATGACATAGCCTCCATCATAAAATTGGAATAACCAGATAAAAGTCATCCTCATTTTCCTTGTGCTGATAAATGCTTTGATTTCACAAACCTATTGTTAACTGCCAGCCTCTTTACGTTTTCCTTAAGAAGTCTTTTGTCCCCTCAATTTCCCTGTATATGCTGGAATTGCTTACTTAACTAACATCATTTTTAAGGCTTTTTTAGTTTAATATTTTATTGTTTTAAATGTATTTTAGATACTTAATATACTGATTATCAGTATATTTGCATAGTTTGAACTTACTCTGCATACAAATAGACCTCAATTATTAAAAGGTGGTTATGCAAATTGACTTGTTTCCAAGATAGTCTGTCTAGGATCCCTTTGGTATTTCCCAGACAAAAAGAAGTATATCTCCATGTGTAAAAAGCCCCCTAAATCCAGATATGATCAGACAAGCTAGAAAAACTGACTATATCAAATGAGAATTTCAGCTTTAGGAGTTGAAGCTCCTCGTGTGTGTGTGTGCACGCGTACCTCTCTCTACAACCCTTAACATAACAGCCGTTCCCTTCACAGCTCCTCCTTCTCCTCAAATACTCAATGAGAGCCTCAAGCTTTCTCAATCCAAGAAGACCTCAGTACTTCAGACTTCATGTCATTTATTCTTTACGATAACTGTGAGATAGGTTATATGATCCTCATTTTAGAGATGTGAAAACAAGGCTCAGAAAGTTAAAACACTTGCTTAGGTGAAATAATTATCATGTAGCAAAGATTTTAACTGAGATTTATCTAGAATTGAAGCTCACATTAACTCCATAAAATAGTATTTATCCAGGAAAGATCATACAAATGTTGGTTATTTTCATTTAGGGAAGCCAAAAAGTGGGAAATGAACTTTAAAGAGAATAGAATATGGACATTCACAAATGGGGAAAAATACATCTTAAAAAAGAAAGCATGTAAGCACAAAAACTAATGTGGAAATGTTTGAGTCATAAATGAAGAATAGCAACCCTTCTATCTGGTTATTTTTTCTAGTGTGAAGAAGAAAATTAGAGACATTTTTGGGAAAGAATGCTTGGGACAACCCAGAAGCCTTAAAATGACAGGCTGAGGAGTTTGAACTTTATTCCACGGGCCATTGGGAACCCGTGGAGGCATTTGAGAAGATGGGTACATTTCAAGAAAAGCTATGCGGAAGAGTTTCATAACGAAGAAATATAGGAAAAGAGACTCAAGCTGGGGAGACCATCTATCCAGTTATCAGAGTGGTTAGAGAATAATAATGGGATGGAGATCATGGAAAAGAAGGGAAGGAACACTTGCAATGTTAGAGAAGGGTTAAACATGGAGTAGAAGGTTATTCTAAACAACCCTCCCCACTATGTTTTCCTCAATTGCCCATGATTTGTGTGCAAGTCCTAGACATTATTTAGCAGTTGTAAAAAGTAAAAACTAAATTTTGATCAAGAAGCACTTAGAAAGTTTGGGCAAATACTGTAAGGAGATAGCACCGTTCTAGCTCAAAGTGACTTATATTAAAAATACATATTATCTTCCTGGAAATATGGGGTAAAGGTAAGCAAAAATGAAGTTGACAGGTGAATCTATACAATTAGCTTGATATATTTTAAGCTGAAGTTTCATCATTGGAAAGAAAAAGATGTTCAGTGGAAAACTTAGAGGGCTATTATTGAGTGAGATATTTGGAAGGACATAGAGTCCAATACTCTCAGTTAGGCTAAGGGTTTCTCTCCAGCTGATCACCTCATGCCTGTACTTTCTTTCGCCATTAAAGATAAAATAAAGTGTGAATAAAATTGAAACCACACATGTAAAGCAAACACAATTTAGATAAAAGGCAATAATGTAGTATAAAATAAAAAAGATAAAATAGCAATCTAAAAATTCAGAATAGATAAAATATAGTAAGAAAGGCAAGAATAAAACAAAAAAGATTAAAGAAGATTAAAGTAAATAAGCAAATACTGACTAAAAGAGTATAAGAAGAAGATAAGCTATTTAAGGTTGACAAATTTAGCTAAAAGAATATCCTTTTTAAAAGGATAGGAAAAGTACTACAGAGTTCGGACTTCACCCTTGGGACAGACTGACCTATCAGTTTCCAGCAGTCACCCTGACACATATCCTCCTTCTGAGCCTGAGCTTGGCTCTAAAGGGTCCACCGCCAAGAGACAGAGGCCCCTGAGAGATTGTCCTTTAGAAAGAAGCCTTTCATTTCCAACACCTGGGCTCCTTTACATATTTGGCAAACTGTTTTAATAAGCACAATTCCAGCCAATTTTTTCTACCCAGGTTCTGCAAGTTAGCACAGTCTCTCTTACACGTAACACAGAGATAAGACAGATGGATTGAGAATATTCACCAGTTAATTTAACATGGGAAACAAAGGAACGGTAGCATTGGTGAGAGGCCCAACATTAGAAGTGTCCATCCACGGCTATTGCTGGTACCAAGATTTTAAAATGTGAGATATGTTCCCTTCTTATGTGTGAAGCCATTAATACTGAAAGAGCAGCTTACAGATAAATCACATGGAGACAAATCAGCAAGAACCACTACTAGAAAAACATTTGTGTCTCTAGTCAATTTGATTGTTGGAGAAAACAATACTTACGTTTTATGAATTTCACTAGTAAATTCCACATAGTCATTGAGGAGCCATGACTCAAAAATTCTGGTTGATTACCAATCATACGATAAGGCTGGAACTCTTATTTGGTCAAAGAAATACTAAAAGCGATCAACTTGGTGGCTGGTTGTAGTTACAGCAGAGAGTGAGGTGTGCCTCTGGAGCCAGCCTGCAGACCTGGCCTGTGATTCTGCCATTTCCTGGCTGGATAATCCCTGGCAAGATCCTTCACCCTTCATATACTCAAGTTCTTCATCTGTTACATGGGGATAATGCTATAGGGTTTTTACAAGGAACAGATGCATTAATCCATGCAAAGTGGTAATGTGCATAAAGCCTGGCACATAAAATGTGCTCGTAAACATTTGAGATTATTGTTATTATTCTGATAGCAAGGGCTTGCTTGATGTTTGGAAAAGATGATAGCCAAAATACCTGGATTTCCTCAAAGAAATGTCAAAATGCAGAGCAGCTAAAACTAATGAGAAAAACAAAAACAAAAAACAAAACAAAACAAAAACCACCTCAAACCGCACACAAAGCTTCTAACACCAACACCTGACTTTTCTTAAGAAAATTTTGACAAAATGTCTGCAAAAGATAAAAGGTACACAAATAATAAGAACTAGCACTTATGGCATACTTACTTTGATCCAGATGCTGTTTAAGCATTTTACATTCAGCTTACTGCTCCTAATAATAATATCATAATGTAGGTGTTACTATAACCTATTTACTGATGAAAAGCACAGGGCGGTTAAGTAACTTGCCCAAGGCCAAACAACCAGTTTGCAGAGGAGCCAGGAATCAAATACAGGCATGAGGCTGCAGTGACTGCTTAATTAAAACTTCTGAGAGAATTCTATTATTCCAATGAAGTAAAATTAAATTTTCTCCTCTTCCCAGAAGCCCACATCTATTGCATGGATAGCCATGCTTTTCTATAGCTTAATTTCCTCTAGGATTCTTTAGTTGAAACTTACATTTCTATGAGCTTTAATGGTGTGACCCTTGGTTTCTTTCTTCTCTCTCATTCTCCCTTCCTGGGCTATGTGTGAGTCATAGCTAGAGCTAGAAGCCAAAGGGAGAGAAAAAAGACTAAATCTCGATTAAGATCTGTATACCAAAAACAGATCATCTTTATTTCAAAGCCTGTTAGCTTAGAGTTTTGTTAACTTTAGAAATGTATTTGGATTAAATATATGTATAATACTTACACATTATTGAACAAGATTATTCTGCAATCAACATCATTCTGTTTATAACATATATTTTCAATATTGTTTAAAAATGAATTCCGACTAGTCAGCTCCAGACTTCACCTCACATTTTCTCTGTCTCAATTTAATTGACATTTGTAATAATTAAATCCATTTGCTTTTCAGCAATCCCCACCCTCTCCTGACATCCATTCTGCAGACATAAAACTATAAAACAAAACCTTCTGGAACAAAACATGAGGGAAATAATGGATCCAGGTTAAGCAATCAGCTATGAGCAAGATACCTTTGAGAAGTGTAAAGAAAAACCAGGTAAGCAGAGAATACACCAATTTGGAATGGGATAAGATGGTGACATCACATAGAGGGGCTACGGCACAGAGGTAGCAACAGAATATTAATCACCATTCCTTCCCATTGATGTATGGGCCAAGGTTCCAGGGGCCCCACAGAACTAGAATTGCAAAAGCACAATGCAGCACTCCCTAATCAATTCATAGGGTGACCTCACAGCATCAGTCAATGGAGGTTAGTGGTCATTTTCAATTCACTGTGAAAGAAGAGCTTTTAAGGAAGACCTTAATCAAATGTAATTAGTCTGGAGGGTGATGGACGATCCATTTAGCCAAGCCTATGTGAAGTAATATAAAGTAACCTTAAGTAGGGTTGGCCTTGGGGCATCTTATTTACCAAACCAAATTCAGTTTGATTTTATGCTTTGTTCAAAATGATGTTGGAGCAATTTCTCTCCTTTACTTACCTAATGTGATCCTGACCCATTGCAGTGACCAAAGACGTCCCTTGGTTTTTCTCTCCACACTCTACCTTATAGTTTACAAAGTGAACTAAAGCACAATTACTCTAACAACTCATATCATTTTCTTTCTGATGCCTTGTTTCTGATAAAAAGTAAATTTGGAAAATACAGAGAATCCCATAGAAAACAAACACCACCACCCAGAAATAACTCCTGTTACTATTTTGATATATGGCCTTTCAGGTAGTTTTCTTTGCCTTTTTATAGGTTAACAATATAATGAGGTTTTCTTTCCTGTGCTGTCTTATTTTGAGTCTTTCCCCACTTAGAGAAATCCACAGGCCTCCAGGAGAATTGGAGTTCTTAGAGCAGGAAGGCAAAGACACAGTAAACTAGCAAACTTTAGTCAGCTTGATCTACTAAATAGGCAGTTAAGATGAAAGCAGAAGACTCCAAGGGGAGCTAGCCATACGATTTAAGACAAAATAATGGATTGGAAAGAGAATAGGAGATGTGAGTTGTCCTCCCCTTAGGAGATGGATTGAGGGTCACTGGGGAGTTGGGACCTGCAGATGACCAGACTAAAGGGACCATGTGCAGGACAGTCATGTCAGGATCAAGGGAATACTAAGCCACTCTTCCCCCTCCTCCTCCTCTTGTTCTAGCACCTCATAGAAGCTGAGCCCATATGTGCTGGCTTCCTGTGCCTGCAAGCCATGACCTTGTCATGTGTGCTGAGTAGACCTTTTGGCCAGCCTTCTTACTTTTGAGATAAGGTCTTCCAATTATAGTAGAAATCAGTTTTGCTAGCCAACAGTGTCCCCAAAAAGAAACATACAAAGCCTGCATTTTCAATTCCCAGACAAGGGGGAATAACTGACATTTTAATATCGGGTTGTGATTTTTATGATGCTAACTGGATGTCTTTTTTGTTACTGTAAAAGGACTTTAATTTCCTTTGAGTTCCTCAGAAAAAGCAAATCCTGAGGCATCCCTTTATATCTGAAGTATTTTGAGATCTATATTTTTTTTCATTTAAACCTAAGATCACTGGATTATGACTTTAATCAAAATGAGACAGATGAACCACTCAGAACTTCACAGTGTTTCTGCCATCACCATCACATTGTGCCTAAGCATATTATTCTGAGATCTGCAAAAGATTTTGAATGTGTTTGACATACAGTAACAAACATCAGGTTGACAGACATATGGTAAAAGGTATGTATGGTTGCACATGGAGAGAGTTAACAGCATCATTTGCTCAGCCCCACACCCCTTGGGAAACAGTCAGTTCAGTTCTCCTTACAGCTCAGGCAAATTGGTGCTCCATGCGAGAGAAGAGCTCCCTTCACCCTGACCCACGTTGCTGCAGTAATCACAGTAATCACATCCATCAGCTCCCGTGCATTTCCCTGTAGGGTGCCCATGGGAGTGGAGGGTGCTGGCTTATTGCCTCTCTGCTGCTTCCCCAAGGGGCAGCCTGGCAGTGGTTGCTGCCTAGCCAGATGGGAGCTTGCTCCTGGGAAAGTAAACAAACTTATTTTCTACCTTGAAAAAGAGAGGGTCAGGCTTTATTTTTCTAATCTGTACTGGAAAACAAATGCTACTGTTTCTACTTTATCAATGATGGTGTAATACCACCAAATGTGTAAGACTTGTCCACATAGCCTACAGAGCATTAGAGTCTGAATTCAGAAATTCCCAAAGCCTGATTTCTGGTGAGCATCTTGAATCCTCCTGCCAGTTATATCCATGGTCACCATTCCTTATTTCCTTCATTCACATTTTATTCCTCTGCATAACCCCTGCACAGGGCAGCTGCTTTATTAATTTTCATTGACTAAATAATAAATCCAAGTGTGGCCCTGGACGTGCTACTGTCTCTCTGGGACTTATTTCCCATCAGTAAATAAGGGGTTGGACTAGATAATTTCTAAGTTGCCTTGAAGCTTCAAAATCTTCTAAGGTTCTGCCACTAGCAGTTTACCTGTACTGCCTGGTTTTCTGCCTGAGCTTGCTGTCTTCCCTGAACCAGTACAGGTGGGCACTTATAGTGTGTGGCCCCCAAACCTTGGGCTTCATCTATAATACTGTACATTCAGAGAGAGAATTTTCCAACTGAGGGAGGGGAGCAGGGCAGGACACGGAAGTCTGAGAGCAAATCAGGACAGCATAAGCAAGACCAGAGCAGAGGAGAGAAGCCATCACTCGCAGGAGCCATCCCAACCCGAGGGGTTGCTGTGGTCAGGGGTGCTTCATCAGGGCTCTGTCTGGCTCATACAAAATTCATTCTCTAGTTTCCAAATCACTTGCTGATACTAATTTGACTTTCCAATACCAAGAAAGAGATTAGGCTGTGTAATCAATGGAACAAC
This sequence comes from Homo sapiens, assembly GCF_000001405.40. Classification (NCBI taxonomy): domain Eukaryota; kingdom Metazoa; phylum Chordata; class Mammalia; order Primates; family Hominidae; genus Homo; species Homo sapiens. Next base: position 46,314,556 of record NC_000015.10, on the reverse strand, counting down.
ATATTTTATTTCATCAATTAAAATTATGGTTTAAACTTTGTGGTAGGCTAATTGGCCCCCAAAGATATTCAGGCCTTAATCCTTAAAACCTGTGAATATTACCTTTTATAGAAAAAGTGGCTTCGTGGATGTGACTAAGGATATTGAGACAGACAGAGAGATTATCCTTCCTTATCAGGGTGGGAGCTAGGGAGAGGGATATTTGACACAGAAGATGAAGGCAATGAAAGCATCTTACAACACAAGTAAGATGCTACACCGGTGGCTTCAAAAATGGAGGAAAGTCTGGGCGCAGTGGCTCACACCTGTAATGCTGGCACTTTGGGAGGCTGAGGTGGGCAGATCACCTGAGGTCAGGAGTTCGAGACCAGCCTGGCCCACATGGTGAAACCCTGCCTCCACTAAAAATACAAAAATTAGCCAGGTGTGGTTACACATGCCTATAATCCCAGATACCTGAGAGGCTGAGGCAGGAGAATCACCGGAACCCGAGAGGCAGAGACTGCAGTGAGCTGAGATCACACCACTGCACTCCAGCCTGGGTAACAGAGCAAGACTCTATCTCAAAAAAAAAAAAGAAAAAAAATGGAGGAAAAGTCCAGGAGTCAGAGAAGGAAATTAATTTTGGCAGCAGCCTCTAGAAGTTGGAAGAGTCAAGGAATAAATTCTTCTCTGGATCCTCCAGAAAGAACAAGCCCTGCTGGCACCTTGACTGTAGCCCAGTGACACTGATTTTGGGCTGCTGGACTCCAGGATTGTAAGAGAATAAATTTGTGTTGTTTTAAGCCTCTAAATTTGTGTTAGTTTATTACAACAACAATAATAAACTAATACAAACATAAACTCCCTTGTGATATTAGTACCAATAGTCCTTTGTCTAAGGGTCTAATTGCTTTGAGTTAGCCTAAAAATGTTTTAAAAATCTAGTTTCTGGACACACAGACCCCGGACCATACACAGCGGAAACCTTCTAAGAAACCCACTGCCCTCCCAAGCAACACCTTTAATTTGGATTCACACTTTCTTTCAAACTGCAGTAGGATGCAGTTTCCCCTACTGTGGCCTCTGAAAAATACATCAGTTGGTTGATTTTGCATGTAACTATAAGGCATCTAGTAGGGTTTGAAAAAAATAAGCCAAAATAAAGTATCGAGTTCACATACTATTAATGGCTGCAGCTACTGTCATTCAAATGCAGCTATTCTCCCTCACTTTCTTATTACAGAATGCCCTTACTAATCTTCTACAGGTATCAATGCCACCCAGCCCTGTCTGGACTGGATGCTAGTCTGCTGTTTCTTAAACCTTAATATGCATTATATGCAGTGAAATCACCTGGGGATCTTGTTAAAATGCAAATTCTGATTCTGTAGGTCTGAGGCAGGACCTGAGATTCTCAATTGTAATAAGCTCCCAAGCAATGCCAGGACTGCTGGTCTACAGACCACACTTTTAAGTAGCAAGGTGCTAGATCATACTCTGGAAGTTTTAGCCTAAGGTGGATTTAAATTGGCACTACCAACAAAGCCTTGTGATATTCCCAAACCCTTGCAGAACTTACCTTGAAATACTTTTGCTGGATGCCGCACTCTACCTAGTGCACCGTCTCTGGTCCTGGCCTGCACGTTAAGTACTTCCTTTGCATGCCTCTATTCAACATAACACCCTTGAATCCCATCCTGGTCTTCAGAGAATTTTTTCCTTATGATGTGGGCACTGAACTTGTAAGAATCTCTTCTGCTTTTCCTGAATGTCAGTGTTTCTTCAGTCCCCTGAAATCTTACTCTAAAATGTTTCCTTTATCCTGTTCACCTGCACCCCTAGGTTGCAAAGACTTGCTCAGTCCTTAAATAAAGGCTTTTTCTACTGGTTTGGGTCCACGTCTAATGAATCTATGCCTAGACAGGGCCAGTGTCTCAGGAGCTATCAGGGGCCCAACATCCTGCCATAGCTGGCTTACCTTTGGTGGCTCCCAGCAATATCTTAGAGCCTATTTCCATCCCTTCCTGTTTTAAAACTACCACTCCCTGTGGCATCCCCTGTTGATTTCAGTTTCTGATCTGAGTAATGACTATAGTCTTTGGTTAATTTATGAAGGACACACAACTGGCATACCCTGCACCCCATAAAAGATCAAGTATTTTCTCCTCCACCTGCTACATACAGGTTCTCCCATTTGGTTCACTTCCTCTAGCCTCTATCAAAGGGCTTCCCAGCTCTCTGCTGCCCTCTCCTGGCATTCTTTAGCACTGTGCTCACATCAGCGCTTGAAGAGCCAAACCAATGGAATCACAGACCCTTGATCTGCAAAGACCTAGAAAGGTAATCTAACTAGCAAGCTGAACTGGGCATCTACTACTTTTATCAGCATTTTCTAAGTAAGAATTTCAACAGAAATATAGAAGGATCACATCCTTAACAGAGTTTCATTTCTAACAGAATGAAAATCACAAGAATAAGAATAGAGGAGAGAAACTTTAGAGTAAATTTAAAGAAGAAAGAGGACCCCAGTTTGGCTAAACTAGTGGTTCCCAGGTCTAGCTGGAAAGATTTCAAGAAATATTGTCCTCTGGGTCCTACTCCAGTTCATTCCTGATTACTTATATTTTTGATAATCTTCCTAGTGATTCTAATGACTGTTAAGAGCTCCTTGTTTAGACTATAAAATATGAGATATGAATTAAAATCTGTCATATTATGGAAAATATTAAATGACACACTTACATTTTATAGACAATTTTTGAATATTTGTAAAGAGCAGCAGACCTCACATAAAAGGGTGCTTTGGTTTATACTTTCAGAGTACAGATCCTCCTGACCAGACTTTGTTCTCTGGCCTACCGCCATCCTTCTGTGCTTGTCCAGCCTCCTGCCTCATTAAGTGTTTTGCACTATATCTTTAATGCTGACCCCCACAGAGGATCCATGGCTCCTCCTGACTAGGCACTGCCCCTTCACCCTAGTACTACAGTCTTAGCCCACTCAGGGAAGCCCCCTACCACTTCATGCCCTCCAAGCAACACACCCTTCCCTCTCGGACTGTGCTGCCCCCTGTTCTGTGGGCAGACCCAGATGGTGAAGGCCTGGGGTGGGGGAGACAAGTGGAGCTACACTAACAAATGATACAATGAGGCTCTCTAATACTGTTTTCTCGGATACTCCTAATGTTGCTTCTATCTAATAATATGTTCTGATTCTATAAAAGCTATTGTCTCTCGCCTTGGCTGGAGTCTTTCCCATCCTATCCTACTTATCATAAGTACCACCCTTTCCCAAAAGACTTTCCTGACTGCTCCACCTCTCCCTAGTCAGAGTCCACTTGTACTTGTCTTGTGTACCATTATTTCGCATTTAACATGCTTTAATTTTCTTTCCTTCAAGATATTCAAGTTCTCTATCTTACTTAACATGTTGTATTTTTAGTTGTTACACTGCAAGTCTCTCTCATCTTTATACTGCTTTATTGCGCTGGAAAGGCAGACCACGATGCCTTGCACACAGTGGGTGTTCAGTTAGTATTTACTGATTGGATTTCTTCCAAGCGTCACTGGCTCAATCCTTAGAAATAAAACCCCAATCCTGGTAAATCTGTCTTTCTTGGCCACTTGGCTTTTTCCCTTCCAATTCACCAGTGCTTACCCAATAATCTCTTATTCCTCAGAGGCTAGACTCCACGTTTCTTACCTCCTTTGGCACCCATTTCTTACTTCTTTTGGATGATCATTTCTATCCTTTAGCGAACCTCAGTGTGCTTTTTCTCCTTTCCAGTGTTTACTCTGCTTAGCTAGAAGATCACTGGCAACTTTGAATTTGCATTTTTAATCAGGCATTGCATCATATTTTTACTCTATTATTCTTAGTTCCTGTTGCATTTAAGCTACTGCGGGGTATATGGGTGAGAGCATAAACATAAATAAGAAAGCAATTTGCCTTACTTCATCTTCTAAAATCTCTAAGCGTTAATTTTACATAAAGCAATATCACTTTGTCTTCCTTTCATAGAAACGTTGCCTGCTATTTTTAAGGTAAAAATAAAGGCTCTCTTAGGGCAAAACCTACCTATTCCAAAGCCCCTTCTGGAAACAAATATTATTTAAATTCAGTTAGACCTTTTGCCCAAGGTACACCTTCCAGAGGAAATGAAAGCAGTACACTTCATTTGGCTCTGCTCCCCATATCCCTATCCTATAATTCTTGTCCATTACAGCTTATTTCTGACCCTGGGATGTTGTGTGTGCTTCGTACATAGAGAAATCTGATCCTCACTAAGCTGTCCAACTCCAGGCAAACCCCAGCTCTGTGATTATGGCAGGGAACTGCTATAGCCTGCCAGGTTTCTCTGTTGCAGGTTTACTTCCTGTGCAGTGGAGTCCCCCTCTCCCAGGTGTCCACACAACCAACTGAACACCCTCAAAGTTCCCTGCATTTAGGGTCTTTGCTGCCCTCTCCTGTTGTCCTTTGACAGACACACCAACCCAGGAACATCAGAAGTGAGCTTTCGTCTCTCTCTTCTCACTGCTGTCTCACTCCCATGTCTGACAGCCACTGAGTGATCTCCAAACGAATCTGAAAATGTGATCGTCTGAAATGGAATTCAAATTCTCTCTGCTCTTCAAATTAGCTGAGAATATGAAATGACCTCCCAAATCCTAAACAGAAAGGCAATGGGATGCCCAACAATGTGGTTAGTTGTTAGGGGTTTGCAGGGAGCTGAGAGAGGCAATGAGTATTAAGGCACAGGCTCCTCCAGCTCTGCCAGTTACTAGCAGGATTTCCTTCTGCCAAGTTGTTTTGGCCACTTATGCTCCATGTCCCACATCCACAAAATGAATATAACATTACCTCTGGGCCATTTCAGTAAGCAAAATCCCAAAATAGTTAGCACTCAGATGATGCTTATTATTGTGTCAGGCACCGTGCTGAGAATTTGGTGCATTCCGTCTCTTAATCTTCATAACATCCACGAGAGATAGAGACTACCCCAATCTCATTTTACAAATGGAAAGACTGGCTATGGGGGTACTTTTTTAAAATGTTGCAGTGTGTTGTATTTGACTGAGATTTTGACTTAATACAACAGAAGCCGAAGCCAAGAAAAATAGCCACATAGTGAATATCTAGCCAAGACGTCAGGGACACAGCGGGGTGACTGGTGAGGTGGAAGGGGAATGAGCAGCAGTGGGAGTCACATAGGGAAGGGCTTGGATGGGGCATTGAAGAGCACAGCTGGCCTCAGCCTTCCTACATCTGAATCTTATTTGGCCAATTATTAGCTAACCTCAGGCACTTAACCTTTCTGACCTTTGTAAACTGGAGATAATAAACAAAACCTGCCTCACTGGAACTATTACAGGTAAAACACCTAGCAGAATGCTGGGTAGACAGTAAGTGCTCAATTAAAGGCTAGCTATTGGCTTAATCACTTATGAATCTGCACAGTTTTTCTCTCAGTAAGGAAGATCAAAAGTTGCAATCCTAGCAAGTTATTTAATGTATGAATAAAACTGGCCTGTGTGGTATGATATTTTTAAGGATCCAAGGAAACTAGCAGTTGGCTGGAAGCATAGTTCAGGGTTCCTAGAATGTAGAATGACAGAGTCCAGGACTGTGGCAGGTGGCTCCCAGGAAGACCAGGGACTAGGAGATGAGTCGAAGGGAAGAAAGATAGAAAACTGCAGTTTCCTTTCTTTTATGTCCCTTTACTTACTGTACACACACACACACACACACACACACACACACACACACACACAAAACGCATATGTGTGTCTCCTTCTATGGCTGAACAGATTAGCTTTTAGCCTCATCCCTCAGATCTGCTGCATGTTCTGGACAGCACTTTAACCTTCAGCACTACCCCTAGCACATGCCTGGGTCCTTCTTGCCTTGCCAGCGCGGCAACACAGAAGGTGCCAAACAGCTAATAACAGCAGGTATTGCCACTTCACTGGGGGACATGAGAGTCAATAATCAGCAGTTGCAACAGTGCATGACCCTGGATGAGGACCATCTGTCTGGCAGGTACGGTTTAATTGAACTAATTCTTAAATCAAAAATTAGCACATATTGGATGGCTGAAGGCCAGCTAGCCAGCTCCCTCCATGTCTCACTTCAGAACAGGGACAGAGAAGGAGGACTTGAAGCCTTCTTGAGCCATTAACTTTACCAGAAGTTATTTTTCTTAATCCGTTTTTCTGTAGTGTTCCTTAAACAGATGAGGAACAGTGTGCTTATTTCACATGTATAAAGGAAGAGAGAGAGTGGTGCTTTTTTATCTACTTCACAGACTCTCCACTACTAAATGGAATTCCTTAGAAAACATCTAGGTCCACTATCCAGAATGGAGGACGATCCTGTTGGCTGACTTAACTTTCCTGAAGAAGAATGGGAACATGGGAATAAAGGGCTCAAGAGAATAATGTCTCTGGACTTTAATAGGAAATATGCAGTTGAGTGACCTTCCTCTGGCCATAGTTCAAAGTACCACCAAATTGGACGCTATTTTCCTGCGTACTGTTTTCATTTTTTAATCCAGATGGGCAGGCACTGTGGTCTTGAGGAAACAGTTCTTCATTCTAGATTTCTGCCAAATTGGAGCTGAACCAGCAGCTTGAAATTTGCATCATCTCTATCAGTCTTCTCTGACACCTTCCTCAGAAACTTTTGGAATCATTGCCTCTAACTCACGTCCTATATTTTGGCTGGAACTTCATTTTAGAAAAGACCATCGCCTCTCATGAACACCAGACTTTGTTCTTTCTGTGTGTGGCTTTTTTACATTTCCTGGCTGAACAACCTATGCTTGACAGGAAGACTTCATCTTCCCTCCAGCTAAGTTAAATCATTAGAGCAATGTCAAATTTAGAAGCCTCCATTTCTTACCATTTTTAAAAGATGTATTTGTTTTAACTGTTCTGACTAAAATAATTTTTTTCTCATTCAAGTTTTATTAATTCAGAAGTGTTTCTCTGATTTTATGGTTCTTAAACTACATTGGACTAAACACACAGCTCCAGGATTCGATACATCTTAAATATTAAGGGCAATTTCCCACTTCAGAGCAAAGAGAGAGCCCTGAGTCAGATCCTTGCCTTTCTCACTTTCTGGAGGCCCAGAGATTGTCTTTATTCCTAACAGTAACTGTGACTGAGTCCCATCTGTGAGCCAAACTAGGCATTCATTCATTCATTTATTTATGAGACTGAGTCTCGTGCTATTGCCCAGGCTGGAGTGCAATGGCAAGATCTCAGCTCACTGATACCTCTACCTCCCGGGTTCAAGCGATTCTCATGCCTCAACCTCCCACGTAGCTGGGATTACAGACACCCGCCACCACACCCAGTTAGTTTTTGTATTTTTATTAGAGGCAGGGTTTCACCATGTTAGCCAGACTGGTCTTGAACTCCTGCCCTCAATTGATCCACCCTCCTCTGCCTCCCAAAGTGCTGGGATTACAGGCGTGAGCCACCACGCCTGGCCCGAACTAAGTATTTTAATCCTTTCAGGTTGCTATAGCACAATTCCATAGACTGGATAGCCTATAAACAACAGCAACTTATTTCTCACATTTCTGGAGACGGAAGTCCAAGGTAATGGCACCAACAGATTAAGTGTATGGTGAGGACCCATTTCCTGATTCATAAGTGGTGTCTTCTTGCTATGTCCTCACATGTGGAAGGAGCTAGCTAGCTCTCTGGGTTCTCTTTTATAGAGACACTAAGCTCATTCATGAGGGCAGAGCCATCATGACTTGATCACCTCTGCATCTCCTAATACCTTCTAATACCATTATCTTGGGGGTTAGGATTTCAACATATGAATTTGGGGGGTACAAACATTCAGAACATAGTATTCCACTCCTGACTCCCCCCAAAAATCTCATGTCCCTCTCATATTAAAAATATGTTCATTCCATCTTAATAGCCCCTGAAGTCTTAACTTGTTCCAGCATCAATTCAAACAACTTAAATCCAGAGTGTCATATAAATATCATCTAAATCAGAAATGGGTGAGACTCAAGGTATGATTCATCCTGAGGCAAACTGCTCTCCAGTTTTAATACTGTGAAATCAAACAAATTATGTGTTTCCAAAATAAAACGACAGACACAAGACAGACATTCCGATTCCAACAAGGAAAAACAGGAAAGAAGGAAATTGTGATAGGTCCCAAGCAAGTCCCAAACCCAACTGGGCAAGCAACATTAAATCTTAAGACTTGAGAATAATCTTCCTTGCTTTCATGTGTTGTCTTCTGGACACACTTGGACAGAAGTTAGTCTCCTCTGGCTTAGCTGGGCACAGCCCACACTTCTCCTTTTATGGCTTCCAGTTGGGTGGCTTGCAGTTGGGTGCCTGTATCTCTCCCAGGCTGGAATCCCAAGCAAGTGGCTCTTCCAGTCTGGGGTCTCTGGGGTAGCACTTCCCTCATGGCTATACTAGGCACTGTCATAGTTGAAGACTCTCTGCAGGGGCCCTGCCCTCTCAGCAGCCCTCTGCCTTAGTTTAGTGCTTGAGGCTCTGAGAGCTCCATCCTTTGAAATCTAGATGGAGATAGCCATGTCTTGCCAGCTCATGCACTGTGTGAAATGGCACCACATGGGTGTTACCAAGGTTTTCTGCCTGTACTGTCCTGAGGGGCAACCACCACTGCACCTAGGCCAGCTGGAGCTGGAGCTGAGATAGTGAAGAAGTGCTTGGTGGAAATCAGGAAGCAGAACTTTAAAAAAGCACTGGACAGTGAGTCCAAGGTTCCATGGGCCCCTCCTTTGAAACTGTTCTGCCCCCAAGGCTCTTGCACATTCGTCCTTTGATGGGACTGGTGGCCTCAAAGATCTCTGAAATGTCTTTGGGGTCATTCTTCCAGTGTCCTGATGACTAGCACTTGGACAATCTACACTAATTTCCTTATCAAACAGTTGTTTGCCCACACCTATGGGTTACTAGCTGGGTTATTCATCCACTGGCTCTTGTTTAACTTTGGCCAAGGGCTGTTCCTAGGAGGTTAATTCCTGACACTTCTGAACTGTTCTGTGCATGAGCCACATGCACTCCTGTAATCCAGTAAAGCTCTTGAGCTGAGAGTTGCAGGTCCTTTCATAGGAAGCCAGAGTCATGTAGAAGATGGGGATGGCAGTGGGAGATGGGCGGGACGATACCAGCACCTGCTTGACACTCCCCTGCCTAAGATCCTTCCGTAGGTTTTCCACCAACTTAAGATTTAGCTAAGCTCCTTCTCTTTGCTTACAAATTCTGTCTCCTGTCTAACCTTGTAAGATTATCTTCTACCCGACTCCCAGACAGCGATACCCACTGACAATGTCACACTCTGTCACACCTTCACTCATCTGTCTAGGTGGTTGCTTCCACCTGGGTTACCCTCGTTAGGCCTAATGAACACATTTTCTCCTTCAAGACTCCGTTCATGAGCTCTCTCTTCTCTGACGCATTTCCAGCAGTTAGTCTCCTCTATTCCCTGTGCCTGCATGTTAACATGTACTGCATTGTAACAATGGTCTTTCATATTTTTGAAATATATATATGTATTTGAAATATATATGGTTATATATATTACATATAATTACTTATATATTATATATTATCATATATATTATAAAACAAGTACTTCTTAAGTTTAAACAGAACAAAAATGAACAAAAAAATGCACTGAAACTCTACCTCAGAGAGATAAATATCTTTAATAATTTGGCAAACATGCTACCAGACAATTATGTATTTCTTCACAAACACATGCTCACATACACAATCACATAAATTTATTCAAATATGATTTTCTACTATTTTTGTAATTTACTTTTATTTTTTACTCAACAGTATGTCACCCTCATCTTTTGAAGACAGTAAATGTAGATCCACACCTTCATGTGTAATGGTTGGATGTATTTGTTAATATATGCTGTAGTTTGTTTATCCAAGTCTCTATTTATGAGTCGCGTAAGCTATTGTCTGTTGTCAAAAGTCCCGTAATAGGTGGACCTAGCAGGGAAATTGCTTAGTTACCTGTATGTCTCCCCCTGTTGGCAGCTCCAGGATGGTGTCTTTGACTGCTCACACCCGCTTTCTTCTAAGGAAAGATCTTTCACTTTGGCTTAGCAGTTTCTGTGTCTTTTAAAAATCCTTTTCTATAAGGCAGAAGTATCCATTAAATCATATACTTCATCACCTATTACCTAATTAAATCAAGGAAAGCCTCACAACACCTTAGAACAATGGGTTTTAAACACATTTGATCATGACTCGCTTTAAGAAACATATTTTTATCATGAATCAGTATGTGCTTTTACACAAATAAAAGTTTACAAAATGATGCTCTTACAGCACACAATGTATTCTGATATTTTCCATTCTATCTCATTTTAAATATATATTTTTAGTGAATATGGTATTGTATTTATTTATTTAAATGTGGATATAACTTTCTAAATTGACTTCATGAGTCACTATCGGGTTGCAACCACAGTGTGTAAGACACTCATGTAGGATGCCAGGTGGAAGACTGCTGAGGCTTGTTATTACTGCTGCCATTTTTTTTTTTTTGGCCTTACAGATTCACTATAAGCATACAACCCTGAAATAATATTTTCTTCTCCTAGCTGCCCAAGGTTTTATATTTTAAACACCAATCTCACTATCACCACTACCACTAGGTAACCACATACACATCTATTCTCGTTGACAGAAATGGCTTCCAGCAATGAACTTTTGAGGGATTATACTCATGTGCCAAATAAAATTATGACATTGTATGTGTGAGTATGTACACATACACACAGAGGTGGTCCAGGTGAGGCAGAAACTGAAACATAGGAAATAGAGTCCCTATTCATAAAGTGAGTGCAGTCTAATGAAAAAGGGATAATACAGTTTCAGATAGATTGAAACTCCTAACACGGTTCTGGGTCTGTGATTTGTGATGATGTCAGAGGCCTCAAGTCAGGATCCAAGCATTCTAAGAAGGCAAAGCTACCCTCTATCCAGCACAAAGGACAAACTGTCCAGGTCCAGTTTTCTTCATTATTGGGAATTCACCTCACCTCCCATCCACACTTCCAGCATAAGAAAGCAAATCTTCTATCAATTCCCCTTCATGAGGACCAAGGGGTCTCCGTGGGATACCTCCTTTCCCCTACCAACTACGTGAACCTCTGACAGGACTCTGCCCACTTAAATCATGAGCCACTCCCCTGCTTTCCTTTGTTACCCGAACCTACCTATCAGAAATTACTTTCCAGAAAAGACATTTGGAAGAATTATAAGAGTGACAATCACATTTTCTTTTTGGCCCTTTTAGCTTTATTTTCGAATGACAGCCCTGAGAAGTAGGGGTTACAGGTGAATTTATCATTTTTGTTGATGTTACTCTATTAGATAACAGCACCAACCAACCATCTGATATCTCACATATCCCTTTTTTATCCTAGCCACCTATAAGTCCTCAAAAAAAAAAAAAAAAAAAAAGCACTAGGATTCAGATCTTGGGTTCCATGCCAGCAGAAGCACTGAAACTTTGGGAGAAAAAGTACTATTCCAGAATCGGAGCTTTTAAAATGTATTTATTGCTGACTTATGCAGCTTCTTGGTTTTTCCTATTTTAATCAGGTACATAGCTGATATGTTTGTATAAATGTATCATTTTATGTAATCAGTTGATAATTGAGTATGCTGTGCTTCTCAGATGGCAGGGCACAATTCAAGGTTCTGTGAGGAATATAAAAAAGAATGTATTCTTGGCTCTCAAGAAAAAGTACTGCAGGAAGAACAGGGTGCATGTATATGAAAAGAGAATGTACAGCAATTAGCACTAACTACAAAATAAGTCATTTAGAAAATATGTTCTCTAGGAGTTCAAAGCAGGTTTTATAAATGTGGGCTCTAGCTAGAGAGGTAAAATTTGATGTAGATCTGCAAGATAGGTAGCATTCAAATAGTCTGTTGCCTGAAGAATAGATCCTGGACTGCTAAATACAACAAAATAACCATGAGGTAATATGGTAGGGTTTGGGCAGCAGTGAGTAAATCCTTCAGGGTTCCAGAGCTACCCTGGAGGTCAAGTTTAGGACTGGACCAAATCAGTCTATTCAAGACCCAATATTACTGCATGCTTAGATCATAAACACATAAATAAATCCTTCGATTTGCAGTTTGTCACCTTGTCCCCCATTTTTGATGAATTTTTTGAATGCCACCTCTAAGCATGTATTTCCAAAAGCTCTCCAGACAGCAATCTATGTTGGGTTGGCTCAGTGCAGAGCATTCTGTGGAATCCACAGCTAATGAGTGATTGGAGAGCAAATGTGAACAGTGATTGAATGGTAGTCACGTACAAGCTCACTTGATACTGCTTCAGGGACCTGCAATGTTGTTTTTAAATCCCTCGGCTTTTCCTTGATAAATTAGTTACAGTATTTGTAATATGCAGCCAATAGTCTAATTATAAGAATGTTTATCTCTTGCATGCGGAAGGCAGGATAATGTGAAGGAAAGCACATTGGTTTCGAAATTGGAACAGACCTCGATTTTGCAGTTAACTCCCTGTGGAAACTTGGGCAACTCACTTATTCTCCCTGAGCAAAATTATCTCATCTACAAAATGGAGGTAATACTTTTCAATTCGCAGTGAGTGTGAGGATCAATTTGAGGACACTATATACAAAAGGATTTTATAAACTCTAAATCACTGTATAAGCCTAGAGTATGACTGTTTTTCCTCATCACTACCAGACTAATTTATTAAACTGCTAATTGGTGATGTTACAGAAATTCATCATTAACATTTTGTTTCATCAAGTTCTAGAGCAGTGAATCTGAACTTTATTTGATTGTAAATGTAAATGAAGATAACAAAAAAGAACAATGATGATGACAGCTATTACTTATTCGTGCTAACTATATGGCAGGCACTATCATAAAAGTTTCACACATACTATATCACTAATTTTCATAACGCCATGAGGTAGGTTCTACTATTATTTCCACTTAGCAGACAGGGATGGCAAGACACAGAGAAGTCATCCAGTAAATAGAGGAGCTGGACGGATTCCAACCCAGGCAGTTTGGCACTAAAATCTATGTTTTAAACAACATCCTCATCCCTGAGTAAACAGACGCTCAAATTTCATAGTTTCCCTGAAGATCTGTGGATTACAAATTTAAAGCTCCCACTTTGCAGGAAAATAATTGTCCACAGTTAGTTTTCTTCAGAATGTATGGTTCAGTTACACATATTTTTTTTTTCGTAACACTGCAGCTGTATTTCAGGAGAAACACACATATAGAGACCTAAAATGGAATTTCCTATTCCTCACTTCTACCTTCCCTCCTTTTTATCCTGATTATATGTGAACGCCTGTGTTTGAAAATGTGAACACTAGAGATCAATGTGCTCCACTCTTTCCTGCCAGCCTATGAGGTTCTCTTCTATCAAGCTGGCCAGGTAACTCCTTGCTGAGAACAGCATGAATGTTCACAATGCACTGCTGCTCAGTCCTTAAAAGTGAATATTGTTTGGATGAACGTCGTCCTACTTCAGAAATCAAAGAGCCTCCTCCAGAGTTGGCAGCCCATAGCTCTTAGGAAATCTAAACAGCTTCCCTAACTCACAGGGAAACCTGCTACCAAAAGAAGTACATATGGAGCAAATGTACAGTGTTGCTCAAAACGGCCATCCTAGATAACAATTTTCAGTTGGCAAACTCCTTCCCAAAATGTTCACTCCAGGAAAGAGATGCTTAAGAAGGCAGATACGTGAAACCACCACTGTATGCCAAGGTGCCCTGGAAGATGTGTGAGGCCTCTGACGCCGGGAGGCCCCAGCTAGAACAGGGATTCTGAGGTCACAACTTTCATTCCAGAAGTCTTTCTTTGGATTGCACGTAGCTCATTCTTATATATATTTTGTGGAATGAGAAAAGAGAAGATTTCAGCAGCATATAGCTCAACACTCCTATGAAGTCATTATGGAAGAATTACCACACTCCAGAGTGTCGGCTTTTTACCTTGACAACATTTCCCTAGGTAACATTAAAAATATATCATCTATAAAATTAAATCACATTTGTTTTAAATGTTCTTTCTTGTTCTCACTTTTTCTCATGAAAAATAGAGTGCATTTAATTGTTTGTGGGGAAGTTGGGAAAGAGATGGCAGATATACCCAACAAGAATGAGGATTAGGAAAGCTAACATCATCATCATTGTGTTAACATTTGCACACATTATGTTATTTTATCCTCCACATAACCTTACTGGGGGGACACTATTATTTTCTTATCATGAGAAAACTGAATCACAGACAGTCTGAATATCTTGCCCAAGGTCACGTAGCTGGTTATTAAGAGTGTTTGAACCTAGGCATTCTGGCTCCACAGCTACTACACTCTACTCTCAAAACCAACATACTGCTTCTTTTTTGAGATGGAGTCTTGCTCTGTCACCCAGGCTGGAGTGCAGTGGCATGATCTCATCTCACTGCAACCTCCACCTCCCAGGTTCAAGCAATTCTCCTGCCTCAGCCTCATGAGTAGCTGGGATTACCAGTGTGTGCCACCACGCCTGGCTAATTTTTTTTTATATTTTCAGTAGAGACGGGGTTTCACCATGTTGGTCAGTCTGGTCTTGAACTTCTGACCTTGGGATCCGCCACCTCAGCCTCCCAAAGTGCTGGGATTACAGGCGTGAGGCACCGCACCTGGCCAACATACTGTTTCTAAACAAATATTTATAAATTACTTACTCTGAGCATGTGAATCGGAGGAGGAAAGAAACAAATCCTTATTGCATACTGACCTAAATTTAACATTAAGTTGAATGACATAGATAGTTTTATCCCTATTTTAATTCCAGTTTCATTGTTTTCTTTGCAGAAATAAAAAGCAGAGGTTAAAGAATGTGCTCAAGGTTACTCTGTAAGGAAGTAATGGAGCCAGAATGCACGGACCATCTGGAACCCTGATACCATCAGGAACACAAAAATGGATGCTAATCAAAGAAGCCTCTTGATCTCTTGATCTTCCTGCTGCCTCATTTCTTTATTTAATAGCAGGTGGACATCCACCTCAGAGAGGGCTGAGATACAGGCAGCTGTGGCAGAGCCATCTGGCAAGATTCTGCATGGCCCTCTGTTTCATGCCCTTATTTTTATTTATTTATGTTTTCTGAAACAGAGTCTCGCTCTGTCGTCCCAGCTGGAGTGCAGTGGCACTATCTCAGCTCACTGCAACCTCCATCTCCCCAGCTCAAACAATTCTCCTGCCCCAGCCTCCTGAGTAGCTGGGATTACAGGCATGTGCCACCACGCCTGGCTAATTTTTATATTTTTTTTAGTAGAGATGGGGTTTCATTATGTTGGCCAGGGTGGTCTCAAACTCCTGACCTCAGGTAATCCACCTGCCTCGGCCTCCCAAAGTGCTGGGATTACAGGCATGAGCCACTGTGCCTGGACTTCATGCCCTTATTCTTACTGTAACTTTAAACTGGCCTCTGAATTTGGACTTGCTTGGACCTCCAAGCTCCTCCTTGTCTTCCCGGCCAATCCAGCCCTCAGAATTGCTAGCTGGGTTTGTTCTCCAGTCATTTCCTAGTTTCCAGATATCTATTCTCATACTGCTGTGGACTCCAGTCCAGCACTAGGCCACTCCCTCATATTCTCTTCCCACTTACAAGGCAGGGTAGAGAACATGGAATCTGAAAGTTGATCTCCTCCCCTGGAAGCTCACAGCATAACCAGAAATTCAAAACGCAGATTTGCGAAACAACAGATCACAATACCAAGACAGCTTGTAAACATTGAGAATGTGTGAAGATTGAACAAAGAAGCAGAGAGTTCAAAGGAATTCAACATAAATCTAGGCTATTTTCTAGGAGCCTGGTGACAGCTGAGCTTTCCTCTTACTGACAAGTCCAGAGCAATGCAACCTCCCCAGTGGCCAGAGTTTTGACTTTCAATACAGATTAGCTAACTACCGACCAATGAACAAGCCCATATGCTTTTAGCAGGTAGTATGCAAAAGAAGCCCACAGGGCTTCTTTATTTATTTAGCTGGATAATGCGTCTCCCTAGGATCTGTGCAGGGAGGATAGCTACTTCTGAGGATGCAATGACATGGCTTTTAGCTCAAACCTTGACATGCCACCCCTCCCTCATTCCTTTTCTTACCCCACAATCATTACCTTAAAAAGAATTTTCACTTTAGAAAGTGACCTTGCTGGGCTGAAGCTTGAAGTTTTAAAAGCCCCCTAAGGTTTCATTTTGAAAAGTCATCATGGACTTTAGATTGACTTTCTCTTGAAGGCAGCTTAAACCTTGTTCATTTGGGAGCACAAAAGAGAAGGTTTAGGAATCCCAAGGCTTTAATTGCCAGCTGTCTTATTTCTCTGTTCACATTTTTTTTCTTCTCTCCAGGAAGACTAAGATGAGTGAAATAATTTCTTTCTTTTTAGTTATCATTGTAACATTCAGGTTTTCCATTACTGTCAATTTCTTGAAACTTGTCTCATTAGCATTTTCAGAAGAGTTTAAAAAAACCTTTCATCAAGGAAAAAAACGTGCATGATATCTAAATGCAAGTAAGTTGTCACGGGATTTCATTGACATAAATTTGTCCTCTCTTGTCTTCATTTCTGCTTTCTCAGTTCCTCTTTTGATATCTTACAGCAAGCTTGTCCAACGCAGCCCAGAATGGCTTTGAATGAGGCCCAACAAAAATTCACAAACTTTCTTAAGAACATTATGAGATTGCTTTTTGGGATTTTTTTTTTTTTAAGCTCCATCAGCTATCGTTAGTGTTAATGTATTTTAATGTATTTTATGTGTGGCCCAAGACAATTCTTCTTCCAATGTGGCTCAGGGAAGCCAAAAGATTGGACACCTCTGTTTAGAGCCTAGGAACCATACCCATGGCTCTTTACAGACTTGGAAATAAGTGCCCTAGATTAACAAATAAAGCATCTTAGAAGCAAGGTGTAAAGACGGACTGTGGGGCTTTTATACCCCCTAAAACTTCTAAGAACAAAGAAAGAAATGCCAAAAAGCCCAATAGAAGCAACAATATAAATAACAAAATAACATTCTAGAGGAAATCAACCCATGACTACAGGGTTTTCTGCAAGCTTCACATATTTTGTGTGTTTTTAAAAGAAGGAGAGCTGGGTTAGTGAGCAAACCTAAGGAGTCCTTATTGCCAATACAACTAGCAGGTAAGAGCTCCCTGGTGTTACACCTCAGTGATGGAGATTAATCAACTCTTTATTTCTCCTAACCCAAAAGTGCTTTTGTAAATGCACATGGATTAGCACTAAGGAGCTAATTATCTTATAAGCTGAGATCACTTTTCCAAAGAGACAAACTCTCCCAGGATCTAGAGCAGCAGCCTCTTTTATAGCATTTCCTGGAAATGGAGACATTGACTTGGAAGTTGCATCAGCAAATTGAGCATGCATTCTCCTGTGGGAACATTGCAAGTTAGGAAATGTGGGTCTCGTATGTGGCCACAGAGAGAGAAGACATGCAGACTGAATGGTTTTCAAGCCAAAAATGCAGAATTGGCAAAATCTAGAGTTGCTCACTCCTTATCTCCTAGGTGATGTTTTCTTCCAGCTCCATTTGTTAGAAATTGTGTAGTACCCACAGGACATAGAAAGTATTGTTTTAAGAGAGCCAGCATTTTTGAAACAGGAAAGGTTCCCTTGTCCCCCTTGCAGGGCATGCAATGGGGGTGTGGCTCACTTCTTCAGTGCCCCGCTGCTCAAACCTCTAGGGGAGCATACAGATGGGCAGGCTGTGGGGCTCCAATCCCACGGCAGTGTCTCGGGGTGAAAGTTTACAGGTGAAGCCCCAGTGGGCATGTATTATAAGATGCTCTTTTAGTTTGTCGTCTATAGGCGGCTTGTATTAACCAGCTCAGTTAGACCCTCTACCTTGTCACAAGGACAGAAGGTTTTCTGTATCCCGGGTTCTTGCCTTGGTGTACTGGAAGAATCGGATCACATGTGGGCTTGGAGAATGAGTGCAAAGTTTTATTAAGTGGAAGTAGCTCTTAGCCAATGGGGGAGCCAGAAGGGAGATGGTTTTCCCCTGGATTTGGGCCACTCAGCAGCCCCGGCTCGCCTCGGACTGCCCTGGCCGAACTCTTCCTCATCCTGCCAGCTGATGGCCTGTCAGTGGGCCAGCCTCTGTCAGTGTGTTCTTCTGCTCACTAGCTTCTCTCGACGTCCTCTCGACGACCACTTGTTTCTTCTTCCACAGATGTGTTCCTCTGGACATCTGGCCTCCTGTGTGAGTGCTTGCTAGGGTTTCATGTTTTTATAGGCCCAGGATGCGGATGTGGCCCACCAGGGTGATCTTGGGAAATACAACATTTGGGCAGGAAATTCCTGTCCTCACCTAGGCCCGTAGGGGTGGAACCCTAGCCAGGGGCCCGCCTTTCTCTACCCAGCACTTCCCTTCCCCCTCTTCCTTATTATTTAAAGGGACCATGCTCTTCCCTTCCCAGTACTCTCGTATCATTTTGACTGGAAATTTCTGCTCTACCACTCTACTGCAAGAGAGAAGGTAGAACCTAGAGTACGAGTTGCTCACAATCTGAGATGAGCAGCTTCCTAGGCAGGGCTTTCTAAATGTGGTGAAAACAGACATTGAAGAGGGCACCTGGTTTTAAGCCTCTGTCATTTCACATACCCTTTATTTACAAACTCTACTTTTTGTATGCCCATTGAAGTTTTACCTTGTTTTGTGAAAGAAATTATTTTGTCTAATGAGGTTTAAAAAATCCATCTTCTGCAATCCATCATAGGCTTCTAAATTTTTTCCCCTAATTCAAAAAATATTCATTGACTACTTGCTATGCTCCAGGCATAGTTCTAGACACTGAGGAATCATTCATGAACAAAATTAACCAAATCTCTGCCTTCAGGGAGTTTCCAGGCAAGGACAAATTACAAAACAAATAAATTATTAAGTTATTTGATGTATTAGAAGGTGATAAACATTATGGGAATAAATGAATCCTAAAAGGAGGTTAGAGAGTTGAGGAAGGGGAAGGTTTCATTTCAAATGGGGTGAACAAGACAGTTTCACTATAATGATGACATTTGAAGAAGGAGAGGGAATGAGACATGTGGCTACCTGGGGAAGGTGGGGTGCGGGGCAGTGCGGGAAATGATCTAAGCAGAGGGAAAAGTACAAGCAAGCACCCTGAGAAGAGTTCATGCCTGTAGAACAATGCATGAGGGGGAGATGCATAAGGGGTCACATTGAACTTGGTAGCTCACTGTGAAGGTTTTGACTTTTTATGTGAAGTAGGATGGGACTCCTTGGAGAGTTTTCATCAGAAGAGTAACATGATCTGACTTAATATTTTTAAAAGAGCTTCTGGCTCTAATGTTAAAGCTAGACGCTAAGACGATAGAGGTCAAAACATGATTTTGTATTTTTCTGGCAATTAAGATAAAATACATTAGGTAAAATAAATTGGGTGGGCAGGCATGCAGGGTTACATCTATATAATCTGTCTTCAAATGCTTGTCTTGACTTCCCAGATGCAAATCTTTTTATAAAGTCACCCTTCCCTCTTAAATTTCCCAGAGTTTGAACCTGGATCATTCTTTATCAGAATAATATAGTTGTACTTTTTATTGCTCTTGAAAAATTAAAAGAGCCTATAACCTTAAGGCCTTTTTCTTAATGCAGAAAAGTAGAAGTTTTAACTAGTTTCTCTAAATGCCTAAGAATATAAGAAGCATTTTGAGACAGCTAATGACCTGTATAAGATAAGATATCTTAAGTGTTCTGGCACAGATATTCCTAAGAACCCAATTTGCTAACAAATACAGCAGTGGCCATAATTCTATAAATGGGAATAGTGGTAGGGAACCTAGTGGTCACCATCCCATTTTACAGATGGAGAAGCAGCCCAAGCTCACACAACTAAGAAGTGGCAGAGTTGAACTTCAACTCTGCTCTGTCTAGCTAAAAGCCTTTCACCAGTGGTTTCTGGCTAGAGTATTCTGCAGCTTCTTTTGTAGGAAGCTTATTTTAAAGCATGTCAAGAATCTAAATTAGCTTCTTATTCCACATTCTACACTTCCTTAGGAAACAAACTTTTATTTCTCCCTTTAAATAAAAAAAGCAAAACAAAAAGACAAGGGGTATCATTGGCCATCATAATGGGGAGAGAAGTTGGAGACAGAAAGGCTAAAATCAATCAAGCTGAGAGGCCTGAAAACTAATGCCTGTCCCATGGTCCCCTCTTAAATTGTCTAGTCACAGCACAGGACAGGCACCACATGCCAAGTAACATTACCCAAAGATGAACCAAACCTGAAAAGGCAGCTGACTTTGCCTTCCCCAGTGCTAAAACTTGTTAAAGGAATTTACTAAGTCTCAGAGGGTGTGAACTGAAATAATCTCCTTCATCCTGAACTGAAAGAAGTGATAAAAACCAAGAGACAGCCAATGGCCTGGGTAGGGAGCAGTTGGCTTTCAGAAAATAAATTGAACACGTACAGACAACTCACACTTCCAACAATTCCCCTCTGAAGATGCAGGTGTCCTTCTGGGTAAAGTCCATCAAACCTGACCTTTAAAAAAACAGAATGATTGGCTAATTATCATCAACTGTTTTTTAAATCAATCTGTCAGAATTCAAATAGAGCAATTTTCAGGGTATTCTAAAAACTGAATTTAAATAAAAAATAGCAATTATTTCAGAATGACGGTAGGAGTCATGGTGGCCCTTGCAGTACCTGTTGCAACCTTGTGTGGGAATCATTCCTGAGCCTGACTTTCCCGCTTGGGACACAGAGAATGCAAGACCAGGCAGGCAGCTGCTGATTTGGTACCAGTCACTTCAGGAAATCAAAGAAAGCTGGAAAGTTGTTGGGAGCTAGTTTTGCTGGAGAGCTCTCAGAAAGAGGCGCCCATCATGACTGCCCTGGGGTTTGCTTGAGAAGTAACCAGACTCCCAGAGCAGGGGGAAAAGAGGCACCTGACCTGAAAATAAAGATTTGAGGCTCTGAGGAACAGTTTCAGGTGCTGTAGAAGGGAGCAGCAGGTTCTAGGGGAACCAAAGGGTTCAGAGAAGCAACCTCCTCTTCCTGCTACTGCCACAAAGACTCACCTTCAAGGGAATGTCTTGCACTGCCTGAACATAAAAATTACTCTAAGTAGGAAAAAGTGTGTTTATTCTCTGAAAAAAGAAAATTCACAATATTGAGTGCTCAGATTTCTCCCTCTCAGGCTGTCATCTATATGCACAAAGTGTTTTGACTTTACAGTTAAAAGAAAATCCCAAGGGTAAAATAGTTTTTACTTTTTTAAGACACGTGTTTTCTATTTTTTTCTCTTTTCTTGTGTTAAAGTTGGAAATGAGTTACGAAAAAAAGAAGTACTTGTTTATTTCCAGATGGAGTGGGTTAAAGAGAGAAAGGGAGGAGCTCACCAGGATTGATATGGGGACACTGGGTAGCCTCCGGACACCTCCAGAAGAAGGGATTATTGAGAAAGTATATTATATATTTAAAAACATTTTCTTAAACACCATGGGGGAAGGGGATGAGGTTGGGGAATACGTTTTTACTTCTAAACAACCATGTATTCCAGAGTTGTCAAATAAACATTATTTTTATTTCACTCAAATCAGGTGATTTTTTCTGTATTGTCTAATATAATTTTATGTATACATAGGCAAATTTAGAAAACAGAATTTTTCAAGCTTAAAAGCTTTTTTAAGCACAAATAACTTTTGAGACAACAAAGATACATTTTTGTTTTCAAAGACAATTCGTTATCAAATTAGCAAATATAAAATATTAACAATAACATCAACTATTGATGAGGCTACAGAGCACTGTCATTTTTATTGATGATCATGTAAATTGGTAGAACCCTTTAGAAAAGCGCTTTTGTGAAGTATATCAACAGACATAAAAACATGCATCTCTTTTGGCCATGTTCCACAAGCAATTTATCCTATGAAAATAACTTTAAACATATAAAGAGCATTATTTAAAAATGTGTTTATAGCAGGACTTAAAAATAGTAAATAAATGCAAAAAATATATAACTCTGAGGGAATTGTTAAGTACTTCAACTTGTTACTGTAATGCTCACGAATCTTATGTGAAATACTTTTGATATGATGTTCAGTAATTTTTTTTAAAGCTGACTTCTGATTTGACTTTTGATTCTGGCAGTATAGTGCAACAGACCTCCTCAATAACCATTCAGTAATCACTGAAAACAACAAAAAGTCTAAATATTCTTTTTTAATTTTAATGATTCTTCAGAGACCAAAAACAAGTAAAAGAGGCAATCCCTGCTAAGTAAGCCAGTATGTAGCCCAGCATTTACTCTAATTGCATCTGCCAAATCCTGGTGACCTTGAGCTTCTGATTTAAGAGCTGCCCAGGGTCACAGAGTATGGGAGACAGGAGATACAGCCTATGACCCACTGATGGAAGAGAATCTAATGGGAGATTCCAACATTAATCTGTAATCCCAAAGGTCTACACTCTTATCTCAGTGTAAGAGTAAATGAGAAACAGACTCATTCTGCAGAAAAGTAAACAGCAAGATGAGGATAAATAAATCTCCCTTCAAAATATATAACCACAAGCCAGTTTTCACACAGGTTTATGGTCAGAAGTTATTTGAGTTATGAACTGGCAATACACCAGTCAACATGAGAAGCAAAGAAAAACTCTTCTCTGAAGGGACTCAATCTCAAACCAATTCTTAGACAATTTCTACAAATAAAGATTCAAGGAATATGCACTTACAGCAAAATATCACAAAATATCATGAGGAATTTCCAACCAGAAACAACTAACTTCAGACTCAATCTTGCAAGGAATTAAGATATTATCAAACAAAATATACAAAAAGAATGCTAACATATCCAAAGAAAAAAAGAAGCTTAAAAATATAAGCAAGAAAGAAAAAAATAATACAAGTCATCTAAACAGATGTGACTATAACTAAATTGAAATTTCCAGAAATAAAAATGTAATCACAAAAATGAAAACTCCAGTGGATGGGATAACTGATCAGATGTGACTAAGGGGAAAAAAATCAGTGAAATAGAATACAGACCTGAATGAATTATGCAAAATGCAATAGAGTAATAAAAGTAGAAAATGTGGAAAGGGATTAAGAGACACCGAAGACAGAGTGAGAATTTCTAATGTATGTCTAATTAAAGTTTCAGAAGGAAATAATAAAGAGAATTTGGAACAAGAAATAGTTTCAGAAATAATGACCGAAAGTTCTCATAACTTTTAAATAAACAGTGATCCTCACCTTTGGGAAGTTCAAAAAATCCCAGGCAACATAAGTAAAAAGAATTCCTTTTCTAGATATAAATCATAGTGAAACTGAAAAACTTCAAAGGCAAAGAGAGGATCTGTAAATCAGCTAGAAAGTAAAGACATTTCTACAAAGGCCCTGTAAACAGCCTTATTGTGTGATTTTTCTATATAAGTAATAAAAAACAGAAGACAAATGGTATCTTTAAAATGCTGAGTGAAAATAATTCTCAACCAACAATAAAATATGTCTTTAAATTATCTTTCAAGAATAGGAAGTAAAAATAACATACCCAGGTTAACAGAAAGTAACAGAATTGACTACCAACAGGTTTTACTAAACATAATTCTCAAAGATGAGCTTCATGTCGAAGTTACAGCAAATGAAAAGCCTCCAATATGGAAAGAAATGGTAGGCAAGTATTTCTGTAAGTATGTAGCTAAATCAGAACAAATACTGATTGTATAAAATGACATCTCCTTTTCAAATTAAAGAAAAATCAAACCAACTACTGGCAACAATAGCATATAATTTGAGAGAAGATCGACTAGATCTGAAGCATTCTAATGTCTTCTTATTGGGGAAAGAGTTAAAAACACTCGTTAGCCTTCGATTTTTTTTAAGTATCCATGTTAAAATACCTGGGGTGGATTATGGAAAAAGATGGCCAACTAGATGCTACCAGGAGAAACATCTGCCACCAGGGGACTGAGACATCAGGAAGACTGGTACACTCTGAGCAGATCTTTGGAAGGAAGGAGGGAGGACACAGACATTGGGCTGAAGGGAGAGAGAGCTGGGAGGCCTGCATGGGGTACTTTGCACTGGGACTCATTCCTGGACCCTAATGACGCCTGGGGAAGGAGTGACTTGAACAATCAAGGAGTGACCTGCCCTCATATGAACCTCTGGAATCCTACCAGCAAGAGACCCCCACAACCCCCACGGAAAATTGAGCTGGCAGGGAGAGCTGCTGAGAGAGGTGGTAGGGGCAGGACTCCAGCCTGTGCAGAGCCCAGAGGGTTTGGTACAGGAATGTCTGTAGAGGAGCACAGCCAGTGATGCACATCCCCCAAAGCTTGACATGTTCCTCTAGGAGACTCGCCTTGGGGGCACTGTTGGACCTGAACAGAGCAGGGTGGTCTTACCTATGAGATGGGACCAGACTGATCTGAGTGACCTCCTGTCTGCTGGACTCTTCCAGGGACTCAGCCTGTCCAAGCCTTGCTGAAGCGCAGCCTTGGATGCCCAACCAGGATGCCTCCTGAGGTCATGCATCATAGGTCCTTTGCCAATGTACTGCGGCTGACCATCACAAAGTTCCAGCAGAGTGGCCCCCACTGATGCATACCAGGCCACCCACACCCTCCCTCTTCCCATTGCAACCTCCCCCATACTGCTTTGCTGGCATGCATTTGCCCATGGATACTCCCCAACAAGAAGAAGGACCTTGCCTCCCCTCCCATGCCAGCGTGCATGTGCACCCTACCATGCCACTGCTGCAGGCATGAGCTCACCTTTCCCCTGCTGGGTCCCTATTACTGGCACAGACATGTACATGGACACCAGTGGCCTCATCCCCTGACCTGCACTGCCACCACAAATGTGAGCATGAAGGCTGGTAGCCCTACACCTGCCAGCATCCCACCATCACACAACACTGCCACTGGTGCAAACATGCACACAAAGGCCAGCGGCCTCACCACTAACCCAATCTTGGCCCCTCCAGTACCAGGTTCCTAATCTCAAGCCAACAAAGATAGAGGCCTAATACTAGCCACTCGGAATTAGAGAATGCAGCCCAAGAGGGCTGAGCTGAGCCTGGGCCCCCTAAAATCTTCTAGAAATGAAGCCACTCAACTGAACCCACCTTATACCACAATCAAACCTTGAGGATATCAAATAAGATAAAAGAAAATACAAAAATCCATCCAAAGGACAGCAATTTCAAAGACTTCAGGAACATCATCCCACAAAGATAAGAAATAAATAGTCCAATAACTCTGGAAACTGTGGAAGTCATAGTGGCTAATTACCTCCAAACACCCGCACTAGTTCCATAGCAATGGTTCTTAAAAAGGCTGAAATGGCTGAAAAGACAGAAATAGAATTTAAAACATGGACAGGAATGAAGATCATAAAGATTCAGGAGAAAGTCAAACCAATCCAATGATTCTAATGAATACAATAAGAGTATACAGGAGATGAAAGATGAAATGGCCATTTTAAGAAAGAACTGATCTGATAGACCTGAAAAACTCCAAGAATTTCAGAATACAATCGCAAGTATTAACAGCAGAATCAACCAGTCTGAGGAAAGAATCTCAGAGCTTGATAACTGGTTGTCTGAAATAACTCTGTCAGACAAAAATTAAAAAAAAAATTTTAATGAAGAATGAGCGAAACCTCCAAGAAACATGGAATTACGTAAAGATATGAACTATATGACTCATTGGCATCCTTGAAAGAGAGGAAGAGAAAGCAACTTGGAAAACAAATTTTAGGATATCATCTATGAAAATTTCCTCCACCTCTCTTGAGAAGCCAACATTGAAATTCAGGAAATACAGAGAACCGTTGGGAGATACTACACAAGATAAGCACCCCCAAGAAACACAGTCATCAGATTCTCCAAGGTCAAAATGAAAGAAAAAATGTTAAAGGCAGCTAGAGAAAAGGAGCAGGTAACCTACAAAGGGAACTCCATCAGGCTACCAGTGGAACTTGCAACAGAAATCCTACAAGCCAGAAGAGACTGGGTGCCTATATTCAGCATTTTAAAACAAAAGAAATTCCAAGTAAGAATTTCATCCATATCAAACTAAGCTTTCTAAGCAAAGGATAAATAAGATCCTTTTCAGACAAGCAAATGCTAAGGGAATTCATTACCAAAAGACCTATCTTACAAAAGGTCCTGAAGGAAGTGCTAAATGTGGAAAGGAATGACTGTTACCAGCCACAAAAAAAATCACAACTAAGTACATAGACCATCAACACAATAAAGCAACCACACAAACAAGTGTGTATAATAACCGGCTAACAGCATGATGACAGGATCAAATTTGCACATAACAATATTAAGCTTGTATGTCAACAAGCTAAATGCACAATTAAAAGGCCCAGAGTGGCAAGTTCGATAAAGGAGCACAACCAAATAGTATGCTGTCTTGAAAAGCTCCATCTCACATGCAACAACACTCATAGGCTCAAAGTAAAGAGATAGAGAACAATCTACCAAACAAATGGAAAACAGCAAAAAGCATGGGTTGCTATTCTAATTTTAGATAGAACAGACTTTAAACCAACAATGTTCAAAAAGGACAAAGAATAGCAATATATAATGGTAAAGCGTTAAATTCAACAAGAAGACCTAACTATCCTAAATGTACATGCACCCAAAACAGGAGCACCCATATTCATAAAGTAAGTTCCTAGAGACCTATGAAAACACTTGGATAACCACAAAGTAACAGTGGGAGACTTCAACATCCCTCTGACAGTGTTAGACAGATTATCAAAGCAAAAAGCTAACAAAGATATTCAGGACCTGAACTTGACACTTGACCAAATGGACCTAAAGACATTTACAAAAACTTCCCACCCAAAATCAACAGCATGTACATCTTCTCATCTGCACGTGGCACACACTCTAAAATTGACCACACAATCAGCCATAAAACAAGCCAAATAATCCCCAGCAAATTAAAAAAAATCAAAGCAAGCACACTTGGATCACAGAACAATAAAAATAGACATCAATACTAAAAATAAAATCACTCAAAACTATACAATTACATAGAAACTAAACAGCCTGCTCCTGAATGACTCTTGAGTAAACTTTTACTGTTTCATTGAAGTAATTCTTTGAAACATATGAGCACAAAAATACAACATACCAGAATCTTTGGGACACAGCTAAAGCGGTGTTAAGAGGGAGGTTTAGAGTGCTAAATGCCCACATCAAACAGTTAGAAAGATCTCAAATTAATAATGTAACATCACACCTAGGGGAACTGAGAAACAGAAGCAAAACAACTCCAAAAGGTAGGATAAGACAGGAAGTAACCAAAATCAGTTAAACTGAAGAAAATTGAGACATGAGAGAACAAAAAACCAACAAATCCAGGGGTTGGTTTTTTTGAAAGACTACTACTAGACCACTAGCTAGACTGATAAGAGAGAAGATCAAAATAAACACAATAAGAAAAGACAAAGGGGACATTACTACCACCCCATAGAAACAAAAAAAACCCTCAGAGACTACTATAATTACTTCTATACACACAAGTTAGAAAACTTGGAAGAAATGTATAAATTCCTGGACTCATATAACCTCCCAAGATTGAACCAGGAAGCAACTGAATCACTGAACAGATCGATCAATAACAAGTTCCAAAATTGAATCAGTAATAAAAATTCTACCATCCAGAAAAAAATCCTAGGACGAGAATGATTCAAAGTCAAATTTTACCAAATGTATAAAGAGGAGCTAGTACCATTCCTACTGAAACTAAAGAAAAATTGAGAAGGAGAGACTCCTCCCTAACTCATTCATTGAGACCAGCATTACCCTGATACCAAAACCTGGCAGAGACACACATTAAAAAAAAAAAATTTAGGCCAATATCCTTGATGACCATAGATGCAGAAATCCTCAACAAAATACTAGCAAACTGAATCCAGCAGCACTTCAAAAAGTTGATCTGCCATGTTCAAGTAGGCTTTATTACTGAGAAGCAAGGTTGGTTCAACATATGCGAATCAGTAAATGTGATTCATTATGCAAATCAGTAAGTGTGATTCATTGTACAGACAAAAATAAAAATACAAACTACATGATCATCTCAATAAACGCAGAAAAGACTTTCAATAATATTCAACATTGCTCCATGTTAAAAACTGTCAACAAACTAAGCATGAAGGAACATACTTCAAAATAATAAGAGCCATTTATGAAAAACCCACAGTTAACATCATACTGAATGGGCAAAAGCTGGAAGCATTTCTCTTGAAAACCAGAACAGGACAAAGAGGCCCTCTTTTACCACTACTATTCAGCACAGTACTGAAAGTCCTGGCCAGAGCAATCAGACAAGAGAAAGAAATAAAAGGCATCCAAATAGGAAGAGGGGAAGTTAAACCATCTCTCTTTACAGATGATGGTATGATTTTATGCCTAGAAAATCCCATAGTCTCTACCTAAAAGCTCCTTGATCTGATACACAACTTCAGCACAGTTTCAAGATACAAAGTCACTATACAAAACTCAGTGGCATTCCTATACACCAACAACATCCACGCTGAGAGTCAAATCAAACACACAATCTCATTCACAATAACCACAAAAAAAGAATAAAATACCTAGGAATATAGCTAACCAGGGAGGTGAAAGATCTTTACAATAAGAATTACAAAACACTGCTCAAAGAAACCACAGATGACACAAACAAATGGAAAAGCATTGCATGCTCATGGATAGGAAGAATCAAGATTGTTTTTTTTTTTTCTTTTGAGATGGAGTCTCGCTCTGTCGCCCAGACTGGAGTGCAGTGGCACCATCTCAGCTCACTGCAAGCTCCGCCTCCCGGGTTCACACCATTCTCCTGCCTCAGCCTCCCGAGTAGCTGGGACTACAGGCGCCCGCCACCATGCCTGGCTAATTTTTTATATTTTTAGTAGAGACGGGGTTTCACCATGTTAGCCAGGATGGTCTCTATCTCCTGACTGTGTGATCCGCCCACCTCGGCCTCCCAAAGTGCTGGGATTACAGGCGTGAGCCACCGCGCCTGGCCAGGAAAGAATCAAGATTGTTAAAATGGCCATACTTCCCACAGCAATTTACAGATTCTATCAAACTGCCAGTGACATTCTTCACAGAATTAGGAAAAACTATTTAAAAATTCATATGGAAC
Organism: Homo sapiens; assembly: GCF_000001405.40. Lineage (NCBI taxonomy): Eukaryota > Metazoa > Chordata > Mammalia > Primates > Hominidae > Homo > Homo sapiens. The sequence continues at coordinate 46,285,326 of NC_000015.10, read as the reverse complement.
CAAAAGAGCCTGAATAGCTGGAGGCATCACATTACCTGACTTCAAACTATACTACAAGGCTACAGTAACCAAAACAGCATAATACTGGTACAAAAACAGAAACACAGACCAATGGAACAAAATGGAGAGCCCAGAAATAATGCTGCATGTCTACAACCATGTGATCTTGAACAAAGTCAACAAAAACAAACAATGGGAAAAGGACTCCCCATTCAATGAATGGTGTTGGGATAACTGTCTAATCATATGCAGAAGATTGAAACTGGACCCTTTCCTTTCACCATATATAAAAATATATGCAAGATGGATTAATGACTTAAATGAAAAAGCTAAAACTATTATAAAAAGCCCTGGAAGATAACTTAGGAAATACCATTCTGGACATAGGTGCCAAAAGCAATTGCAGCAAAAACAAAAATTGATGAATGAAATCTAACCAAAGAGCTTCTGCACAGCAAAGTAAACTATCAACAGAGTAAAAAGACAACCCACAGAATGGAAGAAAATTTTTTCAAAGTATGCATCCGACAATGGTCTAATATCCAGAATCTATCTAAAAATTAAACAAATTAACAAGCAAAAACAATCCCATTAAAAAATGGGCAAAGGACATGAAGACACTTTCCCAAATAAGACATGTACATGGCCAACAAGCATATGAAAAAAACACTCAACATCATGAATCATTAGAGAAATGCAAATCTAAACCACAGTGAGATACCATCTCACACCAGTAAAATGGTCATTATTAAAAAGTCCAAAAATAACATATGCTGGTGAGGTTGCAGAGAAAAAGGGAATGCACACATACTGTCGGTGGGGCTGTAAATTAGTTTAGCCATTGTGGAAAGTAGTTTGTTTATTTCTCAAAGAACTCAGAATTACCATTCAACCCAGCAATCCCATTGGATATACACCCAAAGGAATATAAATTATTCCACCATAAGGATACATGCACTTGTATGTTCATTACAGTACTATTCACAATAGCAAAAACATGGAGTCAATCTAAATGCCCATCAACATAGACTAGATAAAGAAAATATGGTACATATACACCATGGAATACTACACAGCTATAAAACATAATGAGATCATGTCGTTTGCAGCAACATGGATGGAAAGGACATGTGAAGGCCACTGTCCTAAGTGAACGAATCCAGCAACACAAAACCTAACACTGCATGTTCACCCTTATAAGTGGGAACTAAACATTGAGTACATATGGACACCAAAAAGGGAATAGATACTAGGGCCTACTTGAGGGTAGAGGGCCGGAGGAGGGTGAGATCCTACAGTATCTCCTAGTCAGGATGGTAGGTACATATTCTTTGAGTTATTACTATCCTTTAAAACCTTCAAAAGACCATGAATATTATGAGTATTTAATACTTAATTAAAGTAAGTATAGTTTAACCCTTTTCCTGTTTGCCCTGAGAACACTTGCCAGTGATACTTGCAGCTGCAGCATTTACCCCAAGATAACTTTGCCACAAAATATCTCACTTTTATGATTATTTTTGCATTATTCTAGTATATCAACTTTGAAAACAAAAGACATCATTCTATTTAGAGCATTTTGTTTTTAGTAGTGGTATTTACACTTACAAAATATAATTTTCAATCACTGAAAATGTCAAATCTTAGAAAACGTCGCATTCTTACACGTGATGTTAACATTGTTCTCGAACAGTTGTTGGCCAAAGATTCATTTGATGAATCTGATTTTTCCGAAATAGATGATTCTGATGATTCAGACAATTATGATGCTAGTTCTGTTTAGAAATAACTCCCATTACAGTTTTTGTCTTTTCACATTGAAAATCAGTCAGATTTGCTACAGCCTCAAAGAGTGTGTTTATGTAAAAATAAATGAGCTCTGGCAGTGAGCTGCACTTATTTTTTTTTTCTAAACAGGAAAAGGGTTAAAGCCTGTATAGAAAATTGTATATACAATAGAAATACAATTACATAACCCAAATAGACAAAGAGGAAAGACTGAAGAAATTTGCCAAAATGCCCAAAAGAAAAAAATCAATTAAGGGGTAAGGCCAAATGGGAATTTTCCCTTGATCTATTTTTCCTGTTTTACAAATTTCATATAATACATTAATTTTATGATGACAAAGTAAAATATTGTTTTAGTTCATTCTATAGTTATATTACATGATGTCACTAAATCTGATGTTTTTTAAAAAAGCATTTATTTTCTAGCCACCATAAAATGTTTAGAAGAATAGCAAATTTATTAGTAGCACCTCTGAGTAGCCCTTCTGAGGATCAAGGATGCTACATGCTCCTGCTCCATAACTGAAGGGTAAATAACTCCACTAGCATCCCATGAAATGTTGTTCTTGAAAGTTCCTGCTCCTTGCGGCCCACAACCAACCACTTATCTTGGCAAGTCTGACAGTTCATCTTTTGTAATACCTCCTGCCTCCATTCCTCCTTCCCCATCATTAATGAATTCTACCCCGAGTAACCAGGTTGTTCTCCCTACCCACCTGCCTGAAATCATGCTATGTTCCTTAATGCTTCCTAACCCTGAAAACAGCTTGGCTTATTCACTGATTCCAAATACATGCACAGAACCTCTCCACCACCCCAAGGGCTGTGCCGTGCTTTTCTTACTGGCTCCTCTCCACACTTCTGTCCTTCCAGGATTGGCACAAACTTCACCTTCTCTGTAAGTTTTTAGACCAACCCAGACTCCACTAGATTTTCCCTTCTTGAAACTTCCATTTTTGGCCTTTATCTTTTGGTGCTTTGTATTAAAATTACCAATATTTGCTCGAACCTGTTTTTTAATGTACTTTTTGTACTTAATTTTGGCTCTCAAGTTCTAAGCATTCAATGCCATTCATCTATTCACAATTCTCAGCCTAGCTAACCTATGAGCACCCATCTTTCATGCTTTAGCATGGTATTTCTACACTTATCAGAAGTTTTGAAATTCTGAGGTTTTCTCTATGATGTAGTTCAACTCCAGGCTAACCTTTACGAATCAGTTGCAAACTGTTTACACTGAAGACAAGTATAGGGGGCATATCTTTAACTCATCTAGGGAGTGAGGACTGCAGGAGAACATCCCCAAAAACGATGCTACAGAAAAAAAAATGTAGGAGAATAAGGATTTGATTTCAGGATGAGGATGTAGTCCCTCATTCAGATTCCCACAAAACATACCTACTCACTGAACTAACTACCCCTCCTAGGCAAAAAAAAAAAAGAAAAAGAAAAAAAAGAAGAAAGAAAGAAAAGAAAGAAAAGAAAAGGAGAAAGAGAAAACAGTAGCTTCCCCCATTAGAGTAAGCCCTGAGCAGTTGGCTCTTTTGCCTAATTGATAGCAGGAATTGGCTTGAAGTCCCATGGAAGAACAAATTTATCACATCTCTTTAATCCCTTAATTGTTGTCAAATTTCTGAAACAAAAATACTGTAAATACTGTCCAGAAATCTAGCTAGCTCAATTTGGAGTTCACTTACAGCTAAGCAGACTGAAGGTACTTGCTTGACCATAGCTTAAACTACTGATCTTTCACCAGACACTGGACTTTGGTGGTAGCCAGCTAACCAAACTCTAAGTGTCTATCATCTGAAGCAAGACAAATCAATGAATTTCTATAAAATCTCTTTAGGCAACCAGATAAACATTTTAATTCAATGATCAAATGGAACATTTGGTTATAGAATAACCTATTTGGGGAAAAGCCAATGGTTCTCAAGGGTATTGTACTCGGACCTATTTAATACCACCTTCATATACAGCTGCACACCAAGGGAATGCACAGATCCTTAGGGGAAAAAATAAATTCCTCTCTTTTCCATTTGTCAAAGAACAAATAAGAGTAGCTATGAGGGGCAGAGTCTTTTACCATTCTCTTTTAAATAATTAATGGCATAAATGCAGCTGCTATTCCTGGATGACCCTAGTCAGAAGCATCTCAGTCACTGCCTTTTACTGCTCCGTCACCTGAAAGGGGTGGAGCTGAGAAGTCATTAGCTGTCATGCATCTGAAACCACCTGGAGCTGTCAAGCCAGCAGCTCTCCATCACAGCTCTACAGTAAGGACACAGCTATTTTTGTCCATTAGAGATCATTTTAGTTCTTGTCTGTAGTTCAGGATAACTGAACTATAAAATATTATTTTATCTTGATATAATATATGACCTTGTCAAATTGTTCTACATAGGTAAGTTGCCTTTTAAAATAACGAAAACCAGAAGAGAAATCTTTGCATGGACTTGCAATCTATCCAAGTCTCCTTATAGACACAAAGCCTGCCTGCTTCCTGCATATAAAGGACTGGGGCTGAGTACTCTTCCCTCTGCTGGTCTTGTACCTAAGTCACTGCATAGGACATTAATTTTCACTGATGCTTGGAGTCAAAACGAGGGCCAGGGGGCAGTACTACACTATGGTTAGGTATGAGAAATACCTTGATGTCCATTTTGCATGCCCTCTACTCTTCACCAAAAGCACTGTTTATAAATTTAAGAGTGGGCTTTAAAAGGCAAGGTAACAGGACTAGTTTGGTGGGAAGATAATGTCGAACTTTCTATATTCAGTCTCAAGGCATGTGTGTTTGCTAATGAGAAGTTTATTAAGTCTTTTACGTCCATTGCCCCCTTTAATCATCCTGTAAAATAGACAGGTCATCTCCTTTTCTGCAGATGAGAAAACTAAGGTAAAGTAACTTGCTCAAAGTCAGACAAAACAGTTGCTGATGAAGGCAGATTCAATCCTAAATTTTCTGACTCTCAAACCAGTGCTTTTTGCACTAGAGTATCCTACCCCTCTGTACCTTATATTGTCTCAATAATGCATGTGGACCTGCCATCCACCATCCATGAATTTATGCAGACACTTTTATAATTTTCAGACTTACAACATAACCAACTCATACCAACTTGGAGTAACTAGTTCCATAAGACTGGAAAAATGGAAAGCAAAATTTTTCTCCTCCCTCCCTCCCTCCCCTTCCCTCATTCCCTCCTTTCCTTCTTTTATTTTATTTGAGGGGGTGTTAATGTATTGCTCAAAGGAAACCTTCCTATTTCTAGCACTTCCCCATTTCTCCATTTGAGAAAAATGTTTGTGCTCACTCACTCCACTTTTTATAAATTTTTATCACATCCCTTCTCAGCCTTTGACTCTTCACACTGTTCAAGTTTTCGCTCAACCATACCTTGCCACCTCTAGCCCAGGGCAGATGCAGCTTAGATTGGCAAAACCTATGTGACAGGTCATTATCACTGACTGCTCTACTCTAAGAAACTTGGAGTTAGCTCAACACAAACAGCATTTCTGTTTCCAGCTCCTTCATTTAATCCCATGGGTTCTTTAGGTATATATAAGGCTTTTCTCTGTTTAAGCGTAAACCTCTTTCGGGTTAAGGTAAAGTTGTATTCCTTTCTGCCTCTTCTTACAGCATCTAGTCTAGTGTCTAAAAACTCAGCCGCTAAAGAGTAAATATTTACAAAATGAACAATTATCCCTTTGGTTGCACTAGGTTCTCCCATCTCTTTGGCCATTTTAACATCTTTTTTCAGAAATTCTTTGATTTCAAGGTCGGAAGCTTTAGAGAGACTTTGAGGTGTCGATTGTTGTTGTTTTGTCCACAGGTATGGGTGCTATATTCCAGCTTACTTCTAAGCCCTGACTGACAGTGTCTGGCATCTTACTGGACTTTATGACCACACGGCTTAGATAGGTTCATAGTGACAGGATTAATTCTCTGGTGCATGGTTAATAGATCAGAACGTTTTGGTCCGTAACACATATCTACACAAATAAGTATTTTCAAAAGTGTTTTTTCATATTTCTCTCACAGACATTTGTATGCTATTTTTCTTCCCATTTCCATAGCCTGTGAGATGTTCCTACCGTGTATTCCAGCATCCCGCTGTTTCACTTCATCAATAGAGTGTCACACATAAACATATAGATCACAAGACATTCCCTTCTACAGATAATTTATCACACTCTCTACAGAGAAAAAAATCCATATTCCATTTAACACCAGGGCTCACATTTCCTTCCCTAAATAACCCATTTGCCTCTCCATTTGCCTGAGACTAAAAAAGATGGGTTGGCTCTTACCCTTCAATAAGTTGTAACTTCAACCTATCTTCATTTAAATTACCCAAATAGAGCAGGCCTATCATTTTATCCTCACATTAAGAGGGTTATCATTTTTATTGTCTTGAGTAAAAATATATAGTACTATCGACCTGGATTTGTAGAAAGTTCTTCTCAAGTCACTCAAATCCAAATATTCATGATAGAAAATGCATCTGATAATTGTTAGTGCCATTTTTGACAGATGTTCAATAGGTAATAATGATCTGCTGCTTTGACTAATCCAGCCAAATCAGCAGCTTTAGACAGAATCCAAAGGCCAGTTTGGGAGCTCTGCCAATATTTATTCCAAGGGATTTTAACAATATAAATCTTCAACTAAAGAGAGAGTGAGAGAGACGTGAATTATCAGACTCTTTTGCCAATAACTGAGCATAGCATACCTAAAAAAAAGAAAAAAGCTGGACAGAAAACAAAAGCAAAACAAAAAAAAAATATGGCCAGCATAATCATCCGTAGGCTCAATATTTACCAGTTTGTGTGCCATCTGAGCGATTTCCTTTCATCGACCATGCACATGGCATTTTTATTCTCAGGGGACATTATCGCCATGACAACTTTATCAGACTAAACAGTGAAATGCAGCTCTTGGAGTGATCTCAATTTGGGCATGGTTTAGAATATTATTTATGTTATTCTTTTATCAACATCCTTGGTGTGCCCAACAGGGATGAGGACATTTTTTAAATGACTATTAAAATCACAATAAAAAATGTAAAAACTTTACAAAGAGAAAAGAAATAAGCCATTAGGCTGAAAAATGGGCAATCAAAGGAGCTATTGTGCCTGGCAGATGGAGAAGCAGCAGGTGCTGTGGTGTGACGGGACCTTGCTTCCCATCATGTACGCTCTACAATGATGCAGGCTGACAGGGAAGGGAATTAATGTGTCGGAGCAGGTACTTTCTGTCCATTAGCTGATTCCCAATATGTCCTCACAGACTGCTACCAGTGGCTCTTTGATAAAATGGCTTACAATGCACGGCTCCAAAAGTTGTATTGGGAAGGACAGCTGTGAGCGACTCTCCCTTCAATGCCTCAGCTTAACAGAGTGTGAGTGACCAAGTAAACACTTCTCCACCCCAAACTGGGATTAGTGATTTCAGTCCATGAATAAATTATTTGACTACAGCTGCTATGAATACATTATTGTGACCAAGGGCCACAAGCTCTCAGTGTGGGCGATGGATGGGGACACTGATGAGGAGAATTCTCAAGGTAACAAATTAGCTTTCAAACAAATGAGACTTGGAAAGGCCTGAGAGAATGCTCACCTCTCTGCTTTCAGAGAAAAAAAAAAGCCAAATTATGAAGCAGCCACGTGAATTGGAGGGTCAGTTTAGACAGACATAACACATTAAATGTGGTAAACTCAGATACTCTGAGGCTTTGTCATGTGTCAGGCTGGTTTCCTATCTTTTTTTTCTTTTTATCTTCCCATTTTTTTCTTTCCTTTTTAATCTTGAGCTTATGTTCCAGTTCTGCACACAGTCACCTGTGAAAACTCAAAATGAGACTGAAATAGAAACAGGTTAAAATAAAATGTGTACAGTTGATAAGATTAGCTCTTTCCATATCTTTGTCCAATAAACTAACTGAATTGCCAAATTGTTTATTAGCTTTGGCTAAGACAACCAAGACAACTGGATTAAGAAATGATAGACTTTTTGCTTTCTTTCCATTTTCCAATCTGAATTGAAAAGCCAGGGCTAGCTATCCCACTCATGATGTTTAGTTATCAAAGGAAAGATGAGCATGGATTGGCATTTATGTTAAAACGTTGGAAATTACGTACACATCAAAGGAATGTTAGCAATCTAAGGACTCAAATCTAGCCTTCCTCATCCCCTAATATAAATAAGGGACATGTTATTCTACCTCAAAAAATCCTGTATTTTTTCTGCATAGCACTTATTACCTTGTCATGAATAAATACTTTTCATTTAATATCTGTCAAACCCCACTAAATTCTGACATGAAGAGGAAAAAGATGTATATATCTTGCTTACCATTGTATACTCAGCACTTAGCAAAATACTGGTCCCCTGGTAAAAGCTCAGTAAATATTTGTGGAAAGAAAAAAAAGAATAAAGGAAGAAGATGAATAAAGTGAGAAAAAAAAAAAAAGGAAAGAGACCAAGGGAGGACCCAAAGGATGAGGAACAATCTTCAGCATCTCTCTATTTTTGCATGTCTTCTTTAGCACCCTCTATAAAAGCCTTCAACTCCTTGAGATGCCTAAACAAATTCTACATTTTTTAAGGAGGAAGAAGAGAAAAGGAAGAGGAAGAAAATACATCTAAGTTGACAATGATAGGATAGATATCATTGAATGGCATCCAAGGACATTTGGCAGTTCAAAGACAATAGCCAGGTATTTACAGCCTTGGTCTTGAAATCAATTTCATAAAGAGATGATGGAAATCAGAATATTTTAGTCAGACTGGAGTGGGTTTTAGCCTATTCAGAGACCATACCCAGAAAGTTTAAAATTATCCTTGGATGTCTTGTGGTTCTTATCACATATGTTTGGAATGAACATCCACATTTTATACTGCAGGACATTTTATTCAGATCAGATCACTCTTATTCACGTCCCTACTTAAATCAAATATGAGTGTATTGACTACATAGGATTATACAATGATAACCCATGTTTTAAGAGACAGGGTCCTGCTGTGTTGCCCAGGTTTGAGCGCAGTGGCTATTCACAGGCAAGTAGTGATAACATATTTTAAGTGTTGAAGTAAAACAGTGGATACTATGAATCTGGTGGGAATTGTGCTACCAATGATAACAACATCTAAACTTCACAGCACCTCATAGTTTCCAGAATGACTTAATATTATTTTACTTAAACCTTATTAAATCTTTGAGTGAGCACTTACTAGCCATGTCACACAGGTAATTACTTAACCTCTCTGTCCCTTAGTTTCCTCTTCTAAAATTATATTAGGTTGATCAAAGATTAAGATAATGCATGAAAAATACTGTGCTCAATACATGCTAACCATTATTATTATCATTAGTAAGTAGCACAGATATCACCAACTCCATTTTATAGATCATAAAAGAGCCTCAAAACGTTAAATGATTTCACTGCCTGTTAAGTGGTGGCCTCAGAACCTTCATTTCAAATTCTGAAACCATCTCACTTTGTACTATGCCAATTTGACTCTGAACTCTACTTGACTTTAAGACCTAAGTTTGAGGATATGTGGCCCCATTGGAACAGCCTTCATTACAGGATCCCAGGGACAGCAACTTGGTATGGAGCCAATGCATCATGCCAGCAGTGACAGGGTCCTGGAAAGCCAGGCCTGCTAAAGAGGTCACTCAGTATCAAGCGCTTCCCAAAGCCTCCAGAGAACCTGACACTTTGGCTTTCCTTCTTTTTACTTTCTGTCAGTTTCAAAAGAGACAAGCTTCTAGGGCTGAAATTGATGTGCCTGTGTGACTATTCCATGCTGCTGAAATTGACAGAGGCTGAAACTGATGAAAGTAACCAATTTGCCAATTTCAGCAAAGGGACCACTTTGAAGGCAGAGATTGACTAAATCTACATCTTTCCACTTGATCAGAAAATTTGATTTTTTCCTCACTTTACAAAAAGTTTTGTGTTTACTCTCAAAAATTATTTTGGACTGTTCTCTAGACACAATTTGAATTGGCCTGATAATTGAAGCAGAAGGTCAATTCCATCAAAATTCAATCCAATGTATTGTTTTGCAGAACTATGTTTTACATTGGATTGATTAATCATTTTATCCAAAATCGTTTTTAAAAAGTTGCAAAATGCGGAATCTAAGTCCTGCTGCTTGTGAGTTTTGATACATTCCATGAAAACCACATAGATTTGATTTGCCAGTCAAAAACCCAGTCAAATCACTCCAAAAATCACTATTGCATTTTTCAAATATCTGATTTTGATAGATATTTTTTATTTTAACTGACATATCCTAATTGTATATATTTATGGGATGCATAATAATATTTCAATATATGTATGCATTGTATAATGATCAAATCGGGGTAATTAGCAAATCCATCATCTCAAACATTTATCATTTCTTGTGGTGAGAGCATTCAAAATCCTCTCTTCTAGCTGTTTTGATATATACATTATTGTTAACTGTAGTCACCCTACTATGCAATAGAACAGAGAACTTATTCCTCCTAACTGTAACTTTGTGCCTCTTGACCAATCTCTCCTTCTCCCCACCTTGAGAGATTTTTGATTGATTAAATCAAAATGATTTGTAGAGGTTTAGAAATATACTAGGGGAAGCAGGTTCTATTTACCAGTTGTATGACATTGTCCAAGTTACCAGCCTTTGATTCTTAGCCTTTTCCCCTGTAAAATGAGAAGGTTGGACTACAGCTGCATTTTCCAAAGTGTGTTCCTTAGAAAAGTACTTTCATGAGACATTAATAGGTATAACAAAAGAAATCATGGGTGAGTAGCTTTGGAAAACACTAGTTTAATATGTCTGTTGACAGGAAGACTTTCTAGAGCCTGTATTATCTCAACCTGTTTCATGGATATGAATCTCAGTCACAAACTCTGATGCATAATAAAATTAACTATGCTATCTAGATCTCAACCTGCCAAAGGTGATAATCTTCTCTTCAGTAATGTTGGGGTCTTGATTCCAGAATCTTCACAGATATGGGTAGCCTATCCTGTCCTAAGTCATCAGTCCACCAAGTTTGTTTCTAGAGTGGTCTACATTAGGGATCAGCAAGCTTTTACTGTAAAGGACAAGACAGAAAATCGTTTAGGCTCTGCAGGCCATTTAGACTGTTGTAACTATCTGCTACTTCTCAGTTCTATCATTGTTTTGTAAAAGTAGCCATATACAATATGTAATATGCACAAAACTTTTTAAAACAGTTTTAAGATATAAAAACTAACCTTAGCTTGTGTCCTATAGAAAAACAAATTCTGGGCTGGATTTGACCTGCAAGCTGCAGTTTGCCAGCCTCTGGTCTACATGGTTGGTTCCAAGACGCTCTGTGCCATGCTTGCAAGATTTCACATGGTCTCATCTACCGGAACATACCCACAGCCATTCCTTCTTAGAGGTCCTACCACCACATCATCTCTATTCAGGGAATAGGGTACAGGCTTGTTTTCTTCTAAGACCTCCAGACTTCTCTAAGTGTTCACTACCTTTCACCTCCTTCTCAAGTGTCAATTAATTCACAGAGAAATTAGTCTCCTTTCACATTTTGACAATAACTCCAAACCTTCCTCTCTCTTTGGATTATCTCTGCTTTCCATCCTTCATAAATCTCCCTGAGACAGTGATAACAGGACCTAATTCCATGGGAGGAACTGGAAGCTACAGGATAGAAAAAAGTAGATTAAGTGTCTTAAAATGCCATCCGTATCGTTAGGATGTATTATGAATCCTCAAGGCAATGCGACATTTTCCAAATGGTTTTCACCATGTAACTATTTTTCAGGTAATCTTTTGGAAGAGTTTTCCAATGGCTGCACTTTGGGAAACAATGGCTTACAGTGTATTTAACGTTCCACATAGCCTTATTACTCTCACTAGGACCCAGTGCCCTGCAGGAAGAAAGGATCACAGATTAGATGTGGGCTGATGTTGCTATAAATCTAGGAACAGTATTTTATCTCCAGCCTTTTATTTTTCTACAATAACCCAAAATTATCTCATGTATAACAACTTTGGCATATTTGGGAATATGTTTTGGTATAACAAATGTCAAGATGTTCATAGTTATTACTCTCTTATTGCCTCTTATGTGTTATATTATAGCTAGATGGTTGGAGGTATGGATGGTTGGACGATGAATAAACAGGATTTCTCCACTTTTACTGCTTTTGTCTTCAACTTCTTTTGTAAGTCACTGCTTGATTTAGCACAATTGTCAAATATTTCTTTCTGAAGGAAATTAATTGTCTCCAACTAGATATCCTATATGGTCATTGTGACTTCTTTATAAACCCTTAATCTGCACTCAGAAGAATGCCTTTAAAATGCATGTTCCCTGAACCTTTGGGTAGGAATACAAGAAACCTAGAAGCAATCTCATTCTTGAGATTACTTCTTTGTTTTCTGAGGCATGATTTATTTCGGTTATCCTATCTTCTGATCCCTATTCTCTCTCCTAGTCATGTCTCCCCTTCCCACCACCTATATATAGAAACAAAGCATCTGTGTCTCTCTCTACTTCCTTATAGAACTCAAAGAGCTCTCTACATCCTACAACCGCAACTTTGTGTAGCTGACTCCAAATGTAAATTTATTTTTCTGAACTCCCAGCATCTAGTTTTTTGATTCATTCATTTAATATTTATTGAGTACCTACTAAGTGTCTGGCTCTATGAGAGATATAGAGTACACGATGTGAGCAAAAAAAGACGTGGTCTTCTACTCCATGGACCTTAGTGCCTAATAGAAGAGGTAGATATTCCACAAGTAAACAAAAATATACTTAAAAATAGTTCAAAATAAGTAAGTTCTATGAGTAGAATAACCAGCCATTCTTTTTTGCATATTGCTATCCTAGATTTAGTTCTGAAAGAACTGCATCCCAGACAACCCCCCAGTCCTGGGCAAACAGGAATAGTTTATCACTCTAAATGGGTAAAAACTAGGTGCTATGAAAGAGAGTAACAAATAGCATATACTTTCATGCCTAAAAAACCTTTCTAAGGAATTATCATTTAAGCTGAGAACTGAAAGTTAGGAAAAAACAAAACCAAATAAATAAATAAATAAAGTCATACGAAGAAAGAAAGGAAAGGAAAATCCAAGCAAAAGGAATAGTTTATTTGCCAAAAGCTTGGGATATTTAGAAAACTGAAAATAAAAAGCTATTTTAGCTAATGCATATTGATCACGGTAGATGGCAAGTTGAAATAAAAAGTGAGAGGCGGGAATGACTTACATCATAGATCCTGCTAAGAAGTCTGGGTCGTATCTAAATGTAGTAGAAAACCATTGCCTAATTTTAAAAGAAGACTTTCGAAATATTTACTGAGCCCCTGTTTTTAGCCTAGCCCATGGCCACTCATGGATACCCCAAAATATTAATAATTCTTGCTTCAAGATATACACAGGCTATCAGATGAGACCATTCTTGACGTAACCAACTGTAATAGGGGGAATCGAGTGCTAAAGCAGGATCAACAGTGAGAAAGGAATTCCTAAGTGAAGTAAATGGCTTCACCTATTCTTTCCACCTAAGGAATTTTTCAGGCTCTTCCTCTGAACTTCTGCTTCAAATTCTCCAACAGTCGTTTAGTTTTTCCATTTGCGTACAATGTTCTCATATGTTTGTCTGCTTAATCTGAGGCCAATGGAGTGGTAACCTGGGTTGATAATCTCTCTAGTTAATTTACAGTTCTCTCCAGATACAGGCTTTTGGTTGGCTTCTCTTGACCCCACCCACTATATCCAGCGCAGTAAGAGATCCTCTTTCTACACACTCCAGGACCTCATCGAATACTGCAGGCCATGTTCCTCCAGGAAGGGAAAGACAGTCTAAGGCAATAACCCAAGGCATGCATTTTACATCTGCAGGTGCAGTCACAGCCCATCTACATGTCGATGTTTGAAACTTTAAAGAAAGTCCAGTATCCCTTCATGAAAACCTGTAAGAGATGCTATAGACTTTGACTTCTGGCTCAGGTCTTATCTAGGAATGATGCATTTCATCAGCCTGCATAAGCAACTCTGCAAAAGAGAATGGAGTTTTTGACAGACATTTTCATGCCATGGAGTGAATACTCCATCATAATGAGGCAGAGTGTGGTTGTTAACTGCTGTGTTATTAGCACAGGGAAATCAAAATTACTTCTCATCATTTGTCCCATGTGAAAAATACCCTCATTTTAAATGTCCCGTGATTGCTCCCAACCAAGTCCAAGGATCAGAATTGGTCTACAAATTTGCCTTTAGTTAGTATGATAATGAGACTTCAACTGCACACCAAATAATTGTATTTATTAAAATGTATGATTGTGCATTAGTGAGTTCAGTACTATTCAGGAGGTCTTGAAGCCATAACTTACAGCCTCAACTTCACCTTCTTCTATACATTTTACTTTTAGAAACTGTAATTTAAATGCAGATAGCTATATAAATTTCAACTCCTGACCTGAAATATTTTCACCAATGTATGCTATGATTAATTGGCACTTCAGAGCTCTGTTTGTTCCCTGGGGATCCTCTGTTTTGTAGCCGGTGAGACAGAATGATAGCCTCTTCTCTACCAATACACACTCTCTGCAGCATTCAAAAAGTAACATCTCACAGCAATGGTGGGCATTTAATCTTGATTCTCTATCACAGCTTGTTTTTAAGTTATATCCAACAGCCAGCGAAGCTCTCGCTTTGTGAAGGCCACTCTCTCTGAGTTTCGAGTTTCTCAGTCACTTTCCTTTTTATTTTTAAAGGTGAAACTCAGAATCCCTATGTCCATCACTGCTGAGTGTTGACAAGCCACAAACACTGACAGTGACACTGACAGTAGTTAAAATGCAGCTGGTTTAATGCTGACATATTGCTGTCTTTGAGGGCTGGTTGATATGTGTTCATTTATAATCTAATTGCATGTCCACTTTTAAAAATCAGCTCCCAGTGTGGAATGGATAAAAATACAATTACCAAATGATATGCGTAATCATTCAGTGCTGTTAGTCCTGAAAGGTGATATTGCAGTGACATTGAGAAAATTAGATCTATTCTTCATACAATTATATAGATACACTTTCACTCTAATGCCATTCTAATTGGGAAGGAGCATTGAAATGTGAAGCTGGGTGCATTTCACTCTCTAATCATCACTGAGGAACTCATTCTTAAGATAGGTTTCTGGAAAAACACAGTTGCCAGAAAGCTTTGATAATCCCAAATGTTCATCATTGATTTCGTGGTAGGTAAAGCTTGTTTTCCTCCTATAAAACCTAGATTGCTACTGAAAGCTCACTAGACATAGAGATTTGAGTGAATGCTTGCAATATATTTAATATATTTCTATTTTTGCAAAGAAAAAATCCATATGAAAATGCTCCCCTTATTTTTACTTCTGCATGTACTCTCAGAATGTGAATAATTGCTGCCATATTTTACAGGTTGGTTGGAAGGCTCAAGTTTTATAATAAAATGTGTAAGCTCTTTTGTAAAAGTAACATCTAAACATATCCGTTATTAGGTTGGTGCAAAAGTAATTGCACCAGTTACAAAAGTAATTGCACCTAATTACTATTATCAGTTATTAATATTATTGCTGTGATGATGGTCATGATCATGATGATTGCTCAACAGGTGTGAGGACCTAACTTTATCAATTTGTTGGCTTTGTGGACCATGCCTATAGAAAATTTGAAGTCAAATCATATCTCCAGCCTTAATTCAATTGGGTCCCTGTTGTACAAGGCAAGAATGTCTGGACATATGTGTATTTATGAAGAATTCTCCTTCATTCCTTATTTTTGAAATCATATATTTATAGAACCATATTATACCCCATTAATTATTCTACTATTAAATTATACACTCTAAGAAGGCAAGAACTGTGTCTCTTCAAAGGCATTGAAAAGCATAGCCACAGACTATCTGAACAAATGAGTTAACACCTTTATAACTTTTCATTCTTTATGAGCTTATATTGCTTTATGTCACTGAGCACAGCTATAATAACTGCTTTAAAATCCTTGTCTACAAATCCCAACATCTGAGTTTTCATCATGGTATAGGTCTCCATTACTTGTCTTCCTTCTTGAAAATGAATATCTTTTCCAGATTTCTAAATTTTAAATTATATTCTGGCTAACTATGAGAGCTTTTGTGGAGACTCTGGATTATATTATGTTCTTGCAAAGATTATTGATTGTTTTTGTTGCTTTGGCGAGTAACTTGACTTGCCTCAAACTAAAATAAAACTCTCTCTTCGGCAGCAACTCAAATATCAGTTCAGTTCTCTTATTCGTAGACTGGCTGTTTGCAGTCTTCCCTGTGAATGTATAGTTCAAAAGTCAGTTAGAGATTTCCACAGACTACACACAGAATGTGTTGCTTACCTTCTCTAGGGCTCTTTTCTTTTCCAGGACTTCCCCTACCTACCCTTTGTATGACTGTGGTTGCCCCAATTCTGTCTTTTGGTTCTTTATGCCAGAAATACCAAGGATTTCTATAGAAGTTGTTAGCTGCTCCATGTATGCTGGCTTCATCCTACTCTCAGGCTAAAAGCAACAAAAAATAGGAAACTCATGCTATGTCATTTCCTTCATGCAAATGTTAACATCTCTTCAGAATCTGTCTACTCTTTTTCACTCTACAGGGTCTTGTATTTTCCAGAGTTTAATCTGTAGGAGGGTTTCTTTTGTAATATACATGATAGAAATTAAATTCAAAAAGGTAATAATGACTTGTCAAACTCCACAGAGCTGATTTTAATGCTGTAGTCATAACCATAAAAACAAACATAGCAGCCAGGCACAGTGGCTCACACCTGTAATCCCAGCACTTTGGGGGACCAAGGTGGATGGATTACTTGAGGTCAGGAGTTTGAGAACAGCCTGGCCAACATGGAAAAACCCCATCTCTACCAAAAAAAAAAAAAAATACAAAAATTATCCAGACATGATGGCATGTAGCTATAATTTCAGCTACTTGGGAAGCTGAGGCATAAGAATGGCTTGAACCCAGAAGGTGGAGGTTGCAGTGAGCTGAGATCGTGCCACTGCACTCCAGCCGGGGTGATGAAGTGAGACTCTGTCTCAAAAAAAAAAAAATAGCCATGTATTAATAGATATTATCACTTTTATTCTAATGTAAGATTTCTTTTACCCCAGATTACTACCTTCTCAGTCAATGCAGCTTATTGTGAGTGGCTTCCTCAGTTTAAGCATACACTAGAATAAACTTTAAAGATGTTCCAATGAGGTCCAACTGCCTGAAAAATGCTTCCTTTTGTTACTGAGGCTTAAATTCAAAGTTTATTCAGTGACACAGTAGTAACTCCTAAACACCTAACCAACAGTTAGTGGCCACCAATTATGAACATATAGTGATATTAGATGTGATAGATCACTATATGTGAACATACAGTGATATTAAACCAAAACAACAAGCACCAACAATAAAATAATTTACACCCACTTCTCAATTTTTAAAAAAGTACTGGCCTATGAAATCTAAAAATCGAGGAATCACTGCATATGATCTTAGTGAGAAATTTTACCGACTTAATTTCCTTTCTTTATAAATTGAAATGTTAGATTAAATCATCCTCTTGGGCTCTCAGAGCTCACTGATTTTATTCTACTGTGTTCACAACGACACAGATTACCATTTGGATTGCCCTATCCAGCTTGCAAGTCTAGAAAAGACAAAGAAAAAGAGACAGCAAAACTGAAAGTTTGTGAATCCATTGAAAAGTATCCTTAGCTTTTAGGATAATCATCAAATAATCTTTTCCTAATTTTTCTGTTTTCAAAATGCTATGGGGCTGCTGTGTATATACAGTCATAATCATTGTCTTCACTTTTGGTTTTCTAGGAATAAATTTTCCTGTATTGGTGATTGGTTCATTGCATGGGGGTTTAAGTAACTGATGTTTTTCATTAGGAGATGGCTTCTTGGTTCTTCCTTTTCTGCTAGTTTCTTGCATTCTCTGAGCATCTGGTCAACAAATACATATCAGTCATTGGATTGAAAAAAAACTAATGATGTAGGATTTTTTTTTCTCTGTCACTTTGCAAGCGAGGAACCCCCAGCCAGCGACACCCCCCACCCAGGCCTCACTAGGCCATACCGGTGTGCCCCAGCTCGCCTGTGTTATAGCTTGTACCTGAATTCGGCAGTTCCTGAGCTCTTGTACCACACCCAAGAAGCATGAGGAAACATGGGACGTTGAAGGATGAGGAAGGCAGAGAAGAATTTTACTGGGTGATGAAAACAGCTTTCAATGGAGATGGGATGTGAGGTTTATATTCATACACGAAGGTGGGAAAGGGTCTGGGGCCTTTTATGGACTCAGAATGGGGAGTGTGTGCTGATTAGTTTGTGAATATGCAAAAAAGGTTAAAGCAAAGACACCACTCAAAGGTGGACATGACAGTGTAGAAAACCAATGAGGAAAGGGGAGTTATATGTAAAATAGGTGAAGGGTGGGGATAAATCAGAGGAAAGTGCACCAAACAGGAAGGCAAGTTCTCAATCTGGTCCAAGGATTTCAGCTGTAGCTTGGCTTTCAGGCTTTAAACTGTCTTCAGCTTGGAGGCGGAGTTTTACCAGGGACCCGCACCATCTGCCTAGGCATTTGGCTGCCTCCTGCCACTCTCACTAAGAGCCATGCTGATAAAAGAATAATACATTTGCCAAATCCTAGGATTAGACTGATCACTCTAATTTATAGCCATGTACTTAGAGGGATATAGTAAAATACTCTCATAACTTGTAGACAATGGTATCCCTTTGAGAGTCAAATTATAAGTTCAACATTTAGTGGATGAGTCAGGCTATTCTCAGAAAGAGCAAAACTAGTATATATTTTCTAAAAGATGTAATTTTTAAAACAAATCTAGCCTTACAGTAAACACTATTTATTGAAAGCATATTCTTTGCTTGGGATTTTAGAAATATTATTCTCAAATAACTTTTTGAATTAAAGGGTAGTTTAATCTCTGTTTTTCCAGTAAAAAACTGAATCTCAGAGAGGATTTGTAATTTGTCCAAGGTCATTTGTCTGGCCAGCATCAAAGTCAGAATTAAATGTCACTTTGTTTCTACTCCTAAGTTCATATACTCTTTTTGGTTGTTACAAGGGCTCTCAGAAAGGGGCATTTTTGCCCCCAAAGTAAAGTGACAACATTGAGGCCTGATTTCTATGAATCTAGAAAAGGAAGAGCCAAATGAGCTTATGAGAGTTTATCAGGCTTTTTTATGGCCTCAATATCACTCAAGTTTATTCAATCTTCTTTGCACTGATCTCTTGCATTTCAACTCTGGACCTCCAAACTATAGGCCAAGCCCTTTTTCACATCATAGGCAAAAGTCATAAAACACTATGTCCTTGGCATTCTTACTTTGTAGGCACTGGTATTCATCCTATAACTTCTTCTAGCCTTGGAATCTATTTCTCAGAAGGTTGCTTATCTTATCTGTGGCATCTTTTTTAACTGCTTTCTGGAACTGTTGCCAGACTCTGCCTCTTTTGTCTAAACCTGAGCTTCAAGTCACAGTCATTCTTCAGATGACATGCACTTCCAACCAATGGAGAAACAACTCATTCTGAACCAAGTTTACCTAGACCAACCCCTGAGACTATAGCCGCAGTGTCTCGTCCATGCTGCCAGACTAATCTTTCTTAAACGTAAATCTTATCTTGACCTCTAGGCCTGTATCCTCATTTGCAACACAGGATGGTTGAAATAGATTATCTCTAGGATTACTTCATGCTCTAAAATTGCATAAACTCCTCTCATGTGTAAGTGTGCATCTTATTCTAGTATTGTCTAAAGAGTGGGTGAGACAAGCTATGTTCTTTTAACAGGCTTTCTTTGCAGAAAAGTTTTACAGAAAAAAAAAAACACTTTTCACTCAAGGTGTCAATTAAAATCTGTCACAATACAATTTCAATATAGACTATTTAATCACAGAAGTTCTTTTAAGTGACCTTGTCATTCCCACTCCATTTGATTTGTTATAATTTACATCTTTTGTACTAGAAAAGAGAAGTGTTTTTCTCTGAAGATGTTTTCTGAGCTTAGTGGACCCATGGGAAATGTAGAATTCCTTGTGAAATGCAAACACTGTTCAATTTTATTTCCATTTTTAAGGTTACTGTAGTGACAGAATGCCCCAAAATCTTGCTGTTATGGCATTTTATTTCAAGGAGTAATGCTACAGGAAGATAATTTCAGAAAAGTGATACGAACGTGATATCAAAGTTTCCCAGAAGTTGTCTATCCTTCCTTGAGAGTGAAGTTATCCCACATTATCATCTCTTCAGCTGAGGATTTTCTCCCAGGAACCGTGCATTGTTGGATAGGTTTAAACTTATTCAACTTGGTACAGAAGACAGTTTACCATGAGTTGATTCAGGCATCCCAAGTAACTATTTTTTTTATAATTTATTTCATCCTAATGCCAGGGTTCTTCCTTGATTTATTATATATGATTCAGTCATAGCATAGAGCAAACATCAACTAGTCAATCTGATTAATAACCCTATGTTTTCATAGTTGACAAACCCAGCCCTCACACGTGTGTATAACATTAATATATGTCTAACTTTACTATATATAACATTAATAATATGAAGAATCATTTTCAATCACTTGACATAACCCATTCCCTAAATAGACTCGATGAACATCCCCTCATATAGAATTCAATTTGTGAATATAATTTTTAAGTATCATCATCTCTACCATCTGGATTAGGTATTACAAATTAAATTTTAGAGAATTGTGATGTCAGTATTTAAGAGATAACTTATGAAATTTAAAAATACTATATAAATAAGGGCTGGCTTAAAGAATAGGAAAAAATTAAGTCAGCTTTCAAAACTGTGTTTCCCTCCTCAAAAGACCAAATTGCTTGGCTGAATGCAATGTTTATCTTTATTTCATTGGTTTGCTTATTTTTGCTAAATTATTTTTTCTTTCCTATTCTTTTTCCTCATCTCATTCTTGTTTCTTAAACCCTCAGTGCCCTTTGTCCACCCCTTAGTCTGCTGTAGTTCTATTTGATTGAACTAAAATACCACCTTTTTAATCAAGTTTCTCTTGCCAAAAGGTAGAAACTTCCCATGCTGTCATTCGGTATTTACCACTTCCTAGTGGTTTAGGTACTTTTGTCATGTTTCTATATTTTCTCTAATTAGGCTATAAACTCCTCAGACAGTCCCACTTCATATTGCCACATAATACAAAGCACAATGGTTGTGTATCTGAGGGGTATCTAGAGAAATTAGCATATGCAAAGAGGTAGATGTGGGAGCTGGAGGCTTATCCTACATTTTCTTAATGCAATCACATCAACCAATTGTATCAGGTTCTGAACTCTAGGGTCTTAAAAATAATGAAGAGGCCTATTATTTAGGTCCATTGAGTAAAGACAAACTCCTAGACCCAAATGAGAATATTCGTACTGTTCACATTAAATCTCTTATGGGTCCCCTTATCTTGCCCAACCTTATTTAGGCTGATGCCATCCGAAGTGGAATCTCACTTAGCATTAGTTTATTTAATCTAAGGCACACTCATATCAAGAAGGGTTCAACTGTGATGAGAAAATCTTGCTAGCATTAGTAATTAAAATATTACTATGGTCAGGGTTTTAGGGTTTTCAGATTAATGTAACATAGTTACCTTTGCTGAGTTTACTCTGCTGCACATTTACAAACAAACTGGGCTTTTTGTTCCCTTCTTTTCTCATTTACTAAGGCATATTAACCTCAAATAAGACTTCACGAAATTTCCTAAAGACCTTAGCACATAGTATGTGCTCCGTAATATGTAGTCATTAATTAATTTACACTATTTTTCTTGTTATTTGTTACATATGCATTCAATAGTTCTTATATTACTCACTTGGTGCAAAAATAGAATGAGGGGAGTGGCCAAGATGGCCGACTAGAAGCAGCTAACGTGTGTGTCTCTCACGCAGAGGAAGGGAAGGGGCGAGTAAATACACCTTCAATGGAAACATCCATTGACTCGCATTGGGACTAATCAAGGAAACAGCTTGACCCACGGAGAACAGAGAAAAGCAAGACAAGACGATGGCCGACCTAGGGGCGACATGGAGCCAAGGGAAGCTCCCCACCAACCCAGGGAAGTGGTGAGTGAATGTGTGACCCCGGGATCCCACGCTTCTCCCACGGATCTTTGCAATCCTCAGGTCAGGGGATCCCTTTGTGAACCCTCTCCACCAGGGCCTTCAGTCTGACATAAAGAGTTGCATGGAGTCTCGGCAGAGCAGCAGCTCAGGTACGTGCAGAAACCCAGGAGTTCTAAATTCAGAAACCCAGGAGTTCTACTTCCAGGCATCCTGGCAAAAGTAGCTGCAACTACAGCAAGGCAGGAGGTTAGATCCTGGTACATACCTCTAGGAAACAGGCTGAATCCAGGGGGCTGAGCAGCAAAGGTCTGCAGGCACCACTTCCATGGCACCTCATAGGATAAGACCACTGGCTTGGAATTCCAGCTAGCAAACCAGTGTTGCGCCTCTCTGAGATGGAGCTCCAGGGGGAGGGATGAGCTGCCATCTCTGCTCTTTGTACAATTTAGCCATTACAGCCTTGGGCTTTGGGAGTCCAAACCAACCAGGGGTGAAAGGAATCTCCTAGCACATCACAGCTGCTCTACCGCAGTCTGTTCTACATGGTCAGACTGCTTCTTTAAGTGGGCCCTTAATCCTGTTCCTCCTCACAGGGCAGGACCTCCAAACTGGGATATCCAGCTACCCCTACCAGTGTTCTCCAGCCAACAGGGATCTAAATTCCTCCTGGGACAGAACTCCCAGAGGGAGGGGAAGGCTGTTTGGGTGCCTTAGTCATTTCAGCCTTCAGGCTTCAGAGTGTCCAAGGCAACCTTGGGCTGAAGCAGACCCCCAGCATAGCACAGCTGCAAAAATTTGGCCAGGCTACTTTTTTAAGCCAGTCCTCAATCCTATTCCTCCTAACTGAGTGAGACCTCCCAACTAGGGTCTCCAGCCACCTCCTACAGGTGCATTAGGGCTGGCAACAGGCCCATACCTCCCTGGGACGAAGCTGCCAGAGGGAGGAGCAGGCTGCCATATTTGCTGTTTCTCAGCCTTCACTGGTGACACCTCCAGGTACTGGAAAATCCGAGGCAACTAGGGACTAAAGCGGGCCCCCAGCATAGCACAGAAGCCCTATGGAAAAGTGGCCAGACTGTTACATGGGTACCCATTCCCATATCTCTTCACTGGGCAGGTCCTCCAGGCCTGATCTTCTAGCTACCCCCCTCACCAGAGCTACTGAACAAGTAGCAACCTGGCAACTCCCTGGACAGAGCCTCCAGGGGCACCTGAAAACCTCTCTGCCACTGCCTCTGCAGTGGAACTGTCCTTGCTACCCTCAGACTAACAAA
Source organism: Homo sapiens (assembly GCF_000001405.40). Taxonomy (NCBI): domain Eukaryota; kingdom Metazoa; phylum Chordata; class Mammalia; order Primates; family Hominidae; genus Homo; species Homo sapiens. The sequence goes on along the minus strand of NC_000015.10, from coordinate 46,262,082 downwards.
GGAGCAAAGACCCTAAGTGCCTTATCCATACCTCCAAAAAGCTGCAGTTGACCCAAGGAGAGGTGGTGAGTCTGTCTCCCATGGCTCCAACACACCCCCTACTACTTGTCACCAGACAGGGAACCCCTGGCTTACAGCACAGACCCTCCACCATGGGTTGATTGCACTGAACAACTGCTAACCCACATGTCTGTGGGGTGGAACCCCCAGGAAACAAGCAAAGTGGTGGAGCAGCAAGCCAGCTGATGTGCAGATCAGAGGGTTTGGTGCAGGAGCATCCGTAACAGAGTGTGGCCAGGGACAGCCATCCCTCTAGGCTTGACTTGCTCATGTAAGAGACTTTAGCCCTAGGGGAATTATTGGACCCTTGTCTCTGCAAGACAGTCTTGTATATCAGACAGGGCTGTTCTGACCCGAGCACTCTTTGGTCTGCTGGTCTCACCCAGGACTCCAGCCTGGCCACACCTGCTTATGGGGCAGTCTCAATGCCCTGGGGACCTACACCCTAGCTTCTGTGCCAGTAGACTGTGCCTGACCAGTGGAGATCTCCAGCGAGGAGGCCTCTACAGTCACACACCAGCCTGCACATTCCCTCCCCATACTGCAGCTTCCCCAAAGCCCATGGCAACTCCCTACATCACTTTGCTAGCACATGTCTGCCCAGGCAGGTTTTACTTTACTTTCCCCGCCAGCACGCGGAAGTGCAGTATGCCCCCAACCGCCGCTGACCACCATTGCAGATGGAGCTTTGGCGAACACAGAGCCAGCAAGCCCCCACTAGCACCCTGCTCTTCTACTAACACTGACAGGGGATCATCTCACAACTTGAGCAATCACTCCTGCTTGTGGGGCACAGAGAAGGCATCCAGACCTGCATTGGCCAGCACCCTGCCCCAAACCAACACTACCTCCAGTGCAACGGCACACACAGTATCCAGCAGGGGTCCTCCACTCCCCTTACAACTGCCTTGCCTCAGCCAGTGTGGTGAATGTCCACAGAGAGGCAGGAATCCCTGCATTCACTAGCAGTCAGCTGCAGCTGCCACACCTCGGTCCCCCTTGTGCAGTAGACTGCAAAACTCAAGGAGCCAGAGAACAAAGTCAGGGCCCAATACAAGTCCCCCAGAGTTAGAATTAGAAATCAAGACTAAGAAATTCACTCAAAACCATACAATTACATGGAAATTGAATAACCTGCTCCTGAATGACTTTTGGGTAAATAGTGAAATTAAGGAAGAAATCAAGAAGCTCTTTGAAACTAATGAGAACAAAGATACAACATACCTGAATCTCAGGGACACAGCTAAAGCAGTGTTAAGAGGGAAATTTGTAGCACTAAATGTCCACATCAAAAAGCTAGAAAGATCTCAAGTTAACAACCTAACATAAGAGCTAAAAGAACTGGAAAACCAAGAGCAAACAAATCCCAAAGCCAGTAGAAGACAAGAAATAACCCAAATTAGGGCTAAACTGAAGAAGACTGAGACATGAAAAACCATTCAAAATATCAACAAATCCAGGAGATTTTTTTGAAAACATTAATAAAAGACCACTAACTAGACTAATAATGAATAAGATACCATCTCATGCCAGTCAGAATGGTGATTATTAAAATGTCAAGAAACAACAGATGCTGATAAGGCTGGGAAGAATTAGGAACACTTTTACACTGTTGGTGGGAATGTAGATTAGTTCAACCATTGTGGAAGACAGTGTGGCAATTCCTCAAATACCTAGAGGCAGAAACACCATTTGACCCAGCAATCCCGTTGCTGGGTATTATATCCAAGGGAATATAAATAATTCTATTATAAAGATACATGCACATGTATGTTCATTGCAGCACTATTCACAATAGCAAAGACGTAGAATCAACCCAAATGCCCATCAATGATAGACTGGATAAAGAAAATGTGGTACATATACACCATGGAATACTATGCAGCCATAAAAAGGAATGAGATAATATCATTTTCAGGAACATTGATGGAGCTGGAAGCCATTATCCTCAGCAAACTATTGCAGGAACAGAAAATCAAACACCACATGGTCTCACTTACAAGTGAGAGCTGAACAATGAAAACACATGGACACATGGCAGGGGAACAACACATGCTGGGGCCTGTGGGGGGAGTGGGGGAGGGAGAGCACCAGGAAGAATAGCTAATAAATGCTGGGCTTAATTCCTGGGCGATGAGTTGATCTGGGCAGCAAACTACCATGGCACACATTTACCTATGTAACAAACTGGCACATCCTGCACATACCACGGAACTTAAAAGTTGAAGGAAAAAAATAGAAGAAAACACAGAGATCCAAATAAACACAGTCAGAAATGACAAGGTGAATATTATCACCAACTCCACAGAAAAACAAACAACCATCAGAGGATACTATAAACACTTCTACGCACATAAACAAGAAAATCTAGAAAAAATTGATACATTCCTGGACACATATACCCTCTTAAGACTGAACCAGGAAGAAATTGAATCCCTGAACAGACCAATAATGAGCTCTGAAATTGAGGCAGTAATACATAGCCCACCAACCTAAAAAAACTCAGGACTAGACATTCACAGCTGAATTTTACCAGATGTACAAAGAGCTGGTGCCATTCCTACTGAAATTATTTAAAAAAATTGAGATGGGATTTCTACCTAACTCTTTTATGAGGCAAGCAGCATCCTGATACCAAAACCTGGCAGATACAAAAAAAAAAAAAAAGTAAACTTCAGGCAACTATTCTTGATGAACATCAGTACAAAAATCCTCAACAAAATACTGGCAAACCAAATTCAGCAGCACACCAAAAAGCTTATGCACCACGATCTAGTAGGCTTTATTCCTGGGATGCAAGGCTGGTGCAACATACACAAATCAATAAATGTGATTCATCACATAAGCAGAACTAAAGACAAAAGCCACATGATTATCTCAATAGATGCAGAGAAGGCTTTTGATAAAATTCAACATCCATTTATGGTAAAAAAAAAAAAAAAAAAAACTCTCAATAAACTAGGTATTGAAGGAACATACCTCAAAATAATAAGAGTCACATATGACAAATGCACAACCAATATCATACTGAATGGGCAAACGCTGGAAGCATTGCCTTTGAAAACCAGCACAGGACAAGGTTGTCCTCACTTACCACTCCTATTCAACATAGTATTGGAAGTTCTGGCCAGGGCAATCAGGCAAGAGAAAGAAATAAAGGGCATCCAAATAGGAAGAGGGAAAGATAAACTATCCCTGTTTGCAGATGACACGATCCTGTATTTAGAAAACTCCATCATCTCAGCCCAAAAGCTTTTTTTTTTTTTAATTTTCTTTTTTTTTTTATTTTGAGGCTGAGTCTCACTCTGTCACCCAGGCTGGAGTACAATGGAGCGATCTCAGCTCACTGCAACCTCTGCCTCCTGGATTCAAGCGATTCTCCTGCCTCAGCCTCCCAAAAGCTTCTTAAGGAGATAAACAACCTCAACAATGTCTCAGGATACAAAATCAATGTGCAAAAATCACTAGCATTTGGCCAGGCATGGGGGCTCACGCCTGTAATCCCAGCACTTTGGGAGGCCAAGGCGGGCGGATCACCTGAGGTCAGGAGTTCAAGATTAGCTTGGACAACATGGCAAAACCCTGTCTCCACTAAAAATACAAAAAATTAGCCAGGCATGGTGATAAAGAAAATGTAGACTGATAAAGAAAATGTGGTACATATACACCATGGAATACTTTGCAGCCATAACAAAAGAATGAGATCATGTACTTTGCTGGGACATGGACGGAGCTGGAAGTCATTATCTTTAGCAAGCTAAGACGGTCAAAAAATCAAATATTGCATGTTCTCACTTATAAGTGGAGTAAATGATGAGAACACATGGACACGCAGAGGGCAACAATAGACATTGGGGCCTACATGAGGTTGGAGGATGGGAGGAGGGGGAGTATCAAGAAAAATAACTAATGAGTACAGGGCTTAATACATGGGTGATAAATATCTACGTAACAAACCTGCACACGTACCCCTGAACTAAAAATAAAGGTTAAAAAAATAGAATGGAATCCTGACTTTGAAAAGATTATAGTCTAAAAAAGAGGAAAATGATTAAATAATAGCAATTTAAAATTCTAATAGCAAGTCTTTAAAAAGACAAAACATATCTATTTTTTCTTAAACCTTTATCAAGACTTCACATAAAACTGCATTATTTAAATTTACAATTTGATAAGTTTTGACATATATGTATGAATCCATGAAACTATCTCCATAAACAACACACTCATATTCCCAAAAGTTTCCACCTGTTGTTGTGTAAGCCTTTCCTCCCACCCTTTTAAACCCCATCTATCCCACAGACAACCAATGATCTGATTTCTGATGCTACAGATTACTTTCTGTTTTCCAAAATGTTATATAAATGCAATTATGAAGTAGGTATTCTGGCATCTTTCAGTCAGCATAATGACTTTTGGATTTATCCATGTTGTAGCATATGGAGTTCATTTATTTTTATTAATAAGCAATATGTCATTGTATGGATATGCTTGAATTTATTTACTTGCTGATGAACATTTGTGTTTTTAGCTATTACAAATAAAACAACATTTATGAACTCATTTTTTGTACAGAAATGTGCTTTCAAGTGTTTTGGATAACTACTTAGAAATACAATGGCTAGGTTATATGATTCACTTTTAAGAACTCCCAAACTTTTTCCAAGTGGTTCTACCATTTCACAAGCCCACCAGCCCTACATGAGAGTTGTAGTTGCTCTAGGCTGATCAGTGTTTCTAATTTTAGCCATTCTAGTAGGAGTATACTGGTAACTTCTTTTAATTTGCATTTCTCTAATGAATAATAATGCCAAGGAAATTTACATGTGCTTATTTGCCATCCGTACATCTTTTTTGGTAAAGTGTCTGAGCAAATCTTTTGCCAATCTTAAAACTGGCTTATTGTTTGTGTTCTTATGAGCTGTAAAAGTTCTTCATATATTCTAGATATAGATCCTTGTTTGGATATACATTTTGCAAATGTTTTTCCAGTCTATGAAATGCTTTTCATTTTCTTGTCAGTGTGATTATGTGTCTATAGCTAAACACTTGATTCTGTTCCAATGAACTATCATCTATTTTTATACTAGGGTCTGGATCACTGTAGTTTTTTTGTTTTGTTTTTGTTTGTTTGTTTTGAGACGGAGTCTCACTCTGTCGCCCAGGCTGGGGTGCAGTGGCACAATCTCGGCTCACTGCAAGCTCTGCCTCCTGGGTTCATGCCATTCTCCTGCCCAGCCTCCCGAGTAGCTGGGACTACAGGCACCTGCCACCACGCCCAGCTAATTTTTTTATATTTTTCACTGTAGTTTTATAATAAATCTTGAAATCAAGAGGTATAAGTCCCCCAAATTTGGTCTTCTCTTTCAATTATTTTGGCTACTTCAGCAGTTTCTTTTGATGCAAATTTTAGAATTTGTGAATTTCTACCAAAGAAAAAACCTGAATAAATTTTTACTGGAATTGCATTGAATAGATAGACATATTTTTAACTTGGGCTTTCTGGTTTTTTGTTTTTGTTTTCTTAGTGTTGAGGTCTAAGTGTTATTTGTATACTTTGGATACAAGTTCTGTATCAGTTATGTGGTGTAAAAACATTTTCTGTTAGTCTGTGTCTTGCTTTTTGATTCTCTTAACAGTCACCTTTGCAGAACAGAATTTTTTTAAGTTTTGATAAAGTATAATTTATCCATTTTTTTCCATGGATCATGCTTTTGGTGCTGTATATTAAAAAAAAATAATAAAGCTTTGCCAAACCCAAGGTCATGTAGATTTTCTCCTATGTTTTCTCCTAAAAGTCTATTTGTTTGGTGGTTGTTTTGAAATAGGGTCTCACTCTGTCACCCATGCTGGAGTGCAGTGGTGCCATAATAGCTCACTGCAGCCTCAAACTCCTTGGCTCAAGCGATCTTCCCACCTTAGCCTCGCAAGTAATTGGGACTACAGATGTGGGCCACCACGTCTGGCTATTATTTTCTATTTTTTGGGGAGACAGAGTCTCCATATGTTGCTCAGGCTGGTCTCAAGTTCCTGGCCTCAAGTGATCCTCTCATCTTGGCCTCTCAAAGCATTGGGATTGCAGGCATGAGCCACTGCATCTGCCCTCTAAAAGTTTTACAGTACTCATTTTATATTTAGATTACTGATCATATTTTGAGTTATTTTATGAAACATTTAAGTCTCTGTTGAATTCTTTTTTTTTTTGCATTTGGACATCCAATTGTTTAACAGCATTTGTTGAAAAATGAACTGCCTTTGTTCCTTTGTCAAATATCCATTGTCTGTATTTGTATGGATTTGTCTCTGAGCACTCTATCACATTCCATTGATCTATGAGTCTATTTTTTGACAATACCACTCTGCTTGATAACTGTACAACTTTATAGTAAAATGTGAACTGTCAGTCCTCCAACTTTGAAACTGACTCTAAACTTCAATTTCACAATATCCATAAAATAGGATTTTGCCAGGATTTTGATTGGTATTACCATGATCAATTCCTATTAATGTAAGGGGTTGCCTTAATTGATTTTTAAATATAATACTAGTTTTGCATAACTGGAATAAATCCCACTTGGTCCTGGTAAATAACTGTACATTGTTGGATTTGGTTTGCTGAGGATTTTTCTATCTGTGATCATGAGAGAAACTGGTCTGTGGTTTTCTTTTCTTGTAATGTCTCTATCTGGTTTTGGTTTTATGGTAATGCTTGTCTCATAGCAATGAGATAAGAGATGCTCCTTCTGCTTCTATTTTCTTGAGGAGATTGAAGAGAATTCGTATCAATTCTTCCTTAAACCTTTGGTAAAATTCGCCAGTGAAACCATCTGGGCCTGGTGTTTTCTTTCTTGAATTATTGTTCAATTTCTTTAATAGACACAGACGTATTCAGATTATATAATTCTCCCTGTGGGATTTTGGGTATTTCGTGTCTTTTAAGGAATTGGAATATTCTATTCATCACATTTGTGGGCATGGAGTTTTTCATAATATCCCTTTATCATCCTTTGATGTCTATGGAACAATAGGAATGGTCCCTTTTTATTTCTAATATCAGCAATTTGTATGTTCCCTCTTTTTCTGTTTGTGTTTGTTTTGGTTTGGTTAATCTGGCTAAAATTTAACCAAGTTTATTTTTTATTTATTTATTTTTTTTCAAGACGGAGTCTCGCTCTGTCACCCAGGCTGGAGTGCAGCGGCACGATCTTGGCTCACTGCAAGCTCTGCCTCCCAGGTTCAGGCCATTCTCCTGCCTCAGCCTCCCAAGTGGCTGGGACTACAGGCGCCCGCCACCATGCCCGGCTAATTTTTTTGTATTTTTAGTAGAGATGGGGTTTCACCGTGTTAGCCAGGATGGTGTGTACCTCCTGACCTCGTGATCCGCCTACCTCGGCCCCGCAAAGTGCTGGGATTACCGGCGTGAGCCACCGCGCCTGGCCCAAGTTTGTTTATCTTTTTAAACAACCAACATTTGGTTTTATTGATTTACTCCAATATTTTCTGTTTTTAATTTCACTGATTTCCGCACTAATTACTCTAAATTCTTTTCTTCTGCTTCTTTTAGGCCTAAGTTTCTTTCCTTTCTCTGGTCTCCTCAAGTAAAAGTTAGACATGATCTATAAATTATTTAAATAGGGTTGTAAAAGTCTGCAAGTCTAATAGTGGATTTGTCTATTTCTCTTTGCATTCTATACACTTTTGCTTCACATACTTTGATTCATTGTTATTTGGCACAAATATATTAAGGGTTGTTATGTCTCCTTAGATAATTGGCTCCTTTATATTATCCTCTCTATATTATCCTTTTTATTCTTGATAAATTTCTTTTTCTGAAGTCTGCTTTGTCTGAAATTAATATAGCTACTCCAGCCTTCTTCTGATTAGTGCTAGCAGGATCTATCTTTCTCTATCCCTTTACTTTTAATGTATCTGTGTATTTATATTTAAAGCATATTTATTATAGACAACATATAATTGGATTTAATTTTTAGATCCACTCTGACAATTTCTATTTGATAATGTATTTAGACCTGCACATTTACAGTTATTATTTTTATAGAGTTGGTTTATCTACCATGTTTGTAACTGTTTTCTATTTGTTATATTTTTTCTTTTTTCTCCTTTTTGTCTGCCTCTTCTGGTTTTAACTGATCATATTACATGTGTCCATTTTCTCTCCTCTGTTAGCATATCAAATACAAGCATACAGACACACATACACACAAATTTGTGATTGTCATGGAGTTTGCTATATACATAAAGCATTTAAGTTCACTCTCGAATAACATTACAGAGCTTCACACAAAGGATGGAAGGAAGGAATTGGGAATACACTATTCTAAGGTAACTGTACTTATAATCGTGCATTCCCAATTCCTTCCTTCCATTGTTTACTATTATATAAATTTGTCAAAAATAATGTCTGTGTATTGCTCCCCAGATTGCTTATTTCTTCACTGCGTGCTGAGACCCATTCGCTGCAAGACCCACGAGGGCCAAACTCAAAATTTTTACATATCCAGTTATTTTTAAAATAGTCAAACAAGCAGATTTTTAGTCATTGAGAGACTGCTTGCTTTGCATATCCAATGAAACCTCACCTCACATTTGGTGGCCACTGACAAAAGCAAGCCTGTGGTTGTAAGACCCCAAGCTGCTAGGCACTTTGGAGTTTTCTGACCTACAGAATCCCTTCCTTGTTGCTGAGTGACATCACCTGGATAGTAAGTCTTCTCTCCATTTTCCCTCTCCTCAAAATGTTTCCTTGTTCTTCTCCCCTTCTAAGTAGCCACCCCCATGCTGTAATCTTTGGACAGATTCCTGCTATAAGAGGCTTCCCCAGCAAGCAAACCTGTTAAAGTGTTACCCGTTAAAGCTTGTGTGTGCTATTGCGCTCGTGGTAATATAGGTTTCCTAGATCGTCCTCCACATTAGTTGAATCCCTTATATTTTGCATTGCTGTCATTCATTCCACTTATCCATATTCTATAATTACCTAATATATTGTTACTATTATTACTTTGAACAGTAACGTATTAGATCAATTAAGAATTTTAGAAAGAAAAGATTTTATTTTACCTTTATTCCTTCTTAGATGCTCTTTTCTTTATGTAAATTTGTTTCTAATCTGTATCATTTTTCTTCTCTCTGAAGAACTTTTAGTATTTCCTGCAGAAAAGTTCCATTGGCAATGAATTTTCTCAGCTTTTTGTTCGTCTGATAAATACTTTATTTCTCCTTCACTTTTGAAGGATAATTTTGTTGAATATGGAATTCTATATTGGCATGTCTCTCAGTAATTTAAATATTTTACTCTCTTCTTTCTTGCATGATTTCTGAAAAGAAGTCTGGTATAATTCTTATCTTTCTTCTTCTAAAGTGCACACCTGGCTGCTTTTAAGATTTTCTTTTTTCTTTAGTTTTCTGCAGTTTAATACAATATACTTAGGTGTAAAATCGGGAGGTTTTATCCTTGTTTGTGCTTTCTAAGGTTAAGTCTCTACTGACATATCTTCAAGCTCACTTATTCTTTCTTTGGTCAGGTATAGTTTACTAACAATCCCACCAAAATATGTCTGTTACAGTGCTTTTTTTTATTTCTAACATTTTCTTTTGATTTTTTTGTTAGTATTTTTAGCTGTCTCTTTACATTACTTATCTGTTCTCGCATGTTCTCTATTTTACCGTTATAGTTCTTAACATATTAATCAGAGTTATTTTAAATTCTGTTATCCTTCTTGGCCTTTTGGCTAAGATCAACTGAAATTCTGTCTGATAATTCCAAAATCCATGCCATATCTGAGTCTGGATGTGATGCTTAATTTGTCTTTTCGTGCTATGCTTTTGCTTGCTTTTTAGCACACTTCATAATTTTTCAGTTGAAAACCATTTAGTACATAACATGTAATATGATCCGAGGTAAATAGGCCTTTAATGACAGGTCTTATGCTTATCTGGCGAGATAGGCCTTGTTTAATGTTTGCTATAGCTGCAGATGCCAGAGCCTTCAATTTCCTCTTGTGTTCTTGTAAATTGGCTCCTATTCTGTCTTTGGGTTTCCCTAAAAATGCTCTTAAATAAGAGTCTGAGCCTTGCAGTTCTTTCAGTGTCATCCATTGTTATTTTATTTTATTTTAATTAATTAATTTAGAAAAGGAGTTTTACTCTTGTTGCCCAGGCTGGAGTGCAATGGCATGATCTCGGCTCACTGCAACCTGGGACGCCTGGGTTCAAGCGATTCTCCTGCCTTAGCCTCCTGAGTGCTGGGATTACAGGTGTGAGCCACCACACCTGGTTTATCCATTGTTATTTTATATGGGAGGCTTGTTGTGATGGTAAGGTATGGAGAAGGGGGAAGCAGTCCGTCATCCTATGATTAAGTCTCAGTCTTTAAGTGGGCCTGTGTCACTAGTGTGATCTTCACAAGGGTTTCTCAGCTTCCCCCCCTCCTCCCTTAGGTATGAGAGAAACGCTTACAGAAGGGTGAAGTTGTGTAATTTCTATTCCCCCACCTCAGATAACGTTCTGGTAAAGTCTTTTCTCTTGCTGAGCAGACCTTTAGAACAAAGTATTATGGCCGTATCTCAAAAGTTTTACTTATTTCCTCCCCTGCCAGAAACATGAAGGTTTTTCATGGCTCTTCATCATGAGTACCTCCAAGTAAAATCCACAAAAATGCAGGCTTCCCAGATGTTTCTCACTCTCAGACTAGACCATATTCAGCCTCCAGGGAGTCATCAGTTAGTATTTTTAGTCTTCCTCTCAGTTTAGGCCTCCAGTAGCTTCTGTTCCATTTGGGCTGTGACTCCCTGTGTTTACGTGTATTCACCTCCAGATTTCTGGTGGCAGTCTGCCTTGAGACCTCAATTATCTCATGGGCCCAAGAAATTCAATGATTTTCAGTTTGTTCAGCTATTTCCTGTTGAAAGGTCAGGAATAAAAGTTTCAACCTCTTTATGTGTCAAAGCTGAAAATAAAAGTCCCCTTGATTTATTTTTGAATGTTAAAACAATCTTGCATTTCAGGGATAAAGCCCATTTATTTATGATGCAGTATCATTTTTATATATTGCAGGATTGGATTTGTGAATAATTTTTCATTTATGTTCATAACAGACACTAGTTTGTAGTTTCCTTTTCTTGTAATGTTTTCTCTTGTCTTGATATCATCGTAATATGGCTTCACAGGTTTAGTTGAAAAGTATGATCTCTTCAATTTTCTGAAGGGTTTTTATATGGAATCAGTACTATTTCCTCTTGAAATGTTTTGTAGAATTCACCAATGAAGTCATCTCAGTCTGGAGTTTTCTTTGTAGGAAGTGCTCAGCTATAAATTCAATTACTTTCATACATATAAGGCTATCCAAGTAATCTATTTCCTCATGAATATGCTTTCATAGCGTATATCTTTCAGTAAAGTCCATTTCATTAAAGTTCTTGAACTTATTGGCATGAAGTTGTTCACAATCATTCATTATTATTGTAGAATATTTATAAATATTAGCCTTCATTTTTTCATACTGGTAAATTTGTTCCCTCTCTCCCTCCTCTCTCTGTCTCTCTCTCTCATTTGTTTCCTGATATGTCTGGCTGGAGATTTATCATTATATTGAAATTCACAAAGAACCAGCTTGTGGTTTCATTGATTTTTATCTACTACTCTTTTTTTTTTGCTTACTTTTTTTCCTTTGATTTCTACTCTTTTATTATTTCTTTCTTTTGCATACATTGAGTTTAATTTTCTCTTTTTGTTTCTATTATCATTAGGTGGAAGCCAGAGCCATTGATTTGAGACCTTTCTCCTTTTCTATACAGGTAGTTAGTGCCATAAACTTCTGTTTTACTTTAGGTGCCTTGTAAACATTTTAATATAATACGTTGTCATTTTCTTTCAGTTCAAAATACTTTGTAAGTCCTCTTTTGATTTCTTATTTGAAGTAGGACATATTTACAAGTATTTAATATCATTTCCAAATAGCTTATATCACACAGACCTCTTTGATATTGATTTCTAACTTAATTCCTTTGTAGTCAGAGAATAGAGTTTGTATGATTTGAATTATTTCAATTTATTGAGACTTGTTTTATGACCCAGAACAAGGTTTATCTAGGTAAAATTTTAAAGTACACTGGTAAAAAATGTAAATAAATAATTATTTGGCTGTCTTTTGTGGAATGTTCTATAATTTTTAATTATGTCTAATTGGTTGATGGTATTGTTTAAGCCTTCTATATCCTTAATAATTTTCTGCTTGTTCTATCAATCATTGAAAGATGAATGTTGTAATATTTTACTCTAATGGTGCCTGTTTCTCCTTGTCATGCTACCAGATTTTGTTTCATGCGTTTTCAAGCTTTATTATTAGGTGCACATACATTTAGAATTATTATGTCTACTTGATGAATTGAACCCATTGTCTATGGAAAATTCCCTCTTTATCCTCAGTAATATTGTTTTCTCTGAAATCTACTTTGCCTGGTGTTTTTTTTGTTTTTTGGGTTTTTTTTTTTTTTTTGAGGCAGAGTCTCGCTCTTTCACCCAGGCTGGAGTGCAGTGGCACAATCTCGGCTCACTGCAAGCTCCGCCTCCCGGGTTCATGCCATTCTCCTGTCTCAGCCTCCCAAGTAGCTGGGACTACAGGCGCCTGCCACCATGCCCGGCTAATTTTTTTGTATTTTTAGTAGAGATGGGGTTTCACCATGTTAGCCAGGATAGTCTTGATCTCCTGACCTCATGATCCACCCGCCTCAGCCTCCCAAAGTGCTTTGCCTGGCATTAATATAGCCATCCAAGTTTCCTTTTTATTAAAGTTAGCATGACCTATATTTATCAATCTTTTTTCTTTTAACCCATTTCTGTTTTAATATTTAAAGTTAGCTTCTTTTTTTTTGAGATGGAGTTTCACTCTTGTTGCCCAAGCTGGAGTGCAACGGCACTATCTTGGCTCACTGCAACCTCCGCCTCCCGGGTTCAAACAATTCTCCTGCCTCAGACTCCCAAGTAGCTGTGATTACAGGCACACACCACCACACTCGGCTAATTTTTTGTATTTTTTTTTTTTTTTTTTTTTTTTTTTAGTAGAAACAGGGTTTCACCATGTTAGCCAGGCTGGTCTCAAACTCCTGACTTCAGGTGATCTGCCCGCCTCGGCCTCCCAAAGTGCTAGGATTACTGGTGTGAACCACCACACCCAACCTAAAGTTAGCTTCTTACTGGTAACATGTATTTGGGTCTTCATTTTTTGTTCAACCTAAAAATCCTTACCTTTTGCTTGGGTTAGGTTGTTTAGGCAATTTATTTAATATGATTATTGTGATAATGGTGTTTAAATCTACCCTCTTGATATGTTACTGTTTTGTTTTTTTCCATTTGTTAGTTGTTTCCCCTTTTTCCTTCTTTTTTTGCCTTTATCTCTGCCTTTTTGGTTTAAGAGCTGTAATTGTACTTTTGGTTTTTGAGTCACTGCTTTAAGGTTTATAATACACAATTTTAACTTATTATAGTCTATTCTCAAGTAATATACCACTTTGCATATAGCAGTGTACTTTCATTTCTCCCTTCCTAGAATTTTGGCTTTTGTGGTGTCAAAAAACAAAATTTCAAAAATTGATTTTTGAAGATCTAATTGACTTTTATTAGCTATTCATGAACCAGGCAGCATCCAGTCTATAAGCAGACATAAGCCCCACCGGGAATGGCAGAACAGTAGATTTTTGTAGGGACCTTGATCAGGAACAAGGAAACAATATAGTAGAAAAAGCAGATTGGTTAATATCAAGTTACTTCAGATTACTTTCCTAGTGTGGGTTAAGGCAGGAAGGGTTCCTAATCATGCTGGTTCAGGTTGCCTGGGTCTCTTTTGATTGGTTGCATGAATCTTTTGCTTTTTGGAAAACTAGCCTGTTTTTAAGTTCAATTTGGTTATGTGGTGCCTAGCACCAGTGACTCCATTCTGGTCTGCTGGAGCTTAGTGCAGGAGCTCAATCCAAAACAGTGGCCTCCCACAAATTTTATTTAGAGTTGAAATACATTTTATTTTTACATATATTATAAGCACCACTATACAATCCTATTGGTTTGCTTTAAATAGTCAACTACTTAATAAAGATGTTTTAAAATATTTTTTAAAATTTTATATTTCCTCTCATATTTAGCATTTCTAGTGCTGTTCATTTCTTAATGTGAATCCAGATTCCATTTGATATCATTTTCCTTCCGCCTGGAGAACTTCCTTTACTATTTCTTGTAGTGCATATTGACTGGGGATAAATTATTTTTTTTTAATGTATGTAAACCTTTTATTTTATCTTCCTATCTCAAATATATTTTTGCTAGTTGTAGAATTCTAAGATAATCATTGCCTCCTCCCAACACTTTAAAAACTTTGATCCTTTGTCTGCTGGTTTGCTTTGTTTCTGACAAGAAGCCTCTTTTCATTTTTACCTGTATTCTTTTATACCCACTGTGCCTTTCTTATCTGGCTGCTTTTATGATTTTCTCTTTATCACTTATTTTAAATAATTTGATCATGATGGGTCTTCATGTAATTTTATTCTAGTGTCTTGTGCTTGGAGTTTGTTGAATTTCTTGGATCTGTAGACTTACAGTTTTCATCAAATTTGGAAAATTGCAGATTATTATTTCTTCTAATTTTTTTTTCTTCTCTTTCTTCTCTTTTGGGATTTCAATTATACATAGAGTAAGCTGTCTGAAGTTATCCTACCACTCACCAGCATGCCATTCTGTCTCTCTTTCATTTTTGATACATTCTATGATTATGTCTTCAAGATCACTAATCTAACCTTCTGCAATGCATAATCTGATAATCTCAGTATATTTTTATTTCTAGGAATTGTATTTAGATCTTTCTAAAAACATCTATATCTCTGCTTAACATGCTAAACCTTTATCCTCTTGACTATTTAAATGCCTTTACTACTAATTCTATTATCTGTGTCATTTCTGGGTCTTTTTATTAATTTCTTCATTATGAATTGTAATTTATTTGTATTCCTGTTAATTTTTTATTAAATGACACACATTATGAATTTTACTTTTTGAGTGCTGTATCTTTTAATTCCTATAAATATTCTTAAACTTTATTATGGGATACAGTTAAATTACTTGGAATTATTTATTTTCCTCTCCAATCTTGCTTTTTAAGCTTTGTTTTGCTGTAACTAGAGCTTAAATACTCTGTTCAATGCCTCGAGAATTATGAGATTTTTCTTTCTGGCTATGAGGCATGTGAAATATTCCTGACCTTATGCAAGCTGCAAGGATTTTTTCCCTCTGCTTGTCTGATACAGCTTTGTTCTTGGCCTCAAGTAGTTTCCTCACATACATGTGCTGATCACTACTCAGCTAATGACTGAACAAGTGCCTTCTGCAAATTGATGGGACTCTCTCCATGTATCTATTTTCTCTTCCTTACCCTGTCTTTTTAAAGTATAACTACTTTGGCCTCCTAGGAATCCCAGCTTCATTTTTTTTATTCGGGAACACTGTTGGGTTCTGCCTATATTTTTCTCTCTTAAGTTGCAGCCTGGAAACTCTCTCCAAGAAGTAAGTCAAGGATAATTTTAGGACTGACACTATTTCTGCTCTCAGTAGCCATTATCCTGGCTGCTTAACATCCAATGCATAAATGTGGTCCCTTATGCCCAACACATTTCTCTTTATCTCTTTATTCATAAAGTTAGGGTCAGGTTGTTATAAAATCTATCTCATTTTTTAATGTTCTACAGCCTGGTAATGGATACACCAGAACTTGGCTTGGAGAGAGATTTTCCCATCTCACCTTCATTAGAATCCTACCACTACTCTTTGATATGGACAATTAATCTATTCCCCATCTCATTTAAATAACTAGCTAAAAGCAGTTCTGCGATAAAACTACCTCATAGCACTGCCCTACTACCTCTACTTTTCTCCCAACATCCTAACATTCCAACAAGAGATTGTCCATGAGGTCCTCTCATATAAGAATTCTAGCACTTTCTCCTCCACCTTGTGTGGGAAACCTTCCTTAGTCTTGGGTAAGCCACCTGGATGATATGTGATTTATATTTAAAGGTGTAAAGCAATTAGTTCAACCATTGTGAAAAGCAGTATGATGATTCCTCAGAGAGCTAAAAGCAGAGCTGTCACTCGACCCAGCAATCTCATTGCTGAGTATCTACCCAGGAAAATATAAATCATTATACCATAAAGACACATGTGCACAGTATGCATTGCAGCACTATTCACAATAGCAAAGACGTGGAGTCAACCTACATGCCTATCAGTGACAGACTGGATAAAGAAAATGTGGTACATATATACCATAGAATACTATAAAACCATAAAAGAGAAGAAGATTATGTCTTTTGCAGGAACATGAATGGAGCTGGAGGCTATTATCCTTAGCAAACTAACACAGGAACAGAAAACCAAATGCTGCCTGTTCTCACTTATAAGTGGGGGCAAAATGATTAGAACTAATGAACACAAAGAAGGAAATAACAGACACTGGGGTCTGCTTGATGGGGGAGGGTGGGAGGAGGGAGAGGAGCAGAAAAGGTAACTATTTGGTACTGGGCTTAATACCGGAGTGATGAAATAATCTGTAAAACCCCCGTGATACAAGTTTACCTATGTAACAAACCTTCACATGTACCCTCGAACCTAAAATAAAAGTTAAAAAATAAACAAATAAATAAAGTTGTAGAGCCAGTGCCAGTAGATGATCCATTGATCTTGGGTGTAGAGTGTTGCTAAGGGAAATGTAATCTGTTAACACCTTTCTTACATGAGCTGCTTGGAAAACAGTGAATTGAATGTAAAGAGATTCTTTGCAATTGTGTAAATAGCCTTATTTGATTTCTGTAGTGATGTGATTAACAAGTGCCTGCTTTACGACTAGATGGTTACTTTTGTTTTCCTTAGTATTCATTAACATAAAGAGAGGCTGAAACCTAAAGGACAGCAGAATGTCTTTTCACTTCAAGAATGACTTCCAAACAAAATACATAAACTGATTTTACCCTTGAGTCTTACTTCATGTGATATGATGAAAAAATTAACACCCAGACTTAGAAAATTGTTGTAAACAAAGGAGCTATCTTTTAATTTTTCTAATTTAAAAAGAAGTAAGGAAGAAATTAGAGAAAAAGATTAAGGATGAGCAAGCTTCACTCTAGAGGAGTCATAAGCCTTGCAGGTGGTCATTATGCAGGGTTTCAGAACATTTTGGGGTCCAGGTAATCATGTCATTGCTGGATTTGTGTAGTCCACAATTTTCCCAAAAGAGAATGCTTGTCTCCTCATTTGCTTCAGCTGTTTTCAAATAGGCATATCCTCAGTGCTAATACATTTCTGATTTTAGAAGTTCCTATTTGGATTTGAACCTGGATCCTACTGTCCAAGTTTCACCTACACTTAACACTTTTCTTTCTAGGAGATAAAATGCTATCTGATTTCATGACTTAACTATATGCTCTTTGGGAACAGCTACCTTTTCTCATAAACATCTTTGCTGCTTGCAGTGCCTACCAAGTCCTTTGCATATAGCTGAATTATTAGTATCCAAATGATTTTATGTCAAGTTTGAAATTACTTGACTTTAGCTTCAATTTTTGCTAATTTTTAAATATACGTGTGTTTTAACAGCAAAGTAGCACGTCTGTGTGTGTGTGTGTGTGTGTGTACTTGATAAATAAGCAGATGAAGAGTGTGTCATGTATCTTCAATTTGATCCTATAGATCCACTTTCTACCCATCTCCAAAATGTTCTTCACCCGGTAGGGCTGCCTGTTTGGGTTATATCACCAGGTTCCTCCTATGCCCCTCCGGCTTCTTTGTGGGTTTGGGTAATGGGGCACATCAGCAGGAGACAGGAGAAAGGTTCCAGGCACCCACATATGGAAAACTGAGGTAAAAATTGTGTATGTGAGGGAGGAGAGTAGGTCCTATGGGTGCTATGAGGAAGAAGAAAACCCCTTACAGGTATTCTCTAGAATGTCCTACTTCATCACTAGGCATTACTACAATATCTTGGGAAAATTTCAAAGCTAGTAACAGAGAGATTGTCTGCCTGAAGCCTGCATCAGGATACATGTAAGACAGACCAGTCAAGCAATGGAAAAGTGACAATTTTCCATCTATTCTGGGTATCCTACCATGATGAGCTTAAGTTCCAGGAAGGAAACTGAAGAAGACTTTCTTTTACCAAGTTTTGTTGGAGGGGTTTAATAAACTTGTTAAAGAAGCACTGTCCAACATTAAATATACTATCCAAAGACTTTCTGAAAACTAATCTATGTGTCATAATTGCATACTGTGTAGACATTTTCATTGTCAATCAAATAAAAATGTATTTCTTAGGTTACCTTTAGAGATCTCAGAATAAAAAGACTCTTGCGAACCCAACAGAGTATATGTAACAACATGGAACAAAAACATTAAGGTCAAGGAAGACCATACGAACAACTCAAAAAAAAAGCTACATGAAAACCTAAACTAATTCAAGTATTCTCTAAGACAAATAAAAATGTGGGAGAGGAGCAGGGGTAATCAGAAACAGAAATCTTGTGATGATGGTAACAAGGAAAATAGGTGAAGGTCTTACGAATTGGTGGAGGACCCTTAATCCCTGAGACCCATGAGTCTGGATTAGGGGCAAAAGACTGGCCTAGAGATGCCCTACATCATTTCTTGCTGTGGAAAAGCAGAGAAAATCTGGATACCAGATACAAGTATCTGGATAACCACCTCATCAGGAAACACACACACACACACACACACATGGGAGGAAACAGCCATAGCCAATTGTAATTGGGCATTCCCCATGGCTCTCATCTTAGACAGGACCAATTATGACAATCTAGTTTAGTCTCTAATAGCAGTGATGAATGCCAACTTGAAATAGTTATTAATGGCTACCTGGAAGGGGA
Source organism: Homo sapiens (assembly GCF_000001405.40). Classification (NCBI taxonomy): domain Eukaryota; kingdom Metazoa; phylum Chordata; class Mammalia; order Primates; family Hominidae; genus Homo; species Homo sapiens. The sequence goes on along the minus strand of NC_000015.10, from coordinate 46,243,090 downwards.
ACTTGATAACCAGAAAGCCTGTCCAGGCCAGTGGGAATAGTGTCATTCTGAATTAGGGACATCTGCCAAGAATAAAAAGCAGGTCTTTGGTGGTGTTTTCCCTTGATAAACATGCTATAGTATTTCCGTATATTAACTGCCAGGGAAAGGGGGAAGAATTTCATTTAAATGTGTGGATATGTCTTCACTTTGCTGTTGAAATTCATTTAGATAAGAAGGAATAGAGTTTTTGATAAACCTCTCCAAGCAGTGGCTCTTCTACTGCAGTCCCTGTCCCACCAGGAGCTCTCTATGTGCCCACTTAGTAGGCATCTTCACTCTTACATGTTGTTCCTTTCCCAGACTTGTGGTTTTATTTGACACTTAAATGGAATGAAAGAGGCAAAAGGAAGAGAAGGCGACTGCAAGGATGAGAAAGGAAGAAAGAAGGTTTGCAATACACATGTATATAAGATAAATGCTTTCACATAATATCTCATTTTATTATTCCACTTTATGCATTATAGTATTTTTCACTTCAAAAATGACAAAATTAAAGATCAGATAACTTATCTATAATTCCCAAGATCAATGGGTTGACAAATGAGAGCTCAGGGACTAGAACTCATTTGTTGTGTTATTTTCCCCTATTACTCCACAGCCAACATTTTTTCTCCTGTATTATATTGCCACATTTTTTACACTCAATATGACCTCCTTCTGTTTCTCTTTTTCACTCCTCATTTTACCCAAGCTCCACTTTTGCAAATTAAGGTGCCGTGAGAAAATGTTGGGCAAGCTTCAGATTGGAACTAAGACTGATATGGTTTGGCTGTGTCCCCACCCAAATCTCATCTTGAATTGTACTCCTGTAATTCCCATGTGCTGTGGGAGGGACCCAGTGGGAGATAATTGAATCATGGGGGCAGTTTCCCGCATACTCTTCTCGTGGTAGTGAATAAGTCTCACAAAATCTGATGGTTTTATAAGGGGTTTTCACTTTTGCTTCTTTCTCATTCTCTCTTGCCTCTGCCATGTAAGAAGTGCCGTTTGCCTTCTGCCATGATTGTGAGGCCTCCCCACCATGTGGAACTGTGAATCCATTAAACCTATTTTTCTTCCCAGTCTCGGGTATGTCTTTATCAGCAGCATGAAAATAGACTAATACAAAGACTTAGCTTGTAATTCAAGAGTGTACTATCTTATTCCCTTTATTCTTTCACCCTGATGGGAAGCATTAATGTTCAGATTCCATACAAGTACGTCTGAAGTATTGCAAAGCAGTATGAAAAGACATTATATGGAAATCCAACCAGATTCAATAATTAATAAAAATGGGGGCTCTATTAATAAAGGTAGAATATTTAAAATGGGAAAAAGAGTAAGTTCTACCTTCTTTCCTACAGGTCTGGCCATGCCTGAGAATGACGTTGTATTAAGAATCTCTCTTTAAGATGAAAAGAGACAACTTAGCATCTAGTGAAAAATGACCAGATGAGTTAAGACTTGGAAGTCATGTTATATATGAGAAAAATAATATTATAATAATAATAAATAGCCTAGGGATTTTTAAGCTATAAGACAGATATCATGAAAATTAAAAATAAGTATCTTAAAGTATGTAAAAGGGCCTAATGTGGGAGAGGGAATTGACTTGTTATGTTAAAACAAAGTATACCATGAAATAATGGGGTGAGGACACAAACATACTAAGGTGTCTGAGAGGTTTAAAGATCCTTCATTAAGTAGAGAGCTCCCTGTCCCCACAGACAGTCAAGTAGAGACTGAACTAACATTCAACCATTCTATTGCAGAAGGGAATTTAAGCATCAGAAGGTAGATAACCTGTAGATCTTTCTTTCAACACTGAGTTTCTAGGGCTCTTTATGGTCCTTACTACCGTTAATGATATGTTGTGGCAGGAATTCTTCCCAGCATAGGGTTGGAAAAATTGCTTATTTATATCCACTGCCAATTACTTAGGAGCATCCTGCACACAGTACTTGCCCAATAATTGTTTTTTTTTTTTAAGTCAAAATGCTAAAGTTCCCTGCATAAGGCGCAAATGTTCTATATAGAATATAGTACATAAACTTTCAGGGGGAAAAAATCACTTAGTTACATGGCAGCAGAGTGTGCTCTCCAGTGGGACTCTCTCCAGCTGAGTTGTGACCACCTGCCAGTCGTAGGTGAAAATGTGCTATTATTCACAAAAAGACCACAAACCTAGTGAGTTTCTCAGCATGCCAAGAACCTGGTAAATTAGTTCTGAATACTGAGGAACTGCATTTCCTTAATTTGCCTATCACTTAAACCTTCTTCTGTCACACTGTAAACCTAGGAGAAAAAACACACTTTCTCCAGTATCTCAGTTCCCACTGGACTGAGATCAGAGAGAAAAGTGAATAGCAAGGTGAGGGGGAATGATACTTAAGACAGAAATCTGAATGTAGCAGAAGAAGGAAAAACCAGTTCATCCCAATTAAAAAAATTTCTTTAATGTGTAATTTCCTTCTTTTTACTTGCAGGCAGTTTTCTGAAGGTGCACATTTAGCTTTCAGGGTAAACGTAAAGCTTGAAGCTGCAGCTCTGCACTGAAGCTACTGTTATTGTGGCATAAATTAAATAAGGGAAACATGGAGATTGATTTGGTTTTCTCCTGGAATAAGACCCCAGGGCTCCTCCAAGGTTGTGTAAAAGGCTGAGGAATCTGTAGTACAAATACTTTAATTAGCTGACAGCATGTGGGATGAATTACATTTCATTTCTGTTTAAGATGCATGTATAATAAAGGATTTGTTTCATTTTTTACAGTGTAATGGATGGATAGAGGAGGAGGATATCTTAGAAATTTGTTCATTTAAAGCAGTGATTGCAATATTATACCGCAAAGTGGAATATGACATGAAGAACACTGTAGAGAAAGTGCGTAGGAGCCTTCAGATTCTGTGGATTCTCTGTACCTTTGCCCTTCTGGCTGGTTATGAAGCTCACATCTCACCATCTAACAGCTCGAGAACTTCTGGCCCCACCTTTGGCCCTTGCCATCTTTTGCCAGCAAGAATTTAACAGCCTCTTAATTGGTCTGTCCGCCTTAGGTTTTATGTTTCTACATCCTTCCTCCTTCCTTCACTCTATAGGCAGCGTGTTCCATCAATAATGATAAGACTGGGCTCTCCCCTATTTAAAAACTTTTCAGTACCACCCTATATGATAAACTTCAGGCTCTTTCACATGAACTTGAAATGCCCTATCTGGATCTCCAGCCTCAGCCCACTTCACTGCTTTTCTTGCACATGAGGCTTCATTGGCACCTAACTACTGGAAATCAGATGAAATCATATTCTTTCTCTCTGAATTTGTCATGCCATCCATCTCCCTCCATGTGCCCTCCTGCCTCCTGTGTGGATAAGCTGCACTTCAACGATGCCTCCATATGACTCTGTAAGTACTCTACCGAAGTATTTCTACCATGTCATGAAAAGTGCACGTTTATGTGTTCACTCCCCATTAGATGGTGAGTTCCTTGAGGACAGGTTTCAATATATAATCATCTTCGTGTTCCTAGTCGGTAGTACAGGACAGAACAATAATCAAATGCTTATTGAATGAGTACATGAAAATATATTTCCCTCTATTACTTCAACAGGATTATAGCAAAAGTAATGTTTTACCAAATATTCAAGTGAGGCAGGTGTAAAAAAGTCACATACTAAAATGTGGCAAATGTTTGCAAGATAAAATGCCACTAAGAATTAAATTGCTGAGTAAGAGACTTGGGTACTAATTATCCACTATAAGCACAGGTGCTTAACATTTCACTTAATTGTAGCTATCATCCAAAATGCTTCTTTGCCCTACCTATATGCTGGTTTAGAGAAACTGACCATTTATCTATGAATATTTGAGGAGGAGGAAGGTGTCTTGCACTACCAGATCTCACTCCAGCTTCTAGCCTCACAAACACCATCACGCACAGACATACCTTTGGGATTATGTCAAAATGGAGATTCTGAGTCCGCAGTTCTGGTGCAGTATTTGGGACTTTGTGAATCTAGCAAACTCCCTGGTGATGCTGATGCTGATGCTGATGCTGATGCTGCTGGTCCTTGGATCTTACTTTCAGTGGCAAGAATTGCAAGCACTTTAGCTCCATGCAGTGTAAGGTGGCTTTCAGGGAACTGAACACCAAAGTATCTACTGCTGTGCATATAACTATACTGATAGTTTCTTTCATCCTATGTGAGCATATAAGTGGATTTAAGTTAATTTGTGTACTCATTATTTGATGATCAAGTATTTTTTAATGATTAAATAAATTCTAAATATTGCAGGCAGGGTTTTTTTTCTCATAAAAACTTCAGAAATTTTCATCTTATTTTGTTTTTATTATGTTATATTATTTTGCATTGTCATTTTTGGCACCAAGCCTACCTTCCTGACCTGTGAGCCACAAAAGAGGCCTCCCTAGACTTAAAAGTCATATAGACCAACCACCAAAAACCAGTCCTGGCAATGTTTTGAGAAAAGTAACGTTCAATATAGAAACGTAAGAGGAAATGACCAAAAAATAATAATATGCAAGACAATAAAGAAAAAAATAATTCAAAAAGATTTTTAAAAACTTTGAAAAATCTAAACCAGATATAGATCAACAGAAAAAAAATATTGAAAAAGTCTAAGTCTAAGAAGCAAGTAAAGTCGAAATGTTGTTTAGAAGGTTGGTGCTTTAAGAGAAAAATTACTCTAAATATGTGAGGACAGAGGCCCCCCAGAAATAAAAAACAAATTGAGTGAGCTAACCTCCAACTTTCTTAATGTCTTAACTTTTATGTTCAGGGGTACATGTGCATGTTTGTTACGTAGGTAAACTTGTGTTACAGGGGTTTGTTGTACAGATTATTTCATCATCCAGGTATTAAGTCATTAGTTATTTTTTTGATCTTCTCCCTCCTCCCACCTTCCAACCTCCAGTAGGCCCCAATTTCTGTATTTCCCCTCTCTGTGTCCACGTGTTCTCATCATTTAGATTCCACTTGTAAATGAGGACATGCAGTATTTGGTTTTCTGTTCCTGCATTAGTTCACTTATGATAATGGCCTCCAGCTCCACACACATTCGTGAAAAGGAAATGACCTCATTCTTTTTTATGGCTGCATAATATTCCATGGTGTATACGTACCACATTTTCTTTATCCATTCTACCATTGATGGGCATTTAAGTTGATTCCATGTCTTTGCTATTATGAATAGTGCTGCAATGAACATACACGTGCCTGTGTCTTTATAATAGAACAATTTATATTCTGTTGGGTACACTTTCAATAATGGGATTGCTGGGTCAAATGGTAGTTCTGTTTTTAGGTCTTGAGGAAAGGCCACACTGTTTTCCACAATGGTTGAACTAATTTACACTCCCACCAACAGTGTATAAGAATTCCTTTTTCTCCACCGCCTTGCCAGAACCTATTATTTTTTTGACTGTTTAACAGCCATTTGATTAGTGTGAGCTGGTATCTCACTGCAGTTTTGATTTGCACTTCTCTAATGAACAGTGATGTTGAGTTTTTTTGTTGGCTGCATAAATGTCTTTTTTTGAAAAGTGTTTATCTCCTTTGCCCACTTTTTTGGTAACCCTCATAGATTTGAGAAACATAGAAAATAGTCCTGCACAATAGAAAAATAATAACAGTGGCTGCACATGTTGCATGACTACCATCAGGCACAGAAGCTTTAAGTACATTACGTACCTTATCTCACTTAATTCTCTTGACAACCTCATGGGGTAGGTACTATTACTAAGGCCAGGTGAGTAGAAAGAAAGAAAATTAAAATGCTATTCAACAAGTTCGCAAAATCTCAAAGGAGTAAGAATCACTTTTTTCTTTAAATGGTCCTTTCTGGAATTCCATAAGAATCTTTCATTTTATTAAATTATTGAGCCAATAACCAGAAAGCACATTAATAAGGATATTACATGTATTATTTAATTTTCATAATAAGCCTGTGAGTTAAGAATTACGTTATTTTTATTTTACTGATGAGGGAACTGAGGTTTAGTGAGGTTGAGTACCTGTTCACTCAAATAGTAAGAAAGAGAACCAAGACTCAACATCCTTGTTATGTCAGTTAGTTTACAGTTTTATATTTTTAAAGGCTATATTCTTTAAAAAATAGTGTACATCCTTTAAAAATTCGTGGATATCCTGGTGTGCAAAAGTTTCCTTAGGTATATAGTGTTAAGTGGTACTGACAGATCATAGGAAATAAGCATGTTCAACTTTACTATGAAATGCCAATCCGCATTCTGCAGAAGTGTTACAATTTATACCCTCATCAAAAGTGAACAGGAGTTTCTGTGGCTCCACATTCTTGCCAGCACCTCATACATTCTAATAGTTCAATTTTCTCTATTTTTCATTTTTCTACTGGGTTTTATTTTCCTTTTTTTCTTTTTCTTTTTTGATTCACAGAAGTATCTAGATATACTACACACTAATCCTTTGTTGTTTACATGTATTGCAAATATCTCCTCCAAGTTTGTAGCACTTTTAATTCACTCTCTTTATGGTATCTTTTAGGAAAGAGAAATCATTGGCTATTTTCCTTTATGTTCTGTGCTTTTTGTATCTATTTAAAGAAATCTTTCTCTACTAAAAGGTCCATCAGTTGCAAGGTTTTCTTCTAAACATATTATAATTTTTCCTTTTATCTTCCTGAATTTGGTTTCCATGTGGATGTGAAGTAGAGATCTGTGATATATATTTTCAGAGCCCCATCCATGCTCCTTCGGCCCTCCCAACTCTCTCCCAGAGCTCTCCCAGAACTTTAGGGAAGAAGAGTTCTACATTTGGTTTTCTACCTTAGGCATCTGATTGAGGGTATTCTGTGGCTACTGAAGCAGGCTTGGCCCATACAAAGAACTGTCTGAAAAAGGACCAAAATCCCAAGAGTGACCTTCAGCCTAAGAAAGAAAAGCATCCCAACTTCTTCATATGTATGAACTTCCCCACAGTGATGACCTCCTTCACCACAATGATTACTAACTTTTAACATGCATTTCTTCACCCCCTGAATGGGACAATTGTAAGGTACTCTTTGTAGTGTCTCTGAGATTCACAGTAGACTTGAGCCTTTGTTCCCCACATTAGCCCTTGTTAATAAGTTGATAGCCAACTTATTAACATACATTTTATTATTTTTCCCTCTAATTGATTTCCTCACTCACTGACTTGCTTCCTGAGATCACCTCCCAAATAAATACTTTTATTTGAATCCTTGGTTCAATTTCAGTTATTGCAGTAACCCAAAATGTTCTAGAAAGCAAACCTTCAGGTTGAGATACTATAACTAGGTTACTTACCAGTCATATGGCAAAGGGTTTCCAATGCTGTAATAAATGGGATAGTAATGAACACTTTTATTCTTCAGTATCACTTTACTGAGAATCTCACCTATGTGGACTGGGAGGAAGCACAGGTAAAAGAGGAAACACTGACATATACATATTTCCATATATATAAATACACTATATATATAAAATATATATATGCAGTCTACAAAAGTTCTACAATTTACACACACACACACGTGTGTGTGTGTGTGTGTGTATCTCTGAGGATAGTGAGGTTGGCTGGGTTTTTTCAACTATATTGGAAGGATGAAAAAATAACAGGCTCATGTCACCCAAATATTAGCTTAGGGCCTGCTACGAAAGCAGAAGGCCTCTATTGTATCTTTAAAGAGACCCTTATCTCCTGCAGCCAGAAGGCAGAATATGCTCAAAACAGGATTCATATTTGATCGTAAGGATGGTAGGAGTTAAGAAGAAGCTGAATTAATAGCCATTGCAAGTCTTCTATGTCAAAAATAGAGTCCTGATAAGGCAAGTCTCGGAGGGAGATATCTGAGCTCCCAGATTGCTCTGAGCGCTATGGGCCAGCAGAAGAAGACACCTCTTCCTTGCTAGAGAAGAGCAGATTCCGTAACTTGAAAACCACAGAAAGCTGATGATTCACAAGATGAGTTTGCTCTCCTCAATGCAAACAATTAAATAAAATTCAATGATACAGTTAATTCAATGTCTCACCTTATTGATTATATCTAGGTTCCTGGAGCCAGTCCAGATACACTGCTAGAATGGCACCTTGCCACTTGGAAACAATGCTTCCACGTCAGTAGCTCTCAAAGTGTGGTCTACAAATCTCTACAGATTTTACAAAGCTTTCTGGGAGTCCACAAGGTCAAATGATTTTCAACCTAAGATGTTCTTTGCCTATTCTGTGCTTGGTTGACATTTCCACTGAGAGTACCAAAGCAATGGTGTATTAAATTTCTGGTGCCTTCGCAAAAAAAGCAGTGGCACCACACTGTACTAATATTCTTCATTGCCAATATTTAAAGTCAGTTTTTCTAGGGTTTTACTTGATGAAGCAGTCAAAATCATTATTAATTTTTAAAATCGATCCTTGGGAACATGTCTTTTTAATATTCAATGTGACAAAATAAGAAGTATGCATAGAGCTTTTACTGCATACCAAAGTATGAGAGTTATATCAAGGGAAAGCACTTCTGAAATTATTTCAAAATTATTTCCATAAAGGGGCTGAATAAGCCCCTTTAAATGGAACAACACTTTGCCTTGAAATAACAACTGACAGGCATATAGTGGTTATTCAGACTTGGTTATTTGGCAGTCATTTTCCCAAAAATGAGCGAATAAGCCTGTCAAGTCAAAGAAAACAACTGATAAATTGTTACCAATGATGAAATTGGAGGCTTCAAGTAAAAATTAGAACTGTGGCAAGTTTCTGTGTTACACCTTGAATTTGACCCACTTCCCAGTACTTGAAGACTTTTTAATGAGACTGGTGATTTTATTAAAGTGACTTTTAAAATATTGTAGAATGGAATACATCAACATTTCGAAGGTCTGTATAACTCAGTGAGCTAATATTTTCCAAATGATCAGTGTATGATGTTACAAGACCATGCATAGCTAAAGAATTTATTTAAGGTGCAAGATAGGCCAGTGAATTTTAATCCAGCAGAAAATGAAAAGTTCATGGAAATTATTTCAGATTCCATATCAAAGCTGTACTTTAAGAAACTACTACTTGCCAAGTTTTTGTGTAGTATTGAAGAATATTCACAACTATCTGAAAAGGCTATTACAGTATTCTTCCCTTTTCCAACTACATATTTTGTGAAGCTTCATTTTCTACATATATGTCAGCCAAAACAGCATTTAAGTACAGACTGAATCCAAAAACAGAAAAATCTAGATATCTTCTGTTGAGTTTCAAAAGACATGCAAAATGTAAATGAATGCCACTGTTCTCACTTCTATTTTATACTTTAAAAAATTCGTAAAAATATATTAGATATATTAAGCTGTAATTATTTTGTTACTTTAAAATGAATTAACACAAATATATTTTAACATTTCTCAGTTTAATTTCTAATATGATAAAGTTTCTCAGTTTAATTTCTCAGTAAAATTTCTCAGTTTAATTTCTAATATGGTCAGGGGGTGATGAGGGGAAGGAAGAGCATCAGGACAAATAGCTAATGCATGTGGGGCTTAAAACCTAGGTGACAGGTTAACAGGTGCAGCAAACCACCATGGCACATGTATACCTATGTAACAAACCTGCACATTCTGCACATGTATCCCAGAACGTAAGGTAAAATAATTTTTCTAATTTATAAAAATATATTAGATATGTTTACCTGTAATTGACTTATTTTGTCATTTTAAAATGAATTAAGACAAATGTATTTTAATATTTTCGTTTAATTTCCAATATGGTAAATATTGGTAGGCATAACCCACATAGGCAAAAACTATTCACAGTTCTCAGACATTGTAAAAGTGTAAATGGGTCTCAAGACCAAATAGTTTTGAGAACTGTTAGCCTATAGTAAATAAAGTGTAGCTCCTGAAATTTCCTTGTCAGTATACAAAAGAAGGAGTTAGAAAACTCAGAGAGGAGGTATCCTTACTAAAATGGATTTGTTATATAAAATCAGAGAATCACCAGTTCACTATGTGTCCTGGGAGGGAGCAGAGGACACTAGAATTTATTAAAGCAATAAAAAAATGCACAAGTCGGGGAGGCACAGTCTGTCCCCTGTAGGCTTGAATGAATGATGGAGGATACCATTACAAACTAGGCTCCCTAGTGTCAATATGGATGATAGAATTCCAGAACAGCAGAGTCCAAATTATGCTACGTAACAGTCAGAGGAAAGGTGGAGATGATTATGTTAATGGACAGCAAAAGAGAATGGCAACCATGGCACCTAACCCATTGGGATCTTCACTATGGCTAAAATACCATGGTATTCACAGGAGTGAAACCGATGGAAAACAATTAGAATGTTGCTTGACTTATGTAATTTTTTAAAATGCTTTGAGATGGAAAACAGAAGGCTGATATCAAGTGATGCAATCTAAAAATCACAAGCTGTTTCCGGACTTGAGCCAGTTCTTAGACACAGAGTCCATCAATTGAAGCAGAGGTCAGACACTCTTAAGGAAGGACCCTGCATCCCCACAGTAGTATGTACAAAATATTTCCCCAGTCCTTACCCAAAAGGACTTACATGCATTTACACAGGTAACACTGGAAAAAACACGAAGGTACAGGTCTTTTGAGAGCTATTGAATACAGGGTTTGAGGTGACAGCAATACCAGAGTCCAAAAATGCCAGCGTTCTCTGTAATTAGACAGGGGCCAAATGGAGAATGTGATCAATGGAGTCCGGGACCAAATATATATAAATCTACCACACACTGGGTCCAACTGGTCTGCAGACCACTCTTTGTTCACTTCCCCAGTGCCTGGATGAGATAAATATATTTAGGAGCTAATAGAACCCTCAACTTATTTTCCAACCTGTGAAGTAAGAGCCTTTTAATAGAAAAGGCCAAACTGAAGCAATTGAAACTACATTACCCTAGTCAAGACTCAGTTGTAAGCAATATCATAACCCAGCTAGATTTCACAAAATAGTGCAACCCTTGAAGACTTAAAGGAGGTAGGGATGATAGTCTTCAACATATATCCCCGTTTAATTCACTAGTATGGCCCTGCAAAAAACAGATGGATATGGCAGATGGTGATAGACTACAGTAAACTTAACAAATGGTAACCCCAATCATACATGCTGTGCTAAAGATAGTATCTTTACTAGAGCAGATAAACACAGCCTTCGGTTTCTGGTAGCAATTAATTTCCTCAATGTGTTCTTTTTAATATGCATCGGGACGGAGTATCAAAAAGTTTACATATAACCTGCAGAGGCCCTGGTTCCCGCAGGTGTAACATTTCTATCAGAGTTATAGTAAGTATTCAAATAAACTTAAAACCATGACTGCCATCTGATTGTTGTGGACTTCTTCTGTCATTGAACCAACAGGTAAAAGAAAAAGTTATTATACTGGATATAGTAACCTAGCCAGTAAATATGAAGTAAATATAAGCAGCAAGGATTTCTACTTTATGTTAGACGCAAAGAGAAATATGTCAAAAACTCTGAGGATTCTCTGGTGTATCTCTTGGTTCTTACATGCCTGGTGACAGTAGTAAATGAGAAACTGTAAAAAATGAGATTGACAAGGGCAAGGTAACTAGAGGTCAGACCCTGAAGGGATGAAGATCTCTTCCTCTCTATTGGACAACCAATGTGCAAAAGCAGAAATATTAGATGAGAATAAGGGAGAGGAGATACTGAATATTAATTTCATTCTCATAATTGACTCCATGAAAGTAACCATATATTGTCTCACTGCATTCCTGGGGATGTTTTTGTTTTTTAAGATTGTAAAAAATCAACACCTTGAAGAATCAAAGATAGAACATAGTGGATTTAAAGTGAGGCACAAAGGGAACTGAGTATTAAAATGATGCATTGCAGTGCTATAGGAGCCCTGCTCATACCCGTTTTTCCTACCCAAAAGGTCCCATGAAGCTTTATTGAACAATTTCTGTATACACCAACAATGGCATACCTCAAGTGTCTGCATCTCTATGTCTGAGATTTTTCTCCGACTGTGGAAACATATTCAGCCTGTGCACACAAGCAGGACAGAAATTTCAGAGAGGTCATGAATGACCTGATGTGGTTCTAAAGATGATCACAAATTCTTTAATACTCCTATCATCAAGACGTAGAGTCTGTTCCCTTGTCCCTTGTGTCTGGGCTGGCTTTGATGACAAATTTGAAGTAGAAGTGACAATGCATGACTTCTGAGGCTAGGTTAGCAATGCCTATGCAGATTCCACCTTTTTGCTTGAGATCAGACTTCCAGGATAGGAACCCATATGGAAAGATGAGAAATGGGTGTTCTGGTTGCTAGTTTCCACTGACTCCAACCTCTGGTTTGCCCTCAATCAAGTGGCAAATATGATGAAAGAAGCCTCCAGGTGATTCTGACCCCTTTTTTCGAGTCACCCTCAGTCATTTGAGTCCTCTTAGTTAAGTCTCCAGTCACTGTGAAGCAGAGACAAGCTATCCCCACTATGCCCTGTCCAAATTCCTACTGATAGAGCCTGTGAGTATAATAAAGAGAGCTGTTTATTTCATGCTGCTAAATCTTAGGGTAGTTTGTTTCGAGCAATCAATAACCCGAGTCTACCCCTGGGAATAACACTTAGCTAATGAAGGATAGGAGTTGGCCAATTAATATCTCAGCTTCTTTATCCTTTACATTTTGACATGTGTTCTATAAAGTGTCTCGGGGGCTTATCAGAAGGATTGAGTCCCCATTGCTTTTAGAAGCAAATGACTCATAAACACACCCATCATTTGCTTTCCTCTGTTCCCTGTCCTACTTTCCCAACCTCTGACTCTGCTTCTTCAGATTCATCTCTCAAATAACTTGCACCCAAGTCCTTGTCTCCAGGTCTGCTTTTGCGTAAACCAAAACTAAGAGTGGATCCAATTTTTTGTTGTTGTTTTCTGGTTGTGCTCCTGAATGGACTATAAAGGTACCCTATGCCATTTGTTAAAAACTCACTATCTCCCTTCTGACCAGTAGTATCGCTTCTGTTCCCAAATCAACCACCTCTCTATAATTAAGTCTCCTTTTGTGATATCTGTTTTATTCCATTGATCTATCTCTCACTGCACCAATATTAAACTTCCCTATCAGTTAGGGTCAGTCCTCTCATCTCTTCTTATTCAAGAGCATAAGCAAATATTCATATTTACATATAAATTTTACAATAAGTCAAGTTATACAAAAATACATATTGGGGCATCTATTGGGATGGCATTTGGAGGGAGGAGTTTTAAAAATGTACACATTTTAAAACCACTACATTGTGCTTTGCCAATCCATGGACATAATATACCTCATATTTAGATTTTCTAAAATGTCAAAGACGTATAGTTTTTTTTCATAAAATCTTAGAGGTTACTTTTAGGTTTATTCTGAGTACATTAAATGAGTTGGTGCTTTTTTCAAATGATATATTTTAAAGATTCTCATTTTCTATTTTTGTTTTTGGTATAGAAATGTAACTTATTTTTGCATAACAAACATTTGAAAACAATCTTGCTTTGTTCTCTCATTGGTAGCTTCTTTTGGACTTTCTAAGTATATAATCATGTCATTTGTGTGTTAATCAAGGTCTCAGCAGGAACTAAATGGCACCCTAAGACTGGGTAATTGAGGAGAACTTTTGAAAAGTTTACAAAGTGGGGCGAGGCTTAAGAAAAGCAAAAATTCATGATACAAAAACCAGAGTTAGTAATCTAGGGACCTGGGTAGGTGGTTGATTTGGGAACAGAAATTGTACTACTGGTCACTAAACCTGAAGGGGCAAAGAAGGGGACTAATTACATAAATTTCAAAAAATAAATATGGGGAGGGCCACCTGGCAGGATTCATGGCCTTTGTTAGAGGGACAAAGGGAGGAAGCCAGGAAAACACATACCCCTACCTTCTCTCCCCACTAACCCTCTAATATCATACTGGTGTGTCATATTGGCTAAATTCAAATAAGTGCCAGAAAATAAACACATTGATACAATTCATTCAGACCAGTCTTCTAAAACACAGAGTAAAACAGAGTGGGTGGAATGAGGATGCAAAGGGGAAAATGGAAGGTAACCAGCCCAATCTGCAAAGATTGACAATTTTATTTCTACCCTCCCAGTCCTTGTCCTTCGGATACAAATTGTTAGTTAATATGCCTATTATGTTTTTTAGCTTTATGAGGAATAATTGACCAATACATATTGTATATACACAAAGTATGCAACATGATTTGATATATACATACACGCTGTGAAATGATTATTCCAATCATTAACATTAACACATCCGTCACAACCCTTGGTTATCATCGTGTATGTCTGTGTGTGTGTTGAGGGGTTGGTAAAGACACTTAAGATCTACTGTCTTGGCAAATTTTAAGTATACGTACAGTATTATTCACTATAGTCACCATGCTGTACATTAGATCTCCAGAACTCATTCATTATATAACTGAAAATTTATACCCTTTGAGCAATATCTCCCCTATTCTCCCACCCCTACTTCCTGACAGCTATCATTCTATTCTGTTTCTGTAAGTTTTTTTAGATTCTGCATGTGAATGAGATCATACACTATTTGTCTTTCTGTGTCTGGCTTGTTTCACTTAGCCTAATATCCTTCAGGTCCATTCATGTTGTTGCAAATGGCAAGATTTACTTCTTTTTAGGGCTGAATAATATTCATGTGTATGTGTGTGTATCACACTTTCCCTATCCATTCATCCATCTATGGACACTTAGGTTATTTCCATTTCTTGGCTATTGTGAATAATGCTATAAGGAAAATAGAGAAACAGGATATCTCTGAGATGCTAATATCATTTCCATTGTATAAATACTCAGAAGCAGGGTTGCTGGACTATACAGTAGTCTTATTTTTTTTAGGAGCCTCCATACTGTTTTCCATAATGGCTAATGCAGTGCATAATAGTGTACTGCACAGGGTTCCCATCTTCTCCTCACCTCTGCCAATACTTGTTAGGTCTCATCTATTTGATAATAGCCATCCTAACAAGTGTGAGGCAATATCTCATTGTGGTTTTGATTTTCACATCACTGATGATTAGAGATGTTGAGCACCTTTTCATATACCTGTTGGCCATTTGTATGTCTTTGCAAGAATTTCTAATCATGTCCTTTGCCCATTATTTAATCAAGCTATTTCTTTGTTTACTATTGAGTTTATGAGATGCCTAAGTTTTGATGGGAGGAATGATGCCAGCCAAAATGTATATTATATGCATATGTATGTGTGTGTGTATATACACACATTTCTGTACATATATATTTACTAAAAAAACTTCCCAAATGTAATGTATTTAAATCAACTGAATCTGACATCATGTACCCTTAGATACTAAGCGAAAACTATAGGCCCTGTAGAAATCTTAGAAGTATTTCTAGGGAAGTTAACCCATAGAGTTAAGAAATGGTCAATTTAATATTAAAACATGGAAAAACACTAATACAATTCAGCACACAATGATCTATCCCCAAAACATTCAAAGATCATAAGTGGCAGTCATTTGGCAGTGTGAAAATTAAATCATACCACTAACAATTGAGTTTCCATTTTTAGGAAACTTTGAGACCTCATAAAAAATATACAAGTTATACAAGCTTTCTGTTAAATTTTAGCCCCTTGTGACAATATCATAGGAAGGCTTGGAATATTCCAGGACTGTTAGGTAGTGAAATAGTTGATCTCCCTCCAAAATACCTAAAAGCTTAAGACTAATCTTAGAGGAAGTGTCACAGGTGGTCTACCAAGATTAAAATGATTCTATGTCTTTATCAATGACTTGGTAAAGACTTTGAAAAATATATTCATCAAATTGCTAATGTCCTTAAATTAAGAATTACTCAGGTATAAAAAGACTTAATACACTTTAATCTTGAAAAAATTGGGGAAAATATTTTTGAAAAAGCTGAAGTTTAATAGTTGCAAACATAATATTGTCCACTCATAAATATACACACACACATACATATACATATGTATACACATACACACACATTCATGTATACATATATATACAGATATAACACATGAGGAAAATGATGAGGCACAAGAATAGAAGGAAATTTCCAGGGGCTCAACTTATTTCTCTCCTATAATGCACAGTGTGGGTATAGTTGAATATAAATTTTTATAAAGCATACGGAGAATCAGGATTACGGGAAAAAGATATTGTTTATTAGAAAAAAGGCAACTGGAAAGATCATCAGGAAATTTTATGGAAAAGTTTCAGATGGAAATAAGCAGGGTTTCTAGAAACTACTATAGGAAGTCAGCTCAGAGAAGTGGACGGACTTGTAAACTCTAAAGTTCATCTGTCTTAATTCAAATAACATTTCCACTAGCACTGCCATCTCACCTCAGAAAGACTACTTATGTTCTGGAAGTTTCAGTTTCCTTATCTATAAAGTGGTGATAACAAATTTAGCTATATTGCAACACTGTTATAAGGGAATGAATGGTATAAAAAGTGTAAAGAGCTTAGGACATTACCTGGCATCTAGAAAGAGCTATGCTAGAGGAAATCCTCCTAAGAGAGAAAGGCTGTGAAGCTGGACTGATACCAGAAGCTCAAAGACAGGCAGGTGAGAAATCTTAATCCCATGGGATTAGAGACAGAGAACCATAAATCTGTGGCTCCAGGGAACATTCTAAGTATGCTCCTATGATGCATATTGTACCTAACAAGCAGTGGATTAAGGGGCTTCATTAGGAAGACATGGCCAATTCATAGGAGGCATTAACACATCTCTACTTGTCTTTGTAAGGAACATTTTGATAAATTGCTTAGGATGAGGGGCAGAGTAAATACTTCACTGCCCCCCAACCTCAAACAAAGGGTAGGCCCAAGGAACGACAGATGACAGATGACCAGTAATTTGCCATCAAGGGGATGGGACTGGCAGGTCCACCTATCCATCAAGTGGCTATTTCACTGCATGGTCTGTGCCTATTTGGAGCAGAATTGCTGAAGATGATAGAGAGGAGAAAGACTGAGATCAACCAGGAGCACCATCCTTTTCCTCTGTTTCCTCATAAGTGCATGGCCTTTTCACTTAATAAATGCTGTTCAAATTTGCAAAGAAGATTTGCTTGATAAAATTCCAAATTACTACATTTTTTAGGATACTCTTATGTCTTGGTCTGGTTCTGACCACAGAATACATTTTCCTGGGGCTGAATGTTACCCCGTCATATTACCTAGTTCTGCTAGTTCTAGGCTTGTTCATCCTTTATGAACTGAAGGACATTCTTGGAGAAGAAATGTAGGAAAAGAAACACAAAGAAAACAAATCAGAATATTTAAAAGTTGCCTCCCTTAAAAGAAATGTAGTAAGAGAAGAGAGGGAAAGAAATAATTCAAGTATTTAGGAACGCAGTTTTCATGTGCAGGCTCTTTACTTTCTTATCAATGGAATCTTATTGTCCTCTTGCTCACTAAAAGTCAAAATCCCGAGTCTGGAAGGGGGGTCTTGATAGTTCAATTTTTACCTTCAATGCTGTAAGTCAGAGAGACTGACTTATGGTATAGAGACCATACAGAGAGACCTTCAATGCTGTAAGTCTGGCTAGAGAAAAATTAACGGTCTTCCAGCCACCATTCAGCCTCCAGGAATAGGGTGATATCCTTCAGGAGCATGTAGCTGCTTCACCAAGAGGACATCATGAAGAGTTTGGGAGGCTCTTGGGGCTGCTTTGGAACAGAAGTTCAATCATTCTTTGCATTTGAGCTTTATTTATATTCCCTAATATTAGCCACTCTCCTGTCCTTGGTACTTTTTCATTAGTGGGAATACAATCTATGTCTGGGCTTATCATCAGTAAAGCGAAGACTTGGTTGTTATTGAACCAAAGCTTAAAACAAACTTCCCTGTGGCTACCCATTAAGCCTTTTTAATAGTGTTACTCCAAGGTACTAAGTCTACTATTACTAGAAAATTTTAAATCCACATAAAGCACCTTAACTTCAGCTTTCTTGTTTATAAAATTGAAATTCTGGAACACAAAATAGATTTGTGAACTCCATTTTGCAAAATACCAAGGTTCCTTTTTAGGAGCTTCAATTACGACAGCACACAGAGAGTCTCCCAGAACACTTCCCCCAAAGCAGCTCTGCCTGTGTCAATTTTAAGATGGCATTTAATAACATGATTCCACTGCTTAAAAATAAAGTTTGAAAATACTAGACTAGAAGATCCCTAAAGTTCCTCCCAGTTTAGGTATTCTTTTGTTCTATTAATTAATTGGGGACTTTTTAACCAGAGAACAGAAGGCTAAGATGTGACTTGATTCACATATTCAATAGTTCCCCCAATTTATGAAAGAGAAGCTTATTGGCTTTTTCAAGTGCACAGGAGGGCCAACATGAAATAAATAGGCTTAGATTAAAAGAGGTACATTTCCATTTCAATTTAAGGCAAAGACATGACCATCATGATGGTGAACAAGGAAAATGGAGCAGGTATCATCAGCCTGGAAGAATCAGAAAACTTTTCTTCAGCTGTGGAGTCAATTATTTTGAGAAGTACATCCTGGCCACATGATGAGAGAGGTCAATAACTTTTAAGAAACTGATAAAGGACAGAAATAGTTCATATTTGATTCAAGGACCAATCTAAAACCTAACTGCAGAGGCAGCTCACTGCAATCTGATCTTTCTGTGGAGTTTATTAATGTTGTCTGGATGCAAATAACATGTGCATGCTTGATTCATATGCAAAACAGATATGGAGGTAGTGGTTCTCAACCTTGGCTGCAAATCAAAATTACCTAGAGAGCTACAAAAAAATACGTATGCCTGGGATCCACCCTAGACCACCCAAATGAGAATCTGTGTAGGGAGTAACTTTTTGTGGGGGCTACAAATCACAAAAGCACAGATTTTCATAACCAAGGAGAGAAGTTGCAGTCCAGGCTGGCTTTAGTATTTTGTATTAAAGACCAAGAAACCAGCTGGGAGACAAGTTGCAGAGAATGGTGTTCAAAGTTGTGGGAGAGAATGTCTGTGTGCTGGGAGAAAAAAAAAATGAAACGTGTTGATTTAGTTGATGATCAGGGAAGAGTATGAGGGAAATGATAAGAAAACATAGGAAAGGACATCAAAAAAGATAGAAAAGGGTCCTTGGTAAAGTAATAAAAGTATTGTGAAGAAGCTACTTTGTTAGAGGGTGGCAAAAGAGAGGCAGCCAGAACTTAAAGAGAGGGGAAAACGGGAGGAAAGTGTAAAACAGCTTCACCATGAAAGAGCCAGGCATGGAATGTTAAATGAGAAGACAGGTGAAGCAGAGGAAAAACTGAAGATGAGCCTTGCCTGGCCCAAAACCAGTGAAGGGAGTGAAAGCTCATGTAAAAGAGTGCTGCCCAGAGATCAGGTTGACCTCATGTGCTGGAGGCAAACAGGCTGCCTTGAGAGTAAGCCAGCGAGTTGACAGACTTGTTAAAGAAAAAGGGACAGGGACATGGATGAAGCTGGAAACCATCGTTCTCAACAAACTAACACAGGAAGAGAAAACCAAACACCACATGTTCTCACTCATAAGTGGGAACTGAACAACCAGAAGACATGGGCACAGGGAGGGGAACATCACACACCGGGACCTGTCGGCGGGTGGAGGGCTAGGGGAGGGATAGCATTAGGAGAAATACCTAATGTAGATGACGGGTTGACGAGTGCAGCAAACCACCATGGCACATGTATACCTATGTAACAAACCTGCATGTTCTGCACATATATCCCAGAACTTAAAGTATAGTAAAAAAAATTAACATCAAAAAAAAAGAAAGAAAAAGGGACAGAGTAAAATGTCTCCTTAGGAACCAAGAACCTGATGCCAAGGAAATAACTAAGGAATAGCACCTATTGAGTCACTTGTGTGAAGAGATCCTAATAAGAAAAGACAGATGGTCTAGAAGTGCCAGCTGCTCTGAACTCACCAAGAGAGGAAAAAGGTGGGTGATTTTAAAGCCTCCTTAAAGTCTAAGCCCAAGGAAGGAGCAGCATTCTCAAACATCTAATTTTGTTGAGAGATAAATGTGTCCTTGGCAGTTCCTCAAGGAGTTCAAGCTCCTCCTATAAGCTGGTCTGTGTGACTATGGAAAAATTGATTCATTGGCTCTATTTTCTAGGGAAGATGCTTAGCCCACGGTAGCTGAAACTGCTTTTTAATAAAGGGCGTTCATTATTCCTCCTGGAATTTTCTTACAAAACTGGAAATTTGTAGGTAGCTTAATGTGGTATGAAGTTATACTAAAGTGGGAATCAATGGACATTTTTAGCCCTGAATTGCCTTCTTTAAAGGGAATTTCCTGAGCCTTTCCTTTAGACACTAGGACATGGAAACAGTGTGGGCTTGGATTCAGTCTTGTCTCCTCTGGCCTTGGCTACCTCCTTTTCCTTCCATTTGCCCTTACAGGTATTTCCATCCATTTGCCCTGAAAGGTACCTCCTGTCACTAACGTGTCAGAGATCAGTGGTTCTTCACTAGTTATAACTATCTGTCTCTTAGCACACTACTACGGACAGATCTCCAGGGAGCAGATTTCTTATCCTGATCTCAAATAGATGAATTTCAGAGCATCCTATAAATCATAGTAGATGTGTACGTTAACACAAGCCTGTGCATATGCACCTTCTGGGAAAAGGATCCACAGCTTTCAAGACTCCAATAATAGCTTTTGTGGTTATTGTTTCAAGTGAGTAACAATATCTACAGTTGCCCTGAGAGTCATTCTAGATTCTATTTCATGAAAATTAATGAGGTTGAGCCCCCTCTTACAAAAAAAAAAAAAGGAAAAGAAACTGATTGAAAGAAGTTAAGAATGGGACCCATTGACTCTTTATGTGTCTAAGAAAAAGGCTCCAAGTTACTGATAAACATGGTACAGGCTTCTTTATGACTTTTCTATATAGGCCTTCCTGAGCTTTTTCTTTCAGAAAATAAGTTCTTGCTGACCTGATCACAAAACATTGTCAAAAACATATTTATTTTCTCCTGAAACTTGAGCATGAAATACATAGTTTGCCTCTCTCTATTCAGGGGTTCTGATACTAAAAATAGGGACTGACAGACACAACTCTGAAGTATAACAGGTGAAGAAGAGTAAGTCGAACAGTTAAAATTTAAAAGCAATAATTATCACTTAGAACAATATTCTTCATCTTAGTCTTTCAGGGCCATTGTTAGGTAATGTTAAGTATAACTTTGTTTCCTATAATAAACTTTTAGATTTGAAATAGAGGTTCTTTTCCTCACAGCATTTTGTCCTCACTTTTCTATGACAGGACAGAGGGAGCTGCGGGAGCAGTGCTAGAAGTGAATGGGGTAGAGCCACCCATGAGTGTGTTAAGGAAGCTTTAAAACAGCACAAACAAATTCAAACACTTAGGGCAACTCAAATGCTAGGTTACCTATTTTGACTCCTGTCTGAGTCATTACTGTGGTCCAGCACAATCAGTTTTCTTAAGGGTCTGAGATCCCCAAAGTAAGCCAAGTGCAATAGCCCTGTTATGGGAATACAGAGAAGAGACTCCTATCCCTAACTCAAAGAATATTCTGCATTAACTAATTTATGCAGATTTACCCCAAGTTCAATTTACTCATACCAGTAACCATGTGGAAGGTATTCTGGGTAGGTCCTATAACATGAGGTCCAGTCCATGCTTATTACCTTGATGGAAACTAGATACTAAATGTGATCAAACAGTATCTCTGCAGAGCTTTCCTTATCTTCTTGGTGACAGATGGTATGATAAAACTATCTTTGTATTCTTAGAACAAACCATGCTCAGTCACTATGAATATAGTCGTCCCCCAGTATCTCCAAGAAATTGGGTCCAGAACTCCACAGGGATACCAAAATCTGAAGATGCTCAAATCCCTCATGTAAAATGGAGTATTTGCATGTAACCTACACACATCCTCCCACATACTTTAAATAATCTCTACATTTATAATACCTAATACGATGTAAGTGTTATGTAACCACTGTATGGTTTTTATCTGCATTATTTTTTGTTTTATCGCTATTTTTATTGAGATTTTTTGTGAATATTTTTGATCTATGTTTGGTTGAATCCACCGATGCACAGCCCACAGAAACAGAGGGCTAACTATACACTGACTGGCAAAGATATTTCATCTTACCCTGCTGATTGGGTTGCTAATAATGTAAAGCCTCCTCATTTACTCTTGGTCTACCTCAGTTTACCAACTTTTAACTTTCCCAAAAGGGAAGAATTTAGAAGCAAAATTTTTAAATGTTTTAAATTGTAATCTAGATGTGACATTTAGCATCTTCCTGATTTGGGGGTAAGAATCCAGGCTTACTCTAAACCTGATAGTGTCTCACATGAGCATTATTTTCCCTTTCTCTGTCCCCAGTGCTAACTTCCCTTCTGTAATTTTCCATCTTTCTCCCTCAGGCCTCAACCTTTCTTAAGATTCTCCTCTTAGGATAAGAAACCTCTATCTTCAGTCTCTTCTTGAGTGCTAATAATTATGCTTTAGGCCACAGTCAATGAAGTTCATGTCTCTGGTTTCTGCTTGTACTGCTGTGGTGGAAGTTTAAGTTTGGTCCCAGTAAGTGTTTCAACTCCATTTCTACATCTCAATTATGGCTTCAATAATTCCTACCTAATTTTTTAAAGGCAAATATGTTACTACTTTAATTTTGTCAACCATGCAATCTAGACTCAAATGTATAGTCTTCTTACAAATAACTTTGGTTCTTCACCCTCAAGATGAAAGGTTCACTTTGGGGACTAATTCTTGCTGTAAAAGTCGTGCATTCACCGACATATCTTTACCTGAGCCCTCTGGAATAAATAGGATGGCTCATGTGGTCTCTGACACCAAAGTGTACTCTTCCATAGCAGTGTGTACGTAGTCTAGGAGAATATTTTACCTGCCAAAAGCAAGGGTAAGGCAGAGAACAGAAGAAGTAATTATGTCCTCACAACAATGAGCACCAGATCAATGAATAAATTTCTCATGGGCGTTCCCTCTTCCTCATATCTGGCCAGCTTTCCTGTATTCTCACCTTCTTATCTCTCCAGACTCTTCTGTTTCAGAAGCCATATTCTTCCCTTATCTGTTCTGTCTTTCCAAGTTATGATTTATAATGTATGCCAAAGGCTTGGAATCAAGCCAGAGGAGGACTAATGAATACATAAGAGCTGAACACAACCTCCCAAGGAGTTGAAAATGGCCTTTTTTGGCTCTTCCAAAAGGCTTTTTAAAAACTTTGCCTTGTGCATTTTTAACAAGGATTCAAATTTGGATCAAAATTCCATTCCACAAGCCTCTCAATAGGCAGGGTTTTAATATGACATTTGTGTGCCTGTTTTTCTGTATAACTTGTCCAAAAATTGATCAAAACTGGCTGCTTATTACACAAGGTGCAATCTTCCACTCATAGGTTTTATGCTTACTGAAGAGACACGAGGAATTCAGTAGAATTACATTCATAACTTACAGATCCCAGAAATACATTTACCTGTCACTTATCTTCTTAGTAAAGACTACTAAAAGAGAAAATAGATAAGGGACTTGAAGTTTATTCTTCTGCTTCTGTGGGTTTTGCAGATGTCCACAGCTCTCTACCTGTTGCCCATCCTAAAATAGCAGTCAATGAGTACTCAGGGTTCTCACATAAGAATCTGAGTGGCACTGTGCACAGACAGTAGAAAAGGTCTACATTGCCTTATCTTCCCTCTCAATCAAGGCACAGCATTCCCAACATGTTCAACAATGTTCTGTTAAGTGGTTTTCCAATTGTGGATCCCCTTGTGAGTCATTAACAATGGTACTAGAATTTTATTTTTACTCATAAGGTATTATATAGAAACTGGCTACCCCTTCATCTGAATGCATTCAATCTAGAAATGCACGTACTAATCTTTCTTCCCTCAGCCCCCTCCTCAAAAAAATTACTTGGGTAATTTTTGAGGTGTGTCGGTCACTGGTTGTCAGTCAATGAAGTAGTCTTTCACCACAGACATGATTTGGATTCTAGACTATCTGTAAGACATAAAAACAACAGCTTCCATATAGAGATGCCAATTTGAGCTTGCCATTATCTGCCAATGTTGTCCAATGACTCTGTACTCCTCTGTCCTAATAGCTGTTCCTACCCCAAATATCAAAAATTAAACAGTCTTCTCATGCCCTTAGAATTTTGTGTTTTGTACAGAATCAACTGCTTCCCCCAGCTTGTTCAGAGCACGGCAATCCTCAGTATAGAACACTGCTTGAGATAAATTGTTCTGGTCTCAGTAGGGCCCTCCATATCTACTGGGAGAAAAGCAGACTCTGTCTAAACTGGATAGTGAAACTTTTCCCTCTGACGGTCTTATGCAATTAGGAGTTTTCCCACAGAACTTTTCTCAGTCCTCTCTCCATCTAGAAAAGCAATGATTGACTTGGGGTTTCAGTTACCTGAAGTTCATTCTTTGTGTGGAACCATGCCCTCAACTCCACTGAGAGGAAGAATTCTCATTCATCAAGTGAATCAGATACATTCCATACATAAAGAGCTTTGCTCTTCCAGAATCTTGCTGAACAAATTATGGTCCAGGTAAATTACACTTTGCAAATAATGTGATTCCATAAAGCCTAATTCCATTAGTCACTGGAAGGCTTTCTTGATATGTACTGTTCATGCTGAAGAAAACTCTCTTGAACACATAAATGCTGTTTTATCTTTGCCAGCCATGGAGATATTATAACTGTTCCTTAATTTTAACATAGGGGCACTGAATGCTCCCTCTATGGTTTGAATACGTCCCCTAAAGTTCATGTGATGGGAACGTAATTGTCATTGTAACTATATTAAGAGGTAAAGATTTAAGATGTGATTAGGCCATGAGAGGTCTATCCTCATGAAGGGATAAATGCTGTTATT
The DNA here is from genome assembly GCF_000001405.40 of Homo sapiens. Lineage (NCBI taxonomy): Eukaryota > Metazoa > Chordata > Mammalia > Primates > Hominidae > Homo > Homo sapiens. The sequence goes on along the minus strand of NC_000015.10, from coordinate 46,218,141 downwards.
GATGAAGTGGATTAGTTATCACGAAGTGGGCTTCTGATAAACGGCAAAGTTCAGCTCAAATTCTCTCTGCCTCACATGTTTATGTGCCCTTTACAATGGGATAATGCAGAAAGAGGGTCCTTACAAGATTTAACACTTAATCTTAGGCTTCCCAACCTCCAGACACATGAACCAAATAAACCTATTTTATTAATTACTCATTCTGTGGTATTCTGTTATATCAACAGAAAATGGACTAAGACATCTCCCCACTTTCATTACATGTTTAGATACTATTGATAGACATGTCACTCTGAATCTGTGCTATTTGAACACGAAGGTGTGCTTATGAAGGTGTGCTATTTCAACAAGAGAGATAATAGTGAATAGAGTTTTCAATCACCCATTGGTTGCATGAAGTTCTGGGAAGAAATTATTTATTCCCTAATAGTACTTGGATACTGCTTTGAAATATGTCAAAATGTCAGTTTCTTTCCAAATAAAGTATAAAAGTCTTGGTAATAGAGCAACAACTTACCAATAATTCACTTGGGAAATTCTGATCTTACTGAATTAATATCATAGTTTCAACCTTAGAGTAATAAGCTTGAGTTTTCTCAGCTATTATCACTGAAAAGTCACTTGAAGAAATGTAACTTTTTAAAAATATTTGATGTTATGAACTAATGTTTCTTTTCTTTTTTTTTAAATTGTGACAATTTTATTTGGGCAGGTTTTATCTCATTAAAAGCAAAAAAAAAAATTGAGTAGCTTTTCCTTTGGACAGCCTGAAAATTTGGTTCAAACTGGTTCACACTATACAAGTTATTGTACATTATATTTCGAGACATATTGAGTAGATGTGTTTCTAACTTTTACTTTCATTCAATACTGCATCAAGATTTAGAAGAATTGCTGGCTAACAGCTGTTTCCTGTGAACAAAATAATATGCACTGGCTTGCAGAGGCAACCTCTTGCTCATCTAGCAATACCATCAAGTGCTTCAGACCTGGCTAAAACTCGGTACTTATTTCTACACACTTTTCCAAGTCTTCACTATGGCTCACAATAGTTCAAACACATAGGAAAAGAAATCACAACTGTTTTCATACGACATGAGTTTTCAGTAACAAACAGAAGTCACTGAAGGGTTCTCCCCCCGTAAAGCTTATTGATAGCTAATTTGTATTCTGAACCTCAGTGGGTTATGTCTCACTATAAAGACATACCTGAAAGTACAAATGTTGCTTGATCACTTACCTTATCATTGATAAGTGATATTTTGCTAGTAACTCATCCTGATATTTCTCTGAGCACAAATGTTTGCCACTAACTCACTACTGATCCTACAAAGTTCTTAGCAGTAGGGACACCCATCTGTTTTTCCTATGCCGGGTGTATGTAAGGGCCTCTGGTTTCAGATTTTCTACCTCTTAGGACAAAATTTAATAATTTTATGCTAGAAAACATTATTATTTTACCTAGAAAGAGTCAAATGGCCTACCAGAATGTTGTGCCTTAATTGAAAATGGTGTAAAAGCTTCTGAGACTTTATGCAAACTTCTTGACAAATAAGGAGCTGTGGGCAAACTGCCAATCCAACAAAACTCAATTCATAGTTTTATTTCTTACCACCTTTTTGGCTGCTTGAATTAAGTAATTACTCATTCTCTTGCCTCAGCACATAAAAACTGACATCTTATACTTGCATTAAAGGCCTGTTAAATATTTCTTAATGATGTTCTAACTTGTAGGATTTCATTTTCATTATTATGAAAATGTCATAAAATATTTAATTGGCAGTAACAATAACAAGCATACTTTAGTGGCAGCTGTGTGCTTGCATGTGTGGATGATGACTGTTTCCAAATGTCTTGATATGGTTTGGCTGTGTCCCCACCTAAATCTCATCTTGAATTGTAGTTCCCATAATCCCCACATTTTGTGAGAGGGACCTGGTGGGAGGTAATTGAATCATAAGAGCTGTTACCCCCATGCTGTTCTCATGACAATGAGTGAGTTCTCATGAGATCTGATGTTTTTACAAGGGTCTTTTCCCCCTTTGCTCAGCACTTCTCCTCCTGCAACTATGTGAAGAAGGACATGTTTTATATGTTTTTGGACATAGTGGTAGTAGAACTGCAGAGACTAAAGCAAGGCTTTTAATGATTTCTCAACAGTTCCATTCCTATGCAACCAAGACGTTCTAGGGTCCTGATATTTGAGATCCATGCCTTCCCTGAGCACTCAAACTAGAAAAGTGATAAAATTAGGACAGAACATTTCTTAATTGATCATTGCCTTAAGATCACAGATGTGGCAAAGCCATGACAACTCATTTCTCAAACAGGATTGGGAAGTGGATGCTCACACACAAGCCTTGTATGATCCCCCATAAATTCCTGATTTCTTGCCCAGAAGAAAATAGAGAATGTCCTCTACAGAATCAAAGCTGCTAGAATGAGGCTTTCCATTAAAGACCTCTATCCTTAACTTTTTCAATGGATACAAGACAGATTTTTGTCTTAGCTATCACAAATGATACATTCTTAGAGTATGGATAGTCTAATTAAGTAGGTATCCATCTTCAGAAGAACCATATAATATGGAAACAAAAAGGTATCTTTCTATGGGCTTTTTTTTAAAAAAAAAAATAGGATATATATACATATGTCATCCTTTTTTTATTTGAATAGGTTTTTGGGAAACAGGTGGTGTTTGGTTTAAGTTCTTTGGTGATTTCTGAGATTTTGGTGCACCCATCACCGAAGCAGTGTACACTGAATCCATGTGTAGTATATTATCCCTCATCCCCCCAACCCTTTCTTCCAAGTCCCCAAAGCCCATTGTATCATTCTTATGTCTTCACGTTCTCATAGCTTAGCTCCCTCATATTAGTGAGAACATACGATGTTTGCTTTTCCATGCCTGAGTTACTTCACTTAGAATAGTGGTCTCCAATTCCATCCAGGTTGCTGCAAATGCTATTATTTTGTTTCTTTTTATGGCTGAGTCCTATTTCATGATATATATACGCCACATTGTCTTTATCCACTCCTTGATTGATGGGCATTTGGGCTGGCTCCATATTTTTGCAATGGCGAATTGTGCTGCTATAAACATGAGTGTGCAAGTATCTTTTTCATATAATGACTTCCTTTCCTCTGGATAGATACCCAGGAGTGGGATTGCTAGATCAAATGGTGGATCTACTTCTAGTTCTTTAAGGAATCTCCACACTGTTTTCCATAGTGGTTGTACTAGTTTACATTCTCATCAGCAGTGTAAAAGTGTTCCCTTTTCACCACATCCATGACAACATCTATCATTTTTTTTTATTATGGCCATTCTTGCAGGAGTGAAGTGATATCACATTGTGGTTTTGATTTGCATTTCCCTGATAATTAGTAATGTTGAGCATCTTTTATATGTTTGTTGGCCATTTGTATTTCTTCTTTTGAAAACTGTTTATTCATGTCTTTCGCCCACTTTCTGATGGAATTGTTTGTTTTGTTGTTATTGATTAGTTTGAGTTCCTTGTAGATTCTGGATATTAGTCCTCTGTCAGATATGAAGATTTTCTCCCACTCTGTAGGTTGCCTGTTTACTCTGCTGATTATTTATCTCGCTGTGCCCAGGCTTTTTAGCTTAAGTCCCATCTATTTATCTTTGTTTTTGTTGCATTTGCTTTTGGGTTCTTGGTCATGAAGTCTTTGCCTAAGCCAGTGTCTAGAAGAGTTTTTCCAGATTTTATATATAATTTGATTATGCATATAATCAATTATAATTTATATATAATCTTATTATTCCAATCACATATATATACACAATCCAATTGGAATTAAAATACTTGGAATATATATGATTAAATTATATAATCACATATGCATGATCAATTTATATAATACCAAATTTATATATAATATATAATCAGATCATATATTATCTGTATATAATATTAACATTTTATATATTCCTAACATGATCTCACTTTAAATTGTTCTTAACTCACTTTAATATGAGGACATCACTAACTTCATAAAATAAATTAGGCCTCTAGATCCTTCCTACTATCACAGCCTTTACCCCCAGGTCAACAAACCAATGTGTAGATTCTGTCAAGGCTAAATACAACCATTCCTGTAATATGTAAATATTAGGGGAAAATAACCAAAATATAGGTCTACTGCAATTTGGACTTGGATCAAGACTCAATCAAATAACATGTACAAGCCTCCTCTTACAACAGTGGAATATGGTAACATTTTTTGTTTCAAAAAATCATTGTTAAATTATCCAATAACTAAACATCCTAGAATAACTGATATCTGTTGTATATTCAGTCTCCTTTGCAGCTCCAAAATTATTACTAGTGAATCATGAACCTGCTTTTGGAACATGGCCTTCTTTTGGCACATGGCCATTTTGTTGCAGGAGCAGATGAGGAAATAAGGCTCAACACACCTTGTGTTCAAAGCTGGCTGATAATAGTCTGTTTTTCTTATTTTTAGTGATCATGTCTAAGTAGGTTACAAAAAACAGCAAACTTCACAATCCTTATTATTACTGCCTCTCTGGCATTCAAGTAATAGGTTTGCTGTCACTTCCTCTTCTATCTATATATCATCATAATCCACCCAAAGGTCAACTCTAAGTATTGGAATGCTGTTAGAAGAATTATTATTACTCTCATCAATTGGGGCTTCTTTTACTCTCTTATCATCAAATGATCTAATATCTGTACTCATTTCTGTGTTTCTGCTTTCTAATAACACTTCTGTATAAATTGATCTAATATGAGTAACCCCAAAGGTCTAGAAAGAGACGTTTTTGAATACAAGTATTTTGAGAATTGATGCCAAAGATAATTGTGAAAGGAGAAAGAAAGTGATGAGAAAAAGCCAGTGTAAGAATACGTTTTTAAAAAGATCAATCTGGCCAGTGAGGTGTCTTACTTGATCAGAATCTTCTGAGATTGATAGAGGATAAATCCCAATACAGTTTGACTACTGGGGACTAGAATATTGATCCACTGACTCCTGTCTCTAATTGGTCAAAATTTCACCCCAATCTTATTAACTTCATACTTCCGTGCTATATTTGCGTGAAGGCACATCAGGTTCACTTGGTGTCAGAAGGCCCAAGAGCAGAAAGTGGAAAGAAGCAGGGCATATAACTTGAAGTAATGGGTAATGTGCTCTTAACAAGAAATAAGTCTGAGTTTCCACAAATGTCTACTACAACTGAGGTCAAGAAACAAAAGAGATATGACAAGGAACACTAGGATTATCTGCACAAATGGGTAACTGAGTGGGGAGAGCTATCATGAATGTAAATGTGATAGTGGAGGGTCCCACATATGTTAACGGCCTAAAAATATTACACAAGATTCTGCACTGGAGGTTTTTCTGAGGATTCTTAAGCATAACATTGCCCCTAAATTTATGAATGAACCCTTTAAGGCTGATGTAGTCCAAGTGTGAGGATAAGGTCCATCACTTATAACACAGATGATCTAGCCTATTAAGATAAACAAGTCAATTAGGTTAACAACTTTTTAATTTATTAAATGTAAACACTGAATTTAAATATTATTTGGCTCATAGGGTGTTTGAAGTTTTATAAAAATCAATTCATTATGGTCTACTGACAGTTTGAAGCAGAAACAATAGTCAAGTTTAAAGTTGCCTACCCAAAAAGAGTCACACAAATGGCCAACATGTATATGAAAAGGTGTTCAACATTACTAACCATCAGAGAAATGTAAATAAAAAACTCAGCGAGACATCACCTCACACCTCTTAGGATAGCTATTATCCAAAACAAAAACAAAAGATAACAAGTGTTGGCAAGGTTGTGGAGTAACTGGGACCCTTGTACACTGCTGGTAGGAAGGTAAAATGTGCACCCACTATGGAAAACAGTATGGAAGTTTCTCTAAAAATTAAACATAGAACCACTAAATGATCTAGAAATCCTACCTCTGAGTACATACCACAAGAACTGAAATCAGGATCCTGAAAAAGATAGTTGCATTCCCATGATGTTCATTGCCTCATTACCCACAATTGCCAAGATATAACCTAAGTGTCTATCAACAAATGAATGGATAAAGAAAATACCATAAAAATATATATATTACACATATACAATGTATGTGTATGTGTAAAAAATAAAATAGTATTCAGCCTTAAAAAAGAAAAAAATCCTGCTATTTACAACAACATGGATGAACCCAGGGGAAATTATGCCAAGTGAAATAAACCAGGCACAGAAAGACAAATTCATGCTCTCATCTACATATGGAATCTGAAAGAGTCAAACTCATAGAAACAGAAAGTAGTTGGGTAGCTGTCAGGGGCCAGGAGTGTGGAAGATGGGGATATGTTAGTCAAAGGATACAAACTTGCAATTATAAAATGAATAAGTTCTGGAGATCGAATATACAATATGGTGACTATACCTAATAAAGAATACTTGAAATTTGCTAAGAGTATTTGCTAAGAAAGATCATAAGTATTCTCCCCCTCACCACACACACACACCACAAGGTAATTATGTAAGGTGATGGATATATTAGCTTGATTTATTTCGTAATGTATATCAAAACATGTTCACCTTGAATATATATATTTGTCAATTATACCTCAATAAAGATAAAAATTCAGACTGACTTTGTCTTTCGAAAGACCTTTGTCTTTCGATATGTCAGTTTCTCTGACTGCATAATCACATGTGGCAATAACACTGCAAATCTACATTTGAGGCCATTCATAATTGATGCACAGGCTAAAAGGACCCAGAATGATGGTCTCCAGATGGAGTGGAAAAGGAATGAATGCCTTAGAGATAAAGCTGACTTTGATTAGCCAAGAGGAAGCTTTTTGGCAATGACTATGGTTAAGTTCAAGTCTACAACATAAAATTCCTCCCACTTCCTGACTTGTCATTCTCCTATATTCTACCCCACAAGAAATGTAGAGGTAATCTTTCAATACTTTGTCTACTCTTTCAGCTGAAAGTACTTAAATTTTCCAAACTTCTCAGTTAAAGAATCTTTACCAAACTCCAACTAAAATGGGTTTATCTTGATTCTGCTATTACTCCTGATTTTGGACCCCTTTATTAGTCTCCTTTAGCTATGTTTATTTCATCCCATCTTGTCTTCACTCTACCAATCTACAAGGTGATGTCATTTGAAGAGTAATAATATTGAACATATAATATTTACAACTTCTGAGTTAGTAAAACACAGATAGTTTTGTATCATTATTTTTTTCCAGGCAGCTTACCGATAAAAGATGTGGGAAGATGCTTTCATCAAATGGAACAGAATACTGTTATGTAAGTACACTGTACAAAGCTCTTGAATGTCTTCCAGAGGCATAGCACAGAGATCAGTCCTGAAGTTTCCTATCCAAAAATAACGCAACCTAAATTATTCTATATCTTCTGCTTAAGATGACTCTTCTCATGAATGACAAGGGAAAGTAAGGAAGCCCATTTCCTTTTTATTTTACATTCTGATTAACAGTAATAAAAAGTAAATTTTTCCTCAAATAGTTTCTAAAATACAAAAATACAAAAAGTGTCAGCAATTATTAAGAATTTAAAATAAATAACTTTAGGAAAAAATCTTTGTAAACTACAGACAAACTTACGGTGACAAACGGTATTACAGGACATATAAAGAAAAGAAAATGAAGTTAAAAAATAATAAATCATATACTGAACCTATATACTAACCTAAGAAAAAACTTAAGTGAAGTGAACTAAAATTAACTAAGTGAAATGAATTCAAACCAAAGAAAATAATTTGAATGAACTAAATTTAATACAATTTAACTTTAATGCAACTAATGAATAACTACATAAACTTCATAAATTAAACTAGATTAAATTATAGGAGGAAAAAAAATGTTACCTACTTTGTAACTCTCCCATCTGGAGTTACCCAAAACAAGTGCTCACAGGTCTGGAGCAGAGTATGGTTACTTAAACCACAGAAGGAAAGACGCCCAGAGAACCGTGAACTTGTAGCCAGATCTTATCTTGGGCCTTCCCAAGAACTTTTGGAGCAGCCCCTCCAGGTCCCCGTCAGCACCTTTGTCTGCGGGAGAACCTGGGAGCATTCCTATTCTGCATCTCTAGCAGGATTCATGGCAGATGGGCCTCTTTGAGGTGGTCAAACAAGCTTTGTGGTAAGGCTGATGTAGCGATGGCAAGGAGGAAGGTGCAGCCACAGCGCACCCCTGAACAGGAGAAACACAAGCATTAGAGCAGCGCTGATGGTGGCAGTGACAGGAACAAGAGCAGCAGGAGTGTCAAGAGGCCAGAGAGGAGCCCGGAACATGATTGCAGGAAGCTTGGAGCCCAGGTGCAGGCCAGGGCTGATGCCCTCATGGGCCAGCAGGGTAGCCAGACTGAGCCCACCAAGTCGCTGTCAGAGAAGCAGAAGTGCAATCGTGTCCGGAGTTGGTTCCTTCTTGAGTTCGTGGTCTTGGTGACTTCAAGAGTGAAGCCGCGGACTTTCACGGTGAGTGTTACAGCTCTTAAAGGTGAGGAGGACTTAAAGAGTGAGCAGTAGCAAGATTTTTTGAAAAGAGCAAAAGAGGTCGGGCACAGTGGCTCACGCCTGTAATCCCACCACTTTGGGAGGCTGAGGCGAGCAGATCATGAGGTCAGGAGATCGAGACCATCCTGGCTAACACAGTGAAACCCTGTCTCTACTAAAAAAAAAACAAACAAACAAAAACAAAACAAAAAAAACACACACACACACAGAAAAAATTAGCCAGGCATGGTGGCGGGCACCTGTAGTCCCAGCTACTCAGGAGGCTGAGGCAGGAGAATGGCATGAACCTGAGAGGCGGAGCTTGCAGTGAGCAGAGATCACGCCACTGCACTCCAGCCTAGGACAGAGCAAGACTCCATCTCAAAAAAAAAAAAAAAAAAAGCGCTAAAGAACAATGCCACCACGGGTGGAAGGGGACCCGAGCACGTTGCTGCTGCTGGCTGGGGTGGACAGGTTTTATTCCCTTATTTGTCCCCACCCATGTCCTGCTGATTGGTCCATTTTACAGAGTGCTGATTGGTCCATTTTTCAGAGCGCTGATTGGTCCATTTTATAAACCTCTACCTAGCCACAGACAGCTGATTGGTACATTTTTACAGAGTGCTGATTGGCACATTTTACAAACCTCTAGCTAGCCAAAGAGTGCTGATTGGTGTGTTTTACAATCCTAGCTACAGCGCACTCATTGGTGCATATTACAATCCTCTTCTAAGACAGAAAAGTTCCCCAAGTCCCCACCTGACCCAGAAGTCTAGCTGGCTTTACCTCTCACAGTGATAGTCTCCAGGCTGCTGCCAGTTCCAAACCCAACCCAGGACATGGCCTGTCACTACATAGGGAGGATACCTGCCTTTGGGGTAGCCTCCCAGGCCAACTCTGAAGGTTGCTATTGGCATCCTGCAAGGAGACAGCTGTGGCAGGGCCACCTAGAATTGTTCCCATTTTGTGTCAGAGGACAGACTCCAGGCATTTGTGCCACATTTGTCCCTTGATACATTCTAGTAGCTGATTCAGCTTTTCATCTCACATCTCTCCCAAACATGAGGGATAATTTCCATGATGGCATGCTCAGCAGTAAAGCAATGTTGAGCTTCTTCCTCCATCCTCCTTCAATCTATGTGTCATACCTCCTCAACCCGGTCTTTCTTTATCTACAGACTTCATCCTGGCTATTCAAATCTTCTGCAGTTGCATGGGAGCCTCTGACTAGGAGGAAAAAGATCTTTGACAGGAGACAAGTGTTCTTCAGGAGCACAAAAAGAAATAGGATCACACGCCTATGAACACTAGGATGACCTATTGGAGCATGAGGCCTGTGCATTACAGTTCTGGATAACAGCAGATCACGTAAAAAATTTTGCAGGAGGTAGAAATAAAGTCACAACCTATTTTCATGTATTGTATGACCTGTAGGAGCTAATGCTAATCATCATGATCTGCTGGCCTTTCTTAATTTGGGGACTCCTGGGGACCTGTGGCTTTTTCAGGTCCATGAGATCTCTTCCTTCAGCTTTCAAATTCTGGGCCAGGCACATTATAGCTCTGCAGAAAAAGACACCAGTTTCTCCTATAGGTTACCCATTTCATAATGGTTGGAAGTTGTGGAAAAGTGATATACTAGCTTATCTTTACAATTCCTCTGCTGCATATTTACTTTTCAATTCCAACTGCCAGACCAGCTGACCTAGAGCATATTCAGGTGCAACATCACTTTCAGGGGCAACAGCCTGGTATAGAATTCTCCAGAGCTGCTGTAATTGTACAAATTCTAATCCCTATGGTAAATTCCTTCTATATTGTTTTTACCAACTCTGCTTCTGCAATCACATCTTGACTGAGACAAGAGACCACACAAAAACCAAAGCACAAGGGGCTCCACTGGGGTGGGAAGACGGAGGCTTTTTTTCAATCTTAGGGATAAGTCTGCTTCAGCCCTGGGTTTGGTCCTGCTTATGAGTTGGATGTGTGAATGAGCTTTCTGGCCTCATTTGAAATTTTATAAGCATCCTTATTCCGCCAAGCATCTCACAGAGGACTTCTATGTGTATACTTCTTGGATGAGAAAATTTAGGGCTGACCTATCCCTTCTGCCAGGGGAGAAAGCCAAGAATTTTCTACAGCCTATGAGAATGAGCAGCAGAATAGTTCTTCCCAGCTTGACTCAAGCAACTTCTCACCTCTAGCTCAAGTTAAAAAAAAAAAAAAAAAAAAGAAAAAAAAATCTATCTGAATTACATTAGATTACATAACTTTTACTAACACAGAAGTGACATATAATCTACACCCTTTTATGACTTCTCAAAAGTCAGCACCTTCTATATTGGTGGAGTGAAGATACATGGAATGTAGTAAAGGCAGCTCCAGGTAATTAAGCAAGTGGCCCAAGATCAGGGATAGTAGCAGAACCAAGATAAGAATACTTGGGTTAAATATTTTCCCACCAGAACATTTGCCTTATGACACAGAAAATTTTAATCACTTTAAGGTAGAAAAATTGAGGAGGCAAAGATTACCTTTCCAAATATTTGTAGAATTAAATACATATTGACAGTGAGTTGCCTCCTGCTCATAGTACCCGAACCAAGAAAGGATCATGTGTGTGGAAGGGGAGGTGTTTCAGTGACTTAAGCTCAACCATGATTGTAAACAAAAACCTTCCTCTTAACTATCAAAGGCAAATTTATTGATAAAGTAATCCACTCCGACCCATCATCCTGGGGCCATTTAGTCCTTACCACTATTTATGAGGGGCTCAAATATGTATTTGAGCTGTTATTGCTAAGTGAAATTATGTAGTTGGAAATATTGATAGATTGAAGGACAAAGGTCATTAGAAAACTTTAACAATTATTATTTCTGATTTTCACTACTAGTAGACCATTGTGAGTTTATTTATTTATTTATTTATTTATTGAGACAGAGTCTTGTTGTATCACCCAGGCTGGAGTGCAGTGGTGCGATCTCAGCTCACTGCAACCTCCACCTCCTTGTTTCAAGTGATTCTCCTGCCTCAGCCACCCAAGTAGCTGGGATTAGAGGTGTGGGCCACCATGCCTGCCTAATTTTTGTATTTTCAGTAGAGACAGGGTTTCACCATGTTGGCCAGGTTGTCTTAAACTTCTGGCCTCAAGTGATCTGCCCACCTCAGCCTCCCAAAGTGCTGGGATTACAGGCATGAGCCACCGTGCCTGGCCAATTTTTATAAATACTGCAACAACTTTATGAGCCATATAAATAGTATTTTAATTATATGTTTATATTTAACAAATTAAAATCTGTTTTAACTCATTTATTCATCTTTATTGTACGGAAGCCCTGTATTATGTATGATGAGCCTGGTCTCCAAGCATAGACCGCATCAGCATTAAAAGACTCATCCACACATTTAAGGGCAATGTTGTTCTTAAGAAGCCTCAGAAAAAAAAAAAAAAATCCCTGTATGGAAATTTACATGGTATTTGTAGGCCCTTAACAGACATGAAATCCTCCTTCATCATTTCTGCACTTATGGTTGCCTTGTCTGCTCAGTTATCCATATGTGCAGATAAGCCTGACACTCTTTGTCATGTTCCATCTGCCCACTTGATTTCAGCCTTCATGGACAGTTCATGGATATGCACACTCATATCTTGCTAAGAGCACATTACCTCAAGTATCCACTGTGCATATTTCCTGGACCTTCTAATGCCAAATAATCCCGCTGGGTACTTAGGTAAGTACGGCAGAGACATGCACAGTTAATAGCTTTGATGAAAACTTTTGACTCATTAGAGATAGAAGTCATGGATAAATGTTCTGGCCTCCAATAGACAAAGTATTTATATTGGAAGGTATCCTGTGTGATTCAGAAGATCCTGCTGGGATTGAGCCCTTCATTATTCACATTGATCGCCTTAAAATTACATTATTCCACTGGCTTTTCCTCAACAGTTTCTTCTCCCTCCATCTTCTTTACTTGTACCACCTCTCAAATAAAATAATTGTACTCATATCCCTGTCTCAGAGCATACTCTTGAGAGTTACCTATACTAAAGAAACTGGCAGCAGAAGTAGTGCTAGAAGGTAGACCTTGAGGATTATACTCAGACACTGGATCATTTGATGGTCATAGAATAAGGGCCCCCTTACCTGGAAATATATGTTTATAATAATCCTTAGCACTTTATAGCATTCCAGTACTTCTATTCTTATGGGTAGTGGATAAGAGTGGTCAAGAGGCAGAATTAGAAGTAACTACAAACTTACCACTTGAATGACATAGAAGTAATTATAATAAAGATTGTAGAGTTCACTGCTTTTCACTGACTTATAAGTCTTAAAAAAGACAAAAGCTCTTGGCAGCCAGCTATGAACCCAGTGTGTGCTGTGCCACATGGTCTACATAGTTCTTCACCTCTGGCTGCCACAGGGCAAATGGACCAAAAGTAGGTCCAGAATTCACAAGTACAGTGTGGCTGCAAAAGTGACTGAATGCACACAGACAGTTCTACTTGTTAAAGGCAAAGTCAAAAGATGGAAAAGATAGAACCATTATAAGTAGTATGGGGCTTTGAGCAGACAAACCTGAGAACCCTGAACCCCTATTTGTTCTGAACCCTCTCCATATCAGGAGAGGAAGCAACAAATGTCAAGTCTATGTATGTAGCTCCTGGATCCTTTGCAAGAGAATATTTGTCCTCAAAACTAGCTTTGCCTTTCCTCATCATCTCTAACTCATTAACTAGGATCAGGGTTTTTTGTTTTGTTTTTTTTGTTGTTGTTTTTATTGTTGATTTTTTTTTTTTTTTTGAGATGGAGTCTCACTCTGTCACCCAGGCTGGAGTGCAGTGGCATGATCTTGGCTCGCTGCAAGCTGCGCCTCCTGGGTTCATGCCATTCTCCTGCCTCAGCCTCCCGAGTAGCTGGGACTACAGGCACTCGCCACCACGCTCGGCTAATTTTTTTGTATTTTCAGTAGAGACGGGGTTTCACCATGTTAGCCAGGATGGTCTCGATCTCCTGACCTCATGATCCGCCTGCCTTGGCCTCCCAAAATGCTGGGATTACAGGTGTGAGCCACCATGCCCAGCCAGGATCAGGTTTTACCAAACCTTCTGTAGGGAAAAAAAGCCCCTTCTTTATGCTTCCAGCTTTCACCAAGATTTGGGAACATTACTTGCCTCTGGTCCCTGCAGTTCTGAGGATAACTTTTTTCTGACCTTGCTTGCCTGTGGGTATCTTAACATCTCATTTTGATTTAGTTGGCTATGTTGTGTGATGGCCCTTTCCATAAATTCTTTTCAGAATCTGCCTTCTATTCCTAATCTAGATCCTTAGTGACCTAGAGTTTGATATTAGAAACAGCCTCAGCAAATAGGCCTTCAGCTGGGACTTGGGAATTGTGTTGCTTGGTATATTAAGGCATAGATAACCTTCTTCCAGGAAGATAGTGGGACACTGGTAATCTGAAGCATTAAGTGGCATAATAATTCTTCAAAGCAGTACTGGTAAGTGTATATAAGGGAATGTCATTGTAGAAAAAGGAGTTAGGAAATCCTCATAGCCATTTGACTACAATGGAGCAATGGTTAGTATGAAGATTATAGACTGCCTGCCTCTGAATGTATTTTAAAAGCCTACTAAAGGGTAACAGGCTAGAGGCTAGAGGCTTGATTTTCGTAACTGAAGTTACTGGTGGAGAATCTCCGAAAAATTTTTTATAAACCATAAAGGAATCTTATTATATGTTGCCACCAGCAAAACATGGTTGAACATCATGTCTAATACCTAATTGTACATCACGTGGAGTTGTATAGCTGTCAAATCCATGCCGATATTAGGGTATTAGTTAAAATAAGTTGGTATCTTGAAACTTAGCATGCAAATATTTGATTAAACAGAGGAGGTTGGAGCTATGGTTCTCTAAAATCCCTCTGAAACTTGTTTTCCTGGAAAACAACCCCTCCCCTATCTAAGGAAACCAGCCTCCATCTGATTAAAAACTTTGAAAGACCTTATGCTAGGTCACAGACAAGTCTCAATACATTTAAAATATTTAAATCAGAAAAGGCATCTTCTCTAACCCTAATGGAATGAAACTAGAAATCAGTAACACAGAAAACTGGAAAATCCACAAAAACTTAAATTAGGTGGAAATAAAGTCAGCACTCCTAAGTAACCAGTGGGTCAAAGGCAATGATATATGTGAAATTAGAAAATATTTTGAGATGAATTTTTCTAAAAAACATGCACAACATACCAAAACCTAAAGAATGCGACAAAAGTGGTGTTCAGAGGGAAATTTACAGTGGTAAACACTGATGTTTTTAAAATGAAAGAAAATTTTGAATCAATTACCTAACTTTATACCTGAAGGAACTAGAAAATGCAAAAACAAAACAATTTTAAAGCTGGCAGAAGGGAGGAAATAATACAGATTGGAATGGAAATAAACAAAATAGAAAATCAAAAAAACAATAAAAAAAATCAACAGAATCGAAAGTTTGTTCTGTGAAAAAATTAACAAAATTGATAGACCTTTAGCTAGGTTGACCAAGAAAATAGAGATAAGACTCAAATTACTAAAATTAACAATGAAATTTGGGGTATTACAATGGCTTTACAGAAATAAAAAATATTATTTAAAAATATGAACAGGCCTAGAACAAGTAAGCAAACTGAATCCATAATCACAAAGAAAAGCACAGGACAGATGTCACTTGTAAATTATGCTAAACATTTAAAGAAGAAATAACACCAGTGCTTCTCAAACTCTTCCAAAAATTAGAAGAGGAGAGAATAATTCTCTTTCTATAAGAGTGGCATAACCTGATACTAAAGTCATATAAAGTCATCTCAAGGAAAGAAAACTATAGCCCAATATCTCTTATGAATATAAATGCAAAACTCTCAACAAAATACTAGCAAAACAAATATAACAGCATATTAAAAAGAAGTATACAGAACAAGTGAGATTAATCCCAGGATTTCAAGAGTGACTGAATGTATGTAAACCAATCAATGTAATACACTGCATTAATAGAATAAAAGGGAGAAAATCGCACATAATCATCTCAATTGATACACCAAAAGCATTTAACCAAATCTAACACCTATTTATGATTTTTTTAAAAATGCAAAAAACTATGAATAGAGGGAACTTAGTCGTTTAAAGGGCACTTATTAAAATTGCATAAATTACACTAACATTACCTTCAATGGTGAAAGACTGAAAGCTTTCATCCTGAGATCAGGAATAAGACAAAGATGTGCACTTCTGCCACTTCTATTCAACGGTGTACTGGAAGTTCTATCCAGAGCAATTAGGCAAGAAATGGATATAAATGGCATCCAAATTGGAAAGGAAAAGTAAGATTATCTCTGTTCACAGATGACGTGATCCTATATATAGACAATTCTAAAGAATGCACAAAAAAAATTAGAGCTAATAATCAAATTCAGCAAAGTTGTAGATACAAGATAAAAACACCAAAAATTAGTGGCATTTGTATACACTAGCAATGAACAATTCAAATATGAAATAAAGAAAACAATCCCATTTACAACAGCATCAAAAGAAATAAAATACTTGGGGAATAGATGTAACCAAGGAGGTGCAAAACCTGTACAACAAAAACTGTAAAACATTGCTGAGATAAATTTTTAAAAACCTAAATAAATGGAAAGAAATCGAAAGTCCACAGGTTGTAAGACTTAAAATTGCTACAATGGCAATATTACCCAAAGCAACATATAGGTTTAATAGAATTCCTCTCAAAATCCCAATGACCATTTGGGTCAGAAATGGAAAAGTCTTTTCCAACATATTGGAATTGCAAGGGATCTCAAATAGACAAAATAATTTTGATAATGAAAAACCAAGTAAGAAGACTCACACCTTTTAATTTCAAACCTTACTACAGCCCAGAAATAAATCCAAACATACAGGGTCAACAGAATGTTGACAAGGGCACCAAGAAGACATGGTGGTGAAAGGATAGTCTGTTGAATAAATGATGCTGGGAAAACTAGATTTCCACACGGAAAAGAATAAAACTGGATCATTACATCATGCACAAAAGTCAACTCAAAATGGATAAAAGACCAAACAATAAGACCTAAAATCATAAAACTCCTAGAAGAAAACACAGGGGAAAAGCTTCCTGACGTTGGTTGCCTGTGGTATTTGGATATCACTCCAAAAGCTCAGGCTCAGGCTACAAAGGCAAAAACAAGTAAGTGGGGCTATGTCAAACTAAAAGTCTTCCTCACAGTAAAGGAAACAATTAACAAAAAGAAAACGCAGCCTGATTGGGAGAAAATATTGCAAACCATTTATCTGATAAGAGAAAAAATACTCAAAATATATGGGTAACTCACACAACACAATTGCAGAAAATTCACCCATTTTTTTTTAAAGAGGAAGGACCTAAGTATATATTTCTTCAAATAAAACATAAAAACAGCAAAATTGCATGCGAAAAATTGCTCAGCATCATTAATCAGATAAATGCAAATTAAAACCACAATGATGTATCACTTCATACCTATTAGGATGGCTATTATCAAAAAGACAAGAGATAACAAATGTTGGCAAGGCTGTAGAGAAAAGGGAACACTTGTATACTGCTGGTGGGAACACAGATTGATGCGGGTTTTATAGAAAACATTATGGAGGTTTCTAAAGAAATATAGAACTATCATATGACTCAATAATCTCACTTCTAGATATATATACAAAGAAAATGGAATCCCCATGTTGTAAATATATCTGCACTATCATGTCCTTTGCGGCAAATCACAACAACTGAGATAGGGAAACAGCCTAAGTGTGTGTTGACAGATAAATGAATGAAACTATATGTGTGTGTGCGTGCATGTGTGTGTAAGTAAAATATTATTTGACCTTAAAAAAGAGATTCTAACATTTGCCACAACATGGGTAAAACTGATGGACATTAGGGTAAGTGAAATAAGCCAGACACAGGAAGAAAAATACTGCATTATCTCACTTACATTTGGAATCTAAAAAGTCAAATTCACAGAAACAGAGTAAAATGGTGGTTACTAGAGGCCAGGGGAAGGGGTATTGGGGAAATGTTAGTCAAAGGATGCAAAATTTCAACTGAACAGGAGAAATAAGTTCAAGAGATCTAGCATACATTATAGTAGGTATAGTTAATCTATTATATGCTTGAAAATTGCTAAGAGGGTAGACTTTAAGTTTTCTCACTATAAAAAAAATTGGTATGTGATGTAACACATGTGTTAGTTTGGTTTATCTATTCCACAATGCGTGCATATACCAAATGATAATGTAATCTCAATTGTCTATTTTTGTTTTGATTGCCTGTTTTTGAGGTTTTACCCAAAAAACTTTGCCCAGGCCAATGTCCTGGAACATTTTCCCAATGTTTCCTTCCGTAGTTTCATCATTTTAGGTCTTAGATTTAAGTCTTTAACCCATTTTGATTAAATTTTTGTGTAGATGAGAGATAGGGGTCTTTTACTCTTCTGCATGTAGTTAACCCGTTTTCCCAGAACTGTTTATTGAAAAGACTGTCCTTTCCCCCATTGTATGTTCTTGACAGCTTTGCCAAGATGAATTGGTTGTAAATGCATGAATTTATATCAGGGTTCTCTATTATCTTCCACTAATCTATTAGTTTGTTTTTATGCCAGTAGTGTAGTTTTGGTTACTATAGTTTTGTAGTAAATTTTTGCACAGCAAAATAAACAATGAACAAAGTAAAGAGGCAACACACAGAATGGGAGAAAATAGTTTCAAACTATATATCTGACAAGAGATTAATAACCAGAATATAGAGGGAGCGCAAACAATTCAATAGCAAAATAATCATCATCATCATCATCTGATTTAAAAATGGGCTAAAACCTTAACATACATTTCTCAAAAGAAGACATATAAGTGGCCAACAGCTATACAAAAAAAAGTTGAGCATCGCTAATTATTAGAGAAACGCAAATCAAAACCACAGTAAGATATCATCTGACCCCAGTCAAAATGGCTTATATCAAAAAGATAGGCAAAAACAGATGCTGGAGAGCATGTGGAGAGAGAGGAACACTTGGACACAACTGGTGGAAATGTAAATTAGTATAGCCATTATGGAGAACAATATGAAGCTTCCCCTCCACCAAAAAAAAAAAACCTAAAAACAGACATACCATATCATCCAGTAATTCCACTGCTAGGTGTATATACCTAAAAGAGAGGGAATCAATATATTAAAGTAATTCCTGCATTTCCATGTTTACTGTAACACTCTTCACAATAGCCAAAACACGGGATCAACCTAAGTGTCCATCAACAGATGAATGGATAAATAAAATATGGGATATATGCACTATGGAATATGATTCAGCCATAAAAGGAATGAAATATTGTCATTTTCAGCAAAATGAAAGGAACTGGAGGCCAATATATTAAATAAAATGAGCCAAACACAGAAAGCGAAATATATCATGTTCTCACTCATTTGTGGGACCTAAAAAAGTGGACCTCAAGAAGATATAGAGTAGATTGGTGGTAACTCAGGGCCAGGAAAGGAAGAGGAGGATAAAGGGCAAAAAATGTAAATTAATAAATATATAATTTTTAGCACCTTTAACATTATTATATATACAGTTTAATGGTAATGAACTGTATTATGGTAATAATAAACTGTACAATGGTAATAAACTTAATTATGTATGTATATTTTACCTCAGTAACAATACCGTCATGTTGCACATCATAAATATATACAAATTTTACTTGTCAATTAAAAATAATTTTAAAGAAATTTTCTATAAATTAGAAAATTTTAAACCAGTATGGTACTGGCATAAAGATAGGCACATAGATGAATGGAATAAAACATATAATAAAGAAATAAATCTATACGTCTAAGGTCAATCTATTTTTGACAAGGATGCTAAGATCATTTAATGGGGAAATAATTGTTTCCTCAACAAATAGTGCTGGGACAAATTGACATCCATGCAAAAGAATGAAGTTATACCCTTATATAAAATATATATACTATTACACAGAAACATATACATAATATACAGATATAAAAATTAATTTAAAATGAATCAAAGATCTAAATTTTAGAGCTAAAACTAAAGCTCACAAAAGAAAACATACGGGTAAATCTCCATGCCCTTGGACTTGACAATAGATTCTTACATATAACGCCAAAAACGAAAGTGACAAAAAATAGATATAGCAGACTTCACCAAATTAAAAACTTTTGTTCACAAAAACACGTTATCTAGAAAGTAAAAATACAACCTATGGAAGAAAATATTTGCAAATCTTCTATTTGATGAGCCTAGTTTACAGAATATATAAAGAACTCCTATAACTCATCAACAAAAGCACAAACAACCCAATTGAAAAACAGAAAAAGGACTTGAACAGACACTTTTCTAAGAAGATACAGGGGAAACAGACAAGATAGCTGAATAGAAACACCTCCACTCTGCAACTCCCACCAAGAAGGACAAAAATGACAAGTGAACTCTGCACCTTCAATTGACGTACCAAGGTTCTCTCATTGGGACTGACTAGGTGGTTGGCATGACCCACAGAGAGCAAGAAAACCCAGAGTGGAGTGAGGGCCCACCAAGGAGCTGCACAGGGCAAAGGGAGCTCCCTTCCCCAGCCAAGGGAGGTGATGAGGGATTGTGCTACCCCTCGCTGAAAACCATGCTTTTCCCACTGATCCTTGTGACCCATGGATCAGAAAGACCCCTCATTAGCCCATTCCACTAGGGCTTTGGGTTTCAAGCACAGAGCTGTGAAGACTCACAGCAGCTGCTCAGGTGAGTGACCATTTGAGCAGGCACTAAGACACAGGAGTATTTGAATACTCCAGCTCTAGGAATTCCTGTGAGGCAGGAAAACCATCAAGACTTATGGGAAGGGGGCTGAAGCCAAGAAGCCAAGCAGCCTGGCTACCATGGAACCCCACAAGCTAAGACCCACTGGCTCAGAATCCCTGCCACCCAGCGCAGCAGGCTGGAGACTACCTGAGAAGACTGAGTTCCCAGTGGGGAGGGGTGGCCGACATCACTGTGGCTCCAGTTGGCCATTTTTCCCTGCTGCTGGTGCCAGTGAGACTGGAAAGTCTGGACCAAGAGCAATTCCCCACAGCGTAGGACAGTGGCTGAATCAGTTCAGGGTCACACTGCTTCTTTAAGCCAAACCCCAGTCCACTTCTCACTAAGTAGAGCCTCTCTGTGGGAATTTCAGCATCCCCAGCCAGGGGTTTATGGGAAGAACTCTGATATCCCTGACAGGAGCTCCTAGGAGAAAAGATGGCTGTGGTATCATGGATCAGTGGTCTTAGTCTTTTCTGCCTGCTGGCTCTGGAGAGTCAGGAGAACCCAGACGAAGGAGATTCCCCGCAGTGAAGCACCCCTGCTCCACCAAGTGGCAGCCAGACTGCTTATTTAAGCAGGTTCTTGATCCTGCTCCTCCTGACTGGGTGAGACCTCCCAACAGGAGTCTCCAGACAACTCATACAGGAGCATTCTAGCTGGCACCAGGTAGATGCATCTGTGAGACAGAGCTCCCAGAGGAAGAAACAGGCTGCTATCTTTGCTAGTCCACTGGTGATACCTCCAGGGGCAGGAGGGACCAAGATGAATAGGGTCTGGAGTGGACCCCCAGCAAACCACAGCAGCCCTACAGAAGAGGGGTCTGACTGCTAAAAGAAAAACAAAAGAAAGCAACAACAATATAAATGACAAAGACTCCAGAAAAACCCCTTTTGAAGATCAGCAGCCTCAAAGGTCAGCAGCCTCAAAGATCAAAGGCAGATAAGCCCATGAAGATGAGAAAGAATCAATGCAAAAATGCTGAAAACTCAAAAAGCCAGAGTGTCTCTTCTCCTCCAAATGATCATAATACATCTCCACCAATAGCACAGATCTGGGCTGTGCTGAGATGCATGAATTGACAGAAGTAGGCTTCAGAAGATGGGTAATAATAAACTTCATTGAGCTGAAGGATTATTTAACTCATTGCAAAGAAGCTAAGAACCATGATAAAACATTACGGGAGCTATTAACAACCAGTTTAGAGAGGAACATAAATGACCTGATGGAGCTGAAAAACACAAGAACTTTACAATGCAAACACAAGTATCAACAGCCGAATAGACCAAGCAGAAGAAAGAACATCAGAGCTTGAAGACCATCTTGCTGAAATAAGGCAGGCAGACAAGATTAGAGAAAAAAGAGTAAAAAGGAATGAACAAAACCTCTGAGAACTATGGGATTATGTTAAAAGACCAAACCTCCGACTGATAGGGGTACCTGAAAGAGATGGGGAAAATGGAACCAAGTTTGAAAACACACTTCAGTATATCATCCAGGAGAACTTCCTCTACCTAGCCAGACAGGCCAATATTCAAATTCAGGAAAGCCAGAAAACCCCAGTAAGATACTCAATGAGAAGATAAATCTCAAGACACATGATCATCAGATTATCCAAGGTCGAAATGAAGGAAAAAACGTTAAGGGCATCCAGAGAGAAAGGCCAGGTCACCTATAAAGGGAAGTCCATCAGACTAACAGCAGACCTCTCAGCGGAAACTCTAAAAACCAGAAGAGATTCGGAGCCAATATTCAACATTCTTAAAGAAAAGAATTTCTAATCTAGAATTTCATATCCAGTCAAACTAAGCTTTATAAGCAAAGAAGAAATAAAATTTGTTTCACACAAACAAATGCTGAAGGAATTCATCACCAGCAGGCCTGCCTTGCAAGAGATCCTGAAGAAAGCACTAAATATGGAAAGGAAAAACCATTACCAGCCACTACAAAAACACACTGAAGTACACAGACGACTGACACTATAAAGCAACTACATGAAAGAGTCTGCAAAATAACCAGCGAGCGTGATGATGACAGAATCAAATTCACAAACAACAATATTAACCTTAAATGTAAATGGAATAAACACCCTAATTAAAAGACACAGAATGGGAAGCTGGATAAAGGGTCAAGGTCCATCTGTGTGTTGTATTCAAGAGACCCATCTCACATGCAAAGACACATACAGACTCAAAATAAAAGAATGAAGGAAACTTTACCAAGCAAATGGAAAACAGAAAAGAACAGAGGTTGCAATCCTAGTTTCTGACAAAACAGACTTTAAACCAACAAATATTTAAAAAGATAAAGAAAGGCATTACATATGGTAAAGAGGTCAATTCAACAACAATTTAGTATATATATGCTAAATATATATGCACCCAATACAGGAGCACCCGGATTCATAAAACAAGTTCTTAGGGACCTACAAAGAGATTTAGCCTCTCACACAATAATAGTGGGAGATTGTAACACCCCACTGTCAGTATTAGATCATCAAGAAAGAATATTAACAAAGATAATCAGGACTTAAACTCAGCTCTGTATCAAGAGGACCTGATAGGTAGCTACAGAACTCTGCACCCCAAAACAACAGAATATACATTCTTCTTGGTGCCACAAGGCATCTACTCTAAAATTGATCACATAATTGGAAGTAAATCACTCCTCAGCAAATGCAAAAGAACTGAAATCATAGAAAGCAGAACATAATGCAATCAAATTAGAACTCGAGATTAAGAAACTCACTCAAAACCACACAACATGAAAACTGAACAACCTGCTCCTGAATTACTCCTTGGTAAATAATGAAATTAAGGCAGAAATCAAGAAGTTCTTTGAAACCGATAAGAAATAATAATGTACCACAATCTCTAGGATGCAACTAAAGCAGTGTTATGAGGGAAATTTATAGCACTAAATGTCCACATCAAAAAGCCAGAAAGATCTTAAATTTACACCTTAGTATCACAACTAAAAGAACTAGAGAACCAAGAGCAAACAAACATCAGAGCTGGCAGAAGACAAGAAATAACCAAGATCAGGGCAGAACTGAAGGAGATAGAGACATGAAGAACTGTTCAAAAAAATCAATGAATCCAGGAGCAGGTGTTTTGAAAAAATTAGCAAAATAGACTGCTAGCTAGACTAATAAAGAAGAAAGAAGAGAAGAATCAAATAGATACAACAAAAAATGATAAAGGGATATAACCACTGACCCCACAGAAATACAGACAACCATCAGAGAATACTATAAACATCTCTATGCAAATAAACTAGAAAATCTAGAAAAAATATATAAATTCCTGGACACATACACCCTCCCAAGACTGAGGCAGGAAGAAATTGAATCCCTGAATAGACCAACAACAAGTTCTGAAATTGTGGCAGTAATAAATAGTCTACCAACCAAAAAGAGCCCAGGACCAGATCGATTTACAGCTGAATTCTACCAGAAATACAAAAAGGAGCTGATACTCTTTCTTCTGAAACTATTCCAAACAAATGAAAAGAAGGGACTCCTCCTTAACTCGTTCTATGAAGCCGTCATCCTCCTGATACCAAAACCTGGCAGAGATACAACCAAAACAGAAAGCTTCAGGCCAGTATCCCTGATGAACATCAATGTAATAATTCTCAATAAAATACTGGCAAACCAAATACAGCAGTACATCAAAAAGCTTATCCAACATGATCAAGCTGGCTTCATTGCTGGGATGTAAGGATGGTTCAACATATGCAAATCAATAAATGTAATTCATCACATAAACAGATCTAAATACAAAAATCACATGATTATCTCAATAGATGCAGAGAAGTCCTTCGATAAAATTCAACATCCCTTCATGTTAAAAATTCTCAGTCGGGCACAGCGGCTCATGCGTGTAATCCCAGCACTTTGGGAAGCCAAGGCAGGATGATCACCTGAGGTCAGGAGTTCGAGACCAGCCTGACCAATATGGTGAAACCCATCTCCAATAAAAATACAAAAATTAGCCGGGCATGGTGGTGGGTGCCTGTAGTCCCAGCTACTCAGGAGGCAGAAGTTGCAGTGAGCCAAGATCATGCCATTTTCACTCCAGCCTGGGTGACAAAAGCAAGACTCAATCTCAAAAAAAAAAAAAAAACCTCTCAATAAACTAGGTACTGAAGGCTGAAGGAACATACCTCAAAATAATAAGGGCCATTTATGACAAACCCACAGCCAATATTATACTAAATGGGCAACAGCTGGAAGCATTTGCCTTGAAAACTGGCACAAGACAAGGATGCTCTCTCTCACCACTCCTATTCAACATAGTATTGGAAGTTCTGGCGAGGGCAATCAGGCAAGAAAAAGAAATAAAGGGTAATCAAATAGGAAGAGAGGAAGTCAAATTGTCTTTGCTGATTACATGATCCTATATCTAAAAAATCCCTTTGTCTCAGCCCCAAATCTTCTTAAGCTGATAAGCAACTTCAGCAAAGTCTCAGGATACAAAATCAATGTGCAGAAATCACAAGCATTTCTATACCCCAACAACAGTGAAGCTGAGAGCCAAATTGTGAATGAACTCCCATTCACAATCGCTACAAAGAGAATAAAATACATAAGAATACAGCTAACAAGGGAAGTGAAGGACCTCTTAAAGGAGAACTACAAATCACTTCTCAAAGAAATCAGAGAGGACACAAATAGAAAAATATTCCATACTAATGGATAGAAAGAATCATAGCATGAAAATGGCCATATTCATTATTCAGGAAATACATTTCTTAAGGCTATAGCTGCCATAGATAATGATTCCTCCCATAGATAGGATCTGGAGGATCTGGGAAAAGTAAATTTAAAACTTTGTGGAGATGACTCATCATTCTAGATGCCATTAATAACATTTGTGAGGCTGGGAGCAGTGGCTCACGCCTGTAATCCCAGCACTTTGGGAGGCCAAGGCGGGTGGATCACAAGATCAGGAGATCGAGACCATCCTGGCTAACACGGTGAAACCCTGTCTCTACTAAAAATACAAAAAATTAGCCGGGCGCGGTGGCGGGCGCCTGTAGTCCCAGCTACTCTGGAGGCTGAGGCAGGAGAATGGCGTGAACCCGGGAGGCAGAGCTTGCATTGAGCTGAGATCGTGCCACTGCACTCCAGCCTGGGCGACAGAGTGAGACTCCATCTCAAAAAAAAAAAATTTGTGATTCATGGGAGGAGGTCAAAATATCAACATAAACAGGAGTTTGAAAGAAGTTGATTCCAACTCTCATGGATCACTTTGAGGGGTTGAAGACTTCAGTGTAGAAAGTGACAGCAGATATGGAAATAGCAAAAGAACTAGAATTAGAAGTGGAGGCTGAAGATATAGGTGAATTGCTGCAATCTCATGATAAAACTTGAAGAGATGAGCAGCTGCTTCTTATGAATAAGCAAAGAAAGGTTTTTTGAAATGGAGTCTACTCCTGGTGAAGATTCTATGAACACTGTTGAAATGACAACAAAGAGTTTAGAACATTACATAGACAAGGGTGGTGGCTTATACCTGTAATCCCAGCTATTTGGAAGGCTGAGGCGAGACGATCACTTGATGCCAGGAATTTGTGGCCAGCCTGGGAAATATGCAAGACCCCATCTCTAAAAAATATAGAATAAATAAATAAATAAGAATTTATAATATTATATCAATGTAGTTAATAAAGCAGCAGCTGAGTTTGAGAGCATTGACTATGTTTTTTCTATTCTAATTTTGAAAGAAGTTTTACCATGAATAAAATATTATCAAATAGCATTGCATCCTGCAAAGAACTCTTTTATGAATGGAAGAATCAATCTATGTGGCGAACTTCATTGTTGTCGTATTTGTAGAAATTGTCATAGCTACCACAATCTTGAGCAGTCTGATCAGTTAGTGACACTCAGCATTGAAGCAAGACCCTTCCCCACAAATTGCTGAAGTCTCAGATGATGATTTTTAAGCAATAAAGTATTTTAATTAATGTACATTGTTTTTTTTTGACATAACGCTATTACATACTTAATAGACTACAACATAGTGCAAACGTAACTTTAACATGCTTTGGAATGCCCAAAATAATTGTATAAATTTTGTGTTAATTTTGATATTACCAACCATTAGATTCACGTTATTGCAGGGGTCTACAACTGAACCTGCAAGTCCAAGGTATGCCTGTATATAACTTGCCAACTAGCACATGAAAAGATGCCGAACTCCTGTAGTCATTAGGGAAATATAAATCAAAACCATAATGAGATACTGATTCACACTGTCAACCTACAAGAAAGAAACTGAGGCAAAATTAATATAAGTAGAGCGTTTTTTGGGGCAAAGCTTGAGCACTGCAACCTGTGAGCATAGATTCGAGTTGCCCTCAATATACTCAATATACAATTAGCAGTAGTTACAAGTGAATTTTTAAAGGTTTAAAAAAAAAAAAACAGAGACAGGGAGTGGACTGACACAAAGTTGTTCACCAGGAATTCTCACTGGTTTACAGAAATAACATTGATTAGTGATTGGGTATATGTTAAGTTAAGCTATATGATGTGGGTTATAGTGTCCAGTATGGCATTATCAGGTTAATTTATAGTTACTTGTGGCAATAGCCTGCAGTTTCAAGAGATGAATACATAGCTGAAAGCAAGAAGTAGAGCATAATTTTAATCTCATTTTAATGTATATGTGGACCTGATAAGTAAAATGACTTGTATTCTTCAGATAAAAATTTCTTTCTTTTCTTAATGCCCACTAGGACTGCTAATTTTTAAAGAGGAAAACAAGTGTTGTTATGTAAAGAAATTGAAAACCTCATACATGACTAGTGGAAATGGAAAATAGTGAAGCCACTGGAAAACAGTTTAGCACTTCCTCGAAGTTAAACATAGAATTACCATGTGACCCAGCAATTCCACTCTTAGGTATGTACCCCCAAAGGACTGAAAACAGGTATTCTAACAAGCTGCTATACACAAATATTTATAGCAGCACTATTCACAAAACATAAAAGGCAGAAACAACCCAAATACCTATCAACTGATAAAATGGATAAACAACTTGGTGTATATCCATATAATTGAATGTTGTTCAGCCATAAAAGAGAATAAAGGGCTAATACATGCCACAATATGGGTAAACACAGAAAACATTATAAGTACCCACAATGGTTAGGGTTTCAGTTCTCTGTTCTTGACCATATGAGTTTTAATAATCATGAGAACTTGGCCTACTGCATTGATGACTCCTTGCTGTAGCTCTTTTGGGGGTTATATAAACCTTTGGCTCAGCCAGGCCTAAGACATCCTCTCTAGGGGATAAGCTATCATGGAATTGAATATGGAAGGCTATGGCATTCCTTGTCAGAATTATATTTTTTAAGTTAATAACTTGTATATAAAACCTAGGATTTCCAGGAGATGGACCCATAATATAAGAGTCATTCATGAGATAGAACAAATCCTGGGCCCTGCCAACTTACTTGGTGGGCAGGGACAAAAGCAGTGATTTCTTCATAGAGATATTGTTAAATCTCCTGTCAGTTACCTTTCATGACTTTAACAATGCATTCTACATTTTAAGGTAAGATATATAAAATATTTTCTCACCCTACCCATTCTGGACCTTTTTCTCTACCCAGTATAAAGTTAGCACTTGTCTTAGCTCATTATGAGTTTTGAGGAGGGCAGGCTGGAAGTGTACCACTTCCCATTCAGCATGGTCCTTTGTCCTTGGTAAGATCAGGTATTATAAGATGGATGATACCATGTGTTTGCTCCCTGGGTGGGTGTGGCATAGAGTGAAAAACTGAAATAACAAAAGGTAGTAGATTCTAATAGAATAGTGAAAGAAGCATGAAGTGAAGCTGTAGGCAAGCATCTTGTTTATATAAGACCTACTATATCCCTTCTGACTCCAAGCTGAGTCAGTTTCTAATAGCCAGGTCTAATCCCATCATTGGTTTCCCTCAATGGTGTATGTGTACATTTTTTAAGTTCTTTGTCTCGCTGGGAAGAATCATGTTGTATTCCTCACATCATACTTCTCTCTAGTGATTACCAACCATGATGAACTTAGGAGAGAGACCATCAAGAAGGTAAAATCTTTGGTGATATCAGTGGTGATATCGCTGAAGATTGGTAAAGTAGAGAATCTTTGTATGTAGATAGCTCTATAGGACAAAAGGTGAAAGGCTACCTAACACTATCTGGAAAAGGCTCTGAGATATTCCAATCTAGAGGTGACCAAATATCTTAAGATGAAATGATTTATAAACAGGCACTAATACCAAGAACACCCTATGTTTTACCATAGAAAGATCTGGTTTGAGATTTTTGTTTCAAAATGTGGTAGTATAATTTGGGACCATCCAGTTTAATCTCAGATAGATTTGTGAAAATACATAATAAAATTAACTATTCTGAACTAGGTATTTTTAAAGAGATTGTTTAGTCAAAGCATTTATAGCCCTGAATGTGTGTATGGTAGAGATCAGAGCCTGGGGTCTCTAGCTTAATAACAAAACTGTACTTGTACCATTTAAATTTATACCAAAAAAGGAATAAACATTGCCCCATCTACTGAATAGATTAACTTGCTAGATGGCTAAATTTTTCCACTAAACCTCATTATATACCTGAGAGGACACACGTCTATTTTGGATAAAGCTAAAACTGTGTCACTAAGTGATTTACCAGAAGTCATTAAGTGGTAATGCTAAGATTAAATGCAAATGCTTTCAATTATACCATTATCATGTTCAAGTATACAGTCAGCTTTTTGTTCATGCCACTGAAGGCTTTTCAGTAGATTTGAGACATTGTGTCAACACTGGAGGCCAAACAGCTTGACTGGTGGCCAAATTATCAAATGCTGGTCTGCAAAGTGCAATGGAAACAATTGAAAAACAGAGAAAGGTTCCCTACAAGTCTTGGTAAAAGAAGAATTAGACTACTGTTGTTACAGTAAGAGAAGGATCAGTTGGAGGTGGTCATCATTGACAAGGCAAAGAGGCTGGTATCAGTGAGAGAAGAGATGGTTGACAATCTATTTGGAAGGTAATGAACAAGTCTAGGTCTCTTCATCTGTATAATACCGATGTTACTCCCATATATAAATAATAAACTCACCATCTAGTCCTAAAACTAAAGCATCGCTAATTAATTACATATACACATTTTCTTACCAAATCCCGTTTTCCTGACGTTTCTCACCATAATCACTCTTATGATCTTCATTGTACCCTTTCTTTTGGTTTCATAACATATGCCTAAGCAATATTTAGTTTTGCTAGTTTTAATGTTATCAATAAATGATATGCTATGCAATTGTTATGGATTTGTTTTTATTAACTTCCAAGTTATGTGTAGCTTTACTTCAATTATTTTTATTGCTGTATAATATCCCTTAGGTTTTGCATTTATTAAACATTTAGTATTTTCTTTCATCAAACTTTCTGTTCCTACAAGGAATGTGAAAAAATAAACTCTACATTTAGTCCTAGGGAAAAAAAGTCCTAGATCATGACAAAGTTTCCATTTAACCTGATATCTACACAGACACAAACATACCTGATGGAGCCAGTGACATTTTCTCATAGTTCGCAGTTTGAGATAGGAAGCTTAGTTAACCTGTTGGTTATTTGGAGCTCATTTTGGAAGGATATAACCCCAATCCTATACTGTTCTCTAGTTTTGACACATTCAGAGGTTTACATTGATCTCAGCATGTATTCCTGTCTCATGGGTTGCTTACTATAGGGGATGCAAGTTTACTAAATTACATGGATGTATTTGTTCATTCTCACATTATTATAAATAAATACCTGAAACTGGGTAATTTATAAAGAAAAGAGGTTTGATTGGCTCATGGTTTCACAGGTTGTGCAGGAAGCATGATGCTGGCATCTGCTTGGCTTCTGGAGAGACCTCAGGAAACTTCTAATAATGGAAGGTGAAGGGGAAGCAGGCACGTCTTACATGACTGGGGAAGGAGGAAAAACATGAATTTTCAAATGATATCCCTTTAAATCTGGCATGTAATTAAGCTAATTTATAGCATCTAGGGAAATGAACGTCCTCATAAACTCAAAATTAGATGTGGGCGATTGGAAGACTGGCTCAGTCAGTTGTGCTAAAGACCCTATAATCTACATGATTTTATACCTAACACATTAATATACAAAAAGACCCTTCCACCCCAATCAATACCTGCAGGTCTGTGATAAAAGTTAAATTAATCTCCCTTTCCTTCTACCCGAGTATTTTTTTTTTTACTGGGACTCACTTCTGAAGATTCACTTCTACCATCCATATGCCAGAACCCATGCAAATTTTTATTATGATAGTTCAGTTTAGGAGTTCACTGTAGCCTTTTAAAGTTCAGCAGTTACCAAGAACATCCTGTTTTGCTTGTACTTCCTAGGCATTCTTTTAAAAATCCTTACAAATAAACCTCATTGGTAGATGATTCTTGCTTTTATTAAGGAGGAAGCTGAAGTTCTGTTACTAAGTGATCTGCCCAAAATTACTCCACCCTGTAGATCTTCCCTAGCTATATGCTTCTGGGCTAGAATCTATCATTTATTTCAGGAAATATTCGAGTTCAGGAGATATGAGTTCATCTGCTCTGCTATTTAGCACTGGCCTTGAGAACTTAGACAATGAATCATGGCACAGGATCTATCACCCCACAAGAAAAATTACATCACTACATCATCCTAATTTTCCAAGTCTTTGGGGAGGCAAGAGGCAGAGTTGCCTGTTCAGATTGTGATGTTGTGCCAAAACGATACAACCTTGACATTTCATTGAGGTAAACAACTTGGCAACGGGATCAAAATGAGTGCAAAACTGACCTTGAAGGAAGTCACCATGTCTGAACAAGCATCTTGGTACAATCCTTTGAGCAAGTCCCAAGCGAGTTCTTAAGAATAAACTGTGCTTCATTTCTAAGAGAAAAAAAGTGCTTCTAACGATGGAAATCCCTCTCTACGGAGAGAATAAGCCAGGGGCAAAGACTCAGATACTGACAGACACCAGGTATTTGAAAGCTCATGGCACCTCAAAAATAAAAAAAATTTCAAAAGTATTCCAAAGCCTAAGGCTGATTTTAAAGGTTAGTGTCTTAAATGTAAACATTAAATTGCATTATATTTGTATTAAATTGTATAGTTTATAAAAGATTTGCAGGATCTGCAAAGGCAATACTGTTACCAAAGGCAGTGGGGTCCATAATGGGTATTATGTTTAAAGTGGATTAGTGACTTTTAATTTCCATCTGTAGGTATTTTTCTGACTTGACAATTTATTGCCAGTATCTTTATGCCAGCATAAAATCTCTATTTGAAGTTCTTCCGTTATGTGAGGTCGAAAGAACCAGTGCTTGTAGGGCATCACAGCCTCTACCTTAGTCTATGTACCCCAGGAAGAAAGCCCAAGACAGGTCATGATTCCATATTGTTTTCTGGGAGGGCTTTCCTGAGGAAACAGGGGTGAAGGAGGTGGGCCAGTGAGGCAGAAGAGGAAGAAAATCTAAGAAGGGCCAAATGCCCTGGCCTTATTTGTCTTCATTGTCATCTGGAACACTCCCTTTTCCAATGAACCGACAGCCTCTTTGATTCTATACGGCCTTTGGTGCTACCATAGACATTGACCAGGAGGCAGAGATTTAATGAAAGAAAAGGAACACCCTTTACCATACTGTAGATATCCAGGGTTCCATTCCTCTGGTGACCCTTAGAGGAACCATGTGGAACACACCTCAGATCCTTTCCACTGAGGGACAAGGATATTAAAGCATTTATCAACCTATTCCCATAACTCATTGGTTGATGCTCCTGACCTTTCAGACTGTAACTATAAGTAGACTGAGGAGACTTCTATGGCTTCAGAGAAAGCCCTAAAGCAAGAAAGCAGAGTGCAACTAATAAGCATGTGCAATAAGTTCAATAAGTATAAAAGTTTGCACCAAAGCTGTACTTAAATAAGGGGATTGAGGGATCAGGGATCAATTCACCACAATATTCTGCTATAAACCTGCAGAACAAATGTGAAAGAGGGACTCTGGCTTTAACATATGTTTGTTAGCTGGGAATATCTAGGTTCTTGGGGGCTGCCAGTAATTATTAGAAATGCAGGAAAACTTTCTCATGTGATTTAGGCAAATGGAGCTCTGGATCATTGCCTTTTCTCCTCTATGATGTAGACAACATGCTTTACAACTAGCCCAAGCAGGATTAGGCTTTTGAGAGGAGACAGGGCCATGGCACCCATGGTATGGATCTATTTGTTGAGCAGGTAATGACAAGAGAAATTCCCCTGCAGGTTGTTAATAAAGTTGTCTGTTTCAACTGAGTTCCTTTTCTATATTTAAATTCAACAATAATTACTCAACACCTGCTATGTGTCAGGTCCCATATTAAGTTCTATATGGGGTTCATATTATATTCTATATTAAGTTCATATTATAAAGGCTAGGTTATTTCAAAAGTAGATGCAAGCTACATTTTATAGAGGAAGAGGCTGCAGCTGTGTCATCAGGTAATTTATCCTATGTGACAAAGATTATCATGGTTTTAGCACTTTTAAGTTATAAAGCCATCCTTGTTTCACAGACTCTGAGAATGTAATGTCTTAATATGTAATTATTATGTAGTCTTCAACATAATTTTGCTTTAATTATAATAGTTAAACCTAAATAAATCAAAGGACTTTTTTAAAAAAAATAAAAACTGTAAACAGCAAAATAGGTTTCAGGCTATTTTCAAGTTTGTACAACAAATCTTCAGGGGACTATAGCTTGCTTCCCTACTATGTAACAGAGGAATTTTTTTCTATATATTTATGAAGAAAGTGACCCAAACTTAGAATCTGAACTCCAGCAAGTCTATGTCTCCTGCTTAGGAGACTATTGGCCTAATCCTTGATTACCTAGGATGAAATGCATTTATAGGCCCAACAGTGAGTGGGGTGAAATGGGAAGATTGTAGGCAAGGGAGAAAACATCTTTCTTGGCATCTTGCTGATAGAATGTTCTCATAAATAATAAACTCTGCCTATGTGTGGACATGTGTGATACAATGCTGGCTGCCAAGTATAGATTTGAATGTAATGGCAGAGGAGAAGTGAGTACTTGCTTCCCAAAATGGAAGGCCCAGTGGACACAAAAGAGCAATTCTCCACAAAAACATCTTAAGCATGGTGGTAGTTGACTGAAGATGAACCTCTGGATATAAACTCCCTACATGGAAATCATATAAAATGTGAACAGGTAGAAAGGGGGAAAATATACGGTCACAAGCTTGGCCCTGATTTTTAGAGATGTGCACCCCCTCAAGCTGTGATGTTCTAGTGGCAGGTACTCAGGTAAAAGAAGCCAGAGTTTCCTCTTTTTTCATAAAACAAGCAGAATTGCCAGTTGACAACAAACTCACTCATCTTAGAAAGCTGTGATTGGACCTCAATCTTGATGCATCGATTACTCCTAGTTCAAGCTGCATATTGAGCATTATAGGATGATGTGGAGGCTTGAAGATGGCACCCTGGCTAACTAATACCATAAGCAGCTTTCCAAGCTCTATGGGAACTTTGAACAGAATGATGTTACATTTCATTCCAATTTGGGGTAGGGGAAAGTGCCGACACTTAACAGCAGAATTTCTGACACTCTGGGAAGTTGGCAGTAACAATAGGTACTTATTTCTAAGTAAGGACCTCATGTCTCAGAATGATTATGTTTACCTCCAGTAACAGAGCTCTGATATTCCTCTATGCAGCTTTTAGTGCTCTAGAAATGGACTGAAGATCCTCTATTATCCTTGTTATTGGTCACTCCTATAGGGTATTAAGCACTATTTGGGGTCTTGATCCCATCTAAATGCATGCCTTCACATAGTTCCAAAAGGGAACAATAAGGAGTGACATCAGCAAGATAGCACAACGCGACCTTCCAGCACTCATTCTCTCACAGAAAAATTAATTCAAACAACTATCCACACATAAAAATACCTTCAGAGGAGCTGAGGAATCAAGATAAGAGATTAGAGCACTGGAGTGTAGCAGAGAAACAAGAGAAGATACATTAAAGAAGGTAAGAATAATAGTTTTATATTACCATGTAAACCCCCCCACCCAATAAGCCCAGGCAGCACAGCCCAGAGAGAGATACCCACTGAGTAGAGGGATGAGAGTGAAGTAAACACTAGACTTTGCTGTTGAACCCAGCACCAGGCCTGCCCCAGTGAAACCCAGAAACAGGCCAACCCCACAACCCCAGGCCTGAGAAACAGAGATCAAGATTCCAGGCACAACTTAATGATGCTAGGCCAGCTCTTGCCACTTCAGGCTCTAGGCAGCCTCCTGCAGCCTCAGGTTTCAGGTCAGCCTACATGGCCCCAGAATCCATGCCACTGTCTACCAGGCCAGCACTTGCAGCTCACCAGGCCAGCAGCCATTGGACCCAGGAAACAGGCCTGCCACAGGGGACCCAAGTTCCAGTCTTGCTCTGGTGGATCCAGGTACTAGGCCATCCTCTAAGGACCCAGGTGCCAGACCAGCCTACCTGCTAATCCAGTGGCCAGGACAGCCTGCTGAAGGGCTGCAGCCACAACCCGACCTGCAGATTCTGCCAGATGCCCTTCCCAGAATCTCTGGACACTGAGTGGAGAAGGGCTTTCCCTGCCAAAACCAGGATGTAAACTGGAATAGATGCCTACTTCTTCAAATGCGCAGACACCAATGCAAAGCCACACAGATTATGAATAAACTGGGAAACATACTGCCAAAGGAAAAAAAAAAGATAAAGAATCAGTACTTAGCCCTAAAGAAATGTACAAACTGCCTGACAAATAATTTAAATTATCTTCAAGAAACTCAGTGAGCTACAGGAGAGCACATATAGAAAACTAAACAAAATGTATAGTTCACAAGAAAAAATAAGAAATTCAACAAAGAGAAACAATTAAAAAAGAAACAAAGTTCAGGAGCTAAAGAACAGAGTGAACAAACTAAAAAATTTCATTGAGAGCTTCAACAGAAGACTTGATAAAGCAGAAAAAAGAATCTGTCAGCTTGAAGACAGGTCACTTGAAATTACCCAATGAGACCAAGGGAAGAAAGAATGAAAGAGTAAACTAAGCTTACAGGGCTTACAGGACACCATCAAACCAGCCAAAGCATACATTACGTCCCAAAGGGGCAGATGAAGAGATAGGGGCAAAAAGCTTATGTGAAGAAATAGTGACAGAAAACTTCCCAAATCTGGAGAGATGAATATACAAATGGATCCATGAAGCCCAAAGAACCTCAAATATAAAGAAATCTTTACTCAGACATCATAAAATTGTCAAAGACAAAGAATCTTGAAAGCAGTAAGAGAAAAGTAACTCATCACACACAAAGGAACTTTCATGAGACCATCAGCAGATTTTCAGTGGAAACCATCCAGGCCAGGCGGACATGGGATGATATATTCCAACCGTGAAAGAAAACAACTGTCAATTAAGACTACTATATACAGAAGGCTGTCCTTCCAAAATGAAGGCAAGATAAGGACTTCCTCAGACAAACACAAGCTATGGCATTTCACCATCACTAAATCTGCCTTATAAGAAATGCCAAAGGAAGTTTTTCCAGGTTAAACGAAAGGATGCTACCAACACAAAAACAGATTAAAATATAAAATGCAAAGTAAAAATAG
Organism: Homo sapiens; assembly: GCF_000001405.40. Classification (NCBI taxonomy): domain Eukaryota; kingdom Metazoa; phylum Chordata; class Mammalia; order Primates; family Hominidae; genus Homo; species Homo sapiens. Next base: position 46,182,032 of record NC_000015.10, on the reverse strand, counting down.
GAGTATTATCAAATTCAGATTACTCTGATACTGTATTACTTATGTTTGGTATTAATCACTTTTATTGTGTTATAAAAGCTAAAAAACAAAAATAATTCTAGGCACAATAACTGTGGTAATGGGAAGATTGTATAAAAAGATGTAAATTGTGAAATAAAAACATAAAAAGTGAGGGGAGGAGAAGTTAAAGTATAGAGTTTTTGTACACAGTCAAAGTTAAGTTGCTTATCAGTTTAAAATATGGTTACCCAATACTATAAAAGATATTTCTGTGAGCTTTAGGGTAACCACAAAGAAAAACTAAAGTAGATATGCAACAGATAAAGAAATCAAAGAAAGCCGCTAGAAATAAATAAATTACAAAGTAAGACACTGATACAGTTTGGATATTTGTCCCCTCCAAATCTCATGTTGAAATTTGATCCCTAATGTTGGAAGTAAGGCCTAGTGAAAGGTGTTTAAGTCAGAAGGGCACATCCTTCATGAATGGTTTAGCGTTGTCCTTGCAATAATGAGTGAGTTGCCACTCTATGAGTTCAAGGAAGAGCTTGTTGTTTTTCAAAGCCTGGCACACCCTTCCCCCCTCCCTTGCTCCCTCTCTTTCCATGTGACACACTGGTTCTTTTCACCTCTCAATATGACTGGAAGCTCCCATAAGCCCTTACCAGGAGCAGATGCTGCTGGTGGCATGCATCTTATACCGTCTTCCAAACTATGGGGAAAACCAGTCTCTTTTCTTTATAAATTACCCAGCTTCTGTTATTCTTTCACAGCAGCACAAAACAGACTAACAGACACCAAGAGAGGAAGAATAGAACAAAGGAACTACAAAACATTAAAAAAAAAATGGAATAGGATGTTATTTCCTACCAAAAATTACATTAAATTTAAACAAATTACCCAATCAAAAGAATCAAAGAGCTACCCAGGAATTAAAGAACACATTGAGTAAGCAAAAGTGATTTATGCCACACATAAGTTACCCAATCAAAAATTACCCATTCATACAGTAGCTAAATGAATCTTTAAAAAAGATCCAGCTATATGCTGCCTATAAGATAGTCATTTTTAGGTTTAAGAACAAATATAGGCTGAAAGTAAATAGATAGAAGGAGATATTCTATGCAAATCATAACCCAAAGAGAGCATGGGTAGCTATATTAATATCAGACAATATAAAAGTGAAGTCCAAAACTGTAACAAGAAACAAGGGCATTATATAGCAATAAAAGTGTCAGTTTATCAAAAGGATGTAACAATTTCAAATATATGTCACCCAACATTGGAGCACTTAATTTATAAAGCTAATATTAATATAACTGAGGGGAGAAATAGACAGCAATACGATAATAGTAGGGTACTTCAATACCTCACTGTTAGCAATGGACAGATCATCCAGACAGAAAATCAATAAGAAAACAGCAGACTTAAACAACACTATAGACCAAATGGCCCTAACAGATATATAAAGAACATTCCATCAAACAGCAACAGAAAAAATTCTTTCCAAGTACACATGAAACATTCTCCAGGTTAGATCATGTTAGGCAACAAAAATGTCTTAACAAATTTAAGAAGACTGAAATTATATCAAGTTTTCTTCCCAACTATAGTGGCATGAAACTAGAAATCAATACTCGGAAGAAGATTGGAAATTCACAAATACATGGAATTAAAAATATACTCCTGAACAATCAATGGGTCAAAAAAAAGAGAAATAAAAAATATATTAAGACAAATAAAATAGAAAACACTATATCCAAACTTTTGGTATTTAGCAAAAGCAGTTCAGAAGGAAGTTTGTATAAATGCCTGTATTAAAGAAGAAAGAAAAATCTCAAAGAAACAACCTAAATTTATACCTTAAGAACTATAAAAAAGACCAAACTATGACCAAAGTCAGCAGAAGGAAGGAAATAATAAAGACCAGAGCAGAAATAAGACACGAGAAAAATAATGGGAAAAAAATCAATGAAACTGAGTTTTTTAAAAATAAAATTGACAAACCTTTAGCTAGACTAAATAGGTAAACAAAGAAGACTCAAGTAAAATTATAAAAGAGGAGATATCACAACTACTATCACAGAAATACAAAGAATCATAAGAGACTACTGTGAGCAATTATATGCCACCAAATTGAATGACATAGATGAAATGGAAAATTTCCTAGAAACATACAACCTACCAAGATATCATGAAGAAAAAGAAAATCTGAGAAGACCAAAAATGAGTGGGGAGATTGAATCCATAATCAAAAATCTCCCAACAAAGAAACTCTCAGGACCTGGGGACTTCACTCGCATATTTTATCAAACATTCAAATAATTAATGCTGATCCTTCTCAAACTGTTCCCCAAACATGATGACTGGAAATACTTTCAAATTCATTTTAGAAGGCCAGCATTATCCTGATACTAAAGCCAGACAAGGACACTACAGAAAAAAAAGAGTTATAAGCCACTATCCATGATGAGTATACACACAAAAATCCTCAACAGAATACTAGCAAAATGAATTAAACAGGACATTATAGCAATCATAGTATATGATCAAGTGGGATTTATTTCTGGAACGCGATGATGTTTTAACATACACGAATCAATAAATGCAATACACCACTTTAACAAAATGAAGTATAAAATTTATATGATCATCTGATAAAGAAAAAGCATTTGACAAAATTCAACATCATTTATGACATAAATTCTCAACAAATTAGGTACAGAAAGACTTGTACCTCAACATAATAAAGGCCATATATGACAAACTCACCACTAGCCTAATATTTAACAGTGAAAACCTGAAAGTATTTCCCCTAAAATCAGGAACAAGACAAGGATCCCCACTCTCACCACTTCTGTTCAATGTATTACTAGAAGTCCTGGCATGAGCAATTAGGTAAGAAAAAGAAAAAAAAAAAAGGCTTCCAAATTGGAAAGGGAGAATTAAAATCTTCTGTTTGCAGATGACATATTATATACAGAAAACCCTGAAGACCTTACCAAAAACCGTTAGAACAAATGAACAAATTCAGTAAAGTTGCAGGATACAAAATCAACATGCAAAAATCAGTAGTGTTTCTATATGCTAACAGTGAATAAATTAAGAAAACAATCTCATTTACAATAACATCGAAAATAAAATTTAATTCTTAGGAGTAAATTTCACCAAGGAAGTGAAAGATCTGCATACTGAACACAATAAATATTAATAAAAGAAATTAAAGACCCAAAAAATGAAAAGATATTCCATGTTCAAGGATTGAGTGAATATTGTTAAAATGGTCATACTACCCCAAAGCAATCTAACCCCTATCAAAATTCTAATGAAAATTTTCACAGAAATACGAAAAAGTATTCTTGAAATTCGCAATGCTGTGACACTTGCCTCTTCTGACTTTCAAATTTCTGTAACCCACCTCAGGATTATTAGGAGCTTATAAGCTGCTTTACAACATTAACAACTGCCATAGTCGAAGCAAATGTTTGACGCACTGGTTATAAGGTAAAATCTAGGGCCTGATTTCCCCATTCCCATCAAGCGACATCATGTGGTTTCATTCCAGAAATAATGGTTTTCCTTGCAGAGTTCAAAGAATTATTACAGTAAAACCCTACAATTTTGTTGCCATAAGATAAATTCATTTTGTCTAGCTTCACTAGAGTATTTTGTAGCTCTCCAACAAAGTGATCCTGTCTAATAGCATTGCTTCCTTGGGAACTGACATTCCTGAATCTATAACAGATTCATCACTGGCAATGCTGTCAAGCTACACTGAGTATAGAGGCCAATATGTAGTGAGCAAATAATCCACTAAACTAATTTCTTTTGCAAAAGACTCATTAACTAAGAAACCAAAATTAAAAGGCTATAGCAGTCATAATATTTGGAGATAAAATAGCTATAGACAAGGAATTACACATGAAGTCCAGGCAGATCAAAGCTGATGCAAGTCCCCTTCCTAACAGAAAGTTTGGGGAGTAGAGGCGGGGTGGGGTACAGCTCTGGTATGACTTAGTAGAATATTGCTAGGCTATAAGGAATTAAAAAAAAAAAAAAAACCTATGATTGATTTCTTTTTTCGTCAAACTTCTGTTCAGGCTGTTTTCTGTGATTCAACATTAAATGTTGGTTTGAAATTGTAAAACATAAACCAGGCTGCTAGAGCTAAAAATTAATCCAAAAAGAAAACAAAGCATCTATACAGAATACGCAAAAACTAACCAAGACCTGGCTCAATTCTACTAATTCTTCATCCCTTAATTTCTCATTGAGAAATCAGAGCATTGAGAGGTTGTAAGTAGAAATGGAGATGGTCTTGTTTGAGTGGCATTGAAAGATGAGCCTGGAAGAGGAATTTTGGTGCAAGTAGTAATTTCAGAGATGATACCAAGATGCTCGAGTAAGGAAGCAGGGAGAGTGAAACAGTGAGAGAGGGAAAGACAATGAAGTGTTTGAGAAATTGGCGATTCACTTTTTCAGCCACTATACCCCTTCTCCATGATTCTTTCATGTCTGCAAGATGGTTTTCAATTCCCCAGTAGAAAGTAGGATCCTACTCTAACCTTCCTTGAGGTAAGCAAAGTATTCCTGTTTTCTCACTTACACTGACCTTGGTGCTGAAACAGAGTTCTAAGCAGAGGAAAGGAAGGCTTCTCTAGGAACTCACTTCCGCACAACTGATACTGTATGCTCTCTTCTGTCCCCAAAGAATAGGAACAGTTCCTCTGGGTTCTGTCACTCACTACTCAGAGCAAGCAGAAAATACCTGTCCTGAAAGTTCTGTGATATTAAAATATCACCCCCTTAAATTTCACTGAGGTACTTAACTGAGCATGAGGGTCAATGTGAGAGAGACTGACTTTGAGAATAAGGCTCAAATGTGACACAGGTTCTAACCTGGAATCTAAATGAGGCCCCTTCTTCAGACGTGAGACTGTCATTCAATTCATAAAGTTCCTAATGTTGGTATGCTCTAGTCCAGGGCCAAGATCCTTGGGCACTGACAGAAGCCAGGGTCTCTTAATGTTTCTGAAGTTCTAACTATGTCAAACACAATACAACAAAACCTAGACCTCATTTTGTAATCCTGTTTCTTCATTCCTTTATTCTAAGTGTTTATATTTAATGATGCTATTTAACAGTATAGTTCATACTATACTGAATATATGAAACTCAATTTTGAGTCTGAATCCTGATTATAGTTGCTTAACAGTATTACAATATAAACTAAACCTCTTGAGCTGTTTTCTCAGAATCTGCTAAAGCTTGAAGTCCACAGAGCAGGCAGTCAGGAAGGGAAGATAGATTTGAAGTTGGAGAAATCAAGAACAAGCTGATCTCATAAGCACAAGCTGGAACCCCACAAGGACAAATGAAAATCCGTGTCAGTTCTTGCTGCCTCTGACCTTGGTGATGAGGATGTCCTGCAGAATCCAGGGTCCTTCACAGAATTAAATACACATACCTAATCCAGGACTTACAGAAGCCAAAGAGGAAACCAGGGAAAGGTAAAGGAGTCACAAGCCCAGCTGCTGCTTTATGCCAAGGAAGAACGTCAGCAGATAAGCAATGACATGTGTAAATTACACAGTGGTTGCTGGTTCCTCTCTGCCCTCTAAATATCCCAAGATTCTCCCCTGTGGCCCATTTTTTTTAACTGGAAACACACAAGAATAAATTATGGGAAATATAGCCTAGCCAAATACACACTACAAAGCCAGCACAGAACTAAACACATTTAATTCACTTTTTAACACCTTTAATTTAGGGTTTCTTTTCTAGATCCAGTGACATTAATGTCTTTTAGTTACCGATTTACCTGATCTAGAGGTAGGTTTTTTTTGTTTTGTTTTGTTTTCTTCAAACAAGTGTTAAACTATTGTGCCTCTAGTTCATATAATTGCCTGAAAGAGAAAGTTATTCCTTGAATTCAAAGCTCATCTATTCCCTCTGTTGGGAATCTCCCAAAGATATGCTCATCCTTCCCTCAGATCAGAACCCTATTGATGTATTGAGGATGTGTCTTTCTTATTACAATTAACCCTGTTCCCCACCAAGACCTTCAGATATTAATCTTTCATCACACCAGCTGAATGTAACACATACTCCCCTATTCAGAACTGAAGTGACTCTGTATCTGAGTTAGGAAAAAATCCCAAGACTTCCCCCTCCACTGGAGCTTGGTCCTTGTGACTTTGTCTTCTCTTGATACCCTCGACGTTCCCTACTCCAAAGGTACACTCATGAAACTGCCCAATGGCCTAGGCGTCACTCAAAAGTGCTGCCCTCAGAGCAGTTTATTCATTAACCAGTTTCCATGGTCTACTTCTGCTCTAATGTGTGGCTTTTGCAGTACTACAAAATACTGCAGTGTTTATTTACTAAGGCCCTAAAAGGCCATCCTAGTGTCATCTATTAGGATCGGTGGCCCTATTTCCCCTTGTTCTACTGAATATCGGTACTTGATGCTTCTCAACTTTCTGATGTTTCTATTTCTTTATATGATCTGTGATTCTGATTCGTCAGAAGAGGAGATAAGTATAGAGGATGAGGTCTATTGCTAAACATGGCGTGTATGTTTCAGGTTTGTGGAGCACTGAAAGCAATTTCAGTAGCAAGGCAATGTTGAGCTAACTCTGCCACCTGTCTTTCCTGAATTAGTCTATCCAGCATGAAGAAGGTATGTGATAGAAATGTGAACCAGCTCTTTCAGTGCTTGAGAGGATCATGTGAATTGAGGAATCTGTCTTAGGCAGAACTGTGTCTGTCATTTGGAATAACCTTGACTTTAGTGGCTTAACCACTAATTACTCAGGATAGAACGATTTAACCATAGGAGCTCTAAACACTGAGCAATGCAGATACGATAACAAAAGCTTCCATTAACTTTTCATTACATAAATTTTCATGGAGCCAATATACTCACATATAGAAATGGAAGTGGATGTTCATCTCAAGCAAGTTGTTCTTCCAATATTATGTATGCTACCCATACATTAAGGCATAGCAATACCTAGGAGAGGCAAACAGTTTCCACTTGCCTACTGTCTGAGATTAGCTTAGATTTCCTCAGAAGCAGATCGTGAGACAAGGTCTCAGTTACAAGTGGTTTACTTGGGAAATGTTCTCAGGAAATACTAGTGTAGAGATATAAGAAAGGAAAGGAAGGAAACTACTAATGGCACATAGCATATAAGTTACCACTGGGGAATTCTGTGAGTTAAAGAAATCCAAGGTGGGTCAGGCAGGCATGGCCTACCTTGAGTGCCTCTACTGTGCTCACTCAATGGCTAGGAGGAGCCCTGGGGAAGACTGGACGTGGCATGGATACCACCATACATCCAAAGCTGTGCAGTGCATGCTCCCCCACTACCAGCAATTAACAAAGGCACGTCTGAGAAAAATACCTCCATGGCATCTGTTCCTCATTTAATTATTGAAGATATGGCAATTCATGATATGGCAAAGAATGTGTTCAAGATCTAGGTGACATTCAAGTATCAGCAGTTATTTTATTACCTTTGGATCTTCAGAGAACAAATCTCTGTTTTTAGGGTGTGATGTCTATCCAAAAGGCCATTGTACTTGACTATCTCAAGACCTTAGCCCTAACTATTCCTCTCCACCCACCTTCCTAAACCCAAATTGACCCACTATCTGCTATGCAGTGGCCCCAGTATTGCATCATCTCTTGTGATTAACTCAATGTCAATTTCCTCATACTTTCTGAGAATATAAATGGTGAAAAATTCTGGGAACAAAATTGAACTTTGAACTTCTTCAATCTAACCCATAAAAGCTTTAAGCTATTGTTCCCTGAAGAGCAGTCATCTTGAGCTGTTCTCTCATAAACGTGAAGACTTGAGATAACCGCTTGGTGGGTTTTTCTCCTTCAACCATTCTCTGGCATTCTTTTTCAGTGTTTTTAAATAAATATGAGATGGCATTAATTTTTAAAGAATAGCTGTTTTACCAAGATTTGAATGGATGACAAAAAAAAAAAGAATCCTCTCTGGTAAATTTCAGAAGCATTGATGAATTTGGAAGTTACTTTATAATGTATAAATCTCCATTCCCTCTGCACCACTCAAATTGGAGGAGGGACACATAAAAGTAACCACCAGAAGTAAATTTTCCTTGAACTTAGTCAACACGTATTTTGGTAGTTTCCTCTCCAAAATTTTTATTCTGAAACCCAAGTAACATAGGACATCAGAAAGACAAAATCTAAAAGTGCTGGAAGAGCATATTATTGGTGGCATAGAAAGTTTTTACCCCACTTTATTTCTCCTCCTAGCAGTTTGTATTTTAACATCTCAGGCCTCTCTGCAGTGTGAAGTTGATCAATTTCTGTCATTCATTTAGTTGAATAAAACCCTCTGGGTGTTATCTATCATCAAATAAACACTTCTTTATAACTGGATCATCCTGACCCAGGAGAGAATTGCAGGTTGAAATCCCCATGGCCTCTCTCTGACTCATTTTAATAAATGGAAAGGACCATTTCCCCCGTCCCCACCCTGTCAAGCTGCATCCATGTTTTAACACCTGCTTGAACAAAGCAAAGCCCAGTACAAAAGGAGATAGAAGTGTCTGAAGATTATCTCTATTTCTTGCTTCACTCTCTATCCTGATTTAAATTGTGTTTGATTTTACACAGGTTTATTGAACACTTGAGATCATAGGGAGAGTTCCGTAAACACGCTATAAATTTTCTTTGATCCCCTCCCTGAAAATCAACACAAATTACATAATACCTGGGACAAGATCATTATAGAGATTACAAGTATAGTTTTTGCTGGAAGATTGGAGATCAAATATCATAATTCTATATAGTTCAGTATAGGACTGTTCCATATATGTAAAAGGAATGAATAAAACAGAAGAGATGATCATACAGGTAGGAAATTGAAGACAGACTCTCTAGTCTGGTAGACAGAAACACCATTTAAAAATGTAAAATCATTTCTCTCCTTGGGAAGCAGACATAGTTCTAAGAGGTGACTGCGGGACTTTTGATGGGGTGGAGGAGGCTCAACTAAAACTACCCTTCAAAGATACTTAACTAGAAGTGCATTTTCTCTGCAAATACTGCTCCACTAAAAAGTCACCTATCCTCTCTTACTGCAAACCAAGTTGCCATCCCAAACCCTCGGTATCCTTGGTGCAACTGTAGAGTATCTATACTTTCTAAAATAACAGTGAAATAGCAGTGGCCTGAAGAAGCATTCTAACTTCAGTGTACAGTAGATTTCGGTGTGCCACATCAGCCGTTACCTGAAGGTAGCTTGTTGAATATCCTTCAGAACATTTTCCTCAGTGAACTTCTCATTAAGCAATAGCTGTGATGATCTCAGAAATAAGAAGGAACCAATGAGGTCAATTTAGTTGCATAGAAAAATTATATTTTTAATAATGTCTTTAGTGCATTTTTGGTTCTTTTACTTAGACACCGTCCTTCACAGACAACAACTTGTATATAAAGGAATATGAATTAGTCCTCTGAATCAAAGTCATTAGAAATTTGACCTCAGCCCTAAAGAATTAATTTCTCCATTTTCAAGGAAAAAGTTAAGCCAGTTGATGAGGCTTTTGGCCCAGTCATGCTGCCTTCCTCAGTCCTCTAGGCCACGTGATCCAAGGGAGCTCACCTTGCTATGTGGGATGTAGATAGAGAGGCTGTGAAATTTCATGGCAAATTAAGGAGAGAGAGAAATATTACAAACACTGTCTCTAAGAATTTTGTATAAGTTGTTGCCTGTAGTTGGGATTCCTTTTAGGTCAGTGTCATTGATGCCATGTGCATTCCTAGAAAGTCCAATGACTGATTCCTGATGGCCTTTACTCAGTATTGGGTCATCTCAATGTAGGGATCATAAAAGATGGTACTAAGTGTTCTCTAACATTACTGGTATTATTGCCTATTTCATTCAGGGGTAAAGCACTGGTTTCAGGCTTGGTCCCATTTAATTCCTAGACAGATTTTTCTTCTAAAGCAATAAAAAGTTTTCCTTGATTTTTTTCTGACAGGAAATTACTATTCATGGTGCCTTAGGAAGGCACTTATAGGTTGGAAGTGGACTTATAAAAGTGGGCTTAGGACCCTGACACCTCTCTATTTCTAGATATTTAGTAACAAACCTCAAGATTTTCAGATGCCTTGTGTGCTGTGAGAAATGCAAAAAAACTCCCAGCACAAACAATTCTGTCCAATCTCCCACACCAAAAGAGTTGGCCAAACTGTAGCATGGCCTCTGCTAGCCTAAGATCATATGTATAAGAGGAATGAGCCTCCCTTGAGTTCCTGCCTGGGAGAGGTCAAGACTGCCAAAAAAAATTTTTTTACTGTTTGTTTCAGCCAATATCTAGAGATAGGCTTCTAATCTCTCTTTTCTTAGGCAATTTACTTTCGAAAACACACAATTATAAATCCTTTCTCTGTCTCTTTGACATGTATATGTATAGTCCACAACCCAGGAATGGCTTTCTCAAGAACCAGGGAGCCATTCTTCTGAAATGTAGTCATCAAAAAGAATAGGGCTTCTGGTGTCCTTGTCTCTGTGGAAGGATAAGAGCTTAACTTCAATAAGCACCAGTTTGCAGACACAGATAACAGAGAGACTAATCACATTTCTTAAAGTCTTTCAGTACTTTTCCTTTAGCACACTCTACATTTAAAAGGCCTCCTGCCTTTTGCTTCTTAGGATTGAGGAATTAAGCTCAGGTTACACTGAGGTCTCTCCCCTATTGCAATAGTACTGGATAAAATCTATCTTACAGTGGCTGGCTTTGTTTCTGTTGGACAGCTGATTCACTGTATTAAAACAAGTAATCTAAGTGTTTATTTGCCTTGACTGTGCTATTATTAGAGTATGCTTCCATGGATAATAAAACTAAGACAAATATTGATATCATGTTATTTATATGGAAAGAAGAAAGACAGTGCTAGGGAAGTGGGAAGGTAATCGAGGGAAGTGAAAATAACTATAAAGGGCCCAATCATCCACTGTGATACTGGCTAAAAACCACAGTTTAATAGTATAGGGGAGTTATGGGAGATGCTATGCCACATTTCTCATGTCTCAATTATTCAAGCAAAGAAGTGAGAGAGCTGAGCTATTTGTATCTCCTGCCTGTCAAAAGTTAAAGGCTGCATGTACCGAAACAGATGTTAGTTCCCATGAATAGCGCAGGTGATATGTTCCAAGATCCCCAGTGGATGCCTGAAACTGCAGATAGTACTGAGCCCTACACATACTACATTTTTTCCTATACACACATACTAATAAGGTTTAATTTATAAATTAGGCACAGTGAGAGATTAACAATAAAAATAAAATAGAACAATTATAACAATATACTATAATAAAAGTTATACAAATATAGTCTCTTTCCCTCTCTCTCTCTCAAAATATCTTATTGTACTCTACTCACCCTTCTTCTTGTGATCTGTCAATCTAATAACTGTGATGGCTACTGAATGACTAATGGGTGGGTAATGTACACAGCATGGATATGCTGAACAAAGGGATCATTCATGTCCTTGGTGGAACAGAGTGAGACGGCATGGAATTTTATACTGCTACACCAAACAGCATACAATTTAAAACTTGTGAATTATTTCTGGAATTTTGTATTTAATATTTTCAAACTATAATTAACCATGCGTAACTGAAACCAAGGAAAGTGAAACCATGGATAAGCGGGTACTACTATAATTCCTACCTTCTGGTCATGTAGGAAAATTTGTTCTTGATGGCACAAGGACAGCATTCTGAGAATAAAGCAGGTCCTGGCCATTGGAAATCAGGCTGGCATGCATAGAAAAGTCAATGTGATCAAAGAGGTGTAGGGAAAATATCTGCTATACTGGTTATAAACAGAAACCTAAATATTGAGATGCTTCCCTACCTGCCCCCATGAATATCCTGCAGCTTCATCAAAAAATGTGGGAAACTAGAAATTTATGCATGTTACTCTAGAAACTCCTGCACGTTACTCTAGAAACTCTAGGGCAATGTTGAGTCACTATATTCTAATATCAACAGATCCATCACAGGCATCCTAGTTAAATAAGAACTATTTAAATCTACATAAAAAAAACTAAACTAAAAATTCCACACAAAAAAACTATTAGAACTGATAGACAAATTCAGCAGAGTTGCAGGATGCAATATGAATACATTAGTTACATCTCTATACAAAATCAGTTACATCTCTATATAGTAACAATAAAGACTCCAAATAAGGGATTAAAAAGCAATTTCACTTATAATAGCATTAAAAAATTCTCCCTGCCCTTAAGAAGGTACTTTGTAATATTCTCCTCCCGCCCTTAAGAATGTACCTTGTACACCTATCCCAAACCTATAAGAAGTCATGATAATCCCACCACCCTTTGCAGACTCCTTTTTCGGACTCAGCCCGTCTGCACCCAGGTGAGATAAACAGCCTTGTTGCTCAAAAAAAAAAAAAAAAAAAATAGCATTAAAAAGAATCAAATACTTACTAATTAACTAAGAAATCAAATGACTTGTACACTGAAAACTATGACTGCTGAAAAAAATTAAAGGAAACATAAATAAATGAAAAGATAATCTATGTTCACAGATTATGAAATTTAATATTCTTAAGACACCAATACTACCCAAAGTGATCTACAGATCCAATGCAATCCCAATGATTTTTTTTTTTTTGCAAAAGAAAAATCTATCCTAAAATTCCCATGAAATCTCAAGGGACCATAAGCAGCAAAAATATCGTGAAAGAAGAAACAAAATCAGAGGATTCACATTTCCTGATATCCAAACTTTCTACAAAGTCAGTAATCAGTGTGGTTCTGGCATAAAGACATATAGACCAATCAAATAAGTTGAAAGAGTCCAGAAATAAACCCTTGCATACATGGCCAAATGATTTTTGACAAGCGTGCAAGATCATTCAGTGGGAAAACGACAGTTCTTTCACCAAATTATGCTTGGAAAACTGGATATGTACAGGCAGAAGAATGAAGCTGGACTCTTACAACATATACGAACATCCATAACATAAGAGTTCAAAGTATAAAGTCTTTTTTTTTTTTTTTTTTTTTTTGAGATGGAGTATCACTCTTGTTGCCCAGACTGTAGTGAAGTGGCACGATCTCGGCTCACTGCAACCTCCGCCTTCTGGATTCAAGCGATTCTTCTGCCTCAGCCTCCTGAGTAGCTGGGACTACAGGTGCCTGCCATCATGCCCGGCTAATTTTTTGTACTTTTAGTAGAGACAAGGTTTCACCATGTTGGCCAGGCTGGTTTTGAACTCCTGGCCCCAAGCAATCCGTCTGTCTCAGCCTCCCAAAGTGCTGGGATTACAGGAGTGAGCCACCATGCCCAGACAAAAGTATAAAACTCTTATTAGAAAACAGGCGAAAAGGATCATGACGTTGAGCTTGGCAATTATTTCTTGGATATAACATCAAAAGCACAGGCAACAACAACAAAAAATAGATAAAATTAAACTTCATCAAAACTGAAAACATTGTGCACCAAATGACACTATCAGCAGAGTAAAAAGGCAACTAACACTGGAGAGAAAGTATTTTCAAACCATAGACCTGATGAGATTAATATCCAGAATATATAAAAAACTCCTACATCTCAACAACAAAAAGTAACAGCCCAATTCAAAAAATGGGCAAAGGACTGGAATAGGCCATTTCTCCAATGAATATATACAAATGACCAATAAACACATGAAAAATGCTTGACATCATTTATCATTAGGGAAATACAAATCAAAACCACAATGAGATACTCCAGACCCTTTAGAAGGGCTAATAATGGAAAAAGTAAAAGAAAAAAAATAGTATTGGCAAGGATGTTGAGAAATTAGAACTCTTGTGCACTGCTGGTGGGAATGTAAAATGGTGCAGCCATTATGGAAAATGGTAGGCTGGTTAAGAAATTAAACATAGAATTGCAACATGATTCAGCAATCCCACTTATGGTTATATTCAAAAAATTGAAAGGAAGTATTTAAACTAATGTGTGTATATCTGTATTCATAGCAGATTTATTCACAATAGCAAAGAGACAGAAGCAACCCAAGTGTCCATCAATGGATTAATGGATAAATAAAATGTGGTGTACACATACAATATAATATTATTCAGCCCCGAAAAGGAAATTCTAACACATGTTACAACCTGGAGGAAACTTGAAAACATTACAGCGAGTGAAATAAGCCAGACACAGAAGAACAAATAGTGTATGATTCCACTTATGTGAGGCACCCAGATCAGTCAAATTCATAGAGGTAGAAGTAAAATAGTGGCTACTAGGGGCTGGAAGGAGGGAAAATGAGGAATCCTTGTTTAATGAGTACAGAGTATCACTTTGGGAAGATGAAAAATTTCTGGAGACAGACAGAAATGATGGATGCACAACAATGTAAATGTACTTAATGCCACTAAGCTGTACACTGAAAAATAGTTACGATGTTAAGTTTTATGTTATGTATATTGTATCACACACAAATACACACTATGTATATATGTGTTCTCTACTATATATAGTGTGTGTACATATATATGTATATATGTGTGTATATATACACATATGTACATATATATGTAAATATGTGTGTATATATACACATATGCACACATGTGTATATACATATGTATATATAACATGCATGTATATGTACACACATGTATATACATACATGTATCATACATATACATACATGTATATACATACATGTATATATACATATATACATACACATATGTGTATGTATATATGTATATTTCTGTTGGGTGGCACACATTTCACCAATGAATTCCTTAACTCTCCAGGATGCTGAGACAATCAACTTAGTGGTATTCTCTAGGAAGATGACAATAGTCTGGTCCATCAGCATCAGTGCCATTAACTGCCCTAGGTGTAAATTTCCAGTTGTAGGTAGCAAAGGAGTGGGCCATGCCAAAGATTAATTAACCAATAATCCAAAACGAAGGAAGTAATTGTAGAGAAAGTGAGAGAGAGGTGTGAAACAAGAACTTACTAAATTGCAAGTGAATCAAGGGCTGGTTGTGCCTGGTGGCTTGTTAAGGTACTGCTAGGTTGTAAAAACAGGGATCCTTTAAATCCAGAGAGATATTCAGTTAATTATACATCTTTATTCATAACAAAGCATTTTCTCAGAACCTTATGTATGGTCCAATATTAGTTTTGGCTTGAACTGGTAAAACAAAAACTGAGCTGCCAACACAAAGATTGAACTTGGGTAGTCAGGAAGCCAGTGGGAAAACCAAGTAGCAACACAGAATACACAAAGTGCAAGGAAAACCTGGATTAATGTATTGGTTCTTCATCAGGTAATTTCTCAGAAAGCCAAGACACTTACAGGCTGTAGAAGGGAAGTAAAGACTGTGTGACTAAATTGGGAGGCATTGAAAAGGACACCCGAGACAGACAACTGAACGCAGATAATTGGCTTGGGAGGTGATCCCAGGATGCCACAGGGGTGGCAGCAGGGAGAACAAGACAGGGAAGAAGAGACAATGAAGACTGGCGCTGTGAGCAAACAGAGTTCAAAGTTCCTGGGAACTTTCAATGTTAAGGACATTAGGATCCACTGACCAGTCTTGTGTTGAAGGACAAACAGATTCAAGTGTCAGGCAAGCTCATCCAAGTGGACCATGGCATAATAAATATTCTATCAACTATAAGTTAATTCATCATTCTTAAATATCTTAAAATGTTTCATTGTCTCCTAAGAAGAGATTTAGTGGGTCAATATTTATTATCTGCTTCTAATTTCTACCTCAACCTTCCATATGAGTATAATAATGACAAGGCTCACCTTGTGTAACATCGTTGGAAAAGGAATAAGTCTATATCTTAGCCCTATCTCTACACACAATAGGAGGCAGTGTTCTACAAAATTGCCAGTTTGTTACCTGTTTGGCTTAGAAAGACTCATGGCCACTTAAGATGTAATTGTTTGTCCCAGCAAAACCTGACCTTTAGGACGGTGACCTTAAACAGCATTTTCAAAAAAATCTAAAAGTTGCTAATCAATTTCTCTTAAAAAATAAAAAAATAGTTATCCCAACAAACTAACAAACTTAACATGTTTTTCCCCAGGCCCACTATTTTCTTGATCAAAGTCCACTCTCCAGCTGAAATAATTTCTTTTAATATCTTCTTCCTGTTTGGTGAAAACACCTTAAAAAATAAAGTACCACCATAAGAATTGTATGGGAAACCTAAAAAATCATGTTGCCTACTCCTGGTCTCTCCATTCTTGTCCATCCATCTTCCCTTTGTCCATCCTCCAACATAGTTCTCACTTCCTAATCTACATTCTGTACTTATTTTGGGCAGCATTTGGGAACTCCGAGTCTCGGTACTGTCACTGTCTTAACACGTTAAAATTGGAAGAGTAGGTGAAAATGGAAGTAAAATTAAAGGAAGATACTCTAGAGTCTGGGTAACTAGAAACACTGTTTTAAGATATAAAATAATTCCTCTGATTCCCATACAATGGCAGCTCCAAAGAGTGACTATGCAACGGTAGAAGAATCTTACCTGAAATTATCCTTCTAATAAACCAAATGTGTTCTTGCTCTACAAATACAACTTCATGAAAAGCCACCTTAGTCACTTCGGCTGTACACCAAGTTACCAATCCAAATCCCCAGTGCCCTTTATGCAATTATGGAGCATTTATACCTGCCAGAATAACCATGGGATAGCTGTGGTATGAGAAATTACTCTGAGCAGAATGTGGGGTATCTTCCAATATTTTATAGCATCTGTGACCTGAAGATTATTCTAGCTTTTCAAGTATCTTTCAGGATGTTTTCCTTCCTAAATCTCTTATTAACCAATAGCTGTGATAACCTCAGAAATTGGAAAGTATAAATGAAGTCAATCTACTTGCATAGAAATTATATTTTTATTCATGGTTTTTATGTGTTTTGAGCTCATTAAATTAGACCACCAATCTTCACAGACAGTAATTTGAACACAAAGGGTTACCAGTATGTTTGAACTGTTCTCTGTTTTCTATGGAATGTATTTAATAGAAAGTTATCCTAGTGTATGGAATGTACTGAATGTCTGTAGAGCTGTCTTGTTATTTGAGGCATTCATAGCTACATAGGTGGCTCTGTAAGCTAAACCATGCAGATACCCTTGGGTCATGGGATAATGTTTTCTTTTCTTTTATATATACAGTTTTTATTTGAAGTCTGCAAGTATGGACAATATAATGCAAAAAGTTACGGAAAAATCAATGTCAGCATCATCTGAGCTCTTTCCCCCTAATGTAATCATGGCATTTGGACAACAGGTTTCCAAGCTCATCAGTGGTTCTTAAATGTCAAGTGCACCCTACTTAATCAGTACCTAACCCTTTCCTTGGCTCAATGAACTGCTAATATGTACCTTTACATATTAAAAATTTGTCTGTCCTTCCATATACATACTAACTGGATCATTTCATTTTAAATTTTTGTGGATACATGTTAGGTGTATATATTTATGGGGTACATGAGATGTTTTTAAACAGGCATGCAATGTGAAATAAGCAGACCATGGAGAACGGGTTTCATTCCTCTAAAGCATTTATCCTTTGAGTTATAAACAATCCAATTACACACTCTAAATTATTTTCAAATGTACAATTAAATTACTATTGACTGGCCGAGCATGGTGGCTCACGCCTTTAATCCCAGTACTTTGGGAGGCCCAGGCAGGTGGATCACCTGAGGTCAGGAGTTTGAGACCAGCCTGGCCAACGTGGTGAAACCCCATGTCTACTAAAAATACAAAATACAAAAGTTAGTGGTGGACGCCTGTAATCCCTGCTGCCAGGGAAGCTGAAGCATGAGAATCACTTGAACTTAGGAGGTGGAGGTTGCAGTGAGCGGAGGTTGTGCCACTGTACTCCAGCCTGGGCGACAGAGTGAGATTCTGTCCAAAAAATAATAATAATAATATACTTATATATATGACTATAGTTACCCTGTTGTGCTATGAAATAGGTCTTATTCATTCTTTTTAACTATCTTTTTGTACCCACGAGCTATTCCCACTTCTCCCCTGCCCCTCACTACCTTCCCAGTCTCTAGTAATCATCCTTCTACTCTCTATGTCTATGAGGTCAATTGCTTTTATTTTTAGATCCCACAAATAAGTGAGAATATGCGATGTTTGTGTTTCTGTGCCTGGCTTATTTTGGTTAACATAATGATATCCAGTTCCTTCCATGTTGTTGCAAATGACAGGATCTCATTCTATTTTATGGCTGAATAGTACTCCATTGTGTATATACCACAATACTTTATCCATTTATCTATTGATGGACACAGGTTGCTTCCAAATCAGGTATTATATAAATAGTGCTGCAACAAACATAGGTGTGCCAATATCTTTTTGGTTTACTGATTTCCTTTCTTTGGGGTATATACCAGGGATGGGATGTCTGGATCACATGGCAGCTCAATTTCTAGTTTTTTGAAGAAACTTCAAACTGTGGTTGTATTAATTTACATTCCCACTAACAGTGAGGGTTCCCTTTTCTCCATATCCTCACTAGCCTGTCTTTTGGTTATAAGCCATTTTAACTGGGGTGAGATGATATCTCATTGTAGTTTTGATTTGCATTTATCTGATGATCAATGATGTTGAGCACGTTTTCATATGCCTGTTTGCCATTTGTATGTCTTCTTTTGAAAAATGTCTATTCAAATCTTTTGCCCATTTTTGTATCAGATTATTAGATTTTTTTCCTATACAGTAGTTTGAGCACCACGTATTCTGGTTATTAATCCCTTGTCAGATGGGTAGTTTGCGAATATTTTCTCCCATTATGTAGGTTGTTTTTTCACTTTGTTGATTGCTTCCTTTGATGTGCACAAGCTTTTTAATTTGATGTGAACCCGTTTGCCCATTTTTGCTTTGGTTGCCTGTGCTTATGGGGTATTGCTCAAGAAATGTTTGCCCAGACCTATGTCCTAGAGAATTTCCTAACTTTTCCTTGTAGTTTCATAGTTTGAGGTCTTAGATTTAAGTCCTCAATCCATTTTGATTTTTGTATGTAGTAAGAGATAAACATCTAGTTTCATTCTGCATGTGGCTATCCAGTTTTCCCAGCACTGTTTACTGAAGAGACTGTCTTTTCCCCAGTGCATATTCTTGGCACCTTTGTTGAAAATGAGTTCACCATAGGTGTGTGAATTTGTTTCTGGATTCTTTATTCTGTTCCATTGGTCTGTGTGTCTGTTTTTATGCCAGTACCATGCTGTTTTGGTTACTACAGCTCTGTAGTATAACTTGAAGTCAGATAATGTGATTCTTCCAGTTTTGTTCTTTTTGCTTTGGAAAGCTTTGGCTATTCTGGTTTTTTTGTGGTTCCACATAAATTTTAGGATGGTTTTCTCTATTTCTGTGAAGAATGTCATTGGTATTGTGATAGGGATTACATTGAATCTACAGATTGCTTGTGGTAGTATGGACATTTTAACAATATTGATTCTTCCAATCCATGAACATGGAAAATTTTTCCAGTTTTTGGTGTCCTCTTCAATTGATTATTTCAGTGTTTTACAGTTTTCATTGTAGAAATCTTTCACTTCTTTGGTTAAGTTAATCCCTGGATATTCCATTTTATGTGTGGCTATTGTAAATGGGATTACTTTTTAAATTCCTTTTTTACATTGTTCACTGTTGGCAGGTATAAATGCTACTGATTTTTGTTAATTTTGTATCCTGCAAGTTTTCTAAATTTATCAGTTCTAATCGTTTTCTTATGAGGTCTTTAGTTTTCATCAAATATCTTATTATTTGCAAACCCAGATGATTTGACTTCTTCCTTTCCAATTTGGATGCCTTTGTATCTTTCTCTTGTCTGATTGCTCTAGCTAGGAGTTCAAGTTCTATGTTGAATAACAGTGGTGACAGTGAGCATCCTTGTTTTCTTCCAGATCTTAGATGAAAGGCTTTCAGTTTTTTCCCATTCAGTATGATACTACCTGTGGGTCTGTCATATATGGCTCTTATTATGTTGAAGTATGTTCCTTCTATCCCCGGTTTTATGAGGGTTTATTGTCGTGAAACGACTGTGGATTTTATCAACTTCTTTTTCAGCATCAATTGAAATGATCATATGGGTTTTGTCCTTATCACATTGATTTGCATATGGTGAACCATACTTGCATCCCAGGGATCTATCCTACTTGGTCATGATGATCTTTCTAATGTATTGTGACATTTGGTTTACTAGTACCTTGTTGAAGATTTTTGCATCAACATTCAATACATCAAAATGTAGTGGGTTTTTTTATGTGTCTTTTGTTTTGGTATCAATAATACTGGTCTAGTAGAATAAGTGTGAAGTATTCTCGCCTCTATTTTTTGGAATTGTTTGAATAAGATTGGTATTAGTTTTCCTTCAAATGTTTGATAGAATTCACTAGTGAAGTCATCAAGTCCTGAGCTTTTCTTTATGGGATACTTTTTATTATGGTTTTGATTGTGTACTATTTATTGGTCTGTTCAGGTTTTGAATTTTTTCATGGTTCAATCTTGGTAGGTTTTACATGTCTAGGAATTTGCCCCTTTCTTCTACATTTTCTAATTTATTGGTGTGTAGTTGCTCATAATAGCCACTAACAATCCTTTGAATTTCTGCAGTATCAGTTGTAATGATAACTTTTTTACTTCTGATTTTAATATTTTCTGTTTTTTCTTAGCCTGGCTAAAATTTTATCAATGTTGTTTAACTTTTCAAAACAACAACTTTTTGTTTCATTGGTCTTTTTTATTGTTTTTTCATAGCAATTTCATTAATTTCTGCTCTGATCTTTATTATTTCTTTTCTTCACTAATTTTGGGTTTGCTTTTTCTTTTCTAGTTCTTTAAGATGCATTATTAGATTGTTCATTTGAAGCTTTTCCTCTTTTTCAGATGTAGGCTTTTATAACTGTAACCTTCCCTCTTAGTAGTGCTTTTGCTGTACCCTATAGATTTCAGTATATTGTGATATTATTCAAATTCCTTCTCAATTTTATTAACCTGCTGGCCATTAAGGAGCATATTATTTAATTTCCATGTATTTGTATAGTTTCCAAAATTCCTCGTTAATTTCTAGTTTTACTCCATTGTGGTCAGAGAAGATGCTTGATATAATTTGTTTTTTTAATATTTTCAACTTGTTTTGTGACCTAAGGTATGGCCTATCCATGTGCTGAGAAAAAGAATGTGTATTCTGTGGCTCTTGGATGAAATTATCTGTAGATAGCTATTAGATCTATTTTGTCTATAGTATATTGGGACTTATCTCTCTGTTTAGCTCTAATAAGATTTTGTTTATATATCTGGGTACTATCTTCTTGGTGAATTGACCCCTTTATCATTATATAGTGACCTTGTCTCTTCTTAGAGTTTTTATCTTGACATGTATTTTCTCTGATACAATTATAGTGACTCCTGCTTTTTTGATTTCCATTGGCATGAAATATCTTTTTCTATCCCTTTATTTTCAGCCTATGTGTGTCTTTATAAGTGAAGTATGTTTCATGTAGGCAACAGATCAATGGGGCTTGTTTTTTTTAATCCATCCAGCTAGTCTATGTCTTGTGATTAGAGAATTTAGTCCATTTACATTCAACGTTATTGATAAGTAAGGACTTAACTCCTGCCATTTTGTTGTTTGTTTTCTGGTCTTCTCTTTTGTCTTTCTTTCCTTCCTGTCTTTATTTAGTGAAGGTGATTTTCTCTGGTGATAAGATGTAGTTTCTTGCATTTCATTTTTTGTATCTACATTGTATCTTCTTTGGTTTAAAGTTACCATGAGGTTTGCAAATACTATCTTACAACTCATTTTTAACCTGATAACAAGTTAACAGTGTTTACATAAACAATCAAAAAGAAAACTAATAAAAACTCTACACTTTAACTTTGTCCTCACAATTTTTAACTTTTTGTTGTGTCTATCTTATTGTACTATGTCTTCAAAAGTTGTTGTACTTATTTGTATTTGGTTCATTATTTAGTCTTTCTAATTAGGATAAGAATAGTTTACATACCACAGTTACAGTGTTATAACTAAAACAGTGTTTTTCTGTGTGTTACTATAACCAGTGAGTTTTGTACCTTCAGATGATTATTTGTTGCTCATTAATATCCTTTTCTTTCTTAGTGAAGAATTCCCTTTAGCATTTCTTGTAGCACAGGTCTGGTATTGATGAACTCCTTCAACTTTTGTTTGTCTGGGAAAGTGTTTATTTCTGCTTCATGTTTGAAGGATATTTTTACCAGATATACTATTCTAGGGTAAAAGTTTTTTCTTTCGGTACTTTAAATACAACATGCCACTCTCTCCTGGCCTGTAACGTTTCTAATGAAAAGTCTGTTGCCAAAAGTATAGGAGTTCTATTATATATCACTTGTTCCTTTTTTCCTGCTGCTTTTAGGATCCTTCCTTGAACTTTGGGAGTTTGACGATTAAATGCCTTGAGGTAGTCTTCTTTTGTTTAAGTCTGCTTGGTGTTCCTTAACTTTCTTGTATTTGGATATTAGTATCTTTCTCTAGGTTTGGGAAGTTCTCTGTTATTATGCCTTTGAATAAAATTTATACTCCTATTTTCTTTCTCTACCTCCTCTTTAAGGCAAATAACTCTTAGATTTGTTCTTTGGAGGCTATTTTATAGATACTGCAAGCATGCTTCATTTTTTTTAAAATTTTATCTGCTCTGTGTATTTTCAAATAGCCTGTCTTCAAGCTCACTAATTCTTCTGCTTGATCAGTTCTGCTATTAAAAGACTCTGATGCATTTTTCAGTATGCTGATTGCATTTATCAGCTCCAGAATTTCTGCTTGATTCTTATTTCAATCTCTCTGTTAAATTTATAGGATAGGATTCTGAATTTCTTGTGTAATCTTGAATGTATTTGAGTTTCCTCAACACAGCTATTTTGAATTCTGCCTCTGAAAGTTCACCTACCTGTTTCTCCAGGATTGTTCCCTGGTGCCTTACCTACTTTATTTGCTGAGGTCGTTTTTCTGAATGGTCTTCATGCTAGTAGATGTTCTTCGATGTCTGGGCATTGAAAAGTTAGGTATTTACTGTAGTCTTCGCTGTCTGGGCTTATTTGTACCTGTCCTTCCTGGGAAGGCTTTCCAGATATTTAAAAGGACTTGGGTGTTGTGATCTAAGTTATATCTGCTTTAGGGGGCACCCCAAGCCCCAGTAACATTGTTGTTCTTGCAGACTCATAGAGGTACCACCTTAATGGTCTTGGACAACATCTGAGAGAATTATCTTGATTACCAGAGAGAGAATGTTTCTTTTCCTCTTTCTCTTTTTCTCTTTGTTCTGAGCACCTAAAGCTGGGGAAGACATAACACAAGCATCCCTGTTCCCATGACCACTATGACTGCACTGAGTCAGACCTGAAATCAGTAAGGCACTGGGTCTTGGCAAGATCTGCTGTAACAATTCCCTGGCTAACACCTATGTTCACTCAAGGACCTGGGGCTCTACAATGAGCAGATGGCAAAGTCAGCCAGTCTTGTGTCCTACCCTTCAGGAAGGTGAGGTACCCCAGGCTCTAGGTAGGTTCAGAGGTATCAACTAAGAGTCAGGGACTAGAGTCAAAAACCTTGGAAGTCTGCCTAACATTCTATTCTACTGTGGCTAAGCTGGCACTCAAACCACGAGAAAGTTCTTCCCACTCTCTCCTCCTCTTTCCAATGGAAGAGGGGCCTCACCCAGTAGCCACCACTACTGCAGGCCAGGAGGAGTACTGCCAGACTACCAATGATGTTCCCTTAAGGCCCAATGGCTCTAAAGACAGCTTGTGGTGAATGCTACCTAGGACTCATCTTTCAGGTCAGTGGGCTCCCATCTGGCCCAGGACAGGTCCAGAAATGTCATCCAAGAGTCAAATCCTTGAATCAGGGACCCTAAGAGCCCACTTTGTACTCTACCCCTCTTGGCCATGCTGGCACCTAAGGTGCAAGGCAAAATCCCCTTTACTTTTTCCTTTGCTTTTCTCAAGCAAAAGGAGTTTTGCCCCATAGCCACCACAGCTGGTAATGTGCTAAGTCTCACCTGAAACCATTAAGTCTCAGAGGCTCACCAAAGGCCCTCAATGTAGTACCTGGGTATCTCTGCTGGTTGTTCAGGGCCAAAGGGCTCTGCAATTAGCAGATGACAAATGCTGCTGGGACTGGGTCCTTTCCTTCAAAGCAGCAGCTTCCCTTGTGGCCCAGAGGGTGCTTAAAATGTCTGGGAGCTAGGGCCTGAAACTGGGACCTCATTACTCTGACTGGTGCCCTATCCTGCTGTTGCTGAGCTGGCATTCAAGATGCAAGACAAACTCCTCTCCACTCTTCCCTCTTCTCTCCTCAAGAGGAAGGAAGGGGTCTCTTTTGGAGCTTCAAGTTCTGTAGCCTGGGGTTAAAGAAGGGGTGATGCCAACACTCCCTTGGCTGCCCCAGCTGGTGTCTCAGTATGTCGCATGTGGAGCCACTGGGCTTTCAGGAACTTTTCACTCCTCCACTGTTTCTGAGCCTAGTACAGCACTAAGACTCACCTAAGAGTTGCAGTCCTTATGATCTAGACTGCCTTTCAAGTTTACTTGGAGACAGACAGCACTATATCCCTTGGTGGCAAGGACTGTGGGAACTCAAGTTCTGACCGTGGGGATCAGTGGCTAGGGCTGGTTTAAATTACCCCTCTGGCTAGTATTGGTGTAAATGCTGCCTCCATGGGAGGGCATCAGCTGTGTTTGGTCTGGTTTTCCTTTTCGCTCTAAAATGACAGCACTGAGATCAGTGCATCACAATTGCTGTGTTCTCCCTCCCCAATGCCCAGAGATGCTCTCCATGCCATTCAGCTGCTACTAAGGGATGAGGGAGGGGTGGTATCCATGATTCACGACTGCTACTCTCAGTGTCTCTGATATAGGAGTTAAGAAATTACTTAGGCAGATAGTGAAGAAGAAATGAAGTCTTCAGTAAGGTTTTCCTTTAATGAAAAGCAGCCCCCAAATCATTTTCTTTTCTAACAAAGAGCAGCCTGTAAAAACAAGCTACAGACATAGACAAACAAGCTGGAAGCTTTCACGGGTGAATGCTGGCAGTTGTGCCACTAGGAAACGGCTACCTGGGAATAGCCATGTTTGAGATGGTGGCTCCATCTTCCCTTTTTCTTTCCAACCACCTGTGCAGTAGGGAGAAGATAATGTGGTGCTGGCCAAGTGGAAAGCCCATTTGCATAATAAAATTGGGGTGGGGTGGCCAGCTTCCCTGCAGGCTGTGTAAATGTCACACCTGGTCCAACCAATCTGTGGACCCTATGTAAATCAGACACCACCCCCTGAAGCCTGTCTATAAAATCCGGTGCACCCCACTGTGGGCTGGAAGTCCCATTCAGGTGCCTCTCTCTTTCACAGGAGAGACAGCTGTTTTCTTTTTTCTTCTGCCTATTAAACCTGCACTCCTAAACCGACTTCTTATGTCCACATCCTTGATTCCCTTGGCGTGAGATGATGAATCCCAGGTATTTATCCCAGAAAACAATGCCACTGCACTTCTTTCAGTGATATGAAGTTAAAACCAGATACTATGAGTGTCACCTGAACTTTGGTTCTTATGAAAGTATATTTTCTGTGTAGGTAGTTGTTAAATTGGTGTCCTTGTGTGGGGGACAATCAGTGGAGCCTTCTATTCTTTCATCTTGCTCCACCTCTTGGGATAACTTCTAATAGACTTATCAGATGTATTAGGTATTGAAACCTAAGAAAAGAAATACAGCAGTGAAAAGAGGCAAAAATGGGAGCTCAGGATGTTTCTGAATCATTGGGCGTACCAGAGCAGAACAAGTTGCTAAGTAAGGAAAGAAACAATGAATGATGTTGTAGAGATCCTCATATGTTATAGGATGTAGGTATTATAGGGAATTATTAGATTTAGTGTTCTTTGAACTGATTAGCAGCCAAATTGCTGCCACGTCTCTAATCTATTAATTCAGATCACTTTGGAATCTATCACAGTCATGGACTCTAGGTGATACTGAATTCGAAATACTCCATTATAAAATCTTACTTTTTCCATAGGAACCTGGGACAAAGGGGTTATCTAACACACCCTTTTTGATTCATAAAAATACCAAAACACATGTAATTTTCCTGTATAAAAATGCAAATTATACTCAAATCTAAGAAATACTCAAATCTAAGAAATCTTAGATCTTAAGGCAAATACTCAAATCTAAGAAAAAATTTAATGTTACTGTGGGGCTAGTAGTCTATAATCAGAGGGTTAACTTTTACTCAGTTGTATTATGCCTTCAGCATGAAAGCCACATGCACCCAGGTAAATGGTATCTCTTTTAGAGGCAGTCATAGAGGTTTCCATCAATTTCTGTAAGAACCAGACATTGATGCTTGCAAAGAATACAAGGATAAGTTTTAAAATAAGACAGCTAACGCTACATAAAAGTATTTCTTCAGATGGGTCCTATAATATACATCGTAAGTTCTGTTCTGCAGTGAAGTAAGGCTACCTTTATTTAGTAGACAAGGGAGAAAATGAATAAATAGAAATTAACAATGAACTAACCTGGAAAAGCTGACAAAGTGTTTATAGTACAGGCAGTAGTTGACTAAAAAGACTAAGATTAAGTGAGTTTGTAGTTAGATCAGAATAGTTTTCAGACCATTTCCTCCCCAAGTTGCCCTACGCAGGATTTCGTGTGTGTAGCTTGGCAAGATACTAAAAGACTGTAGAGGAAGATGAACAAATTCCTTTAAAGGAACAAGAGTATACTTCAGGTGGTAATGTAATAGGGTGAAAACTACAGGCGCAGGTGAACACAGATGAATAGGCTGGATGCAATAAAAGATCCATGTGGATAAAGTATTGCCTGAGTGTACTGCAGTCACAGTGAGGACTGAATCTGTCGTGGCAATTCCCAGTTGTCACTTCAGATAGTGTTAGAATGTCTAGAAAGTGTAAAATGTGGAATTGATATTGAAAAGGGAGACTTTGAAGCCATAAGTCATAACATGTAGGAGAATCCCAATGTGACCTAATTGGCGAGCAGTGTACAGGCAAAACCGCTTATATTAGATATATAGGTTACAATCTTAGATTTTCTTATTTATAAAAAAGTATACATTACAAAATCCAAGGGGCCAAATTTTCAATCCAGCAATTTGAGAATCCTGAATAATTTACATGTGTTCCTTCCATAGCCCATCTTTCTCCCTATAACATAACTACATCCTGAACTGTATTGTTCACTTATATTTGAAGGAAATATAATAAATTCTCTAAAATGAATTTTAGACATCTTTGTTCAGTGGACAATTTCTATCTACTCTTAAAAATTGAACAATTGGGCTGGGCATGATGGCTCATGCCTGTAATCGCAGCACTTTGGGAGGCCAAGGTGGGTGGATCATCTGAGGTCAGGAGTTCAAGACCAGCCTGGCCAACATGGTGAAACTCCATCTCTACAAAAATACAAAAATTAGCCAGGCATGATGGCGAAAGCCTGTAATCCTAGCTACTTGGGAGGCTGAGGTGGGAGAATCGCTTGAACCCAGGAGGCAGAGGTTACAGTGAGCTGAGATCGTGTCATTGCATTCCAGCATGGGCAATAAAGGGAGATTCCATCTCCAAAAACAAACACTGAAGAATGGAATATTGAATAATTTTTTTAAAAGGTGATTTTATTCCATGACATATAAAGCTTTAGTACAGTTATTTTAATCGTTTGTAATATTCTATAGCTGCGTGTCTTCTACTATGTTCTTCAGTCAAGTTTCTCACAAGAAATCACAGGGCATATGCTCTACTACTGTTCACAAATGCAAAGCAAATATTTATAATTGATATTGCTCTAAATCTTGAACTGAAATACACGTGTGTGTATATATAACACATATATTCACTTTTTCCTGAAGGGAAATAGAAGCATTTTTTTTTTCTCATAGAAATCTATCTCCTACATGAGTAGTTATTTTAGGAAATACTTCCAGCTCACTTGGGAAGTGTATACTTTAAATTCTATACAGGGCTCTACTCTTGCAGAACTACAGGTTGAAACTGATCTTACCATGCACTTTTACTCATTTTTTTCTTAAGGACATGTAGTAGAGATTAATCAGTCAGCTCCCTATTTGCAACCAGGCTCCCGGGGAGAAGGCCATGGGATTAATTGGTAAATTTTGCGGAATGCAACCTTAAAGTTTTGTGCTGTCTCTAAGCAGTGCCAGAAGATGTGGTGCTGGTATTCATATCTGGTCATCTTTGTGCCCTCTTCTCCATCACCTTTGGTCTTGACAATAACCTCAAGAAAAGAACTTCGGCTTTCTTCACAATAAATTACTGGTGCCACCTACTACCAAAGAACTTGCTTCAAACTGCTTGGAAATAGGGGTAGACTCTAGAGGTGTGTGAGTGGGGGAGAGACTGCAGGGTGGTGGAAATCCAGAAGAATAGAGGATATTACAATTAACTTGCTCTGATACTTGGGCTGTTCTTGGGCCTGAGAACCTGCTTAAAAAGACAAAAGTTAAACCATAGGACTATTAATGCTGTATGCTCAATCTCTCCTCAAAAAAGGATCCTTGCTTTAAGATTTGAATTCATTTCTAATGTCTCATTCCAGATCTGTTTATGCATCTTACTGAGGCTGTTCATTAGAATCCAGGAATATAACATGAAAAAAGCAAAAGGATGATTTGAAATTCTGAGGGTTATTATTTTCTTTTTATAGTTTATTTTTATTGATACATAATTGATGTACATATTTTCAGGATATTGTGTGATAATAATAATCTATCATATATTTCAAGATGGCTAGAAGATAATAATCTGAAAGTTATCAGCATAAAGAAAAGATAAATGTTTAAGGTGACGGATATCTCAATTATCCTGATTTGATTCATTCATATACATATTATATGAATGAATCTGAGGCTTATTTTAAAATTTAAGCACTTACTATCTAGAAATTAACACACATACAATTTAATAATTCTATAGCTTGTAGAATATATGTAAGTTATTTTTAAAAAGACAGTGGGATCATAGTGATAAGATTAACGTTGCCTTAACAAACTTTATCTTCTACCTACTTGTAAGTATATTGTAATGATGTAAAACCATTTTGAAATAATGCCTAAATTGGGAAGGTTCATATACATTGTAAAAAGATAAGCAAATATTTGCTGTGTATCAAAAATAAGGAAATGGATATTAAATGGCATCCCAGTTTAATTAAATACTATAATCTCTTGGGTGGCAAAAAAAATTTCACTGGGGGAGTTCCTTAGCTGTCTACCATACTAAGCCTTATCTAAGACAACTCTGTTCAACTCAGTTAATTGTTGGAAAGATTTTTTAAGTGGTATGTCACCAGCAATGCCATCAACTGCTCTGGATGTAGAATTTCAGTTGTATGAAGCAAAGAAGTGGGCCTATGCAAAACATGAGTAAACGTAGAAAACAAAATGAGAAGAGTAGAGAAGATTACAAAAGTAAAGATGAAATGAGAGGCAAATGTGGGACAAGCTGTGATTGAATTGCAAGTGAATCATGGGCTAATCCTCTCTAGTGGCTTCTTAGGGTACTGATGGTCGGGAAAGACAAGTTAACTTAAAACCAAGATCATCTTCCAGTTGACAATTTATCTTTATTCCTCATACTGCTTTTGTTCAGAAACTTATCTGTGGCCTAACACTAAATTTTGACTTGAACTTGTACAATTAAATTGAGTTGCAAAACTGAAAATGGGCAGAGCAGTCAGACAGCCAGAAGAAAGGAGCTATACAAAATAGTCACATATTAAACAAGGCCTGGTTTAATTTTATTGACTCATTATTAGGTAATTATCAGGGAGACAGAACAGTTACAGGCACTATAAATGGAATAGAGGCTAATTTGGGTGGCACTGAAAAGCATGCCTGAGAAAGGGACCTGAATTGTTTGGAAAGCAATCCCAACATCTACAAGGGAGAAACAGTGAGTATGACTCAGAGATAGAAACAAGGAAGAGTGGCTAAGTGAGTAACAAGAACTCAATCTCCCCAGAAATCTTCAGTGTTAAGAACATTAGGACCCGCTGGTCAATCTTGTTTTGAAGAACAAAAAGCTTCAAGTGGCAGGCAAGCTCATTTCAATCAACCATGGGGTCATGAATATCCTATCAGCACTAAGTTAACTCATTATAGTTAAATACCCTAAACTTGCTCAGCACTTCTTTTTTTGTTTTTTTAATTTTTGTAGAGACAGGGTCTCACACTAGGCTGCCCTTGAACTCTTGGGCTTAAGTCATTATCCTGCCTCGGCCTCCCAAAATGCTGGGATTACAGGCATAAACCACCACACCCGCCTTCAGTGCCTCTTACAACAGCCTTTTAAGGCAATTGTTTTGATTTTTGTTTTTGTTTTTGTTTTGTTCTTTTTTCCTGAAAAGAGATTTAGTCGGTCTGTATTTACTTATCTTTTTTCTAATTGCTACTTTAACTTTCTGTTTGCATACAAGAATAGCAAGCTGCTTCTTATGTGTAACATCTTGGAAAATAAATAAATCCATATTTCGGCTTAATCTTTACATACACAGTGATGCAGTGTTTTGCAGAATAGTAGGTCTTTAACCTGTTTAAATTATAAAAACAGATTTTCAGTTGTGTTCAGTTGTTTGTTACAGCAAAACCTGGTCTTTCAGGTGGCATTTTTAAACAACTGTTTCTCATAATGTAAAGGCAACCTGAAAATGAACATAGTTCTCCCAGTGAACTCTCAGTATTCTTCCTCAGGTCCATTATTCAGCTGAAATGTACAGGGGCTACATAAATATTAACTTCCAAGATGACACAGTGAGAATTTTGGTGAACATCCTCAAAAAACCATGAAAATAATGGCAAAACTACTAATTAACCACTTCAGAATTCTGGAAATTAACCAAAACTACAGATTTGAACTGAAAATCATCTACCCCAGAGCAACTACTAAATGATAAAACAATGGTGCCTGCTTTTAAAATTTTTTATCTTTTCACAATTTTTAATTTGGGGCTATTCCACTTCCTTCTCTACCCACTTTATTGATGCAGTAGTAATAAAAGCCAGCAGCCTCACATTTAATGGAGGGTACTTACCTCTTTTGAAGCTGCTTGGATGAATCACCCAGAGAGAACAATGTTTTATTCTAATCAGAAGCTTCCAGGGAAATCTCTATTCCCAGGTTATTGTTTCTATGTTATTTTTCTCAGAGCTCATCTCAAGGGAGAAAAAAAATAAGTCCTAACCTTAAGGCATTTACCAAAAATAATAGTAATCTGCTGCCAATACCACAGCTGCCTAAGGCTGTGATTTCAGTTGCCGTAAAATAAGAGCCTGTCCAGGAAAGAGTAAATCCAGGAAAACTAGATGGCAAAAGGAAACTTTTAAAAGCTCAGAAATATTCCTGAGAATCTGAATAGTGCCTGAGAAAGGAGAATTTACTCAGCTCTCCTGTAGCTCATGTTAAGATTCTGTGCGAGGAGAAGATTAAAAAAACTTTAGGTTGAAGACATGCCTTCTCACATAGAAACTGTGTAATAACAAGTCAATACATCAGGAAGATAAAATAATTATAAACATATGTTTCTAAAAACAGTATCAAAATAAATATAAAAATTGACAAATAAAAGGAGAAAAGTCAGTATTTGGAAACTTCAAGATCTCAATTTCAAAATGTATAGAACAATTTTGCAGATCAACCAAAAAAAAGAATGCTTGAGCAACACTATAAAATAACTCAACATAGCAGACATTTATAGAACACTCCACCCAATAAGAGCAGAATACACATTCCTTAATCACAAATGAAACATTTTCTCAAATACTCCATATGCTAAGCCATAAAACAAGTCTTAACAAATGTAAAAGACTTGAAATCATACAAGCACGATCTCTGAACATAATGAAGTTGAATTAGAAATCAACAACAGAAAGAAATTGACTAAATTCATAAATATGGACAAAATAAACAGCACATGAATATGTGATTCAAAGAAATCATAGTGGAAATTATAAATACTTTCAGATAAATAAAATAAAAACACAACATAAAAGAAACCATATGCCAACAACAAATCAGATAATGTACAGGGAGTGAAAAATTTAGAAAGATACAAACTACAAAAACTGATCAATAAGAAATCATCTGAATAGCCACAAAATTGTCTATACTAAAAAAGAAATATTTCAAATTAATAACCTAACATTTCACCTTAAGAAATGAGAAATGGAGGGGTAAACTAAACCAAAATGCACAGAAAGAAGGAAATAAAGAATAGTGTGGAAATAAATGAAGTAGAGCAAAATAAATGAAGTAGAGCATAATAAAAGAGTAAAGAATATCAACGAAATTCAAAGATGTTCCTTTTAAAAGAACAAAAAAGAATACCAAGCTTTAGCTAGATTTCAAAAAAAAAGAGATGAGTTAAATTACCAAAATCAAAAGTGAAAGAAGGAATATCGCTACCAATTTTGCATAAATAAAAAATCATGAGAGTTCTACAAGCAGCTGTATGCCAACAAATTAGATAAATTAGACGCAGTGGAAAAACAGATAATTTAAATAGACCTATAACAAGTAAAAATATTTAGTCATCAAAAAATTTTTCATAAAGAAAAGCCTAGACCCAGATTGCTTCACTGTTGAATTCTACCAAACATTTAAGGCAGAATTAATATGTATCTTTCAAAAACTCTTCCAGAAAGTATAAGCAGAGGAAATACTCCCAATTCATTCTACAAGGCCAGTATTACCTTGATACCAAAACCAGACAAAAACATCACATGAAAAGAAAATGACTTGTCAATATTGCTAATAAATATAAATACAAAATCCTAAACAAAACACTAGCAAACCGAATATAGTAATGTATAAAGAGGATTATACACCATAACCAGTGTGATTTATCCAAGGAATGCAAGATTTATTTAACATCTGAAAAACCAATAAATTATATTATACAACATTAACAGAATAAAGGACAAAAACTACATGAGCATCTCAATAAACACCGAAAAAAAAAAAAAAGCATTTGACAAACCCAATACCCTTTCATGATAAAGATACTCAACAAAGCAGAAATAGGACACTGCCTCAACCTGATTAAAGGAATCTATGAAAAACTTGCAACTAACATTATACTGAATGGTGAAAGACAAAAGCTTTATCCCTAATCAGGAGCAAGACAAGGATGTCTGCTGTCATTGCTTCTATTCAACAATGTACTAGAAGTTGCAGAGATGGCAATTAAGCAAGAAAAAGAAATAAAAAGCCTCCATGTTGGAAAAAAAGATGATTATTTCTATCTATAGATGACACTGTATTCTGTTTGTAGATGACATTATCTTGTAAGAAGAAAATCCTAAGTAATACACTAAAGCACTACTAGAACTTATAAACAAGTTCAGCACAGTTGCAGAATACAAAATCAATATGACCCAGCAATTCCACTTCTAGTTGCACATGGAAGATAAATGAAAATATGTGTCCAC
This sequence comes from Homo sapiens, assembly GCF_000001405.40. NCBI lineage: Eukaryota > Metazoa > Chordata > Mammalia > Primates > Hominidae > Homo > Homo sapiens. The sequence goes on along the minus strand of NC_000015.10, from coordinate 46,148,463 downwards.
ACAAAAACTTGCAGATAAATGTTCACATTATTCACTATAACCAAAAAGTGGAAATAACCCAATGTCCATCCAATGAAGAACAGATAAAGTGGTATATGCATACAATGGAATATTATGTAGCAATAAAAAGAATGAAGTAATGATACATGCTACAACATGAATGAACCTCAGAAACATTATACTGGCCGGGCGCAGTGGCTCACACCTGAAATCCCAGCACTTTGGGAGGCCGAGGCGGGTGGATCACCTTAAGTCAGGAGTTTGAGACCAGCCTGGCCAACATGGTGAAACCCCACCTCTACTAAAAATACAAAAATTAGCCGGGCGTGGTGGCAGGTGCCTATAATCCCAGCTACTTGGGAAGCTGAGACAGGAGAATCACTTGAACTTGGGAGGCAGAGGTTGCAGTTAGCAGAGATTGCACCACTGCACTCCAGCCTGGCAACAAAGAGTGAAACTCTGTCAAAAAAAAAAAATATATATATATATGTATACACACACACACACACACACACAGACACACACACACAAAGTTAAAAAGCTAGCCACATGGGACTACATATAATTCCACATATATAAAATGTCCAGAATAGGAAAATCTATAGAGACAGAATAGTGATTACTGGTTGACTTAGACTGATGGAAAGAAGAAATGAGGAATGATTACTAATAGGGTGAGGATTTCACTTTTTTTTTTTTTTTTTTGAGATGGAGTCTCACTCTGTCACCCAGGCTAGAATGCAATGGCATGATGTCAGCTCACTGCAACCTCCACCTCCCGGGTTCAAGTGATTTTCCTGCCTCAGCCTCCTGAGTAGCTAGGACTGCAGGCGTGTGCCACCACACCTGGCTAATTTTTGCATTTTTAGTAGAGACGGAGTTTCACTATGTTGGCCAGGCTGGTCTCCAACTCCTGACCCTGTGATCCACCCATCTCAGCCTCCCAAAGTGCTGGGATTACAGGTGTGAGCCACCATGCCAGCCAATTATTTTCTAAATTTAGATAGTGGTTATGGTTGCAAACTATGTAGCAATATTAAAAATAATTAACTGGAGATCCTTTAAAAGAAGCAGCACACCACTGTAAATTCTGTGAAATGTCACAGGATACTTGGGGTGTCACTTCATCAGCTGGAAACCTCTGTGGACAGTGGTGCCTTCACCCAGGTTTTGCCGGGGCCTGCTGGGCTCTTTCAGCCCACTTGGCCTGTCAGGCTGCACTTGCTTCATGCTACCAGCCTGGATCCCATGCCTGCCAAGGGCAAGCCAGGCATGGAGCAGTGAGGGGTGCGTGAGCAAGCAAGCAAGCTCAGAGTCCAGCCACTGCATACAGCCAGGCATGCCTGCTGCAGTGGAGTGAGCAGTTCCAGGTGCTGGGCCCCTGGGAGGCTGCAGATGGACCAGGTGTACCACAAACAGCTTCCACAGCTGGCACTGGGGAATGCAGTGGGGCACTGGGGAATGCAGTGGTGCCCAGAGGCTTGGAGATGCCAGGAACCACAGAGCCCCAGAGAGAGTGTTACAGCCCTGGCTTGGGAAGTTCCTAAGTCTGGGCTCCCCAAAGGGCTGCAGTTCTTCTCTCCTCCTCTCTTCTCTCCCCATCATTGTCCACAATATGGCAAGTAAGGGGCATGTTTCAGCTCTGTTTCTGTTACAGCTCTTTAGGCCCTGTCATTCAGCAGGTCCCAAGTTCTTCTCTAGCATCCAGGAAGAAAGAGGTAGTGGATAAGTGGAGGGAGAACAAGGTGAAGAGGTGCTTTATTGAGCTACAAAACAGCTCAAGGGAGACCTACAGTGGGTATCTCCTCTCTGCAGGTAGATCATCCTGTCATCTGCTCAGCTCTCAACAGAGAGGAGACCCACAGTGGGTAGCTCTTCTCTGCAGGCAGATCATAATATCATCTGCCTGTGTCTGGCTGAGTCTGGGGTTTTTATGGGCTTCAGAGGGGAGGAAGAGTGTGCTAATTGGTTCATGGGCAACCATGGGTGGACCTGAAAAAAGAACTGTAAGTTCTCACTCTGGTCCATGGAATTGGCAGCACAGCCCCCAGGCCTGAGGCCATCCCTGGCCTGAAGGTGAGGTTTCACTGAGGACCTGGCCCTTTTTGCCCAGGAGCCTGTCTGCCTCCTGCTGCCATTAACCTGTCATCCACGGTGCCCATTGCACCCAGGCTGTTTGTGCTGAGGGGTGCCTGCAGGCCCATGCTAAGCTGCCCTCAACCCCCACCTCAACCTCCCTGCCATGCTTGTCAGCACCCAACATCTGGAGGGGGCCATGGTGTCAGGGGACTTGTATGTCAGCACTGCCCTGAGTGTGCACACACCTGGCCAAGTCGTGACAGCACCCAGGCTCAGCCACTTTACTCCAAAATCAGAGTTGGCACCAGGAGTTGGGAGAGGCCAGGCAGCGGGAGCAGACATTTCTGAGTCTGTGGTGACAGGGGGAATTCCCAGGCTCCCAAGAGTGCAGAGATGCCTGGGTCTACAGCTGCAGCTGGGCAGCTGTAGCTGCATCCTGGAGGGCAGGGCTCCTGCCCCTCCAACTTAGAAGGGGATGGGGCTTCTGCTTGTTTGCAGCTCCTGCTGGGTCCATGGAGTGTGCAGCCCCAGCCATGCCTCCCTGACTGCAGCTGGTATCATGGCAGCAGCCACTCCAGATGGGCCACTGCTGCCATTAATCCCACCTCTGAGGAGGTTCATCTAACTTCCATTAGGATAGGGATGATGACTGGTCTTAACTGCTTTATGCTGACAAAGGAGCATTGTTTTGTTGGGGGGAAAATATCAGTCAGATCTTCCCTCAGAGGCTTATCTACAGGTCTCCAGTAAAAGGGAGCCATCGTGTGAGGTACCATTTGCAACACCATTTGGAGTTTGACGGTCTGAAGGCAAGAAGAGACAAACCAAGTTATTAGAAGACATGGATCAAAATGAAACAAGGGGGTAAGGACAGCTCAAAAATCCTGAAGCTGCCAACATGCCCAGAATCAGAATATTGTTCCAGATTTTGACATTACCCATCCCTTTCTGTCTTCTGAGCTTCAGTCAGAAATCACTGGTTGGTTCACAGGAATAAGCAGGGTTAGTCTAAAATGCAGTCCAAAACATTAAAACAACTAATGAGCACCTGTCAAAATTCTATAGCTGATTATAAACTATATTTTGAAGAGGATCAAAACAAGACAACAATTGTCTGTGAATGACAAAATGTCTTAGGTAGTCACACTCAAAAACATGACTGACAAAGAAATTCAGTTATTTCTGTGGTTTACAACAACATAATAACCCTAATTATGATTGATAGCATATACTCAGAAATTTGAATTTTAGAAGTCCCATACAATTTTGGAATATATAGATATTATTCACTAAAATATAGCCTGAAGATTAAACCTTTTTTATTTTGACAATCCCATGAAACTAAACATGTCAAATAATCCTGTTTACCTCTCTTTTGGATGCTCCAGGGGCCCTCTGTAGCATCCCAAAGTTAGGGGTCAGAAAAGACAATTTTGAGACTGAAATTTGATTTTAGGAAGCCTATCAAATATGTTAAAGTTTTAAAACACTTGGTATTATTAAATAACAGATCAGTGACTTAAGAAACCCTTGCTGTACTTTTATTCCCAATGTTTAATTTATGGAAAAACCAAATAATACCCTTTTGAATTTAGTCAATATGTTCACACACAGTATTTTTTTTTTTTTTTTACAAGACTAACTTTTACAAACCTTCCACTACTTGTTTAAACTTTTGGCTTTATCTTATATAATTTAAGACAATTCTTTAACCATCTAAGCAAAAATTTTCTTATGTTTTACTAAATACACATTTACTTTCCTTACACACCTTCCAGGTCAATCTATTTTCAGTCATCTCAATTACATGTTATAATGTTAACTCTTAGCAATTTTTAATTCTGGTGTAAAACCTGATAAGGTATTTTAGTTAGGTACTAGGTGTGGATAAGGTCTGATTCTTTTCAGCATAGCTAGGGGCGTGGTTAACTCCTACATCCCTAGGCCTTGCCAAACTGTAAAGCAGGCAAGTCAAACAATTTTCAAAAGCTAAAGAAGCAGTTTATGATCTTAAAGCATTTAACAAACCTGGTTTTTGACCTGTGTAATTTAGACTACATTTACATTTTGAAGACATTTTTATTTTACCAATAATCTTTGAAGCTGTTTTTATTTCTCAAAGATTAAAGTCATATGAACTAAAAGGCATTACAGCTTTGTTTTTCTTTAAAAATATTTGATCTAAGTGATTTCTTTTCTTTAAGCCAATCAATTAGAGGTCTCTTTTTATATAAAGACCACACAACATGTATATAACTACACAGACAGACAGAAGTAGATCAGTACTTGTAAGTTGTTTCATTTGCCAATCTCTTAATTGGATTACTGGCCTCAGAGTGGAGCCCCTCAAGAAACAGGCTAGGAAAACATGCAGTTTCTAGGGCCTAATAAGCAGGCGTAGCTGGAAGACAAAAACAGATTTTGAGAGGGATCCATTGCCCCTAATTCTTGGGGTTCCATGAGGAAAACAGAGGTTTTTCCCAAAATGGGGTCAGTGGTGCCTTCTGTTTTTCCCAAGGAGTCCCAGACCATCAGAAGTTATCATGGGGCCTTCTCATGTGTGCATTAAGAGTGGCAAGACAAAATGGAGAAAAATAATTCAGTCAACCGAGAAGAAAAATACCAGAAAAACAAGAACCGCTAATAGACATAAAGGCTTTTTAAATATACCTATAGCTTGGGTATTTACCTTTAATTAAGCTGACTTTTAATCATAGCACTCTTTTTTAAGGAGTCCTTTTAAATCTCTTGTTACCCAACCTTAGCCATACCAAATGGCCAATACCTCTGGCTTTTGAACTTATGGAGGGGCAGAGAACACAGTGAATTTTTATCATTCCTACAACCAGTTTGCACAGAGAGAAGCCAGAAGTCCGACTGGGAAAAACTTCATGTCAGGCTTCTGGGTTCCCTTCCCCTGAGCTATGGAGCCCCATCAACCCCGGAGTCCTGGAGTCCTGTGAAGGGGGAACAGACAAAGAAAAGTCCTTCCTCAAGAGATTGGGTATGTCTGACGGTCAAAAATGTTCCAGTGATTCAGGATGCACTCAAGAGGAGTGCAGGCAGAGGATGATTGGTTACCCGTTTGCAAAGACAGCAAAAGGCAACCCTTTGTTTCTTTCTTTTTCCAGTGAATACCTGGGGGTACATGAAGGACAGAAAAGAAGGTGTCCCCTTCTTTCTTCTGACCTTATATATCCCCAAGTCCTGGCAACATTTGCAGGGAGTTTCTCTTCATAGGCACCACAGCTGTGAATACACTGAGTTACACTGAGGCCAGCCCACCTCAGAGTCTCACCCAAGGTCCATAGCATGTTTTATCTGGTTATTGCTGCTGATTATACCAACTGTAAAATTAAGGCAAAGACTCAGACAAGATTGGAGGACTTCCTACCAAGAATGAAGTGGGCAAAGGTTATGAACAGACACTTCTCAAAAGAAGACATTTATGCAGCCAATAAACACATGAAAAAATGCTCATCACTGGTCATCAGAGAAATGCAAATCAAAACCACAATGAGATACCATCTCACGCCAGTTAGAATGCAATCATTAAAAAGTCAGGAAACAACGGACGCTGGAGAAGATGTGGAGAAATAGGAACGCTTTTACACTGTTGGTGGAGTGTAAATTAGTTCAACCACTGTGGAAGACAGTGTGGCGATTCCTCAAGGGTCTAGAACTAGAAATACCATTTGACCCAGCGATCCCATTACTAGGTATATACCCAAAGGATTATAAATCATTCTACTATAAAGAGCCATGCACACTCATGGTTACTGCGACACTATTCACAATAGCAAAGACTTGGAACCAACCCAAATGTCCATTAATAATAGACTGGATAAAGAAAATGTGGCACATATACATCATGGAATACTATGCACCCATAAAAAACGATGAGTTCATGTCCTTTGCAGGGCATAGATGAAGCTGGAAACCATCATTCTCAGCAAACTATCACAAGGACGGAAAACCAAATACCACATGTTCTCACTCATAAGTGGGAGTTGAACAATGAACACATGGACACAGGGAGGGGAACATCCCACACTGAGGCCTGTTGTGGGGTGGGGGACTGAGGGAGGGATAACATTAGGAGAAATACCTAATGTAAATGATGAGTTGATGGGTGCAGCAAACCAACATGGCACAGGTATACCTATGTAACAAACCTGCATGTTGTGCACATGTACCCCAGAACTTAAAGTATAATAAAAAATAAAAAATAAAAAAAGAATGAATAGGCATATTATTTCTCTCCAAATAGATTTGAAGTAAAAGGTAAACAAGATTTATTGGGTTATCTCCTGGCTTGATGTGTAGCCAAGAATAAGGTAAATTTAATTATGAGAAACAGTCTTCAAATGATACATATTGTTATGTCACATCCTTGGAATAGTTACAAAACTCAATCTCATTTCTATGTCTTTACTGTATTCCAGATCTGTTCAATTATGGGATATATAGGAGGTCTTCTACTACATTCGTATCAACATCTTCCGTTTCTAATAATTCTTCGCTTTATATGTATACATGTTTATAATATGGGCTTATGACTTCATAACCATGCTATAACTTAATGTATTTTGTCTTAGGGACTGCTATTATAATATTGACAACACTACTTTTTAACAGCTTCCTCAAGTTATAATAGACAAATAAAAATTGTATATGAAGTATACAATGTGGCAGAATGTATATATATAGCTTGATTATGGCAATCATTTCACTAATTAACATTTCTATCACCTCACATACTTTTTTGTAGTAGGAAATTTTAGTGCTACTCTCTTAGCAAATTTCAAGTATACAATAGATTATTATTACCTGTAACCACTATACTGTACATTAGATTTCCAGAACTTATTTATTCTGCATAACTGAAACTTTTTACCATTTGATCAGTATCTCTTCATTTCCCCACCACCAGCCCCTGTCAACCACCATTCCACTCTCTGCTTCTATGAGTTTGACTTTTATGTATTTCACATATAAGCAAAATTATTGAGTATTTGTCTTCCTGTGCCTGGCTTATTTCACTTAGTATAATATCCTCCAAGTTTATCCATGTTGTCACAAATGACATGATTTCCTTCTTTTTCAAAACTTAAAAATATTCAACATGTGATATATATTTAATGTATAGGTGTGTGTGCCTATGTGTTTTTATATAGATATAGATATATAAATATATAAATCACATTTCCTTGACCATTCATCCATCATTGGACACTTAGGTTGATTCTATATCTTGGCTATTATGAAAAATGCTGCAGGAAACACTGCTTTATTTTTAGTTAATCTCTTTGCCCATACCTTTATTTTTAACCTTTATCACTTGGTTTAAGTCTTTTTTTTTTTTTTTTTTTTTTTTTTTTTGAGACAGAGTCTTTCTCTGTCGCCCAGGCTGGAGGGCAGTGGCGCAATCTCAGCTCACTGCAAGCTCCGCCTGCTGAGTTCAGGCCATTCTCCTGCCTCAGCCTCCTGAGTAGCTGGGACTACAGGCGCCCACCACCATGCCTGGCTAATTTTTTCTGTTTTTAAGAGAGACAGGGTTTCACCATGTTAGCCAAGTTTAAGTCTTTCTTTTAAAAGATGTGTAACTGGGCTTCATTTTCTTAAGCCAGTCTGGCAGTCTATCTTTGAAAAAGAGAACATATATTCAGTCTGGTATATTTAATATAATGACAGTTTTTTCAACTTCGTATTCTTTGTATTATTTTTCCTAATATCCTTCTAGTTTTATCAATGTGCTATTCATTACATACTTTTCTATTTCATTAATACTTAGCATTTTCCCCCCACAATCAGTTGTTTATATGAATATGAAATAACAGAGCAAATAGTTATTACCCAAACCCAATAAGACCCACAGAATTTTTTATTTCCCTTACCCTTTTTTTGCTGCTGCCTCTTCTCATGAGAATTTTCAATGTTTTTACTTCACCTTTTTATTATAGCCATCTCCCTCAACCCCCCATGACAACTTTTAGATATTGCTAAAACAGTTTAGTAATTTCATGTCTATGGTTACACTTAAGTTTGTCCTTATTTTGCATTTATATTATATATTCCCAGATATTCTATTATCTATTTAGATTTAATTATATTTCAAGTTATACTATTCGCCACTGTTTCCCCTATGCATTTTCCCCATCTATGTCTCTGTTTCTGCTCAGTGGTTTGGAGATTCTTCTCAAAGATTTTTCTCAGATCTATTAAATGTATGCCCAAATTCCAAGATTATATCTCCTTTTATTCTCTGAATTAAAAGAACTGCAAACCAGGGCTCCTATGTGAAGCCAAGATATTCTGTTATTAGTCTGGAAGCTAGGAGAAAGTGACATTGCATCTACACTATTACCATTTGTTTCTTTTCTCTTTGTGAGTTACTTGGTTTTTCTACATAGAAGCTTTTGAGAGTTTTTACTGGAGTTCAAAAAAGTTTTATTAAAATGTGCATAAGTGGATTATTTTATCATGAATCTATCCTGGAATTTAATGAGTCCTTTTAATCGTTGAACTTAGTTCAGTCTTTATTTCATGGAAAATTTTTTATTCAATAATTGCCCTATTACTTTTTTATTCAACATATCCATGTTAATGGTACATATGTGTCTACCCCTAATTGGAACTTTTATTACTTGTAAGTTAGTTTCATATATGTGTATATTGATAGATACACACACACACATGTGTTTGTGTGTGAGGTGTATGTATATATTTATGTGCATATATATTATTTTTGAAGTCTTATTTTCTTTCATTTCTAGCTATACACATATATGTATACATACATATATAATGTATAATGAAAGAGATAATGAGAAAATAAAGGTAGTTAACAAATAAAGTCTAAATATGAGAGCAGGAGGATGCTTTTTCTAATTTTTTCCTGCAGTGACAGAGTAGGCACAGCAGATAAACAAACTAAATATTTGATAGTTAGGGTAGCTGACCTTCAAAGATGAGTCAACTCTCAGCCAAGGCAGGTCTATTAAGGGTAGTTCCCTGGTTGGGAAAACCTAGAAATGTGACACATAGGATATGTATATCTGGGTAGATGCCCCTGAAAATTGTGGCCCTGCAGACTTCCCTAAACCCTCAGGGCCTTCAGAGTCAGTGCAACTCACCCTATGGAGCTAGTCTACAACCACATGCCCACTTTGGTCAAGTACTGTGTAATCCTCCTCCATACATGCTATAGCAGCTCCCATCAGAAACTTTCCAGAAGCATATGATTAGTATTATCCCATTTTAACATGGTTGGGAATACCAGTGACACAGAAAATAAAGAGATTACCATACAGAATGGTAAGAATCAGCCAGCATGTGCTAGCCAAGGAAGTTCCTGTAGGATTGGATTTTGAAAGTTCCTGATCAAGAAAACTGGAATATAATACTAGATAAACATAACTGATTTGGGTGCACAGGATTCAGCACTTTTCCAACTGTCCCAGGGAATAGGGAAAACTCATTGCTAAAATGGCATTTACATTAGAGCAAATGATGACCTATGCTGAGTAAAGTTGAAATGCCTGAGTTGCCATGGTAGATTATGGAGTGCCTCATTATATCCTGGCAAGAATGAATCTTGAAAATGACTATATACTACTGCAAACTTAGCCAAGTAGAAACCATAACTGTGGCTGCTGTGCTGGAGATAATATCTACATCAGATTAATGGGTAAATTATGTGCAGCCATTGATTACATGAATGTGTTTTTTCCCTATCTAATTCATGAAAGAATATAAAAACAGCTCTTAGCAAAACTTCATTCACATGAGGTGAACAATAAAATACATTTATAAACTATAATAACTCTCCCTCACTGTCATAATCCAATCAGAAGATAGCTGGGCCATATAAACATGTGAAAAACATCACATTGATTCATTTTAATCATGCCAACAAGCTGATGAGGCAAGATGTGTAAGAGGTGGCACACTGAAGGCCTTGGGTAAGAACTATGTTCTCTGGAAAGCAAGAGAGGAACCCTTCCAGGATTTATCACATTGTTATTTTAATAAAGTATCTAAGTGATATACAGTGGTCAATGATGTTCCTGGATTATCTCCAAACCAAAACATAAATTGCTGCATCTTGCATGACCTGTTACAAAGAAGGGAGCACAATGTCTGGTCTGCCTCTTTGGGTTTGGAGGGTAGCATATATCTTCAGGGATATTTGTCTGGCCTATAAACTGGTGACAAAATGCCTACCAGTTTTAAGTGGGACCTATAACAGAAATGTGCTCTTTTGCAGGTCTAGACTGTGATGTAAGCAGCTTTACACCCCTTCAGTCAGAGAATTCAGCAGATCTGATGGTGTCAATGTTATTATAATAAAGGTTTATTTTACAGTTTGTGGAAAGACCTGGGCTTCTGAAGCAAGCAAGGTCATATTATCTGGAGAAGAGAATTATATGCCTTCAGAAAATGGTTTCTGGTCTTTTACTGGGGCCTGGTATAGATGGAAGGCATTATCACAGAATTCCAAGTGACTATTTGTCACTGTCACATTAGTTATGAGCTGGGTTATATCTTGCCCATTAAGTCACAATGGACTGTTGCTCAGCTTGTCTAACCTCACAAAATGGACATGGTATATTCTGAATTGGGCTCAAGAAGGAGGGGTACTAATACAACTTATTTTTGCTCTCTAGTTTTGACCTATACCAAATGTTAGCAAGTATATGGAGCAAACTTTTCTCTCATGCACTGCCCATGGGAAGATAAAATTGCACAATCGCTTTGGTAAACAATTTGGCAGTTTCATAAAAAAAGTTAAACATACACTTACTACATAATTCAGTCTTTCCAAACACAGGTATTTATCCAAGATAAATGAGAGCATATGTCCATACAAAGACTTGTACATGAATGTTCATATCCGCTTTATTTATAGGCAAAACTAGGAACCAACCCAAATACTTAACAAGAGGTGAGTAGATAAACCAATTATAGTATATCCATACAGTGAATACTATTTAGCAATATGAGGAAATTATTCACATAGCAACATGGATAAATCTCAATATAATTATGCTAAATGATAGAAGACATAGTTTTTTGAAAGTGTGTATACTGTATGATTCTAGTCTCGAAAATGCAAGTTAATATATAGTGACAGAGTAAATCAGTGTGCAAGAGGGTAATATGATTTTCTGTGTCTCCACCCAAATCTCATCTTAAATTGTAGTTTCTATAATCCCCACTTCTTGTGGGAGGGACCCACTGGGAGGTAATTGAATCATGGGGTCTTTAACCTCATGCTGTTCTCATGATAGTGAGTTATCGTGAGACCTGATGGTTTTATAAGGGGCTTTTCTGTCTTTGCTTGGCACTTCTCCTTCCTGCCACCATGTGGAGAAGGACTTGTTTGCTTCCCCTTCCACCATGATTGTAAGTTTCCTGAGGCATCCCCAGCCCTGCAGAACTGTGAGTCAATTAAACCTCTTTTCTTTATAAATTACCCAGTCTTGGGCAGTTCTTTATAGCAGTATGAGAATGAGCTAATATAGAGAGATTGCAAAGTGAAACAAGGAAGCTTTTAGCAATGATGAATATGTTTATGATCTTCATTGTGGTGATAGGTTCGCTAGTGTATATATTTGTCAAAACTTACTAAATCACATACACAAAATATATAAAGTTTGTTTATTGTATAATGAGGTCTTAATAAGCTGTTTTTAAAAATTAAATATAGCAGAAATTTAGAAAATGGTGATTAGTAGCATAACAGGAAAAGCTGTTTCTTTGCTTAAATTTAAGTCAAGTGATGTCACACTGACCAAATTTGAAGATAATGACCATGTTCAGGTAGTTTTTCTCATGGGACCTATTAAGAATGAGATGAATAACCAGTAATTAAACAAAGGAAATGAGGCTGTTTCATTTATTCTGGCACTCCATGCCGGACTATGTCAAAATACCTCTATTTGACACACTAAGGCCCTCTACAGTTCTCAAATCATTCCTCCATCTCATCATAAGAATATGCATAGAAGCTAAGACAGAAAGGAAATAAGCTATGACCCAGATAGTTCCACTAGAGATCTTAGAAATGAGGGGAAACCAAAATCAAAACCTGAGCAAGCACCCCAATGCCAGGCTGGTCCCAGAAGAGGTTGTCCCCCACGGACCCCAAGCTTCAGGCCCACTCCAGCATCCACATGTTCTAGACCTACACGCACATACCAAGGTACCAGGCCCACCCCAGTGATCTTCCATGAACCCAGATACAAGGGTCACCTGATCACAGAAATAATAACCATGCTCTCCTTCCCAAAGCAAGCCTGACCAGGGTCCCAAAATCTCTGGGTGCTACTGCACCCAAAATCTCTGGGCAGGCTGACTGGTTAAGGGATTTCCCTCCCAAAGCCAGTCTAAAGACTAGAAGAGGTGACTACTTCTTCAAATGTATGGATGGCAATGCAAGGCCACAAGGATCAAAAATAAGCAGGAATACTTGATATCACCAAAGGAAAAAAAATAAAGCACCAGTAACTGATCTTAAAACAATGGAGATCTACAGATTGTCCTATAAAGAATTCAAAATAATAATCTTAAAGAAACTTGTGAGCTACAAGAGGATATACATAGACAACAAAACAAAATCAGGAAGACAAAAAGACAACTTCAACAAAGAGAAAGAAACCATGAAAAGGAACCAAACAAAAATTGTGAAGCTGAGGAACAAAAGGACTAAACTGAAAAATTCCATGAGCTTTAACAGACTTGATCAAGCAGAATGAAAGTCAATGAACTTAAAGACATTTGAAATTACCCAGTCAGAAGAACTAAAAGAAAAAAGAGTGAAAAAGAGTGAAGAAAGGCTATAAAACCCATAAGACATCATCAGGTAAACAAACATATGCATTATGCTTTGTTGCCAGATGAAACAAACCAAGAAGAAGATAGCTTATTTAAGGAAAGAATGGCAGAAAACTCCCCGCATTTAAAAATGGAAATGAACATCCAGGTCCATGAAGTCCAAAGAACTGCAAATACATTGAACATTCACCAGGACTTTGTAAATAAATTGTGAAAAAAGGCAATAATTAAATTCTGAAAAGCCAATGATGAACAATTTTGAAAGCACCAAGAGAAAAGCAGTTCATCACAAACAAGGGACCATCCATAAGACTATCATCAGATTTGTCAGCAGAAAGCTCACAGGCCAAGAAAGCCTAGGATGACATATTCCTCATGCTAAAAGAAAACAAAAAAACTGTAAACCAAAAACACTTTATCTAGTAAATCTTTCCTTCAGAAATAAAGATTTTCTCAGAAAAAGAAAAACAAAGGTATATCAATAGCATTTGATTTTTCTTACAAGAAATGCTAAGATTGTCAAACTGAAACAAAAGAATGTTAATTAGCAATATGAAAAGTAAATTTTAAAAGCAACAAAAAAGAAAAAATAAAAGAAAAATGAACCAATAAAGTTAAAAAAAAAAGTAAATTATAAAACTCACTGGTAATGGCAGGGGTATAGACAAATCCAGAATACTCTTATACTGCAATGGCAATGTGTAAATAACTTTTAATATTAGTTTAAAATATTTTAAAGCATTAAAAATAACTATAGCTATAATGATTTGTTAATGTATACCTGATATATAAAAGATATAACTTGTGACATGAATAACATAAAACATGCTGGAGATAAGAATAGAGTTTCTGTGAGTGAGCAAAAATTAAATTATTATCAGCTTAAAATAGACTGTTGCAACTATAATTTGTTTTATGTAAGCCTCACATTAATCGCAAAGGAAAAACCTGTAACAGATGTACAAAAAAAAAAATAGAAATCAAAGCATACCACTAAAAAAAAACATTGAATAACAAAAAAAAGACAGCAAAAGCAAAAGAAAGGAACTACAAATTAGCCACAAAACAATGAGCAGAATGGCAATAACTCCTTACCTATTAATATTTCTTTAAATGTAAATGGTTAAATTCTCTAATAAAAGTCATAGAGTGGCTGAAAAAATAGAAAAAACAAGGTCTAATAATCTGCTGTCTCCAAGAGACTCATTTTAGCTTTAAGAAATGCATAGTCTGAATGAATGGAAAGAGATATTCCATGCAAATAACTAAAAGGGAGCAGAGATGGTTGTACTTACATCAGACAAAATAGACATTAAGTCCGAAATTGTCATAAGACACAAAGAAGGTCATTATATAACCATAAAAAGTTAATTCATCAAGAGGATATAACAATTCTAAATATATATGCACCCAACATTGGAGCACCTAATTTATAAAGCAAATATTGACAGTTTTAACTGAAGGGAGAAACAGATAGCAATACAATAATAGTAGGATAATTTCACTTTCAGCAACAGAGAGATCATCCAGACAGAAAATAAGGAAACATCAGACTTGAACAACCCTATAGATGAAAGTAACCTAGAAGACATACACAGAATATTCCATCCAACAGCAGAAGAATACACATTTTCCTCAAATGCACACAGAACATTCTTCAAGATAGATATACGTTGGGCTACAAACCAAGTCTTACTACATTTAACAAGAATAATTATATATCAAGTATTTTTTCTGACCACAGTGATATAAAACTAGAAATCAGTAACAGGATGATAATTCAAAAATTCACAAATATAGGCCAGGTGTGGTGGCTCACACCTGTAATCCCAGCCCTTTGGGAGGCCAAGGCAGGTGGATCCCCTGAGGTCAGGAGTTCAAGACCAGCCTGGCCAACGTGGTGATACCCCGCCTCTACTAAAAATACAAAAATCAGCCAGGTGTGGTGGCAGGTGCCTGTAATCCCAGCTGCTCCAGAGGCTGAGGCAGGAGACTCACTTGAACCTGGGAGGTGGAGGTTGCAGTGAGCCAAGATCACACCACTGCACTCCAGCCTGGACAACAGGAGTGAAACCCTGTCTCAAAAAAAAAAAAAAAATAGACAAATATGTGGAAATTAAACAACACATTCCTGAACAACCAATAGGTCAATGAAGAAATGAAAAGGAAAATCAGAAAGTATCTTGAGATAAACTAAAATGAACACATAACCTACCCAAACTTATAGAATGCAACAAAAGTAGTTCTAAGAGGTAAGTTTATAATGTAGAAATAGATGCCTACATTAAGAAGAAAAGTCCCCGAATAAACAACCTAACTGTACCCTTAAAAGAACTAGAAAAAGGGCCAGGCACAGTGGCTCCCGCCTGCAATTCCAGCATTTTGGGAGGCCAAGGCGTGTGACTCACTTGAGACCAGAAGTCAAGACCATTCTGGACAATAAGACAAAACCCTTTCTCCAAAAATTAAAATAAAAATAAAAAATTAGCCAGGCATAGTGGCGCACACCTGTAGTCTCAGCCACTAGGGAGGCTGAGGTGAGAGGATCACTTGTGCCCAGGAAGCAGAGGTTGCAGTGAGCTAAGACCATGCCACTGCACTCCAACCTGGGTAACAGTGTGAGACCCTGTCTCAAAAAGAAAAAAAAAAAAAAAAGAACAAAAGAAGCCCCAAATCAGCAAAAGGAGGACAATAATAAAAGGACAAATGCCCCAAGGCTCACCACACTTCTCTAGGTGGCTTTGGCCTTTGTTGACGTCAAATCTGGACAGAGCAGGGCAGTCTTGCCCCTGGGATGGGGCCAGTCTGACCTGAGCATCACCCTGTGTGCCAGCCTCTCCCAGGGTCCCTGCCTGGCCATGTCTGCTTCCAGTGCAGCCTTGGACACCCAACCAGGGTACTGTCTGGATGCCACAGCCATAACTCCTTCACAGGCATACCACACCTGACCTTCAGGGAGCTCCAGCTGACAAGCTTCTACCACTTTACCAACACACATGCACACATAGGCGGACCTCACCACTGCTCCACTGGAACATGTGTATGCACACCCCACCATGCCATTGCTGTCAGCATCAGTGCTCATGTACAGATGCCACCAACGAATCCCCACTGGCACACAGGCACCCTGCTGCCCTTCCCCCTCCAATGGGAATAGCTTGCTGCCAGCACATGCCTGCAATGCAGACATTGCTGTCTCATTCACACATGGAAACCTCAACCCAACCACATCTGTGCCCTGCCCCAGCTAACACACAAATGCTCCACCATGCTGCTACTACTTCTGGCACACTCGAATGTGCAGATGTCACTTCACCTCAATGCAGATGCCACCACCATATCCCCTCAGGAGAACACATGCTGCCCGCTCTACCACTGCACAGACTGGTGCACACATGCATGCAACATCAACCCTACCCTGCCCCCATCAATGCCCTGCACCCGCCAACATGCATGCATTCCACCACACAGTGCCACTGCTGGCATGTGCAAGCGCAGACCCCATGGCCACTGCCCCACCAAAGCACTTTGGCTGGCACCCCTCATCGAAGTGTTGTCAGCAGAACAGGAACACCTCATGCCTTCCAGTGTGGCAGCTGGTAACTTGAGGGGTCTGAGAACAAAGCCATGGGCCTGGTACCAGCCCCTCAGGTTAAAGCACGCAGATCAGGAATGTTGACATGAGCCTTAGCCCCCTGAAATCTTCCAGAAAGGGTTAGTTGATTGAACCTGTATTTTCCCAGTTAAACCCTCAAGGGCATCAAAGACTACAAGCAAAAAAACCCTTACAAAGGACAGAAACTTCAAACATTCCAGGAACATAGCCCAAAGAGAAAGAACCAGCACAAGAACTCTGGCAACTCAAAGAGTGTCTTCTTACCTCCAAATAAGTGCACTAGCACCCCAGCAATTGTTCTTAACCAGGCTGAAATGCCTGAAAACAAAACAAAACAAAACAAAAAAGACACAGAATTCAGAATCTGGATAGGCATGAAGATCGTTGAGATTTAGGAGAATGTTAAAACCCAATCCAAAGATTCAAAATAATCCACTAAAATGATACAAGAGCTGAAAGAAGAAATAGCTATTTCAAAAAAGAACCGAACAAAATTCATAGAGCTGAAAAACACACTACAAGAATTTCATAATACAATCAGAAGTATTAACAGAGAAGACCAAGCCGACAGAAGAATCTCAGAGCTTGAAAACAGGCTCTTCAAATCAACTCAGTCAGACAAAAGTAAAAAAAAAAAAGAAACGAAATGAACTATAACCTCTGAGAAATATGGGATAATGTAGAGACCAAACATATGACTTATTTCTGTCCCAGAAAGAGAAAGCAACTTGGAAGTCATATTTGAGGATACTGTACAGGAAAATCTCCTCTACCTCACAAGAAAGATTGACATTCAAATTCAGGAAATGCAGAGAACCTCTATGAAATACTATACAAGACAACTTTCCCTGATACACAGTCATCAGATTCTCCAAGGACAACATGAAACAAAAGCTATTAAAGGTAGGTACAGGGAAGGGGCATGTCACCTACAAATCCCATCAGACTAACAACAAACCTTTCAAAAGAAACCTTGCATGCTAGAAGAGATTGGGGGCCTATATTCAGCATTGTAAAAAAAAAAAGAAACTCCAACGAGGAATTTCACATTCAGCCAAACTAAGCTTGATAAGTGAAGGAGAAGTCAGATCCTTTTTGGACAAGCAAATGCTAAGGGAATTTGTGACCACTAGACTTGCCTTATAAGAAGTCCTTAAGGGAGTGCTAAACATACAAATGAAAGAGCATTACCAGCCACCACAAAAACACACTTAAATACATAACCATTGACAATGTAAAGCAGCTACACATCAAGTCTGCATAATAACCAGCTAACAATATGATGACAGGACTAAATCCACAGATATCCATATTAATCTTGAATATAAATGGGCTGAACAGCCCACTTAAAAGACACCGAGTGGCATAGAATCTTTGCCCAAAAACTCCTAGATGTGATAAACAACTTCAGCAAGGTTTCAGGACACAAAATCAATGTACAAAAATCAGTAGCATTTTACATCCAAGCTGACAGCCAAGTCAAAAACACAATGGCATTCAAAATATTCACAAAAAAATTAAAATACCTAGGGATACAGCTAACCAGGGAGGTGAAAGGTCTCTACCATAAGATGAGAAAACACTGCTGAAATAAGTCAGAGATGACACAAACAAATGGAAAAATATTCTATGCTCATGGTTAGCATGAATCAATATTAAAATGGCCATATTGCCAAAAGCAATTTACAGATTCAATGCTATTCCTGTCAAACTACCAGTGACATTCTTCACAGAATTATAAAAAACTATACTACGATTTATGTGGAACCAAAAAAATAAAGCCCAAATAGCTAAAGCCATCCTAAGCAAAAAGAATGAACCCAGAGTTATCACACAATCCAATTCAACTATACCATAAGGCTACAATAGCCAAAACAGCATGATACTCGTACAAAAACAGACACATAGACTAATGGAACAGGTTAGAGAACCCAGAAATCAAGCCACACACCTACAACCATCTGATCTTCAACAAAGTCAACAAAAAAAGCAATGGTGAAAGGACTCCCTATTCAATAAATAGTGCTGGGATAACTGGCTAACCATATGCAAAAGATTGAAATTGGATGTTTACCTTTCACCACATATAAAAGTCAACTCAAAATGGATTAAAGACTTAAATGTAAAACCTAAAACTACAAAAACCTCTAGAAGATAACACAGGAAATGCCTTTCTGAATATAAGGCCCGGCAGAGATTTCATGACAAATACACCAAAAGCAATTGCAAAAAAAACAAAAGTTGACAAGTGGGACCTAATTAATCTAAAGAGCTTGTGCACAGCAAAAGAAACTAACAACAGAGTAAATAGCCTAAAGAATGGGAGAAAATATTTGCAAAGTATATATGTAGCAAAAGTCTCATATCTAGAATCTATAAGGAATTTAAACGAATCAACAAGCAAAAACTAAAACACCCCACTAAAAAATGGGCAAAGGACATGAACAAACACTTCTCAAGACATATGTATAGCCACTGAGCATATGAAAAAATGTTCAGTGTCAGTAATCATTAGGGAAATGCAAATTAAAACCACAATGAGATACCATTTCATACCAGTCAGAAGGGCTATTATTAAAAAATAAAAAAAAACCCATGCTAGTGAGGTTTCAGAGAAAAAGGAATGCTTATACACTGCTGGTGGGAATGTAAACCAGTTCAGTCACTAAAGGAAACAGTGTGGAGATTTCTCAAAGAGCTTAAAACAAAACTATGATTTGACCCAGCAATCTCATCAGTGGGTATATACTCAAAGGAATATAAGTCATTCTACCATAAGACACATGTACATGTATGTTCATCACAGCACTACTCACAGTAGCAAAGACATAAAATAAACCTAAATGCCCATCAGTGGTGAACTGGATAAAGAAAATGTGACACATATACCTCCAGTATTCTGGATAAAGACTATTACACAGCTGTAAAAAAGAATGATATCATATTCTTTGCAGCAACATTGGTGGAGCTGGAGGCCATTATCCAAAGCAAATTAACACAGGAACAGAAAACCAAATACTACATGTTCTCATTTATAAACGGAAGCTAAACATAGTACACATAGACATACACAAGTGAACAATAGGCGCCAGGGCCTATTTGAGGGTGGAGGGTGAGAGGAGGATGAGAATCAAAAAACTACCTATTGGGTACTATACTTATTACCTGGGTGACAAAATAATGTGTATACCAAACCCCTGCAACACATGATTTACCCATATAACAAACCCACATATCTACCCCTTGAACCTAAAATAAAAGTTGAAAAAAAAAATAAGATGCATTTCCAGCAAATACTTTTCACATTATGGAAAAAAGTATTAAATATTCTGCCTCACTTGTTTTAAAATTGTGTGAACATTCTTACGCTATATCTTATTAATACTAGCATTTCATGACATTAAAATAAAATTCTAAAATGTAAAAAAGAAAATGGGAGAAATAAATGAAATAAAGAGACTAGAAAAAACAATAGAAATAATAAATGAAAATTAAGACTGGGATTTTTAAAAAAGATAAAGTTGACAATTTTTAGCAAGACTAAGAAAAAGGAGAAAATATTCAAATAAGTGAAATTGTAAATAAAAGAGGGGACATTACGATTGACATCACAGAAATACAAAGGATCAAAGAGACTACTATGAACAGTTGTATGTCAACAAATTGGATAACCTAGAGGAAATGGATAACTTCCTAGGAACATACAACCTATCAAGATCTCATAAAGAAATAGAAAATCTGAACAGACCAATAACTAATAAGAAAATTCAATCAGCAATCAAAAGCCTCTCAATAAATAAAATTCCAGGGCCTGAGGGCTTCACAGGTAAATTATACCAAATATTAAAGAAAGATGTAATGCCAATCCTTCTCAAACTCATACAAAAAAAAAATTAAGAGGAGGTAAAAAAATTCAAATTCATTTTATAAGGCCAGCATGACTCTGATACAAAACCCAGACAAGGACAACACAAAAAAAAATTAACGCTGATGAATACAGATGAAAAAGTTCTCAACAAGATACTAGAAATCAAATTCAACAGTACATTAAAGGGGGCATACACCATGATCAAGTGGGACTTGTCCTTGCAACATAAGCATGATTCAACGTACAGGCATACCTCAGAGATATTGCAGGTTCAGACCATAATGATAAAGCAAATATCACCATAAAGTGAGTCACACAAATTTTTTGGTTTTCCAGTGCATATAAAAGTTATATTTACACTATACTGTGGTCTATTAAGTGTACAATAGCAACATATTTTAAAATGTGCATACCTTTTAAAAAATGCTTTATTGCTAAAAAATGCTAACAACCATCTGAGCCTTCAGTGAGTCACAATCTTTTGCTGGTGGAGGGTCTTGCCTCAATGTTAATGGCTGCTGACTAATCAGAACAACGGTTGCTGAAAAATGGGGTGACTGTAGCAATATTCTTGTTTTAATTCTTTGGAGATAGGGTCTTCCTGTGTTACTCAGGCTGGAGTATAGTGGCGTGATCATAGCTCACTATAACCTCAAACTCCTGGGCTCAAGTAATCCTCCCACCTCAGCCTGCCAAGTAGCTGGAACTGCAGGAGCGTGCCACCATGCCCTGATTTTTTTAAAATTATTTTCATAGAGATGGGGCTCCCTACAATGACCAGGATGGTCTAAAACTCCAGGCTTCAAGTGATCTTCCTTCCTCAGTTTCTCAAAATGTTGAGATTACAAGCCTGAGCCACCATGCCCAGCCCTGTAGCAACTTCTTAAAATAGAACAACAATAAAGCTTGCCACGGTGATTGACTCTTTCATCTGAGATTTCTCTGTGGCTTGCAGTGCTATTTGATAATATTAATATTTTACCCATAGAAGAATTTCTTTCAAAATTGGGGTCGGCCCTCTCAAACACCACTACTGCTTTATCAACTAAGTTTAGGTAATATCCTAAATTCTTTGTTGTCATTTAAAGACTGTACACATCATCTTCACCGAGAGTAAATTCCATTTCAAAAAACCACTTTGTTCATTCAACTCCTCATCTTTTCAAGTTTTATCATGAGATTACAACAACCCAGTAATAGCTTCAGGCTCCGCTTCTAATTTGAGTTTTCTTGCTATTTCCACCACATCATCAGTCACTTCCTCCACTGAAGACTTAAACCCTTCAAAGTCTTCCATGAGAGTTGGAGTCAACTTCTTGTTCATGTTGATATTTTAACCTCCTTCCATGAATCATGAATGTCTTTTTTTTTTTTTTTCTGAGACTGTCTCACTCTGTCACCCAGGCTGCAGTGCAATGGCATAAACACAGCTCTCTCTAGCTTCAACTTCCCAGACTCAAATCAACCTCCCGCCTCAGCATCCCAAGTAGCTGGGTCTGCAGGCACACACCACCATACCCAACTAATTTAAAAAAAAAATTTTTTTTTTTTTTTTGAGATGAAGTCTCGCTCTGTCACCCAGACTGGAGTAGAGTGGTGCAATCTTGGCTCACTGCAACCTCCTTTACCTGGGTTTAAACAATTCTCATGCCTCATCCTCCCCAGTAGTTGAGATTACAAGTGCATGCCACCAGGCCTGGCTAATTTTTGTATTTTTAGTAGATACAGGGTTTCACCATGTTGGCCAGGCTGTTCTCAAACTCCTGAGCTCAAGTGATCCTCCCACCTTGGCCTCCCAAAGTGCTGGGATTACAGACGTGAGCCACCAAGCCCGACCTATTTTTTAATTTTTTTGTAGAGATGGAGTCCCACTAAGTTACCTAAGTTGGTCTCAAACTTCTGGACTCAAGCGGTCTTCCCACCTTGGCCTCCCAAAGTGCTCAAATTGCAGGAATGAGCCACTGTGCCTGGTCATAAACATTCTTAATAGCACCTAGAATAGTGAATCCTTTCCAAAAGGTTTTTAATTTACTTTGCCCAGATTGATCAGAAATATCACTGTCTAAGCCAGTTATAGACTTAAGGAATGTATCTCTTAAATAACAAGACTTGAATGTCAAAATCCTTGATCCATGGAATGAAGAATGGATGTTGTGTTAGCAAGTATGAAAACATTAATCTTTTTGTACATCTCAAGCAGAGTTCTTGGCTGACCAGTTACATTACCAATGAGTAGTAATATTTTGAAAGGTATCTTTTTTCTGAACAGTAAATCTCAACATTGGGCTTAAAATACTCAGTATACCATGCTGTAAACAGATGAGCCGACATCTAGGCTTTGTTGTTCTATTGGGTACTATGTTCACTATTTAGGTGATGGGTATCTAGAATTGCAAACCTCACCATTATGCAATATATCCATTAAAAAACCCTGCACATGTGCTCCCTGAAACTAAAATTTTTTTTTAATTAAAAAAAGAAAGACAGTTACAGCTTTGCTCTGGATTAGGT
The DNA here is from genome assembly GCF_000001405.40 of Homo sapiens. Classification (NCBI taxonomy): domain Eukaryota; kingdom Metazoa; phylum Chordata; class Mammalia; order Primates; family Hominidae; genus Homo; species Homo sapiens. The sequence goes on along the minus strand of NC_000015.10, from coordinate 46,125,550 downwards.
TTTTTCTTAATGGTTTGTTCTATCCAAACCATTAAAACTTTTTTCATATCAGCAATAATGCTGTTTTACTTTCTTATTATTCATGTATTCACTGGAGGAGCACTTTCAGTTTCTTTATTATAACTTTTAGGTTCAGGGGGACATGTGCACTTTTGTTATATAAATCAACTTGTATCATTAGTGTTTGGTATATAGATTATTTCATCACCCTGGTAATAAGCATAGTACCCAACAGGTATTTTTTCTGATCCCATCCCTCCTCCCACCCTCCATCCTGAGGTAGGTCCCAGTGTCTATTGCTTCTCTCTTTGTGTCCATGTGTTCTCATTGGTTAGCTCCCACTGATAAGTGAGAATATGCAGTATTTGGTTTTCTGTTCCTGCATTAGCTTGCTTAGGATAATGGCCTCTGGCTCCATCCATGTTGCTGCAAAGGACATTATCTCATTCTTTTTTATGGCTGCATAGTATTTTGTGATGTATATGCACATTTTCTTTATCTAGTCTACCATGGATAAGAATTTAAGTTGATTCCCTGTCTTTGCTAGTGTGAACCATGCTGTAATAAACACACATGTGCGTGTGTCTTTATGATAGAGTGATTTATATTCTTTTGAGTATATACCCAATAATAGGATTGCTGGGTTGAATAGGAATTATGTTTTAACTTATTTGAGGAATCACCACACTGCTTTTCACATGAAAGAAATTGAAATTTACTTTTTTAAATTAATTAAATTTAAAAATTTTAAATTTAAATTTAAAAAATTTTTTAAAAATTAAACATTTTTAATTTAAATTAAAATTAAAAGAAAATTTTAATTTCTTTCAAGAAATTTTCCTTTGCTTTCACAACTTAGCTGTTTGAAACAAGAGGCCTGCTTTTGGCCTGTCTTGGCTTTCAACATGCCTTCTTCACTAAACTTAATCATTTCTAGCTTTTAAAGTGAAAGATGTACAACTCTTCCTTTCACTTGAACACTTAGAGGCCATTGTAAGGTTTTTAATTAGACCAATTTCAATATTTTTGTGTCTCAGGGAATAAAGAGAGGAGAGACAGGGGAACATCTGGTCAGTGTAACATTTAGAACACATACAACACTTACCAATTAAGTTTGCTGTCTTATACGGGCATTATGGGTGCGATTCATGCCACATCAAAACTATTATAATAGTAATATCAAGATCACTGATCACTGATAACAGATGTAATAATAATGAAAAAGTTTGAAATATTATGAAAATTCCCAAAATATGACTGAGAGACACAAAGTAAGCACATACTATTAGAAAAAACGGTGCTAATAGACTTACTTGATGCAAGATTTCCACAAACCTTCAATATGCAAAAAAAAAAAAAAAGAAAGAAAGGAAAAGGAAAAAAATCAGCAAACTACAATAAAACAAAGCATAATAAAACAAGGTATGACTCTACATAAATCGAAAAATGTAATACATTAAGAGAATGAAGGATAAAAATTATATGATCATCTCAATAGATGCAGGAAAAGTATTTGACAAAATCCAATATCCTCTCGTGGTAAATGCTCAATAAATCCAGTATGGATGGAATATACCTCAACATAATAAAGGCCATATATGACAAGCCTACAACTTACATCATATTCAACAGTGAAATGCTAAAAGCTTTCTCCCTAAGATCAAAAATAAGACAAATATGTCTACTCACCACTTATGTTCAACATAGTACTAAAAGTACTAGCCAGAGCAGTTAGGCAAGAAAAATAAAAGTCATCCAAATTAGAAAGAAAGAATTCAATAATCTCTGTTTGCAGATGACATGATCCTACATATAGAAAACTTTAAAGACTTCATCAAAAACTGTTAGAGCAATAACAAAACCAAATAAAGATACAAGATAAAAATCAACATAAAATATTAGTAGCATTTGTATATAATAACCACAAACTATTCAAAAAATAAATTAAGAAAACAACCTCATTTCCAATATCATAAAAAATATATAGGAACAAATTTAGCCAAGGAAGTGAAAGATCTGTGTACTGAAAAGTTTTGACTTTTTTTTTAATTAAAGGAGAGACAGATAAATAGAAAGCTAGCCAGTGTTCATTGATTTTAAGGATTATTATTGTTAAAGTGTTCATACAATCCAAAGTGATCTACAGATTGAACGCAACCCTTAGAAAAAGGATAGAAAAAAAGAATCCTAAAATTCATGGGGAACCTCAAAAGATCCCAGAATAGCTAAGGTCATTTTGAGCAAGAAAAGAAAGCTGGAAACATTATACTACCTAATTTCAAAATATACTACAAAGCTCTAGTAATCAAAACTGTATGGTATTTGCGTAGAAACAGACACATGAACCAACGGAACAGAATAGACAGCACAGAAATCAATTCACACATTTACAGTCAATTGATCTTCAACAAAAGTGCCAAGAACACACAATGGGAAATTTATAGTTTCTTCAATAAATGATGTTAGGAAAGCTGGATATCTGCACCCAGATGAATAAAGTTGGACATTTATCTTATACTTTATACAAAAATCAACTCAAGATAGGTTAAAAACTTTAAAGTAAGATCTAAAACTGTGAAACTAATAAAAAAAAACACAGAAGGAAAGTTTCTTGACATTGATCTGGGCAACAGCTTTCTTCATATGACTCCAAAAGCACGGGCAACAAAAGTAAAAAAAAGAGAAATGAATTGCATCCAACCAGAAGCTTCTTCACAACAAAGGAAACAATTAATAAAGAGAATATCGACAGAGTGGAAGAAAATATTGACAAACCATACATTTCATAAGGGGTTAATATCCAAAAAATATGGAAATTCTGTAACTCAATGGCAAAAAACAAAATAAAATAACCCAATTTTAAATAAAGACAAAAAAACCTGAATAGACATTATTTCTAAGGAGACATACAAATGGCCAACAGATTTATGAGAAAAAAAAAAGTTCAACATCTCTAACCATCAGAGAATTGCAAATTGAAACCACAATGAGGTATCAGCTCATACCTGTTCAGATGGCTATTATCAAAAAACAAAAGACAAATGTTGGCAAGGATGTGGAGAAAAAGGAATCTTTGTACACTGTTGGTGGGAATGTAAATTAGTATAGCCACTATGAAAACAGTATGGAGGTTCCTCAAAAAACTAAAAACAGAACAACCCTATGATCCATCAGTTCCACTTCTGTGTATTTATCCAAATGAAGTAAGATCAGTATCTCAAAGAGGCAAAGTGATACCTGCAGTCCCTTGTTGATTGCAGCACTATTCACAATAGCCAAGATATGGAAACAATCTAAATATTCATCTGTAATCTGCAGATGAATGGATAAAGAAAATGTGCATATTAGGGTTCTCTCAAGAAACAGAATAGACTATATACAGATATAAGAGAGAATTTATTATGGGAATTGGCACACACAGTTTTAGAAGTCAAGAAATCCCTTGCTATGTCATCTGTAAGGAGCAGAACCAGGAAAGCCAGTGGTATAGATCCGTCCATGTTTGAAGGGCTGAGAGCCAGGGAAGCCAGTGGTGTAACTCTCAGTTCAAAGCCAAAAGGAAGCATTGGTGTAACTCATGGAGTCTGAAGGCCTGAGAACCATGGGAGCTTTAAGAGAAAATGAATGTCTCAGCTCCAGAAAAGAGAGAAAATCTGCCTTTACTTGTTGGATGATGCCTGCCTCCATTGGTAAGGGCAGACCCTTTTAACTCAGTCTACTGATTCAAATGCTAATCACAGACACAGAAAAACATCCTCAAAGACACACCCAGAAATAGTATTTTACCAGCTCTCTGGGTATTCCTTAACCACCCAGTCAGGTTAATATATAAAAGTAAACACATATATAATGTAATGTTACCCAGACTTTAAAAAGAAAGAAATCTTGCCATTTGCCTCAATATGGATGGATCTGGAACACATTATGCTCAGTGAAATAAGCCTGATACAGAAAGACAAACACCATATGTGAAATCTAAAATAGCTAAACTCATAGAGGCACAGAATGAATGGTGATTGCCAATGACTGGGGGAGAAAAAGATATGGAGGTGATTGTCAAAGAATACAAAGTTTTAATTATACAAGATAAATACATTCTGGAGACCTACTATACAGCATGGTGTCTATAGCTAACAATACTGTATCACATACTTAAAACTTTCTAAAAAGGTAGCTTTCAGGTTAAATGTTCATACCAAACACACACACTTAACTCTCAAAATAATAACAATGGGGTCAGGAGGAAACTTTGGGGTAACAGATCTATGGCCTTGATGATAGTGACAGTTACAACATCATTAAAATTTATTCCAAAATCCATCATTAAATAAGCATTTGTATATATTAAATAAGTAAATTTTTTGCATGTCAATCATACTTCAGTACAGTGGTTAAAAAAATTGGGCCTGGCATGACTTCGAGGTCTATGAACTTTTGCTATGCCAGGCTGTCCAGTCTTTAAAAGAATATTGCCTTCCAAGCCATGTTTGAGAAGTCAATTCCTTAAGTGTTGTAACATTGTGGCAGCACTCTAGAAGTCAGTCTCCAATATGACATCTATACACACAAAGAGTATGACTTAATATTCCGAGGTCCAAATAAGGTAGTGAGTTCACTGAAAATTCAACTTCTTAAAAATACGGACCCCCTCGAAATTGACCCTGAAGGCCAGATGAGAAGGAGAGGAAATGAAACTCAGACTGGTTTCTGCTTTATGAAAATAGCAACAGTAAACTAATTAGTTTCAGATTTTTCTAACCCAGTTGAATAGAAGAGGATGTCATAAGACAGATGAAACATGTTTTAATTTCAATGCCAGCCCAGAAGGAGGAAAAGTTGTTTATCTAAGACTACTGGAATAAGACCAACAGTCCAGTTTGGCCCTTTCCATCCACTATTTCAAAGGATACATACATGAACAACCCACATGTAAAGCCATAAGCCCTGTGGCCACCTGGAGAGACCCACCACCCATATACAACAGACTCCATCAGTGCTGCCCACAAGGGTGTTTGGAAACTACAAGACCTAGGAATTTAGATTTCTAGAGTATTCTGTGGTATAATTTTGCAGGAGTCTAGAGGTGTTTTGGTGACAGGTTCTGAAGTGAGATCAATTCATCCTATGATATACCCCTTTCCCAATGCTATAGGACAATGGGACTAAGCCTCACCTCAGATACACTGGTTCCTCATTGGGGTTTTAAATGTAAACAGGTAGACACATCAGTTAGACACATCGCCTGCTTGGGTATCCATAAGCTCATCTCAGGAGCCTGATCAATCCCTGCTGGAACTAGACAGAAAAGCTGCTGCTTTCTATGCCTAGCTGCAAGCCATGTGCCACAGCTGCAGAAACCCATGAGACAGCATCATGGAGACAAGAATATTGAAAGGATTTGTAGACTGACAGAAGAGCTTTACCTGGTTCTTAACTACTCACTTCTTACATACATGGCAAATAAATGATAATAAAGGAGAGAAATCTGGATGAAATATAGACATGAGGGACACAACAAATGTTCCAGAAGATATCATAAGGGAATAGAAGTAATAAGCAAACAGACATACCCTACTCTATGACAGCATAAAAATTAAGAGCCTGGGAGTAAGACTCCCTTTTTTCCTCTTTCCCCAAGCCACCAAGAAGAATCCTGTACATGTTTCCCTAAAGAGGGGAGTGGGGGGAGGAATTTTAGAGAGATGTTTATTATTTATTTGTAGAGATTAACTAGGCCTTTCCCGCCCCGCCAAAAAAAAATTTGCAGACCAAAGACAGAGGGGAGGGGAATAAAAGCCCTGGTAGTGAACAGAAGGAAATAGAGAAAGGAGCCAGAGAGATGGACAGCTGGAGGAAGCAGATTTCATTATGGACCATGGCTTTCCACTTAAGGTATTTCAAGAGAAGAGTAATTACAAAGAATAAAATTCATTGCTTTTGCTTCTAGAATTGTGCCTCCTTAATATGTAACTATCTTAAGATTTGAGCCATGTTAGTCTGCAACTTAATTCAGGTTTCCTATCATCTGTCCCTTCATCAGTCTCTTTAATCTGAAAGAGATTTCTGAGAATGGCCTTCATGTTCATTCTACTTTATTATTTCTGACAATTTTTCAAATGTACAGGTTTATTTTCTTGTCCCCTAAATTTAGCCATTTTATAAACCATATTTCTTCTCTTACTGTGGCATAAAGTTCATGTTTTCTCAAAAGTGTAATATTGAATAAGAATCATAGAAAATAGATGTTTCAAATGTTTAAAGTGGCACGTGGTATATGCCATCTATGTTCCAGACTAGAGAGACATTATATAGTCCCTGACTTAATGGTTTTTACTGTCTATTAAGTAAAATGAGGAGCAATTACTAACTACAGAAATGAGAGATATGAGTGATATTAAAGGACGCACGGAACACTATGGGAAGACACAGAGGGGATTTAATCTAGCTTCGGGAGACACTCCTCATCTCCCTGGGAAGGCCTTCAATAAGTTGAGTGAGTAAATGAGTTAGAGTGCTTTATTCTCAAACTAGTACTTTCAGGAGAATGTCTCTTTTCACATCTCCTTATCTTCGCTGAATCTAACTTTTGCCTGCTAAAGCCTAAATCAAAGAAAAAAGATAAAACCATTTGTTAACTACAGCTGTTATTTTTTTAAAAAATTTTTAATTTAAGGGTTAAGGGAGGCATAAGAAAAGAACCCTGAAAAAAGTCTAATTTTGTATAATAAATAGGTGACCTGAATCTTCCTGGATGAAATAAGACTAAGTCCTGACATGTTCCAGCATTTTAAATCTTTCCCACATTCTTCTGTGCTATTAAACTAGTTGACATTTCTATTAGCGCTCCAGCCTGAGGGAAGCAAGTGTACAAACTGCCTTTGACTACATGGCTTTCACTATTTGAAGATTCCATGTCAAGGGTGACTGGTTTTCCTAATCCAATTTGTTAAACCCTCAAATGACATCCATAGTTTTCCTCCTTCCAAGTGCCCATCCATATCAGGAAAAGCCATCACTGGTTTGAACTTAAAAGACTGAGCTCCCCTTTCCCTAAGTAGCCATTGCTATTTTTTTAATTTAAATTATTATACATTAAGGAGTACATGTGCAGGCTTGTTACATGGCTAAATTGCATGACGTTGAAGCTTGGGGTCGCAACAATTCTGTCACTCAGGCCATAAGCATAATACTCCATAGGTGGTTCTGCAGCTCATGGCCTCCCCCCACCTCCCCTGTATAGTGATCCCCAGGGTCTATTGTTCTCCTCTTTATGATCATGTGTATTTAATATTTAGCTCCCACTTGTAAGTGAGAAGTTGTGGCATTTGGTTTTTTCTTCTTGCGTTAGTTTGTATAGGATAATGGCCTCCAGCTCCATCCATGCAAAGGGCATGATTTTGTTCTCTCTTATGGGTGCATAGCATATATGTACCATTCTGATGGCTAATATTGAGTGTCAACTTGATTGAAGGATGCAAAGTATTGTTCCTGGGTATGTCTGTGAGGGTGTTGCCAAAGGAGATTAACATTTGAGTCAGTGGACCACAGAGAAGCAAGACCCATCCTCTATATGGGTGGACACCATCTAATCAGCTGCTAGTGTGGCTAGTATAAAGCAGGCAGAAGAAAGTGGAAAGAGTGGACTTGCCGAGTCTTCCGGCCTTCATCTTTCACCCATGCTGGATGCTTCCTACCCTCGAACATCGGACTGGAAGTTTTTCAGCTTTTGGACTCTTGGACTTACACCAGTGGTTTGCCAGGGGCTCTTGGGCCTTTGGCCACAGACTAAAGGCTGCAGTGTCAGCTTCCCTACTTTTGAGGTTTTGGGACTTGGACTGGCTTCCTTCCTCCTCAGCTTGCAGACAGCCTATTGTGGGACTTCATCTTGTGATTGTGTGAGTCAATACACCTTAAAAAACTCCCCTTCATGCATATATCTATCCTGTTAGTTCTGTTGCTCTAGAGAACTCTAATACAACCATAGTGTATATGCATCACATTTTCTTTATCCAGTCCACATTGATGAGTACTTAGGTTGATTCCATGGCCTTGCTATTGTGAATAGTGTGGTGATAACATATCAGTGCATGTGTCTTTCTGACATAATGACCTATTTTTCTTTGGATAAATATTCAGTAGTGGGATTTCTGGGTCAAATGGTAATTCTATTTTAAGTTCCTTGAGAAATCTCTAAACTGCTTTCCACAGTTGCTTAACTATATTACATTCCTACCAACAGTCTATAAGCATTCCCTTTTCTCTGCAGCCTTGCCAACATCTGTTGCTGTTTAATGCTTTAATAATCACCATTCTGACTGGTGTGAAATGGTATCTCATTGTGATTTTAACTTACATTTATCTGATGATTAGTGATGTTAAGCATTTTTTCATGTTATTGGCTGCTTGTAGGTCTTCTTTTGAGTAGTGTCTGTTCATGTCCTTTGCCCATTTTTAAATTAGTTTTTGCTTAAGTTCCTTGTAGAGTTGGATATTAGACCTTTGCTGGACACATAATTTGCAAATATTTTCTCTAATTCTGTAGGCTGTCTGTTTACACTGTTGGTAATTTATTTTGCTGTGCAGAAGCTCTTTAATTAGATTCCACTTGTAAATTTTTGTTTTTGTTGCAATTGCCTTTGGGGATCTACCCATAAGTTATTTGCCAAAGCCTATGTTGAGAGACATATTGCCTAGATCATCTTCTAGGATTTTTTGAGGTCTTACATTTAAGTCTTTAATCCATCTGGAGTTAATTTTTGTGTATGGTGAGAGATAGGGTCCAGTTTCATTCTTCTGCATGTGGCTAGCCAGTTATCACAGCACCATTTATTGAATAGGGAAGCCTTTTGCCATTGCTTATTTTTGTTGATTTTATTGAAGATCAGATAGTTGTAGGTGTGTGGGTTTATTTCTGGGTTCTTTACTCATTTCCACTGGTCTATGTGCCTGTTGTTTTTTATCAGTACCATACTGTTCTGATAATTACAACCTTATAGTATAAAGTCAGACATTGCGATGCTAGGATTGCTTTTGGCTATTTGGGCTCTTTCTTGGTTCCAAATGAATTTTATAATAGATTTTTCTAATTTTGTGAAAAATAATGTTGGTATTTTGATAGAAATAGCATTGAATCTATAAATTGCTTTGGGAAATATAGCCATTTTAACTATATTGATTCTTCTGATTCATGAGCATGAAATATTTCTCTATTTGTGTTGTCTCTCATTTCTTTCAACAGTGTTTTACAGTCTTCTTGTAGAGACCTTTCACTTCCTTGTTTAGATGAATTCCTAGGTACTTTATTTTCTTTGTGGCTACTGTAAATAACATTGTGTTCTTGATTTGGTTCTCAGAATGTTATTGGTGTATAAAATGCTAGTGGTTTTTGCACATTGATTCTGTACCCTAAAGTTGACTGAATTAATTTCTCAGTTCCAGAAGACTTTTCACAGAGTCTTTAGGGTTTTCTAGTTATAGAATCGTATCGTCAGCAAAGAGGAATAGTTTGATTTCTTCTTTCCCTATTTGGATGTCTTTTATTTATTTCTCTTGCCTGATTGCCCTGGCTAGGACTTCCAGTACTATGTTGAATAAGAGTGGTAAGAGTGAACATCTTTGTCTTGTTCCAGTTCTGAAGGGGAATGGTTTCAGTTTTTGCCCATTCAGTATGATGTTGGCTGTGGGTTTTTCATAAGTGGCTCTTGTTATTTTGAGGTATACTTATTATTTTATAGGTATATTCCTATTATTATTTTGAGGTATACTTATTTTATAGGTATATTCCTATTGATATTAATCTGCAACAAGGCAGTGGATACTCTTGACTTCTTTCTCATCTCACTTGTTACATGATGTCAACAACTTCAAGGAATGCACTAGATGTTGTAGTATTCTTTTTACCTTCTAATGCTAATACAGGATTTTTTCTTATTTTCATCTCTGGTCACTTAAGTGAGGTTTTGTTAGGGGTGGGGATAGCATTTCATTCCTGAGTTCAAGTCGTCTGAGAACCCAAGAGCCTCAGTGGGCTAGTTTAGGATGAATTTACAAGTCAAGTTCTGTTTTCCATGTTCTCTTTCTTCTGTTTTATACATGCCTGCTGGGTCCTTTTTCAGAACTTTGAGCAAATTCAACCATTTATCTATACAAAAGGACAAAAGATCAGTTCTCCCCTTTACCATGCACAGTGGGATAGTAAGGGAAGTAGAGAATGCACTTAACCCCATCTAGACTGATGGCCCCCCACTCTGTGAGCATGTTTTTCAAATACTACTATACTGCCCTTGCTCTCCAGGCCCACAATCTGCTAGGGCAATCAATTTCTAGGAAAGTGATTGACCCATTTTTCCCTGCTAGTCAGGTAAGCAGCCATAGCCTTGGCATATAAGTTCTCTATCAAAGAATTCAGAAACTTTACAATGGCTTGGTTAATTGTAAAATGGGGATAAATCTTCCTTAAGAATTGTCAAATGGGGAAGGGAGACATGGATATTACCACTATGTGACCAGAAACATAACGGGCACTAATTTCTTATATGTATCTTACAGGCTCAAATCTAGTATTCTCCAGGTCACACTGCATTCCTAGGTTCAAATTCAGGTTATGCCTCCCTTTTGTCTCCCTGTGTCCTACTTCATAGGATAAGAGGGTTGCATTTTTTTAAGAGAAGGTAATAACTGAAGCAAAAGGGTAACATCGCAGCGTTCATCGCATTTCTTTCTGGGAATCCAACCTGCAACAGATTCTGAGATGGAAATTAGCAGACAGAAGGTTTATTGGGGAGTACTTTTGGGATCCTCCAGTGTGGAAGGGAAGCAACTGGAACTAAGCAGAAGGAGAAGTCAAGCTACAATGCCGTCTGGGTCTAATATCACAGCCAGCCCTGTGGGAAGATCTAAAGATAAAATTATTCTGCAAAGCTGCCCAGAGCTGGAACAAGAAGATTGGGCCTTTTTATATTCCTGGACAATAATTTATTGGATGCAGTCTATCCAGGAAAGAGGCATGACTTTTAATAAGCCACAATTCTGCCTCTCTGGGATTCCTCAAGAAGGCTGACAGCAGAGGACTCTACACCCACAGCAATCTCCACAGCTTGAGAAGTTGGTCTTTCATTACTGGAGGAGGATCTGAGCAACATATGACAGTACTCACCACACTGCTCAATATATATCTGAGAGTAATTTATTTTCAAGTTTCCAAAAATTTGAACTTGTAGTCTAAGACAAGTATGTCATGTCTGTATGCAAGCTGAAATATATGTGAATCTTCTTAACTGAAATTATTTCTTAATCCTGATTGGGACTATAACCTTTATATATTCATATGTACTCTTTATGAAACCAACAGATATTCATTATTATCCATGCATATCTATTCAAAATGGAAAATTATTAGGTGATTTTTTTTTTTTTGAGATGGAGTCTTGCTCTTTCACCCAGACTGGAGTGCAGTGGCGCTATCTCAACTCACTGCAAGCTCCGCCTCCCAGGTTCACCCCATTCTCTTGCCTCAGCTTCCCAAGTAGCTGGGACCACAGGCACCCGCCACCACACCTGACTAATTTTTTGTATTTTTAATAGAGATGGGGTTTCACCATGTTAGCCAGGATGGTCTCGATCTCCTGACTTCATGATCCACCCGCCTAGCCCTCCCAAAGTGCTGGGATTACAGGTGTGAACCACTGTGCCCGGCCAGTGATTCTTCAAAACAGTTTTCTTCTGAGGACCTCATTGGTGTTCAGGCATGATCTTTTTAAAGCTGTACGTAATTGAAGGAGAGCTGGTAAGGAGAAACATTGTTTCCCTATGCCATAGTAATGAAGTTAGATGTTTCCTAAATAATATAGAGTAGTGGGGGCAAAAGATCAATATGGACCTACTTAGCTATTAGCAATATTGAATTGTAAAATATGTAGTAGAGGCCACTTTTATTTAGTTTTAGAATAAAGGGAAATCACTGCAAACAATTTTAGGAAAGACTTTAGAAGTAGGACCCTTGAAAAGGCTGTGGGAAATGTATAGCATCCATTTAGAGGCAGGTAGGGTGATTTTATAAGTGAAGGCAAAGCTGAAAATACTCAAGAGTATTCTGAGAAATAAATACAGCTACCTGGTGGATACAGCTACCTGGTGGATGCAGCTACCTGGTGGAAACTGTCTGTGGAGTATAAGCAGGAAGAGGCTGGGACCAGATGATCATCTCTTCTATCCCCAAAACAAGAGACCAAAGGTTTAAGAAGATGACATCATTGATAAAAGGAGTGTCTTACCAAATTTAACACAACATAGTATAGAATAACTTATATATGGGAGTGAGACAGATTAATAAGTATATAATGTCCAGGCATGAGAAATCGGCCACAATAATATCAGTGAAGATTAGAATGGGAAGATACAAGATGACCTGTGAGGAAATGTAAGGCCACTTTATCCCCATTTAGTCCTTTAGAATCTAAACTAAAAGAATCTATGAATTATATCATTTAGTATGATATAGCCTATGGTGCTAGCACACTTAGTAATAATGAATCCTTCATAGTGCTATTAGCTTATTGGAGCCTTTTGGCCTATTTCTTAAGAGCTCTAGCTTCCGTATCTATAGTAAAAATTCATGTAGGTTAGGTAGAATTTTTCACCAGTACCCCCAGCATACCTTGCCACAAAAATAGCAGAATAGAAAGATCTAGCCATCCATATCCTACATTTCTATAATTTCATGTAGTGTGGAAAATTATTTTCTGAATGTAAAAATGTTGGCTGTATTATAATACAAACTTATTAAAGATTACTAGTACACATGAACTGATTGAACCATTGTACAGTTTAGTCCATACATATTAATAGTGATAACATTCCAAAGAGCCCTGAAATGTAACAAGGTCTTATGTCATCTCATAACAAATAATTGATCTCTGAGAATTCCAAAACTGAATGTGCTAGAATATTGGTTTTCTACAAATCCCAGTCAGCTAAAGATGTCACTAAAAACAAGATTATAAGAGAAATTTTTAAAATTATTACTGACAAGTAGGATCAATTTCCTTGTATATTCAATTCCTGGCTTAGCTCTACTCATGTGATATAAAAGAAAAGGCTCTAGCCTCCGAGATAGAACACTCTACTTTTCCATTCTCCCACACTGTCTTCACTAGATATATCCTAAAATAAGCTGACCAAACTTTCTAGACTTTAACAATCTCATCTATAATAATGAGGACAGTATCTGTAGTAATTTGAGCAAGACAAATTTATAAATTAATTTTTATTAGACCAGCTATAATTTGAAGTAGCAGATTGCATGATAAAATCACTGAACAGGCATGTATCTTAGATTCCATTTTCCTGAAGACAGAGTCTAAAAGGAGAGAAAATAGTAACTTTACAGTGGAGAAACCTGATAAACAAGATCTCAGCCAGGTAATCAAGATCAACATCAATAATGATAATGAAGCAAGATATTTCCCTGACTCCACTGCAGAACTCACAAAGGAAGTGCCTCATTTACTCAGCCCACAGCTCTCAACTCCTTGTGGGAGGGAACATGCAAGCAAATGAAGCAGGAACTGGAGTGCACGGGCACAGGAACTAGCCAGCCACTTTGGCACTGACAGAGGTGAACTCCACTCACTGGGACCTGCTGTGCTCCACCCCTTGCAGGAGGGAGCATGCAGGTGAGCAGGTGCAGGAGCTGGGACAAGCACTTTTGGGTGCTGGCAGCAGCCAACTCTGTGCAGCCCCTGCAGCAATGTCTGGGGGAAAGGGGGGTGCCCGTGACCCCTGAAGCCCCAGAGGGAGTGTTATAGCGCTCTTTTAGCACTACTATCCATGGATGGCTTAAATGTTAACAGCTCAGTGGACCCTCTGCCTTTTTGCATAAGGCAGCTGCCTTCTGCCAGTAAGGGGAAAGGGTCAGTGTGACAGACTTTTGCACCTGCACTCATGGTTGCCAAGTTCTTGTCTGGCGCCCAGGAGAAATGAGGTTGTGTGAACAAACTGAAGGATGAAAATGTGGGGAATTTTATTGCTAATGGAGGTGGCTCTCAGTGGGAAAGGGAGCTGAAAAGGGCATGAGGCAGGAAGGTAATCTTCCCCTGAAGTCTGGCCATCTCCGGCCAGATTCTTCTCCAAAGTTGTCAAGCTATCCCTCTGAAGTCAAAGTGCTTCTCTTTGACATCAACCCTTAGTCATCTCAATGTCCAGCTGCTTCACCTCTCTCTGCCAGCTGAGCCTGGGGTTTTTATAGGCACAGAATGGTGGGGCAGGGTTGGTCCATGGGTGGTTGTGGAAAAGGCAGCATTTAAGCAGGAAAACAGGGATGTAAGTTCTCACTTCAGGCCATGGTCTGAGGCTTTTTGTCTTGAGGATAGGGCTTCACCAGGGGCCCACTCTTTTCTGCCTAGAATTTCTCTGCCTCCTATCCCTATCAATAAGTCATGTTGATAGCATATGCTTTTTATATGATGTGATGAAAATGACACTTTACCTCTCGTCTTCCTCCCCAAACTCCTTAACCTCAGTCTAATCATCAGCTAAACATCAGACAAATCTCAATTAAAGGACACACTAGAAAACATCTGACCAGTACTCCTCAAAACTGTCAAGGTCATCAAAAACAAGAAAACTCTAAGAAACCGTTTTAGCCAAGAGAAATCTAAGAACACACAGAAATAAAATGTAATGTGGTATCCTTGATGGAATCTAGGGCAGGGGGAGAGTGAAAACATTAGGTTAAAAACTATGAAAATCTGAATAAACTAATTTTAATTAATAGATCAATTTTAGCTCATGAATTATACATACCATACTTATCAGATGTAATATATTAGTAGTAAGGGAAACTGGGTACAAGATGTATGAGAACACTTTGTAATACCTCTTTTTCTTTTTTTTTATTATTATACTTTAAGTTTTAGGGTACATGTGCACAATGTGCAGGTTACATATGTATACATGTGCCATGCTGGTGCTCTGCACCCACTAACTCGTCATCTAGCATTAGGTATATCTCCCAATGCTATCCCTCCCCCCTCCCCCAACCCCACAACAGTCCCCAGAGTGTGATGTTCCCCTTCCTGTGTCCATGTGTTCTCATTGTTCAATTCCCACCTATAAGTGAGAATATGCGGTGTTTGGTTTTTTGTTCTTGCAATAGTTTACTGAGAATGATAATTTCCAATTTCATCCATGTCCCTACAAAGGACATGAACTCATCATTTTTATGGCTGCATAGTATTCCATGGTGTCTATGTGCCACATTTTCTTAATCCAGTCTATCATTGTTGGACATTTGGGTTGGTTCCATTGTGAATACTGCCACAATAAACATACGTGTGCATGTGTCTTTATAACAACATGATTTATAGTCCTTTGGGTATATACCCAGTAATGGGATGGCTAGGTCAAATGGTATTTCTAGTTGTAGATCCCTGAGGAATCACCACACTGACTTCCACAATGGTTGAACTAGTTTACAGTCCCACCAACAGTGAAAAAGTGTTCCTATTTCTCCACATCCTCTCCAGCACCTGTTGTTTCCTGGCTTTTTAATGATTGCCATTCTAACTGGTGTGAGATGGTATCTCATTGTGGTTTTGATTTGCATTTCTCTGATGGCCAGTGATGCTGAGCATTTTTTCATGTGTTTTTTGGCTGCATAAATGTCTTCTTTTGAGAAGTGTCTGTTCATGTCCTTTGCCCACTTGTTGATGGGGTTGTTTTTCTCTTGTAAATTTGTTTGAGTTCATTGTAGATTCTGGATATAAGCCCTTTGTCAGATGAGTAGGTTGCAAAAATTTTCTCCCATTTTGTGGGTTGCCTGTTCACTCTGATGGTAGTTTCTTTTGCTGTGCAGAAGCTCTTTAGTTTAATTAGATCCCATTTGTCAATTTTGGCTTTTGTTGCCATTGCTTTTGGTGTTTTAGACATGAAGTCCTTGCCCATGCCTATGTCCTGAATGGTAATGCCTAGGTTTTCTTCTAGGGATTTTATGGTTTTAGGTCTAATGTTTAAGTCGTTAATCCATCTTCAATTGATTTTTGTATAAGGTGTAAGGAAGGGATCCAATTTCGGCTTTCTACATATGGCTAGCCAGTTTTCCCAGCACCATTTATTAAATAGGGAATCCTTTCCCCATTGCTTGTTTTTCTCAGGTTTGTCAAAGATCAGATAGTTGTAGATATGCGGTGTTATTTCTGAGGGCTCTGTTCCGTTCCACTGATCTCTATCTCTGTTTTGGTACCAGTACCATGCTGTTTTGGTTACTGTAGCCTTGTAGTATAGTTTGAAGTCAGGTAGTTTGAAGTCAGGTAGCGTGATGCCTCCAGCTTTGTTCTTTTGGCTTAGGATTGACTTGGCGATGCGGGCTCTTTTTTGGTTTCATATGAACTTTAAAGTAGTTTTTTCCAATTCTGTGAAGAAAGTCATTGGTAGCTTGATGGGGATGGCATTGAATCTATAAATTACCTTGGGCAGTATGGCCATTTTCATGATATTGATTCTTCCTACCCATGAGCATGGAATGTTCTTCCATTTGTTTGTATCCTCTTTTATTTCACTGAGCAGTGGTTTGTAGTTCTCCTTGAAAAGGTCCTTCACATCCCTTGTAAGTTGGATTCCTA
Organism: Homo sapiens; assembly: GCF_000001405.40. Taxonomy (NCBI): domain Eukaryota; kingdom Metazoa; phylum Chordata; class Mammalia; order Primates; family Hominidae; genus Homo; species Homo sapiens. Next base: position 46,108,931 of record NC_000015.10, on the reverse strand, counting down.
GGTATTTTATTCTCTTTGAAGCAATTGTGAATGGGAGTTCACTCATGATTTGGCTCTCTGTTTGTCTGTTGTTGGTGTATAAGAATGTTTGTGATTTTTCTACATTGATTTTGTATCCTGAAACTTTGCTGAAGTTGCTTATCAGCTTAAGGAGATTTTGGGCTGAGACAATGGGGTTTTCTAGATATACAATCATGTCGTCTGCAAATAGGGACAATTTGACTTTCTCTTTTCCTAATTGAATACCCTTTATTTCCTTCTCCTGCCTGATTGCCCTGGCCAGAACTTCTAACACTATGTTGAATAGGAGTGGTGAGAGAGGGCATCCCTGTCTTGTGCCAGTTTTCAAAGGTGATGCTTCCACTTTTTGCCCATTCAGTATGATATTGGCTGTGGGTTTGTCATTGATAGCTATTATTTTGCGATATGTCCCATCAATACCTAATTTATTGAGAGTTTTTAGCATGAAGGGTTGTTGAATTTTGTCAAAGGCCTTTTCTGCATCTATTGAGATAATCATGTGGTTTTTGTCTTTGGCTCTGTTTATATGCTGGATTACATTTATTGATTTGCGTATATTGAACCAGTCTTGCATCCCAGGGATGAAGCCCACTTGATCATGGTGGATAAGCTTTTTGATGTGCTGCTGGATTCGGTTTGCCAGTATTTTATTGAGGATTTTTGCATCAATGTTCATCAAGGATATTGGTCTAAAATTCTCTTTTTTGGTTGTGTCTCTGCCGGGCTTTGGTATCAGGATGATGCTGGCCTCATAAAATGAGTTAGGGAGGATTCCCTCTTTTTCTATTGATTGGAATAGTTTCAGAAGGAATGGTACCACTTCCTCCTTGTACCTCTGGTAGAATTCGGCTGTGAATCCATCTGGTCCTGGACTCTTTTTGGTTGGTAAGCTATTGATTATTGCCACAATTTCAGCTCCTGTTATTGGTCTATTCAGAGATTCAACTTCTTCCTGGTTTAGTCTTGGGAGGATGTATGTGTCGAGGAATTTATCCATTTCTTCTAGATTTTCTAGTTTATTTGCATAGAGGTGTTTGTAGTATTCTCTGATGGTAGTTTGTATTTCTGTGGGATCGGTGGTGATAGCCCCTTTATCATTTTTTATTGCATCTATTTGATTCTTCTTTTTTTCTTTATTAGTCTTGCTAGCGGTCTATCAATTTTGTTGATCCTTTCAAAAAACCAGCTCCTGGAGTCATTAAATTTTTGAAGGGTTTTTTGTGTCTCTATTTCCTTCAGTTCTGCTCCGATTTTAGTTATTTCTTGCCTTCTGCTAGCTTTTGAATGTGTTTGCTCTTGCTTTTCTAGTTCTTTTAATTGTGATGTTAGGGTGTCAATTTTGGATCTTTCCTGCTTTCTCTTGTGGGCATTTAGTGCTATAAATTTCTCTCTACACACTGCTTTGAATGTGTCCCAGAGATTCTGGTATGTTGTGTCTTTGTTCTCATTGGTTTCAAAGAACATCTTTATTTCTGCCTTAATTTCGTTATGTACCCAGTAGTCATTCAGGAGCAGGTTGTTCAGTTTCCATGTAGTTGAGGGGTTTTGAGTGAGTTTCTTAATCCTGAGTTCTAGTTTGATTGCACTGTGGTCTGAGAGATAGTTTGTTATAATTTCTGTTCTTTTACATTTGCTGAGGAGAGCTTTACTTCCAACTATGTGGTCAATTTTGGAATAGGTGTGGTGTGGTGCTGAAAAAAATGTATATTCTGTTGATTTGGGGTGGAGAGTTCTGTAGATGTCTATTAGGTCCGCTTGGTGCAGAGCTGAGTTCAATTCCTGGGTATCCTTGTTGACTTTCTGTCTCGTTGATCTGTCTAATGTTGACAGTGGGGTGTTAAAGTCTCCCATTATTAATGTGTGGGAGTCTAAGTCTCTTTGTAGGTCACTCAGGACTTGCTTTATGAATCTGGGTGCTCCTGTATTGGGTGCATAAATATTTAGGATAGTTAGCTCTTCTTGTTGAATTGATCCCTTTACCATTATGTAATGGCCTTCTTTGTCTCTTTTGATCTTTGTTGGTTTAAAGTCTGTTTTATCAGAGACTAGGATTGCAACCCCTGCCTTTGTTTTCCATTTGCTTGGTAGATCTTCCTCCATCCTTTTATTTTGAGCCTATGTGTGTCTCTGCACGTGAGATGGGTTTCCTGAATACAGCACACTGATGGGTCTTGACTCTTTATCCAATTTGCCAGTCTGTGTCTTTTAATTGGAGCATTTAGTCCATTTACATTTAAAGTTAATATTGTTATGTGTGAATTTGAACCTGTCATTATGATGTTAGCTGGTTATTTTGCTCATTAGTTGATGCCATTTCTTCCTAGTCTTGATGGTCTTTACATTTTGGCATGATTTTGCAGCAGCTGGTACCGGTTGTTCCTTTCCATGTTTAGTGCTTCCTTCAGGAGCTCTTGTAAGGCAGGCCTGGTGGGGACAAAATCTCTCAGCATTTGCTTGTCTGTAAAGTATTTTCTTTCTCCTTCACTTATGAAGCTTAGTTTGGCTGGATATGAAATTCTGGGTTGAAAATTCTTTTCTTTAAGAATGTTGAATATTGGCCCCCACTGTCTTCTGGCTTGTAGAGTTTCTGCAGAGAGATCCGCTGTTAGTCTGATGGGCTTCCCTTTGTGGGTAACCTGACCTTTCTCTCTGGCTGCCCTTAACATTTTTTCCTTCATTTCAACTTTGGTGAATCTGACAATTATGTGTCTTGGAGTTGCTCTTCTCGAGGAGTATCTTTGTGGCATTCTCTGTATTTCTTGAATCTGAATGTTGGCCTGCCTTGCTAGGTTGGGGAAGTTCTCCTGGATAATATCCTGCAGAGTGTTTTCCAACTTGGTTTCATTCTCCCCGTCACTTTCAGGTACACCAATCAGACGTAGATTTGGTCTTTTCACATAGTCCCATATTTCTTGGAGGCTTTGTTCATTTCTTTTTATTCTTTTTTCTCTAAACTTCCCTTCTCACTTCATTTCATTCATTTCATCTTCCATTGCTGATACCCTTTCTTCCAGTTGATCGCATTGGCTCCCGAGGCTTCTGCATTCTTCACATAGTTCTCAAGCCTTGGCTTTCAGCTCCATCAGCTCCTTTAAGCACTTCTCTGTATTGGTTATTCTAGTTATACATTTGTCTAAATTTTTTTCAAAGTTTTTAACTTCTTTGCCTTTGGTTTGAATTTCCTCCTGTAGCTCGTAGTTTGATCGTCAGAAGCCTTCTTCTCTCAACTCGTCAAAGTCATTCTCCATCCAGCTTTGTTCCATTGCTGGTGAGGAACTACAATCCTTTGGAGGAGGAGAGGTGCTCTGCTGTTTAGAGTTTCCAGTTTTTCTGCTCTGTTTTTTCCCCATCTTTGTGGTTTTATCTACTTTTGGTCTTTGATAATGGTGATGTACAGATGGGTTTTTGGTGTGGATGTCCTTTCTGTTTGTTAGTTTTCCTTCTAACAGAAAGGACCCTCAGCTGCAGGTCTGTTGGAGTTTACTAGAGGTCCACTCCCGACCCTGTTTTCCTGGGTATCAGCAGCGGTGTCTGCAAAACAGTGGTTTTTTGTGAACCGTGAATGCTGCTGTCTGATTGTTCCTCTGGAAGTTTTGTCTCAGAGGAGTACCCAGCCGCGTGAGGTGTCAGTCTGCCCCTACTGGGGGGTGCCTCCCAGTTACACTGCTCAGGGGTCAGGGACCCACTAGAGGAGGCAGTCTGCCCGTTCTCAGATCTTCAGCTGCATGCTGGGAGAACAACTGCTCTCTTCAAAGCTGTCAGACAGGGACATTTAAGTCTGCAGAGGTTACTGCTGTCTTTTTGTTTGTCTGTGCCCTGCCCCCAGAGGTGGAGCCTACAGAGGCAGGCAGGCCTCCTTGAGCTGTGGTGGGCTCCACCCAGTTCGAGCTTCCTGGCTGCTTTGTTTACCTAAGCAAGCCTGGGAAATGGCAGGCGCCCCTTCCCCAGCCTCGCTGCCGCCTTGCAGTTTGATCTCAGACTGCTGTGCTAGCAATCAGCAAGACTCCGTGGGCATAGGACCCTCCGAGCCAGGTGCGGGATATAATCTCCTGGTGCGCCATTTTTTAAGCCCATCAGAAAAGCGCAGTATTCGGGTGGGAGTGACCCGATTTTCCAGGTGCTGTCTGTCACCCCTTTCTTTGACTAGGAAAGGGAACTCCCTGACCCCTTGCGCTTCCCAAGTGAGGCAACGCCTCGCCCTGCTTTGGCTTGCACACAGTGCGCTGCACCCACTGACCTGCACCCACTGTCTGGCACTCCCCAGTGAGATGAACCCGGTACCTCAGATGGGAATGCAGAAATCACCCTTCTTCTGCATCGCTCACGCTGGGAGCTGTAGACCGGAACTGTTCCTATTACAAATCTCCCGTAATTCTAAAACTGTTCCACAAAATAATGTTGTTTTTTTTTTTTTTTTTTTTTTGAGACAGAGTTTCACTCTTGTTGCCCAGGCTGGAGTGCAATGGCACAATCTTGGCTCACTGCAACTTCCATCTCCTGGGTTCAAGTGATTCTCCTGCCTCAGTCTCCCTAATAGATGGGATTACAGGCAGATGCCACGACACCCAGCTAATTTTTGTATTTTTAGTAAAGACAGGGTTTCACCATGTTGGTCAGACTGGTTTTGAACTCCTGACCTCAGGTGATCTGCCCACCTCAGCCTCCCAAAGTGCTGGGATTACAGGCATGAGCCACCATGCCCGGCCAAAATAATTTATTTTAAAACAAATTTAATTCCTCATACTAAAGCTCAAACTGTTGGTATAGGACTCTACAAAATACCTTAGAAAGAAAATCCCTATTATGTGGAGCACCTCTCCTACATCACTTCAGATCCTTTAGAATTCTTTCAGCCTCACCTCTCATTCTAGCCCCTAATAACACTTCCGTATGGGCTACCCCCACTTTAGCACAGGTGCACGTTTACTGCATCTCATGGCATTCTTTCCTGCCTTGCATTTCTTGGACATCATTGCATGAAACATCCAAGAGAACCCACGTAAAAGGAAACTTAAAGGAGTCATTCAAACAGACTCTTAGGACTAGCTGCATGTGTCCTTGCCAGTACATTGACTTCTAAGCCACAAATGAGAGACTCTGAGTCCATAAATTCTCCCTTATTGAGCCTGTTCTCCCCTGTGTTTATCAACCAGGTATTCATTCTGCTTTAGGCATCCTTGTAGGATATGCCCTAATGGTCCACCCAAGGTACAGGAAAGCTTCTGTGTTTATCTACCCACTCCCATTTCTCATTGATGAAGGTTATCCCAGGAGCATTTAGCACCAGCATTTCTTGGCTGCTCTGCACATGGGTTTAAACCAACTTCAGAGGTACTAAAGAAACCCTTCAGGCAGAGAAGCAAAGAGATACAGGTACTGAAATGGTAAGCTGTCATTGTACATGGAAACTTCACCACAGTTCTGGCTGAATTTAGAGGTGCATCTGAAGTTATAAAGTGGGACTTTAACAAGGTCTGCTCGTCCAGGGTTTTAATCTTCCTAGGCTCATTGATCCCAGAGTCTTCATCTCAGATCTCAGGGACCTAAGCTTTACCTATTAAAGAGCTTAAGATAGGAGACTCAGATGCTACAATTTTATTGGAAGGATGATCCTAGAGAGCAAAAGTGAGTGACAAAGGGAATGAAGCAGAAAAGGAGAGAAAGACCAGTATAAGCACATGACTGATGGCCGAAGCCCATAAGACTTTTCCTAAAGTGCCATGTGAAATGTGCCCAGGGATATTGCATGGGTGGAGGAACAAAGGGGAGCCAGTGGGTAAATGTTTTACCAGTGGGAATGGGCAAAGGTTTGCCCTGCAGAGTGTTAACTCTCTGCTCTCCCAGCATGAATATGTGAGGGCTCCAAGAAGGTCCCAGGATGGAAGGCAAGATGTTAATGAAGAGCTAGTTGCTATAGCTATAGTTGATAGAAGACAGGTGACTTGGAGAGGATGAAACTGGTGTATGACATAACAGGTGTATGACCAGGAATCCAAGCAATATAGAACTACAATATCAGCAAGAACATGGAAGATGAAGGCTGAGATGTATTAGACTTTTTTCTATCTTTCTCTTCCTCCTGAACAATGCAAAGTCTAAGATCAATTTTCCTCTAGGTCAATATTCATGTAAACACATCAAGGTGAGCACTAAAATACTACATATACAATCAATAAATTCCGAACTAGAAAAGGGAAAAAGAGAATAGAGATCCAATCAATCCAAGAAGTCAAGAAAAGAATTAGGAGAGACAAAAAGGTCTTAAAATCCATACAACAGTAGAATCACCAAATGCAATGATTAAACACGCCTTTAAAAGACAGATAATCTGACTGGCTCTTTAAAAGAAATTGTTATAAGCTGATTAGGAAGAGATACACCTAGCAAATACTAAATTTAAAAATGCCAATGTCAAATATTCACATAAGATTGAGTAGTTGTGTATCAATCAATATGCAGTGTTTATCTCCAACAATGCATTTTTACTAATGGAAAATGTACTATGAATTTGTGTGCATATAACAAAACCTCAGTATAAAGCAAACACTGGTAGAAGATTTCATTATGACTGTACATTTGTCAATTTTTCTTTAGATTTATATTATAGTTCTCCTAAATAAATTGGTAAGTACAGGATTTGAACTGTTAACAATTTATTCCAATAAAAATATCTATAACATTGCAACTAAGAATAATTTGATTCATATATATATGTATTATTTTTATTCACATATATAAAACATTTTTGGTTTTCAAGTTGATATATAGACCATGGTCTGACTGCAATGCAATTAAGTAAGTTGATGCAATTTTCCACAATTTCAAAAATCTTATATTATTTTGCCTCCTTTTATGTTTAATGAACCCCCATGTACTCATCACACAGCCTCATTTACTAATTCAGACAATTTTGTTTCATCTATACCCCACTTACTTCCCTAGTCCAATATTATTTTGAAGCAAATCTAATAAATCAACTCTCAGAAGCACACACTGAAATATTCATGAATAAAATAAGTGCTGTAACCTATAGGGTTTTTAAAATTCTGGTATCCTACAAGTCTGCTTTTGTAACTTTTTTGTTCTTTGCAAAGACTTTGAAATAACTACGGATGGCCAACAAAGAAAAACTCATTCAACTGATTTCTGCTTCTTTTTATTTCTTCCTTTCTTCTAATTTATGCAGGTAGGGTTTTTGTAGTCTGAGATTTTTTAATGTTTTCAAATATTTAAAAGTGAACTTATTTTCAAAATTAAAACTTAGATGTAATGCATTTAAAATGTAAGAAACTACTAAGAAATATTAAGAACCAATTTACAAATGGTTTTATTACTTGTGCCTTCGCTTTGTTTTTCAAGTGACCAACTTCTAGCTAAATGAAAATGAAAAAGGATAACACGATTGAGATGATGCTCCATCATGAAAATATAGTGAACAAGTTTGTCCCTGTCATCTATGTTTTCAAATCTACTGGCATAATTTATTCCCATGTCTTGATAATTTTCTGGTATGTAGAAAAATGGAACTTACCAATAATAATAAATATTAATGTATATATTTGAGAGTCTTATATGCTAGGCACTCTTTTAGGCATGAGAAACCAGCAATAACCAAGACTCTGCTTTTTGGTTATAGGAGACATGTTGGTATGGGATGGGGTAGGGGTAGGATCATAGCAAGCAAACAATATCCCACTAGGTTCAAATGGTTTGATAGGTAACTTTTACCATGAAATCTTTACATTCAGTCTTTATATCAAGTTCATACTCATTTTAAAGACATGGTTCTGTTACTTAAATTTGAGTAGCATCCCTTCTTTTGTAGTCTCTCAAACTTCAGATCTATAAAATATTTCTATAAACATATGTACAAAAAATCTTAGATTGTTACTAGTATTTATGATAGATAATACATCAAAACTGAATAAAGCGTACTGTGAATGTGCAAAGAAAGTTAGGTATCAGATAATATGCACAAGTACATTAGACTAAGATTTAAAGAGAACCATATTCTTATTTCAATAGGGTCACAAAAATCTCGAAGAAAATATAATGCACAGTCAGTACTATTCTATTAATAGAAGGGAACATAACATAATAAAAGGTGTCTACCACAGAGCATCTCATGATTAATGGTGACACTAGTTTAGAAGCTATTCTACTGAAGTGAGGAGCAAGGCATAACTCCTAGTGGTCAACATTGTACTAGAGCTTCTATTTAACTCATTAACACAAAAGAAATTAGGTACAAAGAATAAAAACAAACAAGGCTCTCTTCTGGAGCTGGGACATTCATCTTCTCCTGCCTTCCAACATCAGAACTCCAAGTTCTCCAGCCTTTGGACTCAAGAACAAGCTCCTCCTCTGGTTCTCAAGCCTTTGGTCTAGAAGTGGGAGTCACACCGTTAGCTCCTCTGGTCCTCAGGCCTTTGGACTCAAACTGATGTTAGATAATGCATGTGGGAGTTACACCATCAGCTTCTCTGGTCCTCCAGCTTGCAGAGAGCATGACATGGGACTTCTTGGCCTCCACAATCACATTCACAAAGTTCATCATGATTCAGGAGACAATTATTATACAGATCCTCATTTGTTCAGATACAAAAGAAGGAGGGAAGAGTCCATTGATGTGAATTTGATATCTCCTTGAGGCAGTGATGTACTAAGCCTATAGAATCATTACTATCTCTCCATGGCAGAAGTCCACTCCATGACTATTGAGTCTCCCACCACAGGGATTATAAATATTATCAGCACAGCCCAAGAAAACACCCAAGTCATGGTAACAGAAGCCTTAGATAGGGTTTAAGAAATTTTGCAAATCACAGAACTGTCCTCTTCATAGCTGACCACTAAAGATGAAGACCCTCAAAACCAGTGATCTTTCTAGAGGTCTGATGACTGATGCCTTGGGAAGGTTTTCAGGAAATGAGTATGAGTTTACTATGAATATGCACCAGAGTTGCAGTCACCTTGTGATGCCACTAACCATCTATATCAGTCCATTCTCACACTGCTATACAGAAATACCTGAGACTGGGTAACTTATAAAGAAAAGAGGTTTAATTGGCTCACAGTTCTGCAGGCTGTACAGGAAGCATGATGCTTGCTGTTATCTGCTTGACTTCTGGGAAGGCCTCAGTAAACTTTCCATCATGGCAGAAGGTAAAGAGAAAGCAGTCATGTCTTACATGGCCAGAGTAGGAGGAAGACAACAAGAGGGCAGGTGCCACATACTTTTAAACAACCAGATCTCGTGGGAACTCTAACACAAGGACAGCACTGGGGGGTGACGCTAAACCATTAGAAACCGCCCCCATGATCAAATCACCTCCCACCAGGCCTCACCTCCAACATTGGGGATTACAATTGAACATGAGATTTGGTTGGGGACACAGAGCCAAACCATATCACCATCAATGATGATCTCCTTTACATTGCTTAATTACTCGATAATAAAGAGAGTTAGGATTTCAACATCTTTAAATTGGAGGTTGTTACACATAAAAGGCCATTGGTTGACCTGGGCTTAAAGGCCTTTTTCTGGTTTGGAATATGTGAATTTTAAAACTGTTCTGAAACCCCTCTTCAGGCCTAGCTCCAAGTCATTGAAGCCAACTACCACTTGTCCAAAGTCTACCATAACTCCACCATGCTGCAGACATCCTGCATGCCACTGCTGTCCTCCTTGGTAAGGAAATAATTCGGGTAGAATTTTGATATCATGATCTAATTACCTGCCTGGATTCCAGATCTAATAATTCAATCTTAGTAAATATATTAGACAAACAGCTATTTTACAACCAATTTAACAGAGCTTTTTGAGCTACCAAATTGTTTTGGTATTATAAGGACATGGCTCTTTTTCTTATTCTCCACTCCCTCAAATAGCTAAAATAATAATTTATGGCATGGTTAAAAAAAAAAGAAAGAATAAAGAAACAAGATGAGTGATTGCAAATGTTATAATTACCACAAAGAACCAATAACTCCTATGAGTTCTACAGGTTTGTCTCTAAACTTTATTAAAATCAAATATTTCTATATTTTTGCAAAAATAAAGTAGAAAAATAAAAGAGAATAAAAAAAATACCCTTCTCCCTCTCCCTCGTCTCCCTTTGCACGGTCTCCCTCTGATGCCAAGCCCAGGCTGGACTGTACTGCCACCATCTCCACTCGCTGCAACCTCCCTGCCTGATTCTCCTGCCTCAGCCTGCCGAGTGCCTGGGATTGCAGGCGTGCCACCACGCCTGACTGGTTTTCGTATTTTTTGGTGGAGACGGGGTTTCACAGTGCTGGCCTGGCTGGTCTCCAGCTCCTGACCACGAGGGATCTGCCAGCCTCAGCCTCCCGAGGTGCCGGGATTGCAGACGGAGTCTCACTCACTCAGTGCTCAATGTTGCCCAGGCTGGAGTGCAGTGGCATGATCTCGGCTCGCTACAACCTCCACCTCCCAGCCGCCTGCCTTGGCCTCCCAAAGTGCCGAGTTTGCAGCCTCTGCCCAGCCGCCACCCCGTCTTGGAAGTGAGGAGCGTCTCTGCCTGGCCGCCCATCGTCTGGGATGTGAGGAGCCCCTCTGCCTGGCCGCCCGCCCAGTCTGGGAAGTGAGGAGCCCCTCTTCCCGGCCGTCATCCTGTCTAGGAAGTGAGGAGGATCTCTGCCTGGCCGCCCATCCTCTGGGATGTGGGGAGCGCCTCTGCCCCGCCGCCCCGTCTGAGATGTGAAGAGCGCCTCTGCCCGGCCGCGATCCCGTCTGGGAACTGAGGAGTGCCTCTGCCCCGCCGCCACCCCGTCTGGGAGGTGAGGAGCATCTCTGACCGGCCGCCCCGCCTGAGAAGTGAGGAGCCCCTCCGCCCGGCAGCCGCCCCGTCCGGGAGGTGGGGGGATGCCTCTGCCCGGCCGCCCTGTCTGGGAAGTGAGGAGCCCCTCTGCCCAGCCGCCACCCCGTCTGGGAGGTGTACCCAATAGCTCATTGAGAACGAGCCATGATGACGATGGCGGTTTTGTCAAATAGAAAAGGGGGAAATGTGGGGAAAAGAAAGAGAGATCAGATTGTTACTGTGTCTGTGTAGAAAGAAGTAGACATAGGAGACTCCATTTTGTTCTGTACTAAGAAAAATTCTTCTGCCTTGGGATGCTGTTAATCTATAACCTTACCCCCAACCCCATGCTCTCTGAAACATGTGCTGTGTCCACTAAGGGTTAAATGGATTAAGGGCAGTGCAAGATGTGCTTTGTTAAACAGATGCTTGAAGGCAGCATACTCCTTAAGAGTCATCACCACTCCCTAATCTCAAGTACCCAGGGACACAAACACTGTGGAAGGCAGCAGGGCCCTCTGCCTAGGAAAACCAGAGACTTTTGTTCACATGTTTATCTGCTGACCTTCCCTCCACTATTGTCCTATGACCCTGCCAAATCCCCCTTCTCCAAGAAACACCCAAGAATGATCAATAAATACTAAAAAAAAAACAAAAAAAAAACCTAAAAGATTTAATATTAGCTTTGCTCCTAAGAATTTTAAGGGAAGAATTATATTGCTCTTTTGTTAACCTTATTAAAACTTTAAAGGGAGAGAGGATTTTGAGTCTTCTCATCCATTACTATGAAACCTGATGGTCAATGTTCTCCCACAAATAAATAGTAAATTAAATGCGATTTAGTTCTAAGAGGATTTTTCATAGAACTAAACATGCTACTTATAAAATTCACATAAACAAATTAAAATAGCGTGTTCACTTTTAAAAAATAAGGAAGGCATTTGCCATACCTCATAGAAGATTTAAAATAAAGCCAGAGTAATTTAACTGGTATGGTCTGAGTATAGACTGTGTATGCTGCAGTAGAAGGGGCTTGGAAGTGGTGATAACCAGACCGATAGCACCAAACATAAAGCACAAAAAAGGCTTAAATGTATGGTATCTACAGAGATGGAAACACTAATTAATGGAGGAGAACTACTCAGTAAATCTCAGATCCTTACCTCCCATCATAAAAACAATTATTGAGATGGACTGAATAGTTTTTTTTTTTTCAAAGAATTTTCCAGGAGGCCTAAGTCTGAAAAAAATTAAAAACAAAGAAAACATAGGCAAATATCTTGATTAACACACACTAGGAAAGGGCTTCCTAGATAAACCAAACAAAGTTAATTAAGGAAATGTGTTTAAACTATTTGCTTTTTATGTAATACGTGCAATTACTGTGAAATGTAAAATATACAAGCCACAGATCAAGGGAAACATAATTGGAACAAGAACACTAAAGGATCAAATTCGTGTAATTAAAGAATTCCTAGAAACTGATAAGAAAAGGCAACCAGTAGAAAACTGGGCAGAAATGACAAGAAAAATTAATAAGAAAACATCAAAATGGCCAGTGGGCATAAAAGACCTTCAATCCAAGTATTGATCGAAGTAATACAAAATAAATTTACCTTGGGATATAGAGAGACATCAGATTGACAAAACTGAGAGTTGTAATTTTCAGATTTGTTACCAAACTACTAATAGGACTATAAATTGGCACAGCCTTTTAGGACATATTGCCAAATTGCTTTCTCAAAATTTGCTTCTGGATCATGGAATACATGTATTTTTGCTTCTAGAAACACTTTCCAGAGAATCTTATGGGTGTCTGTACAAGAATATATATGACATTTATCACAGTAAAATGTACAATAGTGAAAAATAGGAATCCACCTGGATGTCAATTTTAAAAAATTGATAAATTGGGCTATAATCAATTTCTCAGTAGATATGTTTGTGTGACACACCTATGTGTATATTTACATACATATTTATATACACACAAATATACATATGATAGGTATATAAACATGGATAAGGTAGCTCTTTAAAAACTAAATGGGAGAAAGTAGGCAGGAGGAAGTAAGTGCCAGAAGATACACAGTATGAGAACATTGATGTATTTTTACAAAAGCCAAGTATACTGTTTAGTCCATATTTTTATAGATTTACTATATAGATAATCATAAATATAGGATTCTTCTCTGCAAAAAAAAAAAAAACAAAAAATCACTGTGACCAAGAAAACCATCTGGAAAACCATAGAGAAAATGTGTTTAAACTATTTTCAACAAGCTTATGCAAAGATTTGCTTCCATGAGATATGTTTCCATGTAAAAATACCAAGACTTCCCACACCAAGCTACAAGTACTTATTTATATACCCCAGAAAGTTGTAATTCTAGAACTGATGGTCACCAAAGAAAGCTGCTTGGCTTCGGGCCCTGACAAATTGCAAAAACATCAAGAGAAAACCACTACATATAGGGTTCTAGGTGTCAGAATTTGAGAAAGTATAAGAGAGGAATGGAAAGCAACTTCTTTCCTTTCTATGAAACTTCAGAGCTGAAAAAGTATTGACAATGAAACGTATGGATTCCCAAGCACAGGCTGACAGTTTTCATTTCTCATAGAGCACTTCATGTGAAGTAACCTGACAGCATTTGCAAGATGGTTTCTGAGCTGATCCGACCAGCATTTTTGTACTCACTCCTTCGACCATTAATGGAGAAAGAGAAATTGTCTTGGAAAAAGTTGTAGAACTAGGGTGCAGTCAAGCCAGAACTAAAGTTAATTTCACTAAAATTAGAGATAGTACCCCACCATACCATATCTAGAAAGAAAATCCCTTCCTCTTCAACACTTCCCTTTACCATGCGACCCCTGCCATTAACTTCTCAAAAGTAAATGCTGGCACAAAAAGTACAGTTTCCTGACTGCAACCTGGCAGGAAGTCCTTCCTTGAAGCAGGGAGAAGGAGGGAGTTTTCCCATGTCTACCAATCACAATAGATAATGCAAACAGCCTTTGGCTGTCAGCTCCTTCAAAGTCTGCCTTGGCTGCAAAGAGCTGCCTTGCCCGCAAAGAGCTGCCTTGCCCAAGGTCATTCTCTTCCCCAGAGAGCTCACACCTGGAAATTCAGTAAAGAAATATAAAAGAGGCAATTCCTTCCTGACTTATGCAACTCTGATGTGCAGTCGTTGCACCAGAGCTCTCTGCAAGGTTAGCTAAAGCTCTGTTGGGCCTGCCTCTCATTTTTATTTCTTCCTCTGCCCAATCATGCCTCCTTCACTTTTCTTTCACAGGTATTGATTCCTAATAAATATAACATACCCCAAACTTCATCTCAGTGTTTCCTTTCAGAAAACCAAAACTAAGAGAGTTGGTATTGAGAACAGTCAGAGAGTGGGTGATAAGATGGGGCTTTGGAGCTAAAGCACTGCTGGCTGCCTGGCTCACAATGAGGACCCCATCACTGGCAGTAGATGGAACACAAAGACAGCCTCTAGAACAAGATGGCAGTCAGTTGTCAAAGCTGACAGCATAGCCCAAGGATATACTTGGTTGAAGAGGGAAGAAAGAGACTATGCCACAAAGGACCTGCAAAGTATAGCCAGAATGCATGGGCAGAAATCAAGGGCATACACATGAGGCTGAATTATAACAGTGCTGGTTTAAGGGGGCCAGAATACCCCCAAGTCAATAAACTCTTCACTCCATCTCCAGGGAGTTAAAATTGGGTAAGAAATATATTGACATGGGAGAGATACACAGTTTAACATCTTAGCAAGAATTCCAGGAAATAGTATGAACTTGTTACTACCATGACTCCTAGAAATACAGAGAAAAAATGGCCTATGCTGGAGAAGCAAAATCCTAGCTTTTACATGGAAGATGGTTGAAGAATGGATTAAAATACTTAGGAAAGGCAGCATGGTAGAATGGCTATACTATATTCACTTGAAGACCTGCCAGGTGATATACTCCAGAAGAAAGCTCATGGCAGACACCATTTACTAATACCAGAAAAAAAAAATGCTATTGAGAAGGGCACCAGCCTCATTAAGATGTGAAACAGCAGCTTTACACTATACATCAGGCATGATGTTTGGAAATGTTGTTACGGAACTTGGCTTAGTTATGGTAAAGGGGATAAGACCCCAAAACATAGAAGCCAAGCCAAAAGGCCACAATTATCATGGTGAGTGGAAAGACTGGAGTGGCAATCAAAGGGACCTAACTCACAAAAAACTGTGTTGATGGTTGATGGAACATAGCAACCACCCTAGGAGCAAAACAGGCGGGCAGCCAACAAGGATACTACTCAACTTGTACCAACAAAGGAAATAAATGATGGATGTCAAGGAGTCTGAGGGAGGGCACCCCATTAAAAAGTCATAATTCATTATGCAATTTCTAGATGTGAACCAGTTTTCAGACCCAGTCTGTATTATGAAGATTCCTACAAAGTCTTAGGTACTATACATGGTAATATTTGATTATTTTCCCCAAAGGGTCTTTTGGCCATTTACTCAAGGAAACTAAACATTGAGGAAAAAGAGAATTCCCAAACATTTTAAGGATTGTTTGAAAATGGGTATGAATTGACAATGAAACCTGGAAGCCCAAAGCAGTATGATGGCCCTCTGTTAGAGTTGAAGCACATAAGGGCCAGATAATAAATGGCTAATGTCCACTTTACAATGGGTCAGCTTGATCTGCAGACCTATATGGTGATCATCTCCATACTTCCAGGATACATAATTGAACTTAGCATGTTTGACAATTGGTGAAACTTCTATATTAGGGTTGCTGCTTTCCCCTGTGAAATCTTTAATCCTACAGGCTACGTGGAAGCTTCTAAAACTGCCCCACCAATAGCCAAAGGGGTAAATCAAACACAATATTTCGTCTTCAGGAAGGGGACAGTGCAAAGTTGCTGCAGGGAAAGGTTCTGATGCCCAAAGTGCTAACACTTTCATGCAAAACATAGCAAGTATCTCATTGAATGGTAAGCTATAGTTGGCTCAAGGGCACTTTGGCCTACTTGTATCCAGGAATTAGAAAGTAAGAAAAAAGTCACAATCTTGGTAGAGGAACTTGACCCTGATCATGAGGAGGAGTTAGGACTGCTTTTACACAGGTGGCCGACTTGGGTACTTCTTGGAACTGAGTTGCCCAATTATCACTATAAATGGAAAAATTCCTACAACCCTAGCCAGAGAAGGGCATGGTAATCATGGCCTCAGTCACTCCAGGGGAAAGTCTCTGAAGAGTTTAATAGTTACCCCAGACTTAAATTGTTGCTTGATATGGTTTCCATACATTCTAGAACCTAGAACATAATATTGTATTGACTTCTTTTTGCTGAATTTTAGATTGGTTCCTGGCTATCATTATTTTCCATGACTTAATGGTTAAAGTATAAACATGGATTTATTTGAAAAATTATGACTTTCCACAACACCGCACCTCATACGTAAAAGCAGCCAGTAGGATTTTTTATTTATTTTTGAGACGGAGTTTCGCTGTTGTTGCCCAGGCTGGAGTGCAATGGCTCAATGTCGGCTCAAGGCAACTTCCGCCTCCCGGGAGCGATTCTCCTGCCTCAGCCTCCCGAGTAGCTGGGATTATAGGCATGCGCCACCACGCCCGGCTAATTTTTTGTGTTTTTAGTAGAGACAGGGTTTCTCCATGTTGGTCAGGCTGGTCTCGAACCCCCGACCTCAGGTGATTTCTCCCCCACCCCCCCGCCGCCTCAGCCTCCCAAAGTGCTGGGATTATAGGCATGAGCCACCGCGCCCGGTCACCTGTAGGATTTTGTTATTCAGAAATACAGTCCCTCTTAAGTAGGGTGAACCACAAAAGTGAGCCTACGTTCTCGCTTATTTCTGTCTCCTCTCTTTGAAGGTCACTATAGATGCAACTGGCAACTGGGACCATGACATCTGTATAAACACTGACCAGCAATTTATCTTTCTAGGATCAGAATGGGGAGGCAGCGCAGCTTGAGGAAGAAGGGCCAGGAGATAAACAACACACATTCAACTGAGGCCCCCTAGTGGCTGAGGAAATGTTAATCAAATACTTTTCCAGACTAATTTCTACCAATTTCGATAGAAGTTTGGTGGAAACGCTGCTATCTCCACCCCATATTTCGTTCCATGGATCCTTACCATTTGCTTTCATTCCCGTTTCTACCCTTCCAACGCAGATCTGCACATTCCTGGGGCATCCTAAACATGTCTGAAGACCTACTGAATATTGAGTCTAAGATCATCTCCCCTTGGTACTGGAAGTAATACAAATAGTGTTATCTCTACATTTATTTCCCCAGGCTCTTTCTATAGGTTTAATAGACAAGGATGATATACACATTTCATACTATTTGAAAATCACTTCCTGACTACACTTTTACATACTTGAAAATGGATTCTCAACTTCTTTTGCGTGATTTCTATCTAACTTTGTCATTTGGGCTTCAATACACTCCATACATTCACTAGGGTATTATAACACAGTAATTTTATCTTTAGTGTACTGTTGTGGACTTTAATAGCTAGATTTCTAGTTCAAACAAGGATTCAATAGAACCTGTGCTTCAACCTGAATGGAGTTTGACTGAACAACCCTAATTTGCCATGAGGAAAAAATATTGAGTGCTATAGCTTCAAATGGTAACATATTCAGAAGATGAGATTTCTTGTGCAAATGATTTGTCTCCAAAAGTTTACCAACTTCTGCTTAAGAGCAAATTTCAAGGGATAAAGTAATTTTTAAGGTATTGATCTTTAAGAAACATTTCCTGTATTTTAAACCAAGCAAATATATAACCTAAACATCTAAAGATGTATGTTCTATGAATACTAAGTTACAGCATGATTAAAGACACATTCATTGTCAGTGATTTCTATATTTTGCAATAGCAGAGGGAGCCATAAAAGGGGAATGGAGCAATACAGCCTATATTCTAATACTTGTCAGACTTCTGCCAGGCAGTGATCAACAGTAAGGATTCCATGACAATGTTACCATGACAATCCTAGGAACAGACAGAATGGAAATGAAAGAGACTCTAGACACTGATAACAGGACATCTACTACTCCCCCAAGTCCTGCCTGATCAGTAAACCAGTAACCTCATGTTACCAAATTTTTAGCTTAGTGGTTAGTACAGGTGAACATTAGTGAGTTATGATCATTCTAAGTATTCTTCAACCAACTAAGAACAACACTACAATACGTCAAAGTTACATGTGTTTTCTAGATCAAGCTAAAATGTAAAGATGATGTAGGTTCTCTGAGAATTCACATTTTACTCTTACTGTAAATGACTATCCTGTAAGTGTTTAATGCCCTTTCCCTACCATTCTAAGAAAATAACTGAATCCTTATTAGCATATGTAGGTGAATGGTTAATAGTACATAAAAAAGAACTTACTTTATTCACAATTTGTTAATGAATCCAAATCATTTTGAGCATCAATGCCTCAATCAGTGTCTTTCAAAATCCATCTCAAAACTTCCCAACCCACCATAGCCCCTGGGGATTTATGCCCTCCCTAAACCATCACTTATGTGTCATGACAGGGTACACATTACAACTAAAGCTCCTTGTGGATCCCGGCATCTAAACTGCAAAGAACATCAAATGTCTAAGTGAAATTTGTCACTTGATATTTTTGGACCCACATCATCACACAGTGTTAAACCTGAGTGGATCTGAGGTCATCTAGTTTACTTACCCTCTTCACATAAAGCTTCTTTACATGTAAAGTAAGTGACTTTCCTGGGGTCAAAAGATCATTGCACAGCAAATGTATGCTAGAAATATAGACTCTTGGCCCTGAATAGATGGCAAATACTTCATTGTTTCTGGATCAGATCTTATGGAAGCAGCCCTCTGTGTTACCTGATGATTTTTGCAATCCATGACTATGTCAACATGCTACGGAGATGAGAAACAAATTTGCTTTGATTTTATACACTGTTTGTGGCACAGAGATTGGTCACCTGCTTTTCCCAGCCCAGTTTGCAATGCCAGATTTATGGCATTTTTAAATTCTGCCTGCTAATTCCTTGCTACTCTGCTTTTCCAAATCAAATTCAGTCAGACTTATCTAGCTCTGTCTGAATGTGTCCCTTGATTGAGTGATGTTAGTTCAAGAAAAAACACTCAAATCAATTTAATGCAAATTCCCATTCACAGCCTGGTTGACCCATCAGGATACTGACAATAATAGATTGGGGTACTTAATTCCTAAGGCATGTGACTCATCGAAGGCTTAGTAATCAATTTCCATTGCTGCGACTGCATAATTCATCTTTGGTGCTCTTAAGCTCTGGAATACCAAGTGTCTGTTCATTTTTTTTAAGGCCTACACATTCCTTCCGAATAGCAAAGCCCTTTTCGTGTCTCTGCAATCATTTCCTTATCTAAATTTCCATATGCCACCCTGGCAAGGTGTCCCACCTGTGAAGGCTTTAGATCAATAAAAATAATTGGCATGTTTTCCCTCCAGTTGCAGATGCCTGAAATAGATTACATGCTGCTCTAGCAGACAATAGGAAGATGAAATGGAGGCTGGTCACTGCCTCTATCCACATTAGCTATTAACTCTCTACAGGACAGCCAGTAGGGATTCTTATAGTTTGAACCCTGTTTCCCAAGATCCCCAATCTGTTTTATTCTCTAAGCATTAAAGTGAATGGGAAGCATATACAAATAGGCAACAAGCAGATGTCCTTTCCATTTCAAGAAAGGCATGCTGTGTTCCATCCAGACTGTACCTGCATTTGTCATTTTTTGTGTCTCTTTTCCTGTGACAAAAGCCTTATGTTGAGATCAGATTATGCCCTGGGAATTTTCTTTGGCAACTAGGTAAGGTTTTGTCTCAATTCTTAACTCTACAGGCAAGAAAATTGTTAAGTCAAATAAATCTGTAGAATAGAAGCCATTGTTTTACTAACTTTTGTCTACAGGAGCCAAGTGTTTACCCATAACTTTGATTTTCCTGAGGCAGGAAACTAAATTAGTCATGTTTCCTCTATGTACTTGTATTCCCCAGATACCGAAGACTATATGCACCACCAAGTCATTCATGAGAGCTGCAGTAGACATTCCATTCAGGATTATGTTTCTGTCACTTTCTGAGCAAATAACAAAAGTATTAAAGGAGCTAATCATGCCTCTGAAAACATAGTATTTCCCTTGGCCTTATCTCTTCTGATATAAATCTGTGTCCTCTCATTTTATAGAATTAAAAATCATTTATAAGAAAATAATGCCTAAAAAGAATTAGAAAAAGATAAGGATGTTAGTGAATGTGTAAGCTTACGCTCTATTCTGAGTAAGTCGCAAGAATGTGAGAAGTTGGAAAAAAGTACTTGTAGAAGTATAAGGAATGAGAGTACTTCTCAAAGTTGGGTGGATGCCATTAGCAGGAAATGTTCTTGCAGTAGTAACCCAGCAGTAATAAATATATATATATTTATGGTTATATAATAATTTATATATTTACATATATTTTATATATGTTGTATGTTTATATATAAATATATAACTTGTTTATATTTACACACATATGTATATAAATATATTACACATTATATGTATCTATGTAGTATATACATTTGCTTTATAACACATATGTATATATGTAATTTATATACACATATATACACATATATACATGTGTGTAAATATAAATATATACACATTTATATATTTATATATACACATATTTACATGCATCTATATGTAAATATATTTTATGTGTTAAATCATATATATAACATTCTAAAATTTAGCTAGAAACAAACTCCTTCCTCATAAAGCTTACAATATAATAAGTATTCAATGATAAAGCAGTCTCCTATACATATACATTTGTATATCCTATATAGACATTATTAATTACATTAAAATGTTTTCACTTGCCTTTTTGGTTGTTTGGAATTGAGTATGATAGACCCTTTTTTCCATTTTTACAGAAAAATAACAGTGCATTCATTTTAATACTACATATGGAATACATTGTACACTCGTGCTTTAAGACATCACAAGTTTGTACATATAAACTTGTGGGATAAACTTGTAAATATGGGGTTGAACCAACATGTTTGTTTGAATATGAGTGTGGTATTGACTGTATACATAGGTTCATTCTTTTGTGCATTAAAACTGATATTCTATTCTGAAGATGTCAGTCTTTAATCTTAGTAAGGAAAAACGAACATAATCAGCTACCCTTTAAAATCATGTAAAAGCCTAAAACTACAAAAGACTCAAATTTATGTTACTAAACAACAGAGACTATATAAGACCCTAAAATTTTCCAGAGGGGAGAAGTAAGTCACAAAAAAAAGAAATGAGAATCAGAATGTCTTTGGAACTCTTAACATCAACACTAGATATATGAAGGCAATAGCAAAATATCGTCAAAATTCTGACCCAAAAAAATGGTGGTCTACCCTCACACTTGATTGGTGGTTTGCATAGGCAGAGGAATCCAGGTTGAAAAAGACATTTTCAGACCTGGAACTAAAATATACCTTTCATGCACTTTGTCTCAGGTACTAATGAAGGATGCATTCCATCAAACCAAGGTTGTAAACAATGATGACAATAACAACAGTAAGATTGTTGTTATTCAGGAAAGAGGAGCTTTCCTGAATGAAAAGAGGAGCTTTTGATTCAGGAAAGAGGAGCTTGAACATTGGAGAGCAGAGAAATGAAGTCTCAGATGAGTAATAAGTCATGCCCAGAGAATAATCAATCCTGACAGTGCTAGAGAATAGAAGGCTGCAAGGGGGAAGTTATCTAGGAAATAAAAAGCACACTAGATCTCAATTTTTGATTTAGAAAAAACAGTTGGTATTTGACAGCTCATTTGAACTTTTTAGAAAATAGATACATGGAAAACTAAATATTGAACAATAAGAGAATCGTAATTATAGTATACTACCTGGCTCAGCAGAGAGGAGTATTTCTGTAGTCATACTGTAAATGCCAACTGAATTTGACAAAAAATGTATGATAATGATCTTGAGAAAGTTACAAGATTGTATAGACTAATGTCAGGGATAGGCAGTTGGACTAATTCATCAACATCCACAATAGGATGTAATATCCTAACTAATAAATCAAGAAATAAAACACATATTATTTACCCACACGGAGGTGAATTTCAGATGCAATGCCAAGAGTTGGAAGTGGTTCCCTCTAGGGTGCACTAATAAAGTGGGAGAGACCAGGTAGAGAAAAAGATCATTGTTTTTTTTCTTGAATCTTTTAGCACTACTTGACTTTTTAACTCCACAAATGTATTACTTAGATTAATGCTGTATTAATTTAATTTCAGACATTTTGATTGAAAGGATCCCCCAAGTACTGAGTAGGAAGAACAAAATTTGACTTATACCTAAACACAACGAAAACTTTATCTTATTTGGATATCTAAATTATACCAACTTTCAGGAAGAAATTTCTTTATAAGTAATAATCCTACTTGGTGTCAGATTTTTAGCAACAATGTTTGTCCATTGTGTCTTGTCTTGTTGCTGTCTTTCCATTCAGTGCACTGAAGTTCTGAGTGAAATTTTTGGACTGATGATACCTTCACATGTGAGTGACAGTTTGGCTGTGTGTGTGTGTGTGTGTGTGTGTATGTGTATGTGTGTATATCCCTTCAAACATTTATTGAGTTACAAACAATCCAATTAAACTCTAAGTTATTCTAAAATGTTCAATTCAGTTATTATTGACTATAGTCACCCTATTGTGCTATGAAACAGTAGTTCTTATTCATTCTTTCTATTTTTTGTGCCCATTTATATTCCTACCTTCCCCCCACCCCACCCTCCGCTACCCTTCCCAGCCTTATGGTAATTATCCTTCTACTCTCTATGTAGTCTGGCTGTGTACAGATTTAAAAGTTAAGGTACTAATAAGAAGCAGGCACACTCAATGAGATATTTTATGAACAATCCCCGTTATTGTACTTTCCTCAAAATATGAATGGGATATAAGGGGGAAAATGCACGGGGTGGGGCATGCAGTATTCTCTGGATTTAAACAACAGGGGGAAACATTCCACCCCCAGGCACAAAGCATCATAGAAGAAGAAGATCGTTATGAGTACCCAGAAAAGTTAGGCAGAAGAAAATTAATAGGCTATATTAGACCTTAACACTTGGAAAATTCTCCTTTGAAGCAACAATGTTTCAATAATCTAAGATTGTCTGCTTCTGTAAGAATCCATTCATATTAATTGGTTTTAAAAGAACATTTGCATAATATGATAAATGTCATTCATTATCTATGGGTTGAATCTATAAACCAAAGCATGGAAGACTTAGTTATAATTTATTTTTAAATCAAGTTTTGACATTTACAATCTTTTCTGTAACTATAATTAACAGATTTGGTAGAAGAGGTAAGAGGTTGGGTAAATTTAGTAAATTCTTCATTTTTTCCAGCAGAGACAATACATTGTCTAAATACTCTTTTATTTCTTGACTTAGCAGCTTTAAAGTTATGATGCAAACATAAAATCAGTATTACATTATTGCCTCTTGGTAGTAGGACTGGAGCTGGGGAAGTCTTGAAATTCAATTTTCTATCTTTCTGTAGTGTTTGAATAGTAAACCAATGTATACAACACAGTAAAAACAGTGTTGAAAGACCAGTAAGGACAGCATTGCACTTGTCCAGGACAAAGATATAGGAGGCAGAGGAGTACTATAGAGCAAGCCAGGCACAACTTCATCTGATGTCTCCAAGCACTGCTAGGTTTTAAAAGTTTTCTTAGTACCCTGGTCATCAGTGTAAGAAGCGTCAGGGAGCAGGAGTAGAAAGAAGATAAAAATCCTGGATTAATCCTGGTTTAAGCCTGAAATGATCAACTTATTCAATGATTTGAAGTGTTTAGAATATTTTATATTCATACCTAATGGGGACTCAATAAGGTAAGTTCAGTTCTAAACACACACACACACACACACACACATATATGACTGCATGTTTTCAATTTGTTGTGGCCTGTGAAATTCATACCTGTTACACTTAGGAAAGGTGACTAGATATAAGGTACATGAATCAGAATGAAACAAGAACAAAGTGGGCAATGTAGAGAACCAGGAAGAACACAAATGCCTGAGCTTCTCAAGTAAGCAACATAGTATAATAATGCACAGACTAGTGCAACCTGTAAGCATGAGTATATCATCTCTTCTTATCCTATGAGCCCCAACAAGCCTGTGAAGCCACCTTAAGGAGTAGCCTTTCCTTTTTAATGAAGTATATATCAGTTTCTTCATATACATCTTATGAATGCAGACCCTCTGAGAGCCTGAGAAATAAAAATAGTATAGATGCAGGTTTAGACAAAGTTCAGTTGCTGTCTGCTCACATTCAGCCATGGTAGAAAGCACTGGATTCCAGTTCTAAAAACACATGCTGGTAATGGAGAATAAATTGTGGCCTAAGACTGCGAATGCCTGTCAGCTACTATATTCCCTAGAAATGCTTCCTGCTACAAGAAAATCCAATGTGGAGGTGAATTTTAAAATAGAGTTTTATTTTTCTCACACAATAAAAATTCTAGAGCTTAGGTCAACATTGATGTTATGACCCAGGAATTTTACTCATCCATCTTTAAAATGTTGGATTTTGTCCACAAGCTTTTCAGTTTGGTCTCCAAGCATCCCATTTGAGTTCCAGACAGAGGAATGGGGAAGGAGCAAAAGACCTATTGCTCCTAAGGCTTTGCTGAGGATGGCTTCTCCTTCTGAAAGAAAAGACCAGTGTTTCCCTATAAATCATAATTTATCAGCTGGGTAAGAGCCTAACCTCCCCAAAATCATAGATGAACCCCTACCTGCTCCCCAAAAACTAGGAGTTCCTTAGGAGTCAAAAAGACGTTTGTAGGGAAGCAATATATCCTCTATGCTTGTCTTTTCTAACTCAAACCTGATGAACAAATATTTCATATTCTATTAAGGTGACTCAAATTTATATGTAGGATTTTCCCCAGTTTTCTTTTCCAGTTAAGAACCCCAAAACGAATCTCTAATCGTAATTCATCTTATTTATTGAAACAGTGACATTTGAGACAGCCAGTAGTGTGGTTGACAGCTAGCTAAGAGTGATGTGGGTTCCTGGAGTGAGCCGAGAGGGTCTGAGGCAGAAAATTACAGGAAGGGGAGTTAGTGGAATCAATATAGGTAGATGCCAGGGAATCTTCTTTCTGAAAGCGGGTGAACAGCTATTATACCCTATCAATATTGCTTTATATCCCCTGCAGGAAGGAGGGGTAATTGTTACACCATGTAAATTACTGGAAACTAGTATTGCTTTGGCATAGTCACACATTTTTTTTTTTTAAAAAGGCAAATATGGCTATTGGCATAACCTCCTAGTATATCTATAGCTAAACCAATAGCATTTTGCTGACAGTGAATCTCTTTTGAAAATCTAATAGCCACTTGCTATAACTTTATACTCGAAGTCAATGAGTTTCAGGATTTGAATTGTGAGCTTTCAGAAACCCCATATGTAATATTTTTCATTACATTAAGTTGAATGCAGAGAGATATGGGCGAGTTTATAATGCTGTGTAAGTGCAGTCTTGCTTTTTGATGGAGTTTCAACAATAGAACTAGTTTATTACACCCTGGAGCTACATCCCTATTTGATATGGTAGAGTAATGAGATTTTTAATACTTATTAACCTCATGAATTTTGCAAACTGATAAAATTGAAGAAAGGAACAAGTATTGCATCGCTAACACTTTATTCAATGAGTCTGTGTCTAATATGTTAATATTACTGTTATCTCCTTTTGAAAGATAAAATAATTTTGAGCTATTCTTGATTCTTTGACACAAATCCTTCTGACCATAAAGAATCATTATTTGCATTCAACTTGGATACAAGTCTTAAAACAAAACCTTACGTTCTTTAAGCTAAAAAATACACCTTCCTTTTTTTATGACTAACAAATTCTTAGCCGGTGCCAAAATAAATTTTTAAAAAGTATTTTATATAAAATATTTTGCATAAAATATTAACTTGATCTTCTGCTTGCATATCCCAATAAAAACTTTTACAATTAAAGAAACAAGACTTAGACTAGATAACATCCAATGTTTAAGCACTTATGATGTACCAAAGTCATAAGGGACTTACAGAAACAAAATGTTCACAATGATCCTAAGATGCAGATATATTTTGACTCTCAAGCCTCAGTTTCAGTATCTGTAAAATGAAGAGGTAATTTTACAATGTCGTATGGCACCAGATAATAAATGACAGAGCCTTGTTCAAAAGCTCAGCTTTCCTAGACTCAACAATTGCTTTGTGCTGATACTATGGAAACAAGACCTCTCCCTCCATCTGTTAAAGACTTAAAAATGGAACTTTGCTTCTTAGGTTTCAGAGTTAAATCAAGGAAACCAAAAAATCTGTAAGCCACAGGAACCAGTACAAATTAATTTGTCCTGGGATAATCAAGAAAGGAGTCACAGAGTGTACTACACTAAAAGAGCTTTAAAAATGAGTATGAGTACAAGTTAGTCTGTAATATTCTCCATACTACCTGTGCTATTGAAAGTGTGGCTGTAAGAACTGCTTATAATTTTTGTTCCAACAAGTGTGAATTCTCTAGAGCAGCACTATCTAACAGAACTTTCTGCAATAATGGAAGTGCTCTGTATTTGTGCTGTCTAAAATGGTAGCCACTAGCCACATGTGGCTATTAAGTACTAGAAATGTGGCTACTGTGACTGAGGAATTTTTAATTTTACTTAATTTTAATTAATTTAAACATAAGTACCCATATGTGGCTAGTGCTTCCCATGTTGGGAGCACATATCTAGAGTTATTCAAATATGGCCTGTTTCAATGCCTTGACATTAGACTAAAGGTGGGAGAGACAGACGGATACCTAGGTGGAAAGTAATGGGTATGAAGGGAGAGGCTTAAACAAGAAGATATTACATGCTTGCTAATGACTCATAATCATTACCCTGAAGGCAGTAATGGTTAGTGGAGAATATTTAACATTATTCCTTTTGAGATTCCTTTAGAAACTTTGAGTATTTTATGTGTGGATAGACACATGACAGATAGGTATGATAGATAGATAGATAGATAGATAGATAGATAGATAGATAGATAGATAGATAGATACAGAGAACTTAGTTTAAGCAATATGTTATGTTGGGAAGACGTTTTATTTATTCAGCATTTTTATAAGAAGAGAGCATTCCTGTATCTATTCTTGCCAAATATTAAAAAAATTACTGACACTTGTTTAAATAGTACTATTGCAATAGGTGTCCAGACTACCACAATAGAAGGGAAAAATTGGGCTAAATCTGAATATAGTAGACAACTGAGGATTTATAGCCAAGAAGCTGGGGGAAAGGGAGGCACAGGATGGAAAATAAGATGAGATGTCAAGGATAAGAAGATTCTTATTAAACCAACTTAACAAGATTCTTGCTGAAGGCAGGCCAGGGTGATCAATTATCACCTAGGGGATGCTGGGAGCTGAGGAATTTGAGCAGATATCAAGGGTGATCAGCATCCTACTCCTCCCTCAATGACTGATTGCCAGCTTGCTGATCATTGTGTCACTAGAGCACCTAACACATAGTGCTAATGAAAAATGCTGTGAGTGGTGAAAAGCTTATTTTTACAAAAAGTTGAATGAAAGAAAGAAGCTGTGATTCTCCACCATGCAGCTTTGACATACCTACCTTTTAGGGTTGCCTTGTGAATAAGAAGCATTTTAAGGATGACTATCAGAGACCCGCCCCCTTTTGCCCCAGCCTCTGAACAAACCGTTTCTTGTTTTTTGTTTTGTTTTGTTTTGTTTTCTTTTGGTGAGACAGTGTCTCACTCTGTCTCCCAGGCTGGAGTGCAGTGGTGCCTTCTCGGCTCACTGCAACCTCTGCCTCCTCAGTTCAAGCAATTCTCCTGCCTCAGCCTCCCGAGTAGCTGGGATTACAGGCACCCCGCTGTTTTTTTTATTTTTAGTAGAGATGGGATTTTGCCATTTTGGCCAGGCTGGTCTCAAACTCCTGACCTCAGGTGATCCACCCACTTCAGCTTCCCAAAGTGCTGGGATGACAGGCGTGAGCCATCACACCTGGCCAAACCTCCCACTTTTTATTCCTCCTCCTGTTACCAGCTCAGCAACTGTTGACTTTATTAGTGACAGCTCATCTCAGCTGCTTCATTGTCTCTAATATTAAGTTCCTAAAAACTTCCTGGCCACTAGGATTGGCTCATTTTAAATAAAGAAACAGGCTACTTTTGTTTTACATTCCCTTGTAGAACCAGCTTAGTGTACAAGGTTAGAAATTAATGGATGAAATATTCATTTTCTATAGCAGATATTCATAAACATGTACTCCCATAGGATACACAGAGCTTTTCAGAAAGCTGTTTAGAACACTTTGTGGCAACTAGTTTACACTGAAGCCAAGCTGGTGAGGATAAATATTTGAGGCCATATTAAAACCTAAAATCTTTAGAGGGTGATACATAAACTTACAGTGGATTAAAAAAATAGTTTGCTTTAATTGTGAATAATGGCTCGGTAGCATTGTAATTTGGAGTAGGGGAGGAAACGGCTGTAGTTTAGAACCAGACATATAATGAAATATCTCTGTATCCTCGTTTTGCTCAAACACTAAAACATGTGGTCAGAAAAAAATGCAAAAGCCCTGAGCAAGATAATGGGATTTCTCTTAATTTGATTTGCTATGGAGAATGCTGGCCTATTTAATAGATCCATGTGGAGTTGCTGTTTATATTTTGGTTTCTAATTAGCATAGTCATTCTGAAGCCTCTAGCTGACTTCCCCGTCCATCTAAATCTAATTTGGCCTTGAGGAGGGTTATTAGAGCAGCACAAGGAGCACAAACAAAGGAAAATGTCTGCCAAACAGCAGGCAGGCTTAATGCATCCGGGGCTAGCGCCGAGGCCAGCAGCCAGACTGGTGTGCGGCGCTGCAAACAGCAGGAGGGGTCTTGCCTGGACAACAAATCAATCACCAGTCTCTCTCCTACCCAACCAAGCCTGCCTCACCCCAGCCTGTGCTGCCTGGCCAAGGCAATTTCATAATGAAAAAGGGATGATATTGAGGGATGTGAAAGCTATAAAGAAAAGATTTAAAATTGATTTTGAAAGTTTCTAAACTAGGCCATAGAATGGATGGTCTGTACTGAAGTAAATGCTTAGTCTCCCTCCTAAAACTCCTTGTAAAGAGTGACATTTCAATTTTCCCTGGCTTTGGGGAGCTTGATTTTTTTTATGGCTCTACAACTCAGCCTTTGAGAAGCACCTTCTAGCAGTGATAATAAAGTATACTGAGTGGGGATATGGACAACATTGATAAAGAGGCACTAATCCTTATTCTCTGTGAAAAATAGTCTGAAAGTAGATTCTATCCCAAAGGGGAAGAAAGAAGAATGCTAAACATGACTAGCAGTGACCTATTTTTCACCAAGCAATTGGAGCGCACGTACATTTTGACTAAAATGTTGTTCATCGAAAAGAGCAAAGGACTTCAGCTCTTTATAAAGGGCATGAAGTACAAACTTAGTTTTATGACGACTCTAAAGAGGAGAGATAATAAAGTTATTTGGAGAAGATTTAGGGGGTCTAATGGCATTGATCTGGC
Source organism: Homo sapiens (assembly GCF_000001405.40). Taxonomy (NCBI): domain Eukaryota; kingdom Metazoa; phylum Chordata; class Mammalia; order Primates; family Hominidae; genus Homo; species Homo sapiens. The sequence continues at coordinate 46,079,407 of NC_000015.10, read as the reverse complement.
AGGTCCCCTATAGGATCTACATTTGTAGTTAGTGATTTGTCTTAACTGGTTTCTACAACCTTTATAAAGTTGGTAGACGTAGCGTTTAAGGGCTCAGAGAGCCTTGTTCATAAAGGTCTGCAGGAGCACTGATGAGCATAACTTATTGCAAAACTTTCCCCTACTGTGAGGAACAGAATGCTAATGATCTGAATCTGTTCTTTAGCCAGAACAGTGAGAATTATAGCTCCCCCTAGAACACAGGGAGAAGTCTCTAGAATTAAAGTTTGAAAAATGCACTTTTGTCACATTCTGCGTATTGTTTAAATACATGTCCATCAACAATTTATTGTTTTCTGACACTATTAAGAGTTGTAGACACATGAGCTTCACATATCCCTGAGAAAGAGAAATCAGATAATTTTTTAATTAAAAGAAGGTTTGCAACTCATAGGAAATTTTTGCAGTCATGAGAGTGCAGAGGGGAGGTTAGTGAAGAAAAAAGAGATGGAAGCATCTTTTCTAGACAATTATAAATGAAGGAGGACAGAGATTTCAGATGGAAGGTGAAAACATTCAAGATCCTTTGTCCACAAAAATAGTGGTAATATGAACTAAGTACTCTACTGAAAGCTCAAAAACCTTTCCTAATTTTGAACTATTTACTCTTTCTACTCTCCCCTGCTTCAAAAAGAGTTTGCTTCAATCTCACGACCCAGCTGCCCATAAGATAAGGTCAGTTTCCTCACTCCCCTCGGCACCTGTTTCTTCATTAGTCAAAAATTGATTGAATGAATCTCTAAGTGAGGAGGGCCATCTTATGGTGATTTCTCTTTTCCTCTTGATCTCTGTTACAAGTTAAAATGTCTCAAGAGTCAGGCCTATGCTCTCATTTGCTTGCTTCTCACACATTTCCTTAGAAGATTTCTCCAGCAAGTTCAAATACCATCTACAGGCTATATACTAAGCTTTGAGATGCCTGTAACTGTGAGTAGAAATGCCAAGTAGGTGATTAGATAAATAGGTCTGTCAGAAGACGTCTCTATACCTAAAGAAAATATACCTAAAATGGAAACCATAATCTGCTCTGCCATCCCCAAGGGTCAATACCCATAACCTACTCCTCTAGATTCCCAGGCTCAGCAAGACAGCAGCAGCCACTGTTGCTTATGTCAGGAATCTCCACTTAACTCTCTCAGAGAAAGTCTTGACAATTTCCCCAAGCATCTCTGACCTCTGACCACCACCTTCCCCCACCCCACCTCACCAATCCTAGCTACGTCACCTCCCATCCAGACCACTGCACTGGGCTCTAAAATTGCCATTTCTCAGCTCATTCTCTACACAAAATCAGAGAGGCCTGTGCAGTATGTACATGAACCATCACTCGTCTGTTTTAAAACTTTTGGTGGCTCTTGGGGATTTGAACATTTATCCTAATTTGTCCTCGATAACCCACCTGATTTCGTCCTGCCAAACTCTCCTTTTCCATCGTCCCTTGGCTTGGTATGCTTCCTTCACAGTGGCCTTCTTTCAACTCCTCCAACAAGCAAAGGTCTTTTCCACATTGTTCAGTAGTTTGTCTCTAAGGAGCTTCCCAATCCCCCTGCATCCTTCCACCTTTCATTAATGCAACAATTAGTGACCAGTATATAATAGTTGCTCATTAAAGCTGTTTTACAGGTTTTTAATAAATCCAAGTCCTTACTTTCATTGCACTTATAATAATAAAGTAACTAAAAGCTTCGTCAGATGCTGATTAGTTCTACATAAAAAATTAACACAGACTGAGAGAGACAAGGAATGACAGAGAGAGGAAGTGCTGTCATTTTACACTGGGTGATCAGAAAAGGCCTTGCAAAGAAGGTCTCTGACAGAGACATGGAAAGCGTGACAGTGAGCTAATCAGCCATCTTGGTAAAGCATTCCACACAGAGGGAACAGGAAATCAAGATTTGCAGTGGATATACAACACAGCAAGGAGGCCACTGTGGCTGGAACACAGTGAGAGGCAGAGGGCAGTAGGAGACAAGGTCAGCAAGGTGGCTTATTGATCAAGTCAGGTACACCGATGGCTACAGAACTCTGAAAGGCAGATCTCTTGCCTCAAAAGTTAGAGCAAACTCTGAGGAATAATTTATATTCCAGTCACTTACTAAGCAGAACACCTTATAGGGGAGAGGAAGTAAACTCCCAGGCACTTCTGGCTTTCTATACCTGCATTCTGAGCATCAGCAAATAGCTGTTTCTGAATAAGAATTGCAGGCAGAGGCTGTTGGAAGTAAGAGCACACCAAAGCTAGGCAAAGGGCACACAGAAACAGCAAAATATAGCAAAATGAATCCGAGGGGAACTGGGTGGAGCACTAACAGTTTCCACTACAGACAAGGTTTCCTTGCTTTCTGGTGTGACAAGAGGTTTCTCACTTAAAGAATGCATGATTCTTGACAGAAATCCCTGAATGCATTTCTTTGGCAGAAATTCAAGCTTTTCTTGGGGTATGAAAATGGACCTCAAATACTTAGATGCCATTATCTAGGCAGTGGGGATGCTTGTGATTACTGGATTCTCAATGTGTAGAGGTTTTAGAGGTAGGGAACAATTTTTTTTTAAGAGAGAATACATTGTTTCCAATTCAACTACTAGGAGAGACAGACCATCACATCCAAAATGGCAAGGTACAGCTAGTCTGCCATATCAAAGTCTACCCATCTCCCTCAGCAAAACTGCTTTTTCACCTCCTCTCTTTTCTAGGCCCTCAAACAAAAAAAGAGCCAATTACCCACTCTCTTCTCCGCAAGTAAATAGAACTTAATTGTATCTCAACGGCCCAGGTCCTCACAGAGGGAAAGGCCTTCCATGCCTCAAAGCTTACTCATCCTCCCAACTGAGATGACACTGGCCTGCTCTCATGATCTCAAGGTGAAGTAGTCACAGGTGGATTAGGACCTCAAAGATGATGAAGTCTGCTTTGCTGAGGGGAAATATTTAAGATTTAGCATTGGGCTTCAATGCACAATAGTCACAAAATCCGGGTCAAGGGGGAAAAGACTAATTAAACTGTTCATAGCTAGTTTCTCCTGGAGTTTCCCTCAGGAGAGAAGCTCTTACGAAAAGAGTTATATGTTGTCTTTGTGGATGTGTGCCACCACACAACTTCATTTAGTAAAGATAGGCTTGAAGCTAAAAGATCTCAACCTGCTCTCTACTTATAGTCAGTATGAAGCTGGATTTTCTTCCTGCTTCAGTGTGGGTTGAAACCTACATACAAAAACAGGAGTTCACAAGCTCTGAAAGTTTAAGGAGAAAAGAGTTTCATATAAGCAGCATTTGAACATGAATGAGATTGTCCTGAGAAATGTGTCAGTGCCATTCCTAGGAAATGAATGTTAGCCTTTTTCCCTTAAGCCAATCAAAGAGGAACTAGACCCACAGAGGAAGAAAAACTATTCCACACTCACACTGCCTTCCCTGGAATTAGCCAACTCACTCCGAGCAAGCTTGCTTGTTGGAAAAGATGACAATCCTAAAGGTTATCTTTCAGAGGGGCCCCAGTTTTCCAAATTAGACTCAGAATTATATGTCACCTTATAGTCTGCTTCCCAGGGAATGTGACCTGCCACAAAGATTAGCAGGCAGCAGGCCTATTATTGAGTGCTGTTGGGATCCATGCCCATGGGAAGAAATAAATGGGCTAAAGTAGAAGTTGACCAGCAATGCCAGCAAAATGAAGCCTGGCCTAAAACTGTGGGGCTTTCTGAAACTGGGATGATATTTCAAAGATTTCCTGAATTGGACAGAGAGGTCCAGGTCTTTATAGCCCTATACAGGTCAACCGTTGGATACAGGCAACTTCAGGAAGAGGGAATGAGCTTCAGTAAAGAGGCTGCCTTTAGCTGAGAAAATCCTGATGGGGCTGACAGCTGAAGGCTGTGTTCGCACAACACTTCCAGCAGCTCAAAGTTTTTTGTTCCTACAGGGGAATTTGGATCCCATTGTCCACCTTATTAGCTAGTCCCATAACCATGGCTGGTCTCCAGGGCAAACAGCCTCTGGCTTATGGGAATAATTTAGGTAAGAGGTGTAAACAAACCAGAGCATCTTAAGTCCTACATCATGCCTAGCCCTTTCAGCTTGAGCCTTAACATGACAAATCCTTCCTCTAAATATGTGGATGTAAATTGTGTAGATGACCAGACAGAAAAACTGTCATTCTCATCGCGTTGATATCTGCTATACTCTGCTTCCCCACTTCTCATTCCACTCTTTGTCCCTTCCTCAGATCCCCTTCTAGAACCCTCTCCCTGCATAAAGAAACTCAGTAAACCTGAAAAATTTGCAGGGAGTAAATATAACTCTCAAAAGTAGCCTAATCCCTCATTTAATTAGAGAATTTTAGAAAGGATATTTCTGTTATTCTGAACTACTCTCTAACAAAGCCACAACAATGAGAAATTAGCAGATTCAGGGTAGGTGGGAAGAACACTAAATCCTGTTGAATTTTATTAGTCAGATAAAGAATGATGAGACACAGAATAAAAGGGAGAGGCTCTCAGCACATTTCTCCAACCTTCCTGCTACTCTCAGATCCCCTATTGAAGTTTGTTGTCATGTCCTCCTGGGTTCTTGGTACACTGTAGTGATAATTTGTTTACATCTTAAGAGGATGGCTTCCAGAATCTGGCTAAGTAATTGGATATGACACTCCAGCAGTGTCATATGGAAAAGTAGACTAAGTACTTATTTTTTCAAACATTAATTAGGTGTCCTTAAGGGATCTCAAGGAGAACGAGAACCTCCATAGGCAGAAGAGCAAAGGTCAAGACTTGCAAAGTTTATTATTTTTTAGCTGCATTAAGGTTTACTTGAATAAAAATTGTATATATTTATAGTGTACAAGATACTGTTTTGGTTTATGTATACATTTGGCATATGCAACAATTAAATCAAGCTAATCAACATATCATTTCACATATTTATTTTTTTCATGGTGAGAATGTTAAAGACATACTCTCTTTGCAGTTTTCAAGTATGTATTATTAACTATAGTCACCATGCTGTACAACAGATCTGCAGAACTTATTATCCTGTCTAACTGAAACTTACATCCTTTGGTCAACATCTCCCCATTTCTCTCTCCCCTCTCCAGCCCTGGTATCCACCATTCTATTTTCTGCTTCTATGAATTCAGCTTTTTTGGATTCCACATAAAAGTGGGATCATGCAGTACCTGCCTTGCTGTGTCTCACTTATTTTACTTAGCATAATGTCCTTTAGGTTCATCTATGTTATTGTAAATTACAGGATTTCCTTCTTTTTTAAGGCTGATTAGTATTCTATTCTAATAGTATATATACAATACGTATAATGCAATGCACATATATAAACTAAACTAAATTTGGCCTGAGGATACCTTCATACTCAAATCCTTACAAAACAAACTGCAACCTTAGGACATTAATAAACTGAAAACCTGACACACAAGTATAATTTTATAACAAATATCTTAATGTCAGTCACAGCAGCCAGACATCAGTCAATCACAGGTGGCCAACTGATTTAAATAAAGCAAAATGCCCAGCTATAACCAATTAAGCTGTCTCTGTATCTCACTTCTGTTTTCTTCGCGCAAATGCTGCTTAATCATGTTGCAGGCCAGAATTCTTAGAATCTTGTTCCGGTTATAAGGGCTTCCCAATTCACTAGTCAGTCTTTGCTCAATTAATTTACGTTAAATTTAACCTGTCTAAGCCTTCTTTTAACAGATTGGCAACCCAGAGAGGACCCAAATCAAAACTCCAGTGACCTCCAGGAGCACCCAGTAACCCAGTGAAGGTACCCCACTGGGGCCCGTTGTGTTCATTTACCTTTTGCAGCAACCGGAGGTCATGGGTGAGTTTTCTCTTGGATTTCGGGCTCTACTAGTTTGTCTTTTGAGCTATTTTTTTCTTATTTCACTGGACAGGGTCTAGGATTGTAATGAATTTGATAATTAACTTGATTCGATCTAGTTAGGAGGCCTTAGGTAGGTGTTTTTGATAATGGGTTTGTCACAATCCAAGGAGTCTGGGACTCCACCTTCTGGGACTTCAGCTAATTATATATATAAGTTATGAGCCCAGAATCTGGGCTCATCATTTTTTAAAATTATTATTTTTTTAATAAATGGGCTAGCCTTACTAAGAATGACTTAGAATTACAGTGGCCACAGTGGTAAAGTCTGACAAAAATAGTATGCGTTTCTTAATTGGTAAGCAGAGGCATCTAAAAAAAATTACATAATTCAAAAATTGCCTCCCTAAAGGTTTTCTCGCAGAAAGCCAACGAAAAGCTTAACCAGCAAAGTGAGAACATGGCAAAAGAGGATTGTACCCTGACTAAATTAACATCAACTGCTCTATACTGCAATATCCTAAGTCCACAACCTTTTTGCTCAATTACCTTTCTACCTTGAGAATAACAAAGTGGGGGTTAGACAAGTGCTTTACAAAGTGAAACCTTCTTATCAACCAGGCCTGCATGCTGTAACCACTTCTACCCCATGGTCTAAAGCTGAGCTAAGAATCATCAGAAGAGATATTCCTAATCCAAAAGAAAATCCTTAAAAATTTGCTGAGGAATTTATAATCCTCATAGGAGCTCATGATCAAGAACTCTCTGACCTTTACTCTTTATTCATTGATACTGGGACTCGGTGAAGCTCAAAAATGGATGCCAGCGGTAGAATAGAAAGAACCTGAGGATATTAAAGAGCCTTTCAAAACCTCCTCAAGAGACAGCCCAGGGCTGGACATGGTGGCTGATGCCTGTAATCCCAGCACTTTGGGAGGCCGGTGGATCACCTGAGGTCAGGATTTTGAGACCAACATGGTGAAAACTCATCTCTACTAAAAACAAAAATACAAAAATTAGCCAGGCATGGTGGCGCATGCCTGTAATCCCAGCTACTCAGGAGGCTGAGGCACAAGAGTTGCTTGAACCCAAGAGGCAGAGGTTCCAGTGAGCTGGGATTGTGCTGCTGCACTCCAGCCTGGGCGACAAAGCAAGACTGTCTCCAAAAAAAAAAACAACCAAACCAACCACCTGATTGTTCCATCATACAATCTGGCAGACAAAAGAAAAAAAAGGATAAACCACTTACTAAAAAAAATTAACAGTACATCTGGATTACAATGCTATAAGGGGTTTATAGAAGCCCCTTATTATTTTTCCCAGGCATTATGTCCGGACTTGACAACCCTGCAAGTACCCATAAATTCTACCCTTATTCAGAATGTAGAGGATCTGTTGCTATGCTGTCCCACTAAAGAATGTTCTGAAATTGACTTCTTACAGCAACTCACACATAAAGCTCACAAAGTTTTGATAGAAAAAAACTATCATTTTTAAGGGAAATAGTCCACTATTTAGGATATGATCTACCTGCTGAAGGAATTTTTCTCTCACCTGAGAGAATAAAATCTATTCAGGGTTTGTCTAGGCCTACACCTAAAAGACAGTTTAAGAGGTTTTATCAACACTTGCAAGATACTGCCTATCTTAAGTCCCAAATTATTCCCTAATAGTCTCACCATTGCATGAGCTAAGAATGCGGTACTAGAGGCTTTATCTTGGGAAGATAGTTAGTAGCAGACCTTTGACCAAATGAAACTGGGCTCCAAATTTTAGGACTTCTAAATTATACTAAATCTTTCACCTTCATCATGAGTATACCGATCAGGCATTAGGAGTTCTTACCCAAGAATGTGGGCGGGGGGAAACACAGACCTATCACACATCATAGCCTGCAATTAGACCCAGTAGCTAAGGCATATTCCAACAGTTTAAGAGCAGCAGTACAGCCAGATTGGGAGAGATCTAATCTGAGCTGGTTTTAAGGGGAATAAACTTTCTTCACAAGTTCTACATGCTGTGGAAAGTTTATTTAATTCCAGTCAAACTGAACATCTTTTAGCACACGGGCTAACATCTCATGAAATTCTCTTTTGTCTCCTGATCACCATCTAAAATGCTGCAACTTACTCCTGCTACTCTACTACCTCTACCTGAAGACAAGAAAGACCGCAATTATGTGAGTGATATAGTATCAGAATTAATGACCCTTCATATTTATTTATAAAATTCTCCATTAGATAATCCTACAGTAATACTTTTTGTTCATGAGTCTTCTGCCAAAAACTCAGAAGAAAAAATATAAGGCAGGTTATGCTGTTTACAACACAAAATGAGTTAAAAGAACTCCTCTCCAATTTAAATCAGCTCAACTTGCAGAGCTTTTTGCACTTACACAACCTTATCACATAATTAGTAAATGTTTATACAGATGGCAGATATACTTTTGAAGTAGTTCATTATTTTAGCCTGTTATGGAAAAACAGAGGGTTTTTCACTTATAATGGGACCCCCCCCCCATACAAAATGGACTCTAAAAAGATGAACTCCTTCTTGCTATCCTGTTTTTACCACAAATTGCCATTATTAAGATTAAAGCCAATGCCGATAAAATCAAACCTGAGTATCAAGGGAATGCCCTAACAGATTTTTGTGCTAAATCGTCTAGTGCTGAAACAGGATGTACAAGTTGAATGAACTTCATAAGACTGATCCAAGTCAACTCCCTTATGATGACTTATTTAATAAACAATGCCATGCATCAGATTTGGAAAAATAAAATTGGTATCTCAAAGGAGGCAAATTCAATGTTAAGTGTGAACTCACAGATGGCCCAGATGGTTGCTTGGTCCTCCCTGAGTCCCTAAAGCTTTCATTGTTAAGAGCTTTGCACTCCACAACTAATCATGGATCAGGCAAGATGACCCAAATTATTAAAAAATATTGATGTGGTGATTATTCTAAAATTGCAAAATGGTTTATTAACCAATGTTTGGTTTGCTAAACCCATAATCCTGGGAAGACAATAAAAACTTCAGATGGTATATTTCTAGCACCTGATGAATGATTTAAACATTTACAGATAATTTTCATTCAATTGCCACCGGGAGTGGGAAAGCAGTATGTTTTTATAATAACTTGCACATTTCTGGATAGATGCTTTCCTGTGTAGGAAAGCTGATGCTATGACAGTAGCTAAGAACTTATTAGAAAATTAGAACATGTTTCCTTTATGGGAGTCCCTAAAGAAATCTCCAGCACCAGAAGAACCCATTTTTATTGGGTAAATTATAAAGCAATTAAACAAAATATTGTGAACACAATAGCATTACTATTGTCCCTATCATCCTTAGACTTCTAGAAAGACCAAAAGTACAAATGGCATTTTAAAATGGAAACTGACCAAGTTAACAATCAATTTGGTTGCCTTGGCCCAAGGTACTACCATTGATTTTAATAGCAATCAGATCCACTCCCACTTGGAAACACAGATTGACCCCATATGAAATAAGGTGTTAGATATAGTAAGTTCCTCTTCAAAGGTTTAATTTCTGACTTCCTTGTTCTTTGTTCTTGAGATCAACTTCCTTGTCCCTTCTAAGCCACCTGCTCTGTAAACAACTTCTCCCACCAGTCCCAGTCTGTAATTCACATAATCTTCCTTATTTGGAAAGAGTCCTCTTTTATTCCTGGCTACTCATTCTGTAAACTGTCCCTCCTGCCACAACAGCTCTTCCTGCCAAAACTACCCTTCCCACCTTTGCTGCACCCTGACATGCCCAAACATGCTTTGTACCGTAATGAACAGCCTCTCCCTTGCAGCCTAATTAGCCATGTTCAATTTTAAACAGTAGCCAATCAGGTCAGTTTAGATTATGTGGTCCAAGTTCAGCCAATGGGGGCAGGACACAGAGGCAGGGGCTAACTGCATTAGGGATGAAAAACCCCTTCTCTCGTTTGTTTGGTGTACTCTTGCAGCAGCCAGAAGTGCGAGCAGCACCCTTCTGTATAAGTAAATTTGCCTTGCTGAGAAATCCTTTGTTTGAGTGCTCATTTTCCTCGTGACTCCCAGCTCTTGTTTCTAACAAAGGGAAGGCCTGTGTCCTTAACAGAACCTCATATGTCTCCTGCTCTCCTAAATTCTTGGATGACTAAATACTGAATGGCTTTAATACATTATGTCAAATAGTATTTTCACCAGGTAAAACACTATTCCAAGTAATATACCGTACTACATCAGGTAACAGAATACAGTAATATATTACACCAGGTATTATACTATACTTCCATGATGTACTGACTAAAAACAATCAAATCCTTAATATACAACCTGGAGGCTGTGTCTTCTAGAAGTGACATCAGAGAAAGACTGACCTTGAAAGGGTCATACCACCACCCACACTGAGGTAAAGCTTTATGGCCTCAAAATGTGGGTCCACACCTCATAACTCAAAAGGACCCCTCCAGACTCTTTGAACTGTACACCACCTATTGGACACTTTAAAGTAGAGCTGACCAGAGTTTTTCCCCAGAAGCAGACAACGCCATGCACACAGACAGCTTTCCCAAGATCTCAGATCAAGACTTTTTCTGCCATCATGAAGACAATTTTTTTCTCCCTTTTTCCTATTTTCTGCTATTCTAATCCTTTTTCTCTCCTCAAAGGAAAATTCAAAGAAGCATAATCCATGGATGGCTTAGCAAAGGCTTATACTCTAGCAAGAAACTAGAGCAATTGTTGGGTTTGTATGCTAATGCAGAGAAGCAGTAAACAGTTCCATTAATACCAGTGCCTGTGTTTCCAATGAGCCACCCTGAAACCCTGAAGGGAGAGTAGAAGCCTATTCATGATACTGTAAACCTCAATACTATTTGCTTGCCTACATTTATTAGAAGCAGTACCCTGACCTTCCCAATTAATTATTTCATCACAGTAACAAAAACTCTTAAAAGAATGCCATGCAGCTTTAAATTTCTTCTTTGCCCAAGTTGGGATCTTGTGTATGGTGCTAAACAAGAATCGAGGTTTCACTTATCTTTTCCCTTTTTTTACTACAACAGTTTAATTAAAGAAATAGCTGACACTGTTCTTCCTCTAGACACTGCCACCAAAGAAAGTAAGAAAAAGAACACATGATATGTTTGTGAAAACTAATAGTGGTTGGTTTGTGGGCATTCCAAATGGTGATCTTAGCTCTTCCAGACTTTTCTTATTTATTTGAGATGGAGTCTCGCTCTGTCACCCAGGCTGGAGTGCAGTGGTAGGATCTCAGCTCACTGCAAGCTCACCTCCCAGGTTCATGCCATTCTCCTGCCTCAGCCTCCTGAGTAGCTGGGACTACAGGTGCCTGCCACCATGCCTGGCTAATTTTTTTGTATTTTTAGTAGAGACGGGGTTTCACTGTGTTAGCCAGGATGGTCTCGATCTCCTGACCTCCTGATCCACCCACTTTGGCCTACCAAAGTGTCTAATTTCTATGTTTCTTTTAGTGGGTCCAAGGTTACCATGACTTGTGGTACCAGGCTAACTATGAAAATGAATACCTCTTTAAATCAGACTGCTTTCCAGCAAACTATGGTCCTAAGTCACCACAATAACCTCAGCAAAGACTATGACAGTAGGACTCGAATACTGTTGAACTGTCTGTATTGTCTGAAATTTGATTTTATAAATTTTGATTGGTTCAGTTCATAGGGACTCCTATTAAGAAGTACACGTCAGTCTTTTCATCATCCTCTTGATGGTTATAATAGTACCCCTGGGGTACACTGTATCCTCTCAAGTCTTCAAAGTTTGTATGCAGCCATTCATGTAGTGTTGAATGGTCTTTGATTAGATCAGCAAGAACATAAATATTCAACTGATGCACATCATGACTTTTAGATTCCACACTAAGGCTAAATAAGTGTCTATAATGAAGGCAGAGAGTGGTATTAATGTCTGAGGTTTTAGACAATCTCTTGGAATTGAGGGGTGGACCAAAAGTGGGGAATTGTTAAACTAAATTTGGCCTGAAGATGCCTCTGTACTCAAGCTCTTACATAGAAACTGCAATCAATTTAGTACATAAATTAGCTGAAGCCTAATGTAGGAGTATACTCTTGTAACAAAGTTGAATCTTAGTCAATAACAGCAGCTGAGCTTCAGTCGATCACAGGCATCCAACTAATCTAAATAATGCAAAATGCTGAGCTATAACCAATAAAGCTGTCACTGTACCTCATTTCTGTTTTCTGTCCATAATTGCCATCTAGCCATGTTGGAGGCCTGAGTTCTTAGAACCTGTTCTGGTTCTGAGGGCTGCCCAATTCACGAATCATCCTTTGTTCGATTAAACTGTAAAATTTAACTCGTCTAAAGTTTTTCCTTTTAAATCTATATTATGTATGTGTAGGTATGTATGTATATATATACATACACATGTTTTATATAATATTTTCTTTTTCCATTCACTGGTTGATAGATATTTAAGTTTATTCTATATCTTGGTCATTGTGAATAATGCTGCAATGAATATAGGAGTGCAAATATCTCTGACATATTATCATTTCCATTGGACATATTCCCAGAAAAAGAACTGCTAAATTACATGGTAGTTCCATTTTTAATTTTTCAAAGAATCTCCATGCTGGTTTCCTTAATGGCTATACTAATTTACATTCCCACCAACAGTGTAAAAAGGTTCCCTTTTCTCCACATCCTTGCCAAAACTTGTTAACTTTTATCTATTTGATAATAGCTATTCTGACAAGTGTGAGGTCATATACCAATGTGATTTTACTTTGCACTTCCCTGATGATTAGTGATGTTGAGTATTATTTCATATTCCTGTTGGTCATTTGTATGTCTTTTTATTTGAGCAATGTCCCTTCATATGCTCTTTGTCTATTTTTAATTAGATTGTTTTCTTGCTATTGAGTTGGAGTTTCTTACGTATTTTGGATATTGACCCCTTATCTGATGTATGGTTTCCAAATATTTTCTCCTATCCCCTAGGTTGTCTCTTCACTAGGTTGTTTCCTTCACTGTACAGAAGCCTTTTAGTTTAATGCAATCCCATTTGTCTATTTTTGCTTTTGTTGCCTGTGCTTTTGGAATCATATCCAAAATCTCTATGCCAAGTAGAAATTTTTTTGTTATCCTCTAATAGTTTTACAGTTTTGGGTCTTACGTTTAAGTTTTAAAGCCATTTTTCTATGTCTCATATATACAGAGATATGAGATACCCATTTCTGTATGTCTCATACCTCTTTGTATATATGAGACCTACAAAAATGCCTCATAGTGAGAAAGGTACAATTTTTTTCTCCATGTGGATATCTAGTTTTCCCAGCCTTATTTATTGAAGAGACTGTCCTTTTCCAATTGTTTGTTCTTGGCACCTTTGTCAGAGATCAGTTGTCTGTAATTACATGAATTTATTTCTGAGCTCTCTATTCTGTTCTAGTAGTGTATATGTGTTTTATGTCAATGCCATGCTGTTTAATTACTATAGCTCTGTGGCATATTTTGAAATCAGTGTGATGCCCGCAACTTTGGGGTTTTTGCTCAATATTGCTTTGGGTATTCAAGGTCTTTTGTAGTTAGTTACAAATTTTAGGACAATTTTTTACTATTTTTTGAAAAACGTAATTGGAATTTTGATACGGATTGTATTCAATCTGTAAGTCATCTCAGGTAGTAGGGACATTTTAGTAAAATTCTTCCAACCCATGAACACAGGATATTTTTCCATTATTTGTGACTTCTCCAATTTCTTTCATCAATTTTTGTAGTTTTCAGTGTAAATATTTTTCATCTCTGGTTACTTTTATTTTAAAGTATTTTTGATGCTATTTTAAATGGGATTGTTGTCTTGATTTCTTTTTCAGTTAGTTCATTGTTAATGTATGGAAATGCTACAGGTTTTTGTATGTTAATTTTGTATCCTGCAACTTTATTGGATTTGTTGATTAGTTTAACAGTTTTTTTGTAGAGTATTTAGGGTTTTCCATATATAATACTATATCATCTGCAAACAGATAATTTAACTTCCTCCTTTCCTATTTGGTTATCTTCTACAGTCATGAACCAGGTAATGATGTTTTGCTCAGTGATGAACCACATATATTGCATTTCTATAAGATTATAATCAAGTTGAAAATTTTCTATCACCTAATTATTTCTATCACCCAGTGATGTCACAGCCATAATGTCATAGCACAATGCATTACTCATGTGTTTGTGGTGATGCTGGTGTAAACAAACCTACAGTACTTCCAGTCATATAAAAGTACAGCACATACAATTATGTACAGGATATCATACTTAATAATGATATAAATGGCTACATTACTGGCTTATTTTTGTACTATAGTTTTTATCATTATTTTAGAGTATACTCCTATTTTACATAAAAAAGTTAACTATAAAACAGTCTTGCACAGATCCCTCAAAAGATATTGCAGAAGGCAGCATTGTTATAGGAGATCACAGCTCCATAAGTGTTATTGCCCCTGAAGATCTTTCAGTGCAACAAGATGTGGAGGTATAAGACAGTGATATTGATGATCCTGACCCTATGTAGGCCTATGCTAATGTTTGTGTCTTAGTTTTTAACAAAAAAAATTTAAAGTAGAAAAAAATTAAAAATAGGAAAAATCTTATAGAATAAGAATATAAAGAAAAAAATTTTGTACAGCCATACAATGTGTGCTTTAAGCTGAATGTTATTAAAATAGTCAAAAAGTTTTAAAAATTAAAAAGTTTATAACATAAACAATTATAGTAAACTAGGGTTATTTATTAAAGTATTTTTATAAATTTAGTGTAGCCTGGATGTGCAGTGTTTATAGGGCCTACAGTGGTATACGATAATTTTCTAGGCCTTCACATTTACTCACATTCACTCTGACTCACCCAGAGTAATTTCCAGTCCTGCAAGCTCCATTCATGGTAAATGCTTTATATAGTGTACCATTTTAAATCTTTTACATCATCGTATTTTTACTGTGTCCTTTCTATGTTGAGACATATAAGTACTTACCATTATGTTACAGTTGCCTGTAGTATTCAGAACAGTAACATGCTGTACAGGTGTGTAGCCTAGGAGCAAGAGGCAATACTACATAGCCTGGGTGTATGATAGACTATACCATCTAGGTTTGTGTAAATATTCTCTATGATGTTCACACAATGACAAAATCATCTAATAACACATTTCTTAGAACATAGGTTTTTATGTCATGAGCAACTGCATTTCTTTTATTATTTTGAAACAGGGTCTCACTCTGTCACCCAGGCTAGAGTGCAGTGGTGTGATCATAGCTCACTGCAACCTTGAACTTCTGAGCTCAAGGGATCCTCGCACCTCAGCATCCAGAGTAGCTTCAACTATAGACACATGCCACTGTGCTGGACTAATTTTTTTTATACTTTTTTTTTTTTTAAGCAATGGAGTCTTGTTTTGTTGCCCAGGCTTGTCTCAAACTCCTGGGCTCAAACAATCCTCCCAAAGTGCTGGGATTATAGGCATGAGCCACCATGCCCAGCTGTATTTATCTTTACTGCCTAATTGCTCAGGCTAGCACTTCTATTACGTTGAAAAGAAGTGGTAAAAATTGGCATCTTTGTCTTGTTCTTGATCATAGAAGAAAAGCTATTAGTTTTTCACCACTGAGTATAATATTTGCTCTGGGTTTTGATATGTAGCCTTTATTGTGTTTAGGTGCATTCCTTCCACACCAATTTTGATGAGATTTTATCGTAGAAAATGTTGAATTTTGTCAAGTGCTTCATCTATTGAAATGATCATATGGTTTTGTCCTTCATTCTGTTAATATGGTGTATCATATTTGTTGATTTGCATGTGTTGAACTATCCTTTTATGACAGGAATAAATCTTACTTGACCACAGTGAGTGATTCTTTTAATGTACCATTGAATTTGGTTAGTGTAACTTTTCATTTAAGCTATAAATATGGGGCTTTTCAGAAGTTTTAAGCAACAATTTAGAGGCCATGCATTCATAGATTCCTCTTACTTTTCTCTGACATTTATAATTACCATGCTTCAGACTTTTTACTTCCTATGAAAACCTGGGAGTGGATTCAAACTCTCTTGAGATGGGAGGTATAACCCTACAAAGGCAAGGGTGACATGAAGTAGAAAGTGAAGGAAAGCACATACAAGGGGGTTATCAAACTGATAACAATTTCACAATAAAGTAGGACCAGATATTGAGTCCCATGATAAATCTTTCAGACAGACCATGTGGAACAAACCTCCTCCACTCAGGATGAGCCTATGAATAAGAAGCTAGAAACAGAAGAGAAATGATAAATCCCATTCCTTTCCTCCTTCCAGTGAAGTCTGCCCTATGGGATGATAACAACACCACGATTACAAGTTATTTTCCAGACACTCTGTGCAGACACTGTGCAAGCCAAGTTTTACAACCTACCAGCATTGTGCTGTTTCAGAGTCCAGAAGTGGTAGTAGGAGTCATAACCTCTACAGATCCAGTTAGGTTGGATCTAGATGCTTAAATCACTGTGGTGCTCAATAAGGAGATCACAATGAAGGGTGTCCAAACTCTGACGCTCATTCTAGTGAAGGCTGAGAAGGGGTGGGGTGGGGGTGGCATTAGTAGGTAAGAGATTGGCAATGGCTTTTAACCACAATGACTCCTAGTCTTCCTACTGAGAAGTGGCCAAGTCCTGTGTAGGTTTGATAAAGACAATATTAGGAGAATTAAAAACGGGTTTAGTACAGCCAAAAATCTAAGGATTGGGGCACAAAATTTCCTCAGGAATACAGGATTCACAATTCTCTTCACCAGAGACAGATGCCACGCACATCAAGCTCCAGCAGGCTATGAAATTCTTCCTGTACGTGAGACCTGAAGTGTGCAGCAGTCACCCATTGAGTGAGCCATGTTTCAGCTGCCAAGGCAACTAACTTCCCACCCAGCTCCGCAACTTTAGCCCTCTAGATTAGATGAAAATCCATAATACAATGTTGTCCAGTTAATAAATACCTACAATAAGGAAAGATTGTAAAATAAATGATAGAACCTGGTCATGGGATGGAAATTCTACCCAAAAAGTAGCATTTAACCATATTTGCTATTTATGCTGAAAGGAAAATTTCTGACGAACTAGTAAAGGTCAGTTTGTAAATTACATAAAGCATGGATTTCAAAACTAGACACTCTATTGATAAGGGGCATATATGATTTTATAAAGAAAAATAAACTTTTGAGGAAGTTTTAGGCTGGATAGTCCTGTTGAAAAATTTTATAAAATTCTCACCTGACTTTGCCCTGGTAGGTGAAATCAGTATTTCTAAGTATGGTACCACGTCTTTGAAGTGACATTTCCTGGAGATGTGCCTGCTCTGCTCTTGGAATACTTAAGATTTCTTTGCTTTGCTTTCAACACCCTAGTTAAACTATGGATATTCTCAAACAGTTTGCTTGCCTAGGACACTGGGATGGTGCTTAAATCACTGGCGTTTGACAAGCTAATGCTGCAGAGTGGGGAAGCAATAGGAACAAAATTCTGATATGTGTTTGTATGTATTTTGCTTTTCTCCATTTTTATGTTAACCACGCAAGAGATCAGAGCACCATCTTGGTGGAACAATAACATTGCCCTGCCTACCTAAAGCAAGGTGGGTTTTAAAAAATGCATTCCATGTTTTTCCTTGACATTACACTAAACAATATCTTCGTGCATGTGTGAGTGCCATAGGCACTCACCACAGCTGTTCTTGCTATGAGGCTGCCATGAATCTCTTGACCGATCACAGTCAACACATTTAGTAAACCATGGTAGAAAGACACAGCACAACTAGATTCAGACTATTAGGTAAGCCAGCTAGTTACTCATTCATATTTAGCAGGTTTTCACAACCATCTAATCTTCCCAGGACATAGTCTAGTCCACCTCCTAGGTAATGCTGTATCTCCACATAGTATTGGTTGCCTATACTGGGATGCTGCAAAGAGCTCTAAATAATGCTCAGTGGCTATTAAGTTTTCTGGTGAGACTTTTTCCAGCACTACATTGGAAAGTCAGAGTAGCAGCAAACTGCCATGCAGATGTCTCCCGGTGGGTTTGACTACCGGTTCATGAAATAATCTCAAAGTATTTGGAGAGAAAGGCAGACCATCTCTTCTTTTGTGCCAAATTTTCTAGGACTCGTGGTTTCTTTTGGTCCAGGTGTTAAGCCACTGCCATAGGCAACCCTCAGAGCTGGAATAGATCCCACTCACATCCAAAATTTAAATATCGAGACTGATGACACACGCAGGCACGAAGAGGGTATGAAAAATCTGATTAGTCACACAATGAGGCTTCCTGAAAATGCTGAGCAAGCTCCCAAGCAGGTCCCAAAATGGCTTGAGATAAAACAGGCAAGGGAGAATGGCTTGGGTTGTACTGGGGTTAGAGAGTGGTGCTGGGGTAAGAGTTTTTCCATACACAGGCTTGGGGTTATGTGACTTAAATTTCCTGCCGGCATCAAAGGAGAAAGCATGCAGGCTTTGTTACTGATTTGCCCAGGTGTAAGGCAAGGAAGGAGGGAGGGGGAGAGTGGGAGGGGGAACTTTTAGGCTATCAGCAGTCAAACATCAAAAATGAAGTCAGACTCTTGACTACAACTTACTCCAGATTTTTGATAACTGAAATGTGCCATGTTTCATTTAATCAAATTTGAACCTAAATAAGCCATTACTATACTCCAAGAGGCTTTGTGGTCTGAGGCCAGTAAGGGAGGTGAAAGTTCTATTGACTACCTTGTTCAACACTCAGTGTTGTATATTTTGTGACAAGAAATGTGTTCCCTCTGGTTATTATTTCTAGAATATCAACAGAAATGAGGAATGTCTTGATGAGGCCTTGTATTGTGACTTTAATATGTACAGGGACATATGTGAGCTTGATTTATACTTTTGCTGTCTGTGAGGCAAAACATTTCCAGAGTTTTTATCTCAAAGGAGGAAATTTTGGAAAAGGAATTGTTGTTGCTACCATTGGCCAGAGCAGATGGCCTTACCACTGGCAATGGCCCAAGAATCTATAAAAATGTACAAATGGGGTTGTTGGCCAGCACATCCAGTGCTTAGATGACAGCCTGAAGTTCAGCCAATTGTGCTGACCCTTGGGTCCTGTCCTTTATCAGAGATGTCTAAGTTAAAAAGAAAAAGCAGCGGCTCTCCAGTGAGCTCTATCACATGTGATAGTGACTGCCATCCCTGAAGTGTGTGAAGTTCCTCTGCTGTTCACTCAGTTGATCCCAAGGGAATGCCCGAAGTAGCCAAGAGGTCTAAGGGTGGTGGCCTCCTCCAGCCTTGGCACCTGGCAAGGGACTGAGGACAGGAGAGGTCACCCTCTCTTCCAGTGGCCTCTCCTATGATGTGCCAGGGACATGCCAGGAGACACAGATTTGGCTCTATCCTGTAGAAACCATTTCCGTTTTATGAAAGAATCCTTGGTGGCCATGCTGAGCTTGTGGGGTGGTACTTTCATGACCTAACACATAGTGATTGGCAGCTGAGTACAGAAGTTCATATGCTTGGGGCCTATGATAGCATCTATCTCCAGAAGAGGCCAGTAAGTGATCAGCAGTTGCCATTTCAGGTTAATGACATGAGACCAAGGAAGACAGTCTCTCGCACCAGAACTCCATGGGTAATTTATGGCCATTATAGGTGGTCCCGAGATTACAGGAGGCACAAGGGGAGGTTGCCAATGCCTCTACGGTATGGGAGTCAATTGGGAAGTACCTGCTGTGTTGCAATTTGGACAGATTCCAGAGTCTTTTGTTATAAAGGGCCCTATTCAAGGTGAGCCAATTTATGAATAACATAAATGGGCTTAAGTAAAATTTGTAAATGAGGAATACATTGCCTTCAGTGCTCAAGGATCCCTAGAAGATGTTGAGCTTATTTTAAAATTGTGTGTGGTAAGAATGTCAATAGCTGTTTGACAGTGTCAGGAATGGAGTGATTTTCAGCTTACCAAATAATGATCACGAATTTAACTTAGAGGGGTGGGACTTTGCACTGTGTATAGATCAATGGCCCATTCTCTGTTGTGAGCTCCTCTGTCAGTGTCTGTATGTACTGAATGAGCATAGTAAATGTACTTCCTCAGATGAGGATGTCATCAATGTGTTATACACCATGTACCTATGCTCCTGGAGAAAGTTGAATGTGCCTGCAAAGACCGTATGTGATTTCAGACATTTGCCCACTCAAAGGTGAAGGCAAACTGCATCTGAAAGTCTATTGAAACAGGCAATAAACAGAGTGTATTAGCCAAATCTAGGATGCCAAGTATTTACCAGTTGCTGATTGGATGGAATTAGTGATTTCAATAGTAAGGTTGTGGTAATATACTATGAGGTGCCATTCATTCTCTCCAAGTTTAATAACAGGCCAAATTGAACTGTTAAATGGAGAAGCTTTAAATAGATCTTCTATGATGGGTTTCAATCCTTGAAGGCTCTGTCTTAATTTGGATTGGAACATATTAGCCATTTTAACTAAAAGGAGAAGGCCCATGGGGTTACTTTAAAAAAAAAAAAAAAAAGTCTTGCTCTGTCGCCAGGATGGAGTGCAGTGGTGTGATCTCAGCCCACTGCAACCTCCACCTCCTGGGTTCAAGTGATTCTCCTGCCTCGGCCTCCCAAGTAGCTGGAAATACAGGCGCCTGCCACCACACCCAGCTGATTTTTGTATTTTTAGTAGAGACAGGGTTTTACCATGTAGGCCAGGATGGTCTCGATCTCTTGACCTCGTGATCTGTCTGCCTCGGCCTCCCAAAGTGCTGGGATTACAGGCGTCAACCACCGCTCCTGGCTGGGGTCACCTTTTATCAAGCAAAGATTTCATTTGATCTTAATTTGTTACTTGTTGATTCAGAGTGTTCAGATCAATGTGCGATATATTAGGGCAATGAGTGCTGTGACATTGAGGAATTTAGGCAAGGCAATAGTTCTGATGGTTAAGGTGAAACATACCTGTTTGTTATCCATTATATGTTCAGTAAATGCCCTAATATTATAAGGAATACCTTGTTTAAATGTACTAGGATCTCTAGGTAAAACACTAATTTGATCCCCAGGATAGATTAAGGACAAACATTTACAAATTGATTCACAGTAGCAGATGTTAAACCTAATTCAGAGCCTACATTGTAGAGGCACAAAAGCAAATCAGTAGCCTTTTTACTGCATAAATGATTTTAGTAAATTTTGGATTTCAAATTGGATCAAATTGTGGGCCTCTGAGGTTTGTTTCCTTCCTTTGTGTTCATGTTTTGTTTTGTTCTATTTTGTTGGTGGTTCTATTTTCTTGGGGCAAGGGGGGAGGTACCTTCTTTATCCATTCCATAGTTATGTTTTTTTCCTCCAAAAAGACACAAATCACCATCATCATGGTTATGGGCCTCCTTTATAGCAATGCTTTTTTTTTCTTTTTTGAGATGGAGTTTCGCTCTTGTCACCCAGGCTGGAGTGCAGGGACGTGATCTCGGCTCACTGCAACTTCCACCTCCTGTGTTCAAAGTGGTTCTCCTGTCTCAGCCTCCCGAGTAGCTGGGATTACAGGCACTTGCCACCACACCCTGCTAATTTATTGTACTTTTAGTAGAGACAGGGTTTCACCACGTTGGGCAGGCTGGTCTTATACTCCTGATGTCAGGTGATCCACCTGCCTTGGCCTCCCAAAGTGCTGGGATTACAGGCATGAGACACCGCACCCGGCCAGCAATGGTTTCTTTATTGGGTTTAATGACTCCAGACTTAAGTCAGGCTGGAATTAACGTCTTCTTGACTGTGCCACACAACTGACATGGATGCTTTTTCCTTATAACCCTAAGGATAAGAATCTCTGTTTTGACAGAAGCGTCATCAGTAGCAACAACAAAGACATTTTATAGGATCTTAATGAGCCATTTACTTTTACTAAACTTAGCATACCACATAGTAACTGTTCTTCCACATGAGTGACCACCTGATGGGCGCTATATTATACGGGGCATCAGTCTTTCCACTGAGTTATCTATAGAACAGAGGAAATGCCTGCTTGAAATACACAACCAATAGCCAGAGAGTAAGAGTTATTCTCCTGAGTCCAGCATCAGTCACAGCTTATGTTGGAATCAAGACACACAATTTAATCTGAGACATGCAGGTAGGTCCAGATCAAGAGACCCAAGTCAGGTCCTATAGACCCCTAATTGTGTCCCCACCAAAAAAATTATATGTTAAAGTCCAAACCTCCAATATAACTGTATTTGGATATATGGCCTATAAGGAGGTAATTAGAGTTAAATGCGGTAACGAGTGTAGGGCCTTGATCCAATAAGATTGTTGTCCTTATGAGAAGAGATACCACAGAGCTCACTCTCCTTCTCTCTCTTTCCATACACATTAAGAAAAAAAAAACATGGGGGTGTAAAGTAGCCATCTAAAACCTAGGAATAGAGTCCCTACCAGAAGTTGGACCCAGCTGGAAACCTGATCTTAGACTTTTCTAGTCTCTAGTACTGTGAGAAAATAAAATTCTATTGTTTAAGCCACTCAGTCTGTGTTATTTTATAGTAGCCTGAACAAACTAATACAAAAGGCCATGTTTGAAAGGGCCCAATCTCATATTCCTGTCACTAAATGTTAATTATTGAAACTGCAAATTTAGGTCAGACTAATCTATGAGAGATTTGGTAGAACTCAGTAACACAAAGCAGCGTAGCTCAGAGTACAAGCTGGCAAGCAGGCAGCAAACAATAATATGACTTGAACAACCTGCTAGCCAGCAAGTATCAGAGTCAGTTATCAAGTCAAGGCAAGAAAAAGAAGCATCCCTGGTTGTGGTGGTAATCATTATCTAGGAACCTTGTTCACTGCACCAATTGTCATAGTCACCTTGCAGAGCCAGGATGGACCACCAAAACCAACATGTGTCAGGACTGATGAAACCACACACACAACCTAAGAGGATACAAAAAGTTTATTATTCACATAATGAGGCTTTCTGAAGGAAGCAGGGAGGACCCCCAAATGGATCTGAAAATAGCTTGAGAAAGCAGGGCGGGAAGGTTGGCTTGGGTTTCATTAAGGTAAGAGGGTAAGGCTGGTGTGTGGATTTCCAGGCATAGGCTTGTGCATGTGTGGTTTCAATATCCTACCAGCACCAAAAGAAGGAGCATGTGGGCTTTCTTATTAACTATCCCAGACGTGGGTCAAGAAGGAAATAGGAAAGGAAGGAATAGGGACTTTAAAAATATTAATAGTTAAATATCAAAAATTGAGTCAGACTCTGCATTATACAAGCTATCAATCAATATTGTATCCTTTGCTGTAATACCTCAAAGATATCTAAAAACAAGTTACTTCTTCAGTGTAATACACTACATCAGTAGGTTAAAGAAAATCACATGCTCATATCAATAGATGCCAAAAAAGTATTTGACAAAATTCAATAGATGTCAAAAAAAATTTTGACACCCATTCATGATAAAAACTCTCAGAAAAGTAGGAATAGAGGAAAATTTCCTCAACTTGATAAAAAATATCTCCAGTTAACATAATAATACTTAATAATGAGAAACTATAAGCTTTCCCACTAAGATCAGGAACAAGGTAAGGATGTCCCCTCTTGCTACTCCTTTTCAACATTGTACTGGTAGTCCTAGCTCATGCAACAAGACGAAAAAATAAAATAAAAAAAAAAAGGCATATAGAATGGCAAAAAGAAAATACAACAGTCTTTTTTTTAGCAGATGGCATGATCATCTATGTAAAAAATCAAAAGAATCAACAAAAACCTCCTGAAACTATTAAGTGATTGCAGCAAGGCTGTGGGATATAAGGTTAACATATGAAAGTCAATTGCTTTCCTATATATCAGCAATAAACAAGAATTTGAAATTTTAAAAATCCATGTGTATTATAAATATACAAAAATATACTTAGTTATAAATCTAACAAAAAATGTACAAGATCTATTTAAGAAAAGCTACAAACTCTTGAAAGAAATGGAAGAATTAAATAAATGTAGGGATATCCCATGCTCAAGGAGAGGAAGATCCAATATTGTCAAGGTGTCAAGTTCTCTCCAAGTTGATCTATAGACTCAATGCACTCCTAATCAAAATCCTAGCAAGTTATTTTTTAGATATTGGCAAACTGATTCTGAAGTTCACATAGAATGCAAAAGACCTAGAATAGCCAACACAATATTGGAGAAGAACAAAGTTGGAGAACTAATGCTACCCAACTTCCAGACTTATTATGAAGCTACATAATCAAAACAGTGTGATATTGGTGAAAGAATAGACAAATAGGTCAATGGGGCAAATAAAAAGTTCAGAAGTATATCCACATAAATATAGTCAACTGTTCTTATAAAAACAACACAATGGAGATAAAATAGTCTTTCAACAAATGATGGTGGAACAACTGGACGTCTCCACATATAAAAAAAAATCTAGACACAAACCTTATACCCTTTACAAAAAATTTATTTAAAATTGATCGCAGGTCTAAATGTAAAATGCAAAACTATAAAATTCCTAAAAGAGTTTAGGATAAAATTTAGATGACCTTAGATTTAACAATGACCTTTTAGATACATCAAAGGCATGATTCATTAAAGAAAGAATTGATAAGCTGGGCTTCACTAAAATTTAAAACTTCTGCTCTGTAAAATATATTGTGAAGAGAATAAAAAGACAAGCCACTAAGTGGGACAAACTATTTGCAAAAGACATGTCTGATTTAAAAACAAACTGTTATCCAAAATATACAAGTAACTCTAAAAACTCAACAAGAAAACAACCCAATTACAAAATAGGCCAAAGACCTTAAAGAACACCTCACCAAAGAAGATAGACATCAAGTAAACAACTGAAAAGATGTTCCACATCCTAGGCCATCAGGGAAATGCAAATTGAAACAATGCTTTTAGAATGGCCGAAATCCAGAAGTTAGACAATGCAAATACTGGCGAGGATGTGGAGCAAAACGAACTCTCATTCACGGCCAGTGGGAATGCAAAATGGTACAGCCACTTTGGAAGACAGTTTGATGGTTTCTTAAACTGAACATACTCTTACGATACAATCTAGCAACGTCACTCCTTAGTATTTACCCCAAATGAGTTGAAAACTTATGCCACACAAAAACCTGTACATGGATGTTTATAGAAGCTTTATACATAATTGCAGAACTTGGAAGCAACCAAAATATCCTTTAGCATATGAATGGATGAAAAAACCATGATACATTGAGACAATGGAGTATTATTCAGCACTAAAAAGAAATGAGCTATCAAGACATAAAAAGACATGGAGAAAACTTAAATGCATATGACCAAGTGAAAGAAATCAGTCTGGAAAACTCTCTACTGTGTGATTCCAACTATATGACAAGCTGGAAAAGGAAAAACAATGAAGACAGTAAAAAGATCAGTGGCTGTCAAGAATTGGTCGGGAGGAAGAAAAGAATAGAGCACAGAGGACTTTTAGGACAGTAAAACTATTCTGTATGAGACTATAATGGTGGATGCATGCCATTATAAATTTATCCAAACCCATAGAATGTAAAACACCAAAAGGTAACCCTAATGTAAACTGTGGACTTTGAGTGCAGATGATGTGTCAGTGTAAATTTATCAATTACAATCAATTTACCACGATGGTAGGGAATGTTGATAATAGGGGAGGCTATGCATGTAGAGGAACAGGGAATATGGTCTGTGTACCTTCTTCTCAATTTGGCTATGAATCCAAAACTGCTCTAAAACAAAAAGTCTTTAAAAATTTTCAGCAGTCAAGGGATAAAATGGCCAACCAGACACAGCTAGGAAGCACCACCCACACTGAGAGACCCCAAGGTTTTGTGTAAACCAACATAATTTGGACAGATCTTTAGGAAGAAAACACCAAGACCAAGAGTGGATAAAGACATGATGCAGATGCTGAGGCTGAGGAGACAGAAGGCTGGGAACCCTGCATGGAGTAGTCAATTACTGGGCCTAGTTCCCAGACCCAAACAGCTCCTGGGGAATGGGTGAGTGAAAGAACTGTGGGACTGCCCACCCTCATCAGGAACCTTTAGGATCTTGGCTACAGGGAGCCCCACATCTGCCAAGAATGTTTGAACTTACAGGGGAGTCTGTTCAGAGAGTAGACAGAGGTGAGTCTTCAGCCAGTGCAGAACCAGGGTCTTTGTGCACAGTGCAGCTGCAGCTGAGCATGGTCATAGGAACCCATTCCCCAGGGCTGCCCATATCCCTCCAAGAAGCTTTAACCCCAGCTGATCACTGAGCCAGGAACAATCACAGCCAACCTCTCCAGTGGACTGGGGCACATCTGTTTTGCAGGTCCTCCTGTCCCCCACCTCCTCCCAGGGCCCCTATGTGGCCACCATGCAAAATCATGTGTACAATACAGCCTCCACTGCCCAACCTGGATGCTTTGCTCTACCTGATTATGTTCTCAGTGACCCAGAGCAGCCTTAAAAGAAATTCCAACCAAGAATTTTGTTTCCTGCCAAACAAAGCTTTATAAGTAAAAGAGAAATAAAATCCTTCTCAGACAAGCAAATGGTTAGGAAATTCATTTCAACTAGACAAGCCTTACAAGAGGTCCTTAAGGGAGTGTTAAACATGGAATGGAAAGAACATCTACTACCACAAACACACACTTAAGCATAGCCCAAAGTCACTATAAAGCAACTACACAACCATATCTACATAACACAACGTAATTGTGTGTTGTGTGCTAACACAATGACAGGTCAAAATCTCACATTATCAATACTAATCCTGAATGTAAATGGGCTAAATGCCCCACTTAAAAGACAGAGTGCCAAGCTGGATAAAAAGACAAGACCCAACTATCTACTATCTTCAGGAGACTCATCTCATGTGTAATGACACCCATTGGCTCAAAGTAAAGGAGTGGAGAAAGATCTATCATGCAAATGGAAAACAAAAAAGCAGGAGTCACTATTCTTATTTCAGATACAACAGACATTAAACGAATAAAAATTAAGAAGGACACTCCATAATGACAAAGGGTACAATCCAACAAGAATACTCAACTGTCCTACACATATATGCACCCAACATTGAAGCACCTAGATTCATAGAACAAATTATTCTTGGCATACAAAAAGACTTAGACAACCACACAATAGTAAGAAACTTAAATATTCATACTGACAGCAATAGACAGATCAAGGCAGAAAATTAACAAAGAAGCTCTGAAAGTCAACTTGATACTTGACCAACTGAACCCAACAGACATCTACAGAACACTCCACGCAACATATACAACATGTACATTCTTCTCATCTACATACAGAACATAGTCTAAGATTAACCACATGCTCAGTCATAAAAAAGTCTCAATTTTTAAAAAAAATTTAAGTCGCACAATGCATCTTCTCAGACAACAATAAAAATAGAAATCAGTATCAAGAATATCTTTTCAAATTACACAAAAGCATGGGAATTAAACAACTTTCTCCTGAATAGCTCCTGAGTGAACATTAAAATTAAGTCAGAAATTTAAAAAAAATTAAATCCATAAAAATAGAAATAAAACTTACAAACTCTCTGGGATGCAGCTAAAGCAATATTAACAGGAAAGTGTACAGTGCTAAGTACCTTAATCAAGAAGTTAGATCTGAAATTAACAATCTGACTTTACCCCTAAAGGAACTAGGAAAAAAACAAACCCAAAAGGTAGAAGGAAAAGAATAACTAAAACTATAGAAGAAATGAACAAAATTAAAATGCAAAAATCTATGCAAAAGATCAATAAAACCAAGAGTTTATTATTCAAATACATACACAAGATTCATAGATCCCTGGCTAGATTAACAAAGAACAAAAAGAAGATCCAAATAACTACAATCAAATGACAAAGATAACATTACAACCAATCCCACAGAAATACAAAGATCCTTAGAGAATACTATGAATGACTCTATGCAAACAAATTAGAAAATCTAGAGGAAATTAATCAACTCCTAGAAACACATGATCTCCCAAGATGAATCAGGAAGAGACTGAAATCCTGAACAGACCAATATCAAGCTCTGAAGTTGAATCAGTGATAAAAAAGAAAACCTACCAACCAAAAAAAGTCCTGGACCAAATGGATTCACAGACGAATTCTACCATACATACAAAAAAGAACTGGTATCAGTCCTACTAAAACTATTCTAAAAATTGAGGAGGAAGGCCTCCTTTCTAACTCATTTTATAAAGCCAGCATCGGCCTGATACTAAAACCTGGCAGAAACACAATGAGAAAAGAAAACTTCAGGCCAGTATCCCTGCTGACCATAGACACAGAAATCCTCAACAAAATACTAGCAAGCCAAATCCAGCAGCATGTCAAAAAGTTAATACACCACAATCAAGTAAGCTTTATTCCTAGGATGCAAGGCTAGTTCAAATACACAAATTAATAAATGTGATTCATCACATAAATAGAAGTAAAAGCAAAAATCATATAATCATCTCAATAGATGAAGAAAAGGCTTCTGACAAAATCCAACATACCTTCATGATAAAAGCCCTCAGAGTAGGCATCAAAGTAACATATCTCAAAATAAGAAGCATCTATGACAAACCCATAGCCAACATCATACTGAATGGGCAAAACGTAGACCATTCTCTCAAGAACTGGAAAAAGACAAGGATGCCCACTCTTACCACTCCTATTCAACATAGTACTGGAAGTCCTAGCCAGAGTCATCAAGCAATAGAAATAAAAGGCATCCAAATAGATAAAGAGTAAGTCACACTATCTCTCTTCACTAACAATATGATTCTATGTCTAGAAGCTCTTAAAGATTCTGCCAAAAGGCTCCTGGAACTGATAAATTTAATACAACTTCAGGATATAAAATCAATGTACAAAAGCAGTAGCATTTCTATACACCAGTAACATCCAAGCTGAGAGTCAAATCAAGGACACAATCCCACTTGCAATAGCCACAAAAAAGTGAAATACCTAGGAATTCATATAACCAAGGAAGTGAACTATCTCTACAGGAGAATTATAAATTACTGCTGAAAGAAATCAGACAACACAAATAAATGGAAAAGCATTCCATGCTTATGGATAGGAAGAATCAATATTGTTAAAATGGCTCTCCTGACCAAAGCAATGTACAGATTCAACACTATTTCTATGAAACTACCAATATCATTCTTCACACAATTAGAAAAAACTATTTTAAAATTTATATGGAACCAAAAAACAGCCCAAATAGCCTAACGAATCCTGAGCAAAAAGAACACAGTTGAAGGCATCACACTACCCAACTTCAAACCAGACTATAAAGCTACAGTAAACAAAGCAACATGGTACTTTCTGCAAACCCAGACACACAGACCAATGGAACAGAATAGAGAACTGAGACATAAACTCAGACACCTAAAACCCTCTGATCTTTGACAAGGCTGACAAAAACAAACAATAGGGCAAGGACTCTCTATTCAATAAATGATGCTGGGATAACTGGCTATCCATATGCAGAAGAATGAAACTGGATTCTTACCTTTCTCCATATGCGAAAATTAGCTCAAGATGGATTAAAGATTTAAATGTAAGATCTCAAACTATAAATATGCTGGAAGAAAACCTAGGAAATACCCTTCTTGACACAGGCTTTAGCAAAGAATTTTTGGCTAAGTCCTCAAAATCAATTGCAATGAAAACAAAAATTGACAAGTGAGATCTGTTTAAATTAATGAACTTCTGCACAGCAAAAGAAACTGTCAAGAGGGAAAAGAGACAACCTACAAAATGGGAGAAAATATTCACAAACCTGTGCGTCCGACAAAGGTCTAATATATAGAATCTATAAGGAACTTAAATAAACAAGCACAAAACAAACAATCCCATTAAAAATTAGGCAAAGGACATGAACAGGCACTTCTCAAAAGACATACAAGCAGCCAACAAACTTTTTTTTTTTTTTATACTTTAAGTTTTAGGGTACATGTGCACAATGTGCAGGTTAGTTACATATGTATACATGTGACATGCTGGTGTGCTGCACCCACTAACTCGTCATCTAGCATTAGGTATATCTCCCAATGCTATCCCTCCCCCCTCCCCCCACCCCACAACAGGCCCCGGTGTGTGATGTTCCCCTTCCTGTGTCCATGTGTTCTCATTGTTCAATTCCCACTTATAAGTGAGAATATGCGGTGTTTGGTTTTTTGTTCTTGCGATAGTTTACTGAGAATGATGGTTTCCAATTTCATCCATGTCCCTACAAAGGACATGAACTCATCATTTTTTATGGCTGCATAGTATTCCATGGTGTATATGTGCCACATTTTCTTAATCCAGTCTATCATTGTTGGACATTTGGGTTGGTTCCAAGTCTTTGCTATTGTGAATAATGCCACAATAAACATATGTGTGCATGTGTCTTTATAGTAGTATGATTTATAGTCCTTTGGGTATATACCCAGTAATGGGATGGCTGGGTCAAATGGTATTTCTAGTTCTAGATCCCTGAGGAATCACCACACTGACTTCCACAATGGTTGAACTGGTTTACGGTCCCACCAGCAGTGTAAAAGTGTTCCTATTTCTCCACATCCTCTCCAGCACCTGTTGTTTCCTGACTTTTTAATGATTGCATTCTAACTGGTGTGAGATGGTATCTCATTGTGGTTTTGATTTGCATTTCTCTGATGGCCAGTGATGGTGAGCATTTTTTCGTGTGTTTTTTGGCTGCATAAATGTCTTCTTTTGAGAAGTGTGTGTTCATGTCCTTCGCCCACTTTTTGATGGGGTTGTTTGTTTTTTTCTTGTAAATTTGTTTGAGTTCATTGTAGATTCTGGATATTAGCCCTTTGTCAGATGAGTAGGTTGCAAAAATTTTCTCCCATTCTGTAGGTTGCCTGTTCACTCTGATGGTAGTTTCTTTTGCTTTACAGAAACTCTTTAGTTTAATTAGATCCCATTTGTCAATTTTGTCTTTTGTTGCCATTGCTTTTGGTGTTTTAGACATGAAGTCCTTGCCCATGCCTATGTCCTGAATGGTAATGCCTAGGTTTTCTTCTAGGGTTTTTATGGTTTTAGGTCTAACATTTAAGTCTTTAATCCATCTTCAATTGATTTTTGTATAAGATGTAAGGAAGGGATCCAGTTTCAGCTTTCTACATATGGCTAGCCAGTTTTCCCAGCACCATTTATTAAATACGGAATCCTTTTCCCATTGTTTGTTTTTCTCAGGTTTGTCAAAGATCAGATGGTTGTAGATATGCGGTGTTATTTCTGAGGGCTCTGTTCTGTTCCATTGATCTCTATCTCTGTTTTGGTACCAGTACCATGCTGTTTTGGTTACTGTAGCCTTGTAGTATAGTTTGAAGTCAGGTAGTGTGATGCCTCCAGCTTTGTTCTTTTGGCTTAGGATTGACTTGGCGATACGGGCTCTTTTTTGGTTCCATATGAACTTTAAAGTAGTTTTTTCCAATTCTGTGAAGAAAGTCATTGGTAGCTTGATGGGGATGGCATTGAATCTGTAAATTACCTTGGGCAGTATGGCCATTTTCATGATATTGATTCTTCCTACCCATGAGCATGGAATGTTCTTCCATTTGTTTGTATCCTCTTTTATTTCCTTGAGCAGTGGTTTGTAGTTCTCCTTGAAGAGGTCCTTCACATCCCTTGTAAGTTGGATTCCTAGGTATTTTATTCTCTTTGAAGCAATTGTGAATGGGAGTTCACTCATGATTTGGTTCTCTGTCTGTTGTTGGTGTATAAGAATGCTTGTGATTTTTGTACATTGATTTTTTATCCTGAGACTTTGCTGAAGTTGCTTATCAGCTTAAGGAGATTTTGGGCTGAGACAATGGGGTTTTCTAGATATACAATCATGTCATCTGCAAACAGGGACAGTTTGACTTCCTCTTTTCCTAACTGAATACCCTTTGTTTCCTTCTCCTGCCTAATTGCCCTGGCCAGAACTTCCAACACTATGTTGAATAGGAGTGGTGAGAGAGGGCATCCCTGTCTTGTGCCAGTTTTCAAAGGGAATGCTTCCAGTTTTTGCCCATTCAGTATGATATTGGGTGTGGGGTTTGTCATAGATAGCTTATTATTTTGAGATATGTCCCATCAATACCTAATTTATTGAGAGTTTTTAGCATGAAGGGTTGTTGAATTTTGTCAAAGATCTTTTCTGTATCTATTGAGATAATCATGTGGTTTTTGTCTTTGGTTCTGTTTATATGCTGGATTACATTTATTGATTTGCATATATTGAACCAGCCTTGCATCCCAGGGATGAAGCCCACTTGATCATGATGGATAAGCTTTTTGATGTGCTGCTGGATTTGGTTTGCCAGTATTTTATTGAGGATTTTTGCATCAATGTTCATCAAGGATATTGGTCTAAAATTGTATTTTTTGGTTGTGTCTCTGCCGGGCTTTGGTATCAGGATGATGCTGGCCTCATATAATGAGTTAGGGAGGATTCCCTCTTTTTCTATTGATTGGAATAGTTTCAGAAGGAATGGTACCACTTCCTCCTTGTACCTCTGGTAGAATTTGGCTATGAATCCATCTGGTCCTGGACTCTTTTTGGTTGGTAAGCTATTGATTATTGCCACAATTTCAGCTCCTGTTATTGGTCTATTCAGAGATTCAACTTCTTCCTGGTTTAGTCTTGGGAGGGTGTATGTGTCGAGGAATTTATCCATTTCTTCTAGATTTTCTAGTTTATTTGCGTAGAGGTGTTTGTAGTATTCTCTGATGGTAGTTTGTATTTCTGTGGGATCAGTGGTGATATCCCCTTTATCATTTTTTATTGCATCTATTTGATTCTTCTCTCTTTTTTTCTTTATTAGTCTTGCTAGCAGTCTATCAATTTTGTTGATCCATTCAAAAAACCAGCTCCTGGATTCATTGATTTTTTGAAGGGTTTTTTGTGTCTCTATTTCCTTCAGTTCTGCTCTGATTTTAGTTATTTCTTGCCTTCTGCCAGCTTTCGAATGTGTTTGCTCTTGCTTTTCTAGTTTTTTTAATTGTGATGTTAGGGTGTCAATGAAAACGCTCAATATCACTTATTAGGGGAATGCAAATCAAAACTACAATGAGATAACATCCCACACCAGTCAAAATGGCAATTGTTAAGAAATCAAAAAACAAACAGATGCTTGTGAGGCTGCAGAGAAAAAGCAACACTTACACTGTTGGTGGAAATGTAAATTAGTCCAGCCATTGTGGAAAGCAATTTGGAGATTTCTCAAAGAACTTAAAACAGAGCTCCCATTTGACTGAGCAACCCCATTACTGGGTATATACCCAAAGAAAAATCATTCTACCAAAGACACACGTACTCGTATGTTCATCACAATGGTACGTACAATAGCAAAGACATGGAATCACCCTAGGTGACCATCTGTGGTAGAGTGAATTGGGTAAAGAAAATGTGGTATATACACACCATAGAATTCTATGCAGCCCTAAAAAAGGACAAAATCATGTCCTTTGCAGCAACATGGATGCAGCTGGATGCCATTATCCTAAGTGAATTAACATAGGAACAGAAAACCAAATGCTGCATGTTCTCATTATGAGGAGGAGATGAACATTGAGCACACATGGACATAAACATGGGAATAATAGGCACTGCAGACTATGAACAGAAAAAGTAGGAAGGGGGTCATGCCTGGAAAAACTACCTATTGGGTACTATGCTCAGTACCTCTGTGATGAGATTCATACCCCAAATCTCAGCATCACGCAATATACCCATAAAACAAACCTGTACATGCACCCTCATATCTAAAATAAAAGATGACTTAAAAAAAAGAATCCAGTTGCAGCAACACACCAGGTCCAAAAAAATTGTTTAGTAGTCAAACATCAAAATAGAGTCAAACTGATAATACAAGCATCCCTGAGTACAATATCCTGTGTTATTATACCTCAAACATGTCTAAAATCAAGCAATTTCTGTTACTAATTTGGGTATTAACCATTATAGACAACATTCTGTGACCATCAGTCAGGAGCAACCAAGGATCATAAAGTAGTATAGGTTATGTCAGATTCCCATTGGTCACCCATGTCCACATGCATTCCCAAGTATTTCGAATGACCTAAATGTGAAATCTATAATTCCTGTACTCAGTGCCACCTAGAACTCCACCATTTTATAAAGCATTACTCCCCATACTTGAGGTAATAATTGCCTCTCTTCTGCTAATGGCTAATCTGAGCCACCACCAGTGAGGTTCTTCCATCCTAGCCCATATTGCCACTCTATACATATTAACTGAATTACCACCTTGGGAATCTTATCTCATTTATTCACATCTACAATAATTCAATATAGCACCATGACAAAATTCAAATAGCAAGTGATAAATTCTATTTTCATAGTGACATTAACAATAACATTCATCATTCATGTTGCATTTTACTATAACAAATGGGCTAGGCTTCATCATCAGAATGTCTGTCTGGACTTTAAGCTACGTAAGTACCTTTAGTCAGGCTCATGCATACTCCATAAACAATGTGGGATCCTATTTGGAGATGATATTAATTAAGGAGTTCTTTTTATCATTGTTATTTTTATTAGATGTTCCTTCTGAAAATTCTTATAAGAGTAATTCCTTCATAAAATTCTTATGAGAGTAAGCCCGAGTAGGGTAATCAATGCTTTCAGCCAGTGGATGATATTAAATATGTTTGAAATCCTTAGAAATGAATATACTCTCATCATTGAATCCATAAGCTTTCATCTTGCACAACACCACAAAATTTCTTGTAATAAGCATTATCTACTCCCCCACATATGACATATTTCCACAATACTGGCCTTATGGGATACTGTGGCCACCTTAGAAATGTATTTACTTTTATTAAAGAATAAACTATTATTAAAATCAGAGACAGAACCTCATAGCAGGTCAACAGTTACTCCTACCTAAAGATGTTGGCAGCAACACTGTAATAAGCAGAATTCCAAGATAGTCCCCAAGATTCCCACCCCCTGGAGTACATACCCTGTATAATTCCTACTCCTTGAGTGTGGGCAGAACTTGTGAATATGAGGAGATTTCACTCCCATCGTTACATTAAATTATATGGCATAAGTGAATGGATTTTAACAGATGTAATTTAAGGTTCCTAATAAGTGGACTTTGAGTTAATTGAAAGGGAAACTATCTTGGGTATACTTGTCTTGAATCAGGTGAGAACTTTTTACAAAAAGTTCTGAAGTTCAGACGTAGAAGAATCAGAATCAAAGCAGGAGATACTCTCTTCCTGGCAATGGAGAAGCAAATTTCCATGGTGCAGAAAGGGCCACACGGTAGGGAAGAACAAACAGCTTCTAAGAACTGAAGGCCTTCAGGTCTCAATCACAGCGAATTGAATTCTGCCATCAACCAGTGATCCTGGCCTCAGATGAGCTCACAGCCCTAGCCAACAACTTGATTTCAGCCTGATGAGACCCTGAGCAGAGACCCATATAACCTATGGTAGACCCCTAACCCACAGAAACTACAGGATAATGAATTTGTGTTGCTTTAAGCCTCTAAGTTTGTGTTAATTTGTTGTGCAGCAATAGAAAACAAATGCCATAATTCATGTAGACTTAGTCTGTAACTTCAGAATCATACTCATCTTCAATGTTTATACCTGGATCTATGGCAGAGGCAAATTTGTCTCTTTTTATAATGACCCACATTCCTCAGAGCTATTCAAGCTACCAGAAATCAATGAGAAAGATTAATAATCAATAATGGTGAATGGTGACTTCACTGAAATTACAATTCCTGTCACAAGCTTTTGTTCAGACTCTGCAGGGAAGAGGAGAAGATAATGAATAAGATGCCTTCATTTGGTATCCACGGGCCACAGAGTCAGGAATGGATTATAAGTACTTGACAGAAAAGCAAACTGCAAATGGATTTAACAGTTGTTTCTTCAGTGGTGTTTGGAAGCTCCTCAGCCACTGTGAAAAAAATTTCCTACAGCTGGCTTATTTATCTGGAATTATTGGCACAGGGATAGCTGGTAGAATGGGTTCCAAAAGGAAAGCCTTTGCAATGGTAAAAGCATAATCTCAAAATATAAAGGGAGAGTAGAGCCATCTGCTTGATGGGTCAAGCAGTGTATTAATTATCTATTGCTGCATAACAAATTTCTCCAAAACTTAGCAGCTTAAGACAATAAAACTGTGTTATCTCTGAGGGTCATAAATCCAGAAGTCATTTTGTGGGGTCGTTCTGGCTCTGGATTTTCTATGAGGTTGCAGTCAAGCTGCACCGGAGCTGCAGTGATTTGGAGGCTTGATTGAGACAGAAGGATTTGCATCCAAGCTCACTAACTTGGCTGTTAGCAAGAATGTTCTGTTTAGACCTTTCCATAATGCTGCTCACTAAATGGTAGTTGGCTTTCCCAAAGTGAGTGACCTAAGAAAGGCAATCAGGACAAGAAAGGGTATCAGGAGAGGAAAGGAAGAGAGAGAAATAAAGATGGAACCACAGTATATTGTATAACCTAATCTTGGAAGTGACATACTATCACTTTTGCCATATCTAGTTTATCATAAAGACAAACCCTGGTGCAATATGGAAGGTTACTAACTACACAAGGGAGTAAACACCAGAAGGTAGGGTCACCAGGGCCATCTTGGAGGCTGGCTACTACAGGTGGGGAATTTGGACCAAGATTTTAGTCTGGTTCATACACTTCACGACCTGGCACCCCACCAAAAATCAGAATACAATCCATATATGTGAGGCTGAAAGTATTCCACGGGGTTGGTACTTTGGAGATCCCACTACATTGGGATAAAATGTCCAAGGTACCAGCAAATACAGATTTCCAATGCCTACCTTCCCCTACTATTGATTATCTCTCTTTAACAACCCTCAAATTATGTGGTCATTTGGGCCTTCTCAGCTGGGAGATATGATTTGAGCATCACAACTGATGACCTAAAATATTCTCACTAACTGCTTGGATATGTGTATTGTCCTGCTTCAATATCTGACTGATAAAACCTACTTTGGATCAATTTTACTGACTTAGCCAGGGTTTCCCACAAAAACAGAACCTGAGAATGTGTTTGGGAAACACAAGTCCATGACCTCAAGGGAAAGAAGAAAGTGAAATGAGGCCCGGGAACAGGCGAATCATTGTGTTGGCTGCTACTTCAGGACAGGTCACAGAAGGCTGCTCATGAGGCAGGATCTGTTAGGAAAATATGCAGGGAGAAATCACACCTGAGCGGGGTCAGACTCAGCAGCAACTGAGGCGGAGGGAAAGGTTCTGAGAGATGGCAGCACCAAGATAATCTGAGGAGGCACATGAAACCCACGTCAATTATACCCAATTGTCTTATTTGTCCCTATAATGAGACTTGGAAGAAAATTCGCCAACTAAGCAAATCTGTGCTTCTCACACTCTAGCCCCCATCCCTAACTGTTCATAATGTGTGACTAGATTCCCTGGGACTATTCTCCTACCACTGCTCCTCTCTGACTTGTACTGGCCTCTGCTTTCATTGCTGGGATAGGATGATCTTAATGGTGACTGTGATAAGGAAACGATTTGAGGGCAAAACCTAAACCCTAAATGAGATAGGCATGTGGCAGCTGAGAGATAAAAGGGAATAGTGTATGAAGTGATTCTCTGATTTTTCTTTCATTTAATTCCACAAAGTTGGTTCAACACAGACTCAGCATTTCCCATTCAGACCCATTAAGGTCCTTCCTCACAAATAACGTGAAGATCTTGCCCAAGGGTGGTTCCTGCACGTTCTTGGTCTTAGATGCTTCCCTTAACCAACAGCTTGAATGTGAAAATTCTTCTCTGAGAAGGATTTTACACTTCTTGAAAAGTGCTATTAGCCTTCACAGAGACAGAAAACAGTTCTCCGAAGAACAGAGTATCAAGATGTATCTATCCCTACATCAAAGACAAATTTGGGGGTTTCTGTTTTATTATAGTACACAACAGTTCAGGTCTTTAGGAACAATACTCAAATGTTTCCATTTCAGAGATAGATTTTCTAAAACAAAAGCCTATAATTAGGTGGCATCCACGGTTCAATGGAAAAAATCTACTCTATAAATATGTTTCGACAATAATCTCTTAAAATAGATGCTGATCAGCTGCTCTTGGCTTTGAAATAGGTTCCTACAGTTCATCCCATATTGCATGCCTCCTTTCCAGAATAGGAGAAATGAAGTCCTCATTTATAGAGCTTGCCTACTTCTATAGACAGCACACTGGGTCCAGATGCAAAAACAACTGCATTTTCCCCTTTTCCCAAAATCGAGATCCAAGCTACAATCTATCCAGTATCTAGAATTGAAGGTAGTGCATGGCATCCTGAGTTGTTGTGGCAGGAATAGAGATGCACAACTCAGATACTCCTTCAAGAAAAGATTTCTCACCCAGCTATGAGGAGTATAGTTAGCTGACACCCTCCAGCTATTTACTCCTTTACATTTTTGAGCTATCATTTTTTCAGGATGGATCCAACCAATAACTGAGTAAGACTGTGGTAAAAATGGTCTAATCATTTCACCTCTAATGGACAAGTTTTTCTCTGAAACTCTGAAACTTCCTACTTGGCTGGCAGAGACCTTGAGAAGCATTATGGTCTGACCTCCTTTGTCAATCCTCTTTCATTTTTCCTTTCACAGATATTACTCCTCAGTAAACCTTTTGCATTCCTTAACACCATCATAGTGTGTGCTCCATGGGGACCCAACTTACACAATAGTATCAGATGTGATCTGAGAAACCAGACAGGCTATAAAATGGGATTTGGAGACTGGATCACCTACTGACTGGATGGCAACAAGGACCCTGTGGAGCACAGATAGTCCCTGGAACCAGATAATAGCACAAATGCTAACATGTTCACTGGTAATAACTTGAGAGAATGTTTTGGTGGAAAAGAATGTCCTGGCAGTTTCAATGATTTAAGCATTTAAAAATGGAAATAAAGCAATTCATACTAGTACAATAGAATTAGCTCATTACTTGACCAGGCATGGTGGCTCATGCCTGTAATCCCAGCACTTTGGAAGGCCAAGGAGGGTGAATCACTTGAGGTCAGGAGTTCAAGACCAGCCAGCCTGGCCAACATGGTGAAACCCTGTCTCTACTAAGAATACAAAAATTAGCCGGACATGGTGGCACATGCCTGTAATCCCAGCTACTCTGGAGGCTGAGGCAGGAGAACTGCTTGATCCTGGGATGTAGGGGTTGCAGTGAGCTGAGATCAAACCACTGAACACCAGCTTGGGTGACAGCAAGACTGTTGCGCAAAAAAAAAAAAAAAAAAAAAAAAAGGAATTAGCTTGTTATTGAGTTGCATTGATACCCTTAAAAGGTATAATTTAAAAAAATGAGAACATTGAAAAACAAGTTGTGAAGACCAGAAGGAATCTTTTTTAGATTTAAAAGATGGCTTATCTGATACAATGGAAGAGCAAAAGAAAAAGATCAAACTCAGGATTCAATAATAAAAGTCATACAACTTCAAAACTGAATGTTTAGCCAAGAAGCAGGTCTGTTGCGAAAGCCTGAGACACGAACGATGAGGACAGCTGGGTGGTTGTACACAAAGCTTTTGACAAACCAGACTGCTCTGAATCCTTAGAACTTGCAGAGCTGCCTCTCCTCCCATTAAGAGTTAGCAATCCCTTCCTGTGTGAAGACACTTTAGAGACCCATTACTTAGAAGGCAACAGACACCCCTCTAAGGTTTTACCATCACCTCCCTTTCTAGCTGCCAGATCAATAACTTACGGTATGTTAACACATCTGGAGATGTGCAGAAGAAAGGATTGATATTCCAAAGAAGCTGCAAAAACATCCTGATGGTATCCAAGGAGTTCAAAGTGGACATGGACTTTGAGAATGTGTGATCAAAAGGCCTGGAACGTAAGACTAAGTTAGAGTTTATTGACTCAGGGAGCACCATCTCAGGATATGAGATTTTGACGGTGACAAGTACTCTAGGGGGTAGTGTAAGTCACTGTTAGACTGACCCCTAGAAGACTGGAGAAAATCATCATCCAAGCTGGGTGAACTTGTGATGTCTGAGTTTCCATGCAGATTGTAGAGAAAGGAAGGTGACGGCTCAGATGTGGTATACAATACTGTTTTTATAGTTAACATTACTATAATGTGGACTTAAACATTTGTTAAGAGGGTAAATCTTAAGTGTTCTTACAACAATAAAAAATATTTTAAAAAAATAGGTAGAAGTCTCAGGAAAGTGGACATTGCTGGAATTAACCCATTATATGAGACCAGAAGACCCACTAGAAAATTAAATTGCATGAGAAGACTGAAAAGGCACACTATTCACCAAGGTCATCAGAAATGTGCTAGTAAGGAGACAGCAGCATCACTTAAAAGTTCAGCCAGGGTTGACAGTAGGAGAGGTTGTTGTAGAGCTTGGCTTATTGACAATAATGTGAGGAAGGAGCCCCTAAGCAATACAGGCTAGCTGGCAGCACACTTAACTCCCAGAAGCCAGGACATCTCAATTACCACAACAGCAAGTAACCTCACTGGTATTTTTTTGGCAGTGTCCCCAACCCAAATTCATCTTGAATTGTAATTCCCATAATCCCCACATTATGGGAGGTAATTGAATCATGGGGTCAGTTACCCACATGCTGCTGCTCGCGTAATAGTCAGTGAATTCTCACGTGATCTGATGGTTTTATAAGGGGTTCTCCCCCTTTTGCTTGGCAGTTCTCCTTGCTGTTGCCATGTGAAGAAGGACATGTTTGCTTCTCCTTCCATCATGATTGTAAGTTTCCTGAGGCCTTCCCAGCCATGCTGAACTGTGAGCCAGTTAACCTCTTTCCTTTATAAATTACTCAGTCTCTGGTATGTCTTTATTAGCAGTGTAAGAATGAACTAATACACTCATGGTGACAGCCAACGAGGCTTGACCCACAGAGTGGTGGAGATAGTTAGTAGAACATGGCTCCCTATGGGGAAAATGGGTGGGAACCCAGTGAAAATAATGAGTGAAAATAAAATACCAAACGAATGAATGACTAGAAAGCTAAAACTTATCACCAAATAAAAAATTAAAATCCCTTGCCCAGTTTCCAGACTTAAGCCAGTTTTCAAACAAACCTATAACCTGATAACTAAAATGGCAGCCAGGTCACAAGGACAAAGGACCCTGAAACATTATAGCAAATGTATACTGAAATTATTCCCCTGGTCTTTTCCAAAATTGAACAATGCTATTTACTCAGATAACTGCACAATGGGGAAAAGAGAACATTCTGACAACTCAGACCTTGTGTGTCCTATGGCTCTCAGAAAGTCCTTGATACTCAGAGACCTGAAGCACTGTCATAGCTCCCATTTAGAATGAGGGAATAAAGAGTATAGGTATTAAGTGAAGTCCTGACAAAAGTTCAGCTTATGGTGAATCCACTGGATCCCTGAACACATTCAGTGGTCATTTCTCTAGTTACCTACTGTGTAATTGGAATTGTATACCTAGCAGTTGAAGTAACCCTCACTTGGTCTTTTGCTTTTCCACTATTATAGCTGTTCCCCCATAAGCCAACTGGAAGTTTCTGAAGCTATCCCCTCCCAACTCCCTAATCAAGGTAGTAAATCAAGAACAGTGTCATATTTCATGGTGTGGTAGGTGTGGTAAAAACTATCAGAATTAAACATACAAAGGATGCAAAGGTGGTGGTTTCTTTCATAGTTTCCTTATATTCCTCAGCTGCCCCCTGCAGACACCAGATGCAATCTATAAAGTGACTATAAATGACTATAAATCTATAAAATGACAAGTTCAACCAAGTGATAGTCCCAATCATAATTTTCATGCTGGTCATGGTGTCATTGCTAGAGCATTTATGTGATATTCAACTACTGATTTGGAAGTGAGTTATTTTATATCCCAAACAAGAATGTCAGACACAGTTTGCCTTCACATGAAGAGACAACCATATACATTCACAACAGAAGATCCAGTGTTTCTAAAACAAAGATATGCCATCTGCAGCAAAGAATTACCTACTGTTTGATAAACAGCTGTTGGCACGTTTCTGAGCTTCAGTATAAATGGAGTGCTTGACTGTGGGATACCAAGTGCCCATACATCCAGAAATGCCCATAGAGAGCTGTATACTTCTGGCATCCTCCAAGTCATAAAACTTGGTCAGCTCAGAGGAATACATAGTAATATAGAAATGACACATTCAAGACCAAACATGAGCAGGACCAAGAGCACATGCAACACCATGAGCAGATAGCCCAGATTCCCACATCACTCACCACTACTGTACCCCTACTGCACTTTGACAAGATAAATAAGGAGGGAAAATTATGAACTTGATTTATGTTTGGGTTAGCTCAGTACATGCTTGCAAGACAAAAAATAGACAGCTGTTTCACTCAGGAATGGCCTGGCAAGACAGTACAGATAGAAAATCCTAGTGGGCAATGCTTTAAAAGTACACCTGGCATCTATTTTGTGTGGAAGGTAAAGTGGTCCAAGGTTATAATATATGTAGGAAAAATAATGGGAAGATCAAAGAAAAGCAAGTCTAGAAAAGAGGCATGGAGAGACATAGTAATGTGCACAAAGTTATAAATTTTCATATAACATTTATGCCCGCCAAAAAGGATTCACCTTGGAAGAGGCACTACACAATTAAATAGGCAAAATGACTCAGCCTGTTGATATCACTTTTGTCAGCAGCCACCCAGTGCTGGCATGATAGAAACATGAATGAAATGACCATGGTAGCAATGAAAGAATTTATGTTTGGACCCATTAGCACAGATGTCTTTACCAGAGTTGATCCTGCATCTGCCAGCTCTGATGTTCCACATGCCAGTAACAGAAAACAAAGCTGAGACCCAGCATGGCACCATTCCCTGAGGAAAACAATTGACCACTTGGTAATGAGTTCACTAAAGTAGGCCACTGCTATCCTGAAAATACTATTGAATTGCTCTCACATGAATAGACTTATTCCAGGTGGATTTGCCCTTCCAACCTATGGAGCCCCAGCCAGCAGGAGCTCCGGTGATTTACAAAGTACCTGATCCAAAGGAATGAAATTCCATAGAGCATAGCATCTGGCCAATGAGCTTACTTCACAGCAGGGGAAGTGTGTGAGGGGGCCCATGTTCACAGGATCTATTGATTATATCACATCCTGTACCACACATCTGCTGGCCTCAAAAAATATTGGAATGGTTTGCTGAAGGTACAGCTGAAGCACAAGCTCTGAACAAATACTCTGAGAGGATTGAATGCCTGTTTTTGGCACTGTGTCCCAAACAGAAAGAGTATATGGGCCCTGGAACCAAAAGGTGAAAGCAGGAATGACTTAATTTGCAATGACTATTGAACCACTGGAGGACTTTGTGTTTTTACCTCCATAATTCTCAGCTCTGCAGAATTAGATTTTCTGCTCACCAAAAAGGATACAGTCTTGCTGGGGGACACAGAAAGAATCTTATTGCACTACAAGATATAGCTGACTCCTGAGAACTTTGAACGTTTTGTGCCCATGAATGAGCACACAAGAGGAGTCACCATCTTGGTAGCAATTGATCCTAAGAAGCAGGATGAGGCATGATCACATTACTCAAAAGCAATAGAGAAGAATGAAAATGTAGGGAGGAATATGTACAGAACCCAGGCAATCCACTTGGGCACCTCTTGGTATTCCCTTGCTGACTTAGCTCAAGCTGCTATAACAAACTACTGTAGACTGGATGACTTAAACAACAGACTTGTATTGTTCACAGTTCTGGAGGCTGAGAAGTCCAACATCAAGGAGCCAACAGATTAGATGCCCGGTGAGGGCCCTTTTCCTGGATTTCAAGCAGCCACCTTC
Organism: Homo sapiens; assembly: GCF_000001405.40. Lineage (NCBI taxonomy): Eukaryota > Metazoa > Chordata > Mammalia > Primates > Hominidae > Homo > Homo sapiens. The sequence continues at coordinate 46,035,623 of NC_000015.10, read as the reverse complement.
TTGCTGTGTCCTCATATGGCAGAGAGAGAGAAACAAAACATTGTGATTTCTCTTCTCGCAAAGGCACTAATTCTATTATGAAGACTGCACTTTTGTGACCTCATATAAACCTAATTACCTTCAAAGTCCTCACCTCCAAATACCACCACATTAGGAGTTAGGGCTTCAACATATGGAACTGGGGCAGGGGGTACTGAGTACACAAACATTTAGTCCATAGCACTTGCCTAATTATGACAGTGAAGGAATGAATACAGCAGTCCTAACCTGAGAATAATATTGGTTACCAAGGGCTCAGGGCCCTCAGGAATGAAAGTTTGGTCACACCAGCAGGTAAATCACTGTCTCAGTCTGTTTCATGTTACTATAAATAATACCTGAGGCTGGGAAGTTTATAAAGAAAAAGGTTTATTTAGCTCACAATTCTGCAGGCTATATAAGCAGCATGGTATCAGCACCTCCTTGGCTTCTGGTGAGAACTTTTGTGCTGAGACGGTCAAAGGGAAAATAGGCACTACATGAAGAGGGACCAGACTCAAAGGGCAACCTGGTTTTATAACAACTCTCTCTCTTGGGAACTAGTCCATTCCTAGGGAATTAATCCATCTAGCCAGAACAAGAACTCACTCACTACTGCCAGAAGGGCTCCACGCCATTCATGAGGAATCTGTTCCCATGACCCAAATACCTCCCAACACCATCACATTGAGGATTAAATTTCAACATGAGACTTGGTAGGGATAAACAAATCATATCCAAACATAACAATCACCAATCCCAGCAGAGATAACTAAAGTTGAAGAAAATTTAGGATGGCTGGTTGAGGAGTGAGAAAATGAGTATCAGTTGCAATCCTGAGACCAAACTGCAGTAACAGGAGTTATACTACGGTCCACCAACCTTTTTTCTCAGTGTGAGTGGTTCACTGGAACCCTGGAAAAGTTACTCCAAATAGGCATGGAGAAGTAACTCTATGGCATAAATGTGAAATGTGGCTGTGCTGTGCATATTTTTCTTCAGGAACTTACTCTAGCCAGATGTGAGAAGTGTGGCTAGCTGACAGCCTCCTTCACATCCACCTCAGATTTTGAGCTGAGATCAGGCTCTTCTCAGGTGTTAGCCCCGGCCAGTGACTGAACAAGACTATGGTAAAAGAACCTCCTCTATCCAACAGAGGACTCTTCTAATGGGCAAACTTTGCTCAGAAGCTCACCATTGGGCTTGCAAAGACTGTCAGAGATTCATCTTGGTCCAAGATAAATGGATGATAGAATTGGGCTTCCTCTGCCCAATCCTATCTCTTCCCTTTTCCTTTCATGGGCATGACTGCCCAATACATCTTTTTCACTCCTATAATTTCTTCCCTGCCTCTACTGTCCAAAGGACCCAAATAACACATTTGAAAAGTGGCTTAAGTTATAGACAATTGTTATTTATTATTCAGTTCCATTGATCACCCAGTTTCTTCTGTCCTTGGTTGTTTGTCCAGGGATCCAGGGCCCACCTATCTTCATGAAATTAACCCTGGAGCCACCACACCTGAACCTGCCCTTGAAAAGGCCGAAAACAACTGATATCCCTGGACTCTAGATATTCTAACTTGTACCAAGTGGCTTTTAACCCTTCAAATCCTAGAGTTTCTCCTTTACTACAGATGTTACCCTTCTCATAAGAATTAACAAACCTAGGGAACTATATCTTCCTATAAGAAGTAACAAACTTAGGGAATCTACTTTGTCTCCCCCTATCAATATTATTCTCAGAAGCCTGAACTTAAGCATTTCTGCTAGCTCTTCCTGAATTCCTCTGTGTATTGTCAGGGCTTCCATGGCTTTAAGTCAAATTCTCATCTACCCCAGTCACCAGAACACTAGTGAGTATCTTGGAAATTGCCATTTTCTCTGTTCCTTTCTCAGTATCTCTCCTGAGCAGCATCATTCTACTTTCTTGTTTTGCTTTGGTTAGGAAATCAGTCGGGGGTCTCACCTTAATTTATCAATAGAAGCTTCAGCTAAAACCTTATTATATGTAGCCTCATCTACCATTTCTTCAAAATGGATCTGCCTGTATCTCTTTGATCTATTGTTCGCTTACATCTCTCCTTATTTATGCTAGGGGCTATTTCATAAGATGAAATCTTTTCAGGCCTTTGATATGTAGTGGAAAACCTCAGTACTCCTTGCAGATATTTTCAAACTTTTTTAAGTGTAACTAAATGCTTTAGATTAATCAGGCCAAAATTCTGAGCTATTCTGTTTCATAATACTCAGATGCTGAAAAAATGCTCATAAACTGATATGGAAAAGTAGAAGTTGATAATGGTGGCCCTTAAATACTCAGTATTTAAGGTCGCATCCTCCCTTGGCCACAGGTTTAAAAGATTTTAAAAAATGGTACACCTGTATAGGGTCCTTACCATGATTATTTCCTTGGGCTTAGTAAAACAGTAAAACTACATCTTATTTTGGGGTACCACGTGATTTTTCCAACACACAGAACAGCCTTCCCTGCTGGTTGGCCCAACATTTGGGCCCATCTCTCTGAAGATACACTCAGGTTTGGAACTGTAGAGGTGCTTTCCTAGCCAAGGCTTGAGATAGACTGGCCATGTCTCTCACTGCTCACTCATCTTACAGTAAAATTTTTGAGGAAAAAAAATGAGCTTAGAGATCACCTTCCAGATTGCCACATTTTAAAAATTAATCTTAGGTTTGAAGGTTTGCAGAATAATCAGTTTTTTCTGAAACCACTAACAAGCCTGCATTGATGTTTCTTTCACATTTTGCCAAGGCATCTATACAATTTAGAGTGCATATTCGATTTTGTCATGTTCACAGTTCATTAGCATGCCTCAAAACCAACAAGGATTTTGGTACCCATAACCATTCCTTTCTAGCAAAATCATGTAACTTCTTTGGCCCCAAAGTTAATTTGTTCTGCATTTAGGGGTAGTAATTTTTCTATACACAAGATGTATACTGTTCTAAACACAAACAATATTATACTTAATGGCATAAGATTGAAAGCATTTCCTCTAAGGTCAGGAACAAGACAAGGATACCCACTTTTGCCATTCCTATTTTACATAGTACGGAAGTCTGTGTCAGAGCAATTAGGCAAAAGAAAAAAAAGGCATCCAAATCAGAAAGGAACAAGTCCTTCGGTTGCCAATGACATGAACTTATATCTTATACATAGAAAACTCTATAAAGACTCCACTAAAAACACTGTTAGAACTAATAAATGAATACAGCAATGTTGCAGGATACAAAATCAATACACAAAAATCAGTAGTTTCCATACATTAGCAAGCTATCTGAAAAAAAAATCAAGAAAACAATCCCATTAACAATAGCCACCAAAAAATTAAAATACTTAAAGAATAAATTTAATCAAGGAGGTGAAAGAACTATATAACAACTGTGAAACATTGATGAAGAAAATTGAAGAAAAAAACAAATACAGCCATGAGTTGCTTAACAACAAAGATACATTCTGAGAAATGCATTAAGTAATTTTGTCATTGTGCAGACATCATATAATGTACTTAGACAAACCTAGATGGTATAACCTACTACATTCTAAGGCTATATGATATAGCCTATTACTCCTGGGCTACAAATCTGGATAGCATAATGCTATACTGTAAGCAATTATAACACCAATGGTAAGCAATTGTGTTTCTAAACATAAAAAAGTACAGTAAAAACATGGTATAAAAGATTTAAAAAAATGTATACCTGTATAGGGCATAAATCGAGGTCACAGAACTGGAAATTGTTCTGGGTGAGTCAACGAGTCAATGAGTAAGTGGCAAGTGACTGTAAAGACCTAGGACATTACTGTACACTACTGTAGACTTTCTAAACACTCTACACTTCGGTTTTACTAAATTTAGAGAAAATATTTTTCTTTCTGCAATACCAAATTAACCTTAGACTAGGTTTGCTAAAACCAGCATCACACAAACACCTGAGTAATGAATGCATTGCACTACGGTGTTACCATGGCTACATGTCACTAGGCAATAAAAATTTTTCAGCTCCATTATAATCTATGGGACCACTGTCATATATATGGTCCATCATTGACCAAAACATCATTATATAGTGCATGATTGTAAATGGAAAGGTATTCCATCTTCACGGATTAAAAGAATGTTGTCAAAATGTCCCTACCACCCAAAGCAATCTACAGATTCAATGCAATTTCTAGCAAAATCCCAGTGACATTTTTCAAAGAAATAGAAAAAAAAAAAATCCTAAAATTTGTATGGAACCACAAAAGATCCCAAATAGCGAAAACAATCTTGAGCAGAAACAAAGCAGTAGGCATTAAACTATCTGATTTCAAACTATATTACAAAGCCATAGTAATTAAAACAGCATAATATTGGCATAAAAATAGACATATCAACCAATAGAACAGAACAGAGAGCCCAGAAATAAACCCACTTACTTACAATCAACTGATTTGCAACAAAAGTACCAAGAACACAATGGGAAAAGGACAGTCTCTTCAATAAGGGTGCTGAGAAAACTGGATATCTATATGCAGAGCAATGAAATTGGAACCTTATTTCACACTGTATTCAAAAATCAACTTAAAATGGGTTATAGATTTAAACATTATATCCAAAACTGTCAAACTACAAGAAAACAACATAAGGGAAAACAATCTTGACATCAGTCTTGGCAAAGATATTTATTTGACCTATTTGACTGCAAAAGCACAGTCAATGAAAGCAAAAATATATAAATGGTATTACACCAAACTAAAAATCTTCTGCACAACAAAAAACAGAGTTAACAGAATGAAGAGACAACCTACAAATTGGGAGAAGATATTTATAAGCCATATGTATGATAAGAGGTTAGTATTCAAAATATATAAGGTACTCAAACAACTCAATCACAAGAGAGCAAATAATCCAATTTAAAAAATGGGCAAAGGCATCAACAGTAGATTGGATAAAGAAAATGTGATACATATACACCATGGAATACTACACAGCCATAAAAAGAATGAGATTATGTTCTTTGCAGCAATATAGATGTGGCTGGAGGCCATAATCTTAAGAAAATTATCACAGGAACAGAAAACCAAATACTACATTTTTTCACTTATAAGTGGGAGCTAAACAATGGATTCTAGTGGACATAAAGATGGCAATAATAGACACTGGGGACTACTTGGGGGAGACGGGATCAGTAAGGGTACAAAAACTAACAATTGGGTACTATGCTCAGTACCTGGGTGGCAGGATCAATCATACCCCAAACCTCAGCAATCACGCACTATAACCCAGGTGACAAACCTGCATATGGGTCCCCTGAAACTGAAATAAAAGTTGAAATTGTTGGGGGAAAAAAAAAAAGGCAAAGGACAAAGAATGTAAATAGAGTTTTTTCAAGGGTATATGAAAAAATACTCAGCATCTCTAATCATTAGGGAAATGCAAATTAAAACCACAATGAGATACAACTTCACACCTGTTATAAATGGCTATTATCAAAAATATAAAAATGTTGGTGAGGATATAAAGAAAAGGGAACTTTTGTACACTTTCAGTAGGAATGTACACTCATGCAGCTATTACGGAAAACAGCATGGAGGTGCCTCGAAAACTTAAAAATAGAACTACCATACAATCTAGCAATCCCACTTGTGGGCATATACTCAAATGATTTGAAATCAGTATGTTTAACAGATACTTGTAATCCCATCTTCATTGCAGCTTTATCACAATAGCCATGATATGGAATCAACCTAAGTGTCCATCAGTGGATAAATGGATAAAGAAAATATAGTATATATACACAATGGAAAATATATATATTCTGAATGAAAAGGCCCCAGTAAAGAAGGAAATTCAGTCATTTGTGACAGCAGTATGAACCTAGAGATCATTAGGCTAAGTAAAATAAGCCAGACACAGAAGGACAAATACTACATGATCTCACTTACGTGTGGAATCTATAGAAATCAACCTCATAGCCACCATTCTATCCTCAGCTTCTACCAGAAGCCGTCTGGAGGAAATGGGAAGATGTTGGTTAAAGAGTGCAAAGTTTCAGTTAGACAGGAAGAACAGGTTATTGGTAATACATTGCATAGCATGGTGACTATAGTTAATAGGGTAGATTTCAAAATTGCTATTGAAATAAGTTTCAAATGTTCCTACACACAAAATAAGTTAAGTATTTGGGGCGATAGTTGAGTTACTTGGCTTGATTTAATCATTCCTCATTGTGTTTGTGTATGTATGTGTATGGATAAAATAATTACTTTATACCCCATAAATATGTATAATTTCATTGTATTTGACAAATTATATAAATAGTTATATAAATTTATATATATTTATACATTTTATATATGTATTGTAGTATATATTATAGTATATTCTGTATTATAATATATAATATCTAAGTATTATAGTATAGGTATTAGTATATTATATATCATAATATATTATATATGTATTATAGTGTAGGAGGTATTTGAATCTCAGTATGGTATACATATTAAAAACTTTTTTACTTTTAAAATTTTGTTGTAGTTGATAAATTTTATGTATAGATAATATTATGTATATATAATATATAATTTAACATATATTAATTATTTTAAATAATTTATTTAAATTTACATTTAAATAATTTATAAATTATATTTTAATATATATTAATTATATTTTAATATATATTAATTATATTTTAATATATATTAATAATTATATTTTAATATATATTATTATATTTTAATATATATTAATATATTATTATATTTTAATATATTAGTATGTTAACACATATTTTATTTATAATTTATAATTTAAATAATATACAATTTATTATATATTACATAATATACAAATTATTATATATTACATGTTACATGTTATATGTTTTATATTACATATGTTATATATGTTATATGTCATGTATAATTATATATCATCTATAATTTAACATACTATATATCATATAATCATATATAGCGTAAGTCATATATCATATATTATATATCATGATGTATAACACATATCATATATATTACATATATTACATATATATGTATGTATTACATATATTCATCTATATATGTCATATATATATCATGACATATATGTGATATGTGGTATGTTATAAATTATAATATATATTATATATATTAAATTATAATTATATATTAAACTATAATATATATTAAACCATAATATATAATATTAAACTATAATATATATTAAATTATATATTATATATACATAAAATTTATCAAAACACAACAAAATTTTTAAATGTAAAAAAGTATTTAATATGTATACCATACTGAGATTCAGATACCTCCTACACTATCAGGCCTGAATTTCTCATTTCCTAGCCCAAACCTACCTAATATGAGGCTCTCAACCTTTCTTCTCTTTGGCTCTTCTTCCTAGTGATTCTCAGTTTCAAGTGGGGAGAAGGGCATCTCACGTTCTCCTGCGTGAACAAGCCAGGAAAGCAGCCTGCTTTTCTTGTCCTGCTGCTTTCAGTTGACATCTTGGCCTCAATTTCCTAAACTGAAATCCTTGCAGATAATCACCTTTAAAAATGGCAAGGATGGTTAATGGGCACAAACAGTAGTTACAAAGAATAAATAAGAACTAGTATTCAATAGCACAACAGGGCTACTACAATCAATAATTTAATAGCACATATTAAAGTTACTAAAAGCGTGTAACTGGATTGTTTGTAACACAAAGGATTACATATTGCATGCCTATATCAAAGTATCTCATGTACCCCTTAAATATATACACCTAAATTGTAACCACAAAATTTAAAAATTAAAATTAAAAAATGGCAAATAAGTATGTGGGACAGAGAAGTAAATAATTGCTTTAACTCATTTTATCTTCCCAACCTATTTTTTAATCTCCATTCTCATTGCCTTTAATTTGATTCAGGCTCTAAGCATTTGGTCTATTCCAGCTATCTTCAGACTAGTCTGTTAACCTTCAGACTGGTCTCGTACATTCTCTAGACTTTTCAGACCAATCTCCTCATTGAGACAGTGAGACAGTATCTTTCTAAACTTGATTCACTCTTACCTTGCTTAGCAAAAGCAATTTCTGTTGTTGGTTCAAGTGAATAATGGCATTCTCTGGGAAATACTTGTGGGCCACTTTTGTGGGACTGAATCAGACAAGCTCTAATCCCTAATCCAGCAAGTTCTTAACTTTTTATAAAGTAATGAGTTCTACTTGAAGTATTTGATAGCAAAAACAAAATGCTAATTTTGAGAGTTAACCATGTGTCGTTTACTTTATCTTTCTCATTGAGAACTTTAGGATCCTTAGTTTTATGTCCAAGTTCCTTATATAATTGTTCTTTTTGTTCATAGTTGTGTATACTGAGGCAATTTTATCTGTATGTTAGCTGTAAACCCAGACTGGCATTGACCATTTGCATAGAGATCCAGGGTTATTGATTATGACTTTTTTGGCCTTTCCATGATCTGCAGAATTAGGAAGTTTTCTACTTACTGAAAAAAAATAAATAGTTGGGCAATGTATTTTACCTATCTTAAAAAAAAGAGAGGCAAATTAATTTTTATATATTCATAAATGGGGAATGCATTTAAGGGGAAAGAAGACACTTAGTCACAGAATGCAGACCTTTGGGCTATGACAAGCTCAAAGTTACAATGACAAGCAAAGACTCTAGAACTGTTCAATGTGTAGTTGGAACTAAAAAACAAAGGCACTGAATAGCATCTGTGAAAGCCTATAGGATATGAGGCATTGCTAAGTAGATATAATGCAGACATACTGATAAAGTTGAAGATTCAGTTTCTGTCCAAAGGTTAACTGTTGGTATAAACACAATAAAAGAAATATGAAGGGGGCAGCAGCATCCAGTTGTATAAAGCTCAGATAATGTTTTACAGTAAGATGATATTTGAATGGGTATTGAAGAATTAACAAGAATTTATAAGGTAAAAAAGTAGAAGCCATTCTAGGTGTGTCAAATGGTATTAGTGCTATAAAAACACCTAACACTTTCCAGTGAGTTGTAAGCAAACTGGACCAGAGCAAAAGTTCCAATATAGAAGTACTCCAAAGAGATTCCCTTATACAAGACTGTTATACAAGACATTGAATACAAGAATAAGAAGTTTACCTGGTGCCTAAATATCTCTGGAGGCTTTGAAAAAGAGGTGATCAGAATCGTACTTCGAAGAGATTAACTTGAACAATGATGGAAGTGTTCTGTAGGGGTGAGTGAAAAGAATAAAGAACAAGCAGTTTTTTTGAATGGTAATAAGAAACTAAAGATGATTTCTGGCAGTCCCTGAGGTAGTTCTTCTCAATTTCCCAGTAAAAAAACAAACAAACAACAACAATAAAAAAAACCTATAAAGGCACAAAGTCTACTTAGAGACAAAATCTGCCAGCATAGAAGTAGATATATGCCTCAACCCTCCCCCACAGTCTGCCCCTAGGGTAGAGATAAAAGGTATATATACAAGATTATTAATCAGTCAGCTCTTTGCCTTAAAAAGCATTACCTATCAGTACTATGTCCCTCTTGGCCCTCTCATCAGTATCTCTTTCCACAAATATTCAAAAGCTGTAACTCCAAGAAAACGATAGGACAGGAAATGGAAGTGTTGGAACCCAATTACACAACTGTAATCTCAGCATTTTCCACCAGCTGGGTTTTTCACCTCTCTTGCCTACAGTGTTTTGATAGAAGTGATATTTCCCTGAATATAAAAAGGCCCAGAACCATGCAGTGAAGGTAGAATGAGACATTTCCTATCACTACTGAACTGAGGTAAAGACAAAATTTTGAAACACTAACAATTGGATAGGGAGCTATGAAGGTTGCTTCACTTCCAGCTGTAGATCTGACATGCGGATTTGAGTGAGGCTCAGTATAATACACCCAACACATTTAAATGCATCTTTAGTCAAGAAAGTTCTCATATTGGTTTTCTTCCGTCTAGCCACTGAGAAGCATACACAGAAAAGACATATCATTATAAGCCTAAGAGAAATAAACTTCCTAAAAATTACTTTCTACAAAACTTAGAAAAGTATTTTAGAAAAAAATGCTTGTCATCTCCGCTGAAATGCATGAAAATATGGTCCCCAAGGAATGGGAACAGAAAGTTATGAGAAATACATCAAGTGAAATGAGAAAAAGAATTGAGAGAAAAACTTAAAATGCAGTAGAGTAATTTGAATCTACATTAGGAGAAAAGACTATCATTCATGCTGAAGATAATAGAATCAGTGATATAGAAGACACACTTGATAAGTTCTCCCTGAATGCAGCAGTAATGAGTCAAAGTAAAATGTCAAAGTGAGGTGAGAAATTAGGTATTCATCTTATATTTTCCACTTCTGTAATTACAGATCTTCAGGAATAATAGCACAATAACAGCAATAGCAAAATAAATAAATGAATAAAATTTTCCTAAGATAAAAAACTTCATATGGGATTAAAAATTTTCTCTAAGGGCCAAGTAAAATTAGAAGACTAATGTTTATATATATGCTAGCAAGATTTTAAACTGCAAAATCTTGGACAATTGTGGGACAAAAGGAAAATATAATTTAAATGCTGGTTGCATCTACTTCTTACTGGTAGATAATTCAACCTAAATTTGAGAATTTTTTGGTGATGGGTAGTGAAATTGCTTAATTAATTTTTTGTTTTATCTGGGAAATGACCTCGATAGGCTTCTCTGAGTCCATTTCAAAGTCACACATATATGGGATAAACTCCAGACACAAGATAATTGAATAGAGAATTATTTCTGATAAATTCACCCAAAAAAAACATTCCCAGAGGTAATATAGAATGTGAAAGAGAGGTAGAAACATTCAAGAAACCCCAACATATGTCTAACAGAATTTCTAGGATATGAGAAGAGAAACGATATTCAAATATAAGGCTAGAAGGAGAAGAACAAAGTTGGAGATCAGAAACTTCTAAATGTCAAGATATACTATAAAGCTACAGTAATCAAGACAAGATGATACTGATGAAAGAAAAACAGATTAACAAAATAAAGAGCCCAGAAATAGACTGACATAAATATTGTCAACTGATCTTTAACAAAGGAGCAAAGGCAATACAATGGAGGAAAGATAGCCTTTTCAACAAATGGTGCTGGAACAAATGAACATCTACATGCCAAAAAAAAAAAAAAAAAAAAAAAAAAACCCTGAATCTAGACACAATTTTACACTCGTTATTTAAAAAATCAACTGAAAATCGATCACAGATCTAAATGTGAAATGCAGAACTATAAAACTTCTACAAGAAAACAGGAGAAAATCTATATTACCTTGGGTTTGGAAATGGCTTTTCAGATATACCAGCAAAAGCATAATCCTTGAAAGAATAGATAAGGTGGACTTCATTAAATTTTTAAATTTTAGCTCTGTAAAAGACATTGTCGAGAGAATAAAAAGACAAGCCACAGACTAGAAGAAAATATTTGCAAAGGACATATCTGCTACAGTACTATTATCCAAAATATACAAAGAACTCTTAAAACTCAACAGTAAGAAAACAAACAACCTGATTAAAAAATGGACCTATCAGAGTGAACAGGCAACCTACAGAGTGGGAGAAAATTTTTGCAATCTACCTATCCAACAAAGACCTAATATCCAGAATCTACAAGGAACTCCAACAAATTTACAGAAAAAAAAAAGCAAACAACCCCATTTAAAAGTGGACAAAGGACATGAACAGACACTTCTCAAAAGACATTCATATGAAAAAAAAGTTAAAAACGTGAAACATGAAAAAAAAAAGCTCAACATCACTGACCATTAGAGAAATGCAAATCAAAACCACAATGAGATACCAATGAGGGTCCCACACCAATTGCATCAGAAGCCCAAGCATGAAGCAAGAGATTCACAGCGCAGTTGGGAAGAGGTGATGTTGGTGCAAAGCAGATCAGAGTCAGTGTGAAATTGCTGGACGCAGACATTGCTGGAATCAGAAGTGAGGCAGAGATTATGTGAGACTTTGCATGATAGGGGTCTGTGCATTCTTGCGCATTTCTTAGCTCTGTGTGAGCAATATTTAAGTAGTCATTACATAAAATCTATTGAACCTATACAAAGAAGTGAACACACTGTGATGAGTTGGCTCCTACCAAGTAAGGCCTGGGGGTTGGTCCTTTATGGTTCCCCAGCACACATCTTAAAATAGTTCCTTTGTGGATAAACTCTCTTTGAATTATTCTATTTTGAGTGTGCCATCTGATTCTTGTTAGGACTCTGACTTTAAAAGGTAGAGCATTGCTCTCATGAAATAATGAAGAATATCCTTCACACATCATATTGACTCACAACTGTTCCTACAAAGAGTGTGTGGATCTGATTCAACTGCAACTTTGTTCATGCAGCAATACTCTTCCTTCTCATACTCATAACTAGTGTTCTGACAATACTAATCCCAGTGCACCTTTTTTCAACTTAGTTATCATTGAAAAGATTTCTCCTTGATACCACAGCCCACAAAATGAGTTTTTAGTGACAAGACAAAAAGCCTTACCTGGCATCTTCTTCATGTGCCACACATATGCTGAATTGGTGTTGTCCAGCTTTATAAAAGCACATTATCTGCAAGCACATAAGTGATGGTAACTGCTTTTCCTCATTGTATGCCATTGATAAGGCAATGCCCAAAATGTCTTTAATTTTAAAAAATGTGCCTATAGCTTGTCCTTTCACTATGAGCTTTATTTGTCAACTTCATGCGTGGTTTTACAAGTTTCTTAGCTCTAATGGGTATTCCACTTTTATTTTCTGTCACTATTATAACTTTGATTGATACTTGTGATGTTTTGATCTCTCTTCTGCCTTAGTAGCAATTAATCAATTTTGTACTGAAAGCATTGTTTTATGCTTTTCTTTAAAAAAAAAAAAGGCATTTGTTTGCTAGAAGAGTCATTGTTCTTTGCTTAGAAAAGCATGTAAAAGCTTTGAGTTTTATGAGAATTTCATAATACTGTACTGTAGCTCCATCCATTAAAATCAGTATTTGGATTCTTTCTCATCTTTCCTTGGTTTCCTATGGAAAATCATTGCACTAGCCAAATCACTTTTTTAAGTAGATGCTCATATTTTATATTTAATGTAGTACTATTTAGTATTTACATGCTCAGCATTATTTTAAGTTGTAGCATTTGTTCTTATTTTATCACTACTTCATTTTGCTTCAATTTCTTTATGAATTTTTAAAATTGTGAAATTGCAAACTTTAGTGAATTATATCTATAACAGTAAGGAGAAATTACCATTTGTTTTCACAGATAAGTACTGCATAATTGTGTCCTTAAATGCAGTCCACCTTAGCACATGTGCAATTTATTAGTTACTGTCACCTATGTTAATGATATGTATTTTATATTAATTTTTATAATTAATCATCTTATATGTAAAATTTGTGAAATGTATGAGATAACTAATTAAAAACACAAAACTTTCTCATAGACTACTTGAGGACACCAAGGAGCACCAATATTCTGCTGCCATACCAACAAACACTGCACTAGAAAAATAGGTTAGAAATAGGGTTCTGAAATTTTAATCCTAGCTTTTCCACTTACTAGCTGGGTAACCTTGGGCAAGTTACAACACCTCTAAACCTTAGATACTATTACGATCTCTATTCTACAGTTAAGAAGCTGACTTCATCGGATGCTATGTTATTGTTTTCTTTTTATTATTTTTTTGTTTTTACCCTTACAGTAATGCTTGGTACATATGCAATGTCTGTTTATGTGCCCATGTATGCACTACAAAATTGCATAATAGCCCAGCACCTCTTGACTTGTAAACCAGAGTAAACAACTGAAAAATCTCAGTGGTTTGACATAACAAAGTTTATTTCTTGCTAATGCCATATATGTCCAATGCAGATCAAAAGGTAGAATCTGCTCATCATTGTCACTCTGGAATATAGGTTGATGAAAAAAATTTCTCAATACTTTAGAATCAACATGGCAAGAGCATAAAAATATAGAAAATCATGGCTTGGCTCATAAAATTTGAGCCTGATCCTTCTCACATCCACACACATTTCACTAAGTAAAGCAAATCATGGCCATGCCTAATTTCAAAGTTTGAAGAGAAGTACAATTCTACCAAGTCCCAGAAAGAGAGCCAGAGTATCTATGAATCTTAAGGTAAATTGCTCAAATGACAATTGTGTATGGATAAAGAAAATGATAGTCAATAATGGAGAAATCGTTACATAAAGAGATTTGTCTCAATATATTTGACTTTTTTTCACTTTTCTGAATATCCAACATTTTCCATACAGATTATACCAATAGTATAGTCATAGTCATAAAAATAAAGTTACACTGCCATTAAATGAAGGTTTCTTTGCCTCAAGACTTGGCCTGAGTTGCCTTGAAAAGAGCCTGAGTGCAGGACATTAATTAGGGAGTATAATCCCAGGGAGTGGGATTTTAGGGAAAACGAATGAAATAAGAAAGTGGGAGTTTAGCCCATTCTCACATTGCTATAAAGAAATACCTGAGACTGGGTAATCTATTAATGTTTAATTTTTCATTGGCTCACAGTTCCACAGGCTGTAAAGAAAGCATGATGCTGGCTTTTGCTTCTGGGGAGGCTTCAGGAAGATTTTACTCAGAGCAGAAGGCAAAGCAAGAGCAGGCATCTTACATGGCCAGAGCATGACCAAGAGAGTGAGAAGAGTGGTGCTGTACACTTTTATACAACCAGATTTCATGATAACTCACTCACTCAACCATCAGGAGAATAATACTGAGGGGATGGTGCTAACTCATTCATGAGAACTCTTCCCCCATGACCCAATCAATTCCCACCAGGACCCACCACTAACATTGGGAATTACAATTCAGCATGAGATTTGGGCAGGCACAGATCCAAACCATGTAATTCTGCCCGTGGGCCATCCCAAATCTCAAGTCCTTCTACATTTTAAAATACAATCATGCCTTCCCAACAGTTCACCAGAGTCTTAACTCATTCTAGCATTAACTCAAAAGTCCAAGTCCAAAATCTCATCTGAAACAAGGCTAGTCCCTTCTGCTCATGTGCCTATAAAAAAAAAAAAAAAAAAAGGTTAGTTACTTCCAAGATACAATGAGAGTATAGGCATTGGGTAAATACTCCCATTCCAAAAGGGAGAAATCAGCCAAAAGAAAGAGGCTATAGGCCCCATCCAAGTCCAAAACCCAGCAGGGCAGTTATTAACTCCTACAGTTTCAAAATTACCTCCTTTGACTCCATGTCTCACATCCAGGGCACACTGATGCAAGGGGTGAACGCCCAATGCTTTGGGCAGCTCCACCACTGTGTCTTTTTAGGGTCCAGCCTCCTGTGGCTGCTCTCAAGGGCTGGTGTTGAGTTTTCTGTAGCATTTTCAGGCACAGGGTGCAAGCTGTCAGTGGATCTATCATTCTGGAGTCGGGGGGACAGTGGCCCTCTTCTCATAGCTCCACTAGGCAGTGCTCTACTGGGGACTCCGTGAGGTTTCTAACCTCACACTTCCCCACTGCACTGCCCTAGTAAAGGACCTCCATGAGGGCTGTGTCTCTATAGCAGGCTTATGCCTGGATATCCAGGCTTTTCTATATATCTTCTGAAATCTAGGCAGAGGCTCCCAAGCCTCAACTCCTGCATTCCGTACACCTGCAGGCTTAACACCACATGGAAGCCACCAAGGTTTATGGCTTACACCTTCTGAAGCAGCAGCCCAAACTGTAACTAGGCCCCCATTTAGCCACAGCTTGAGCTGGAGCTGCCAGGATGCAGGGAGCAGTGTCCCAAGGCTGCACAGGGCAGCAGGGCCCTGGGCCTGGCCCATGAAACCATTCAGTCCTCCTAGGCCTCCAGGCTTGTGATGGGAGCGGCTTCCCCAAAACCCTCCAAAATGCCTTCAAGGCCTTTTCCCCCTTGTCTCTGCTATTATCATTTGGTTCCTTTTTACTCATGCAAATTTCTGCAGCCTACTTGAATTCCTCTCCTGAAAATTGGGTTTTCTTTTCCACCATATATGTCCAGGCTGCAAATTTTCCTAACTTTTATGCTCTGCTTCCCGTTAAAATATAAGTTCTAATTTCAGGTTATTTCTTTGTTCATGCCTATGAGTTTAGACTGCTAGAAGCAGCCAGTTCATATCTTGCACACTTTGCTGCTTAGAAATTTCTCCTGCCAGATACCCTAAATCACTACTCTCAAGTTCAAAGTTCCACAGATCCTAGAGCAGGGCACAAGGCAGACAAGCTTTTCACTAAAGCATAACAAAAGTGACTGCTCCCATTTCCAATAAGTTCCTCATTTCCATCTGAGACCTCCTCAGCCTGGCCTTCACTGTCCATATCACTACCAGCATTTCAGTCATAACCATTCAACTAGTCTCTAAGAAGTTTCAAGATTTTCCTCCTATTCCTGTCTTCTTCTGAACCAACCATACCCATTACCCAGTTCCAAAGTTGCTTCCACATTTTCAGGTATCTTTATAGCAATGTCACACTCCTTGGTACCACTCATTGGTACCAATTTTCTGTCTTAGTCCATTGTCATACTGCTATAAAGAAATACTTGAGACTGGATAATTTATAATGAAAAGATGTGTAATTGGCTCATGGTTCCATGGGGTTTACAGGAAGCATGATGCTGGGTTCTGCTTCTGGGGAAGCCTCAGGGAAATTTTACTTATGGTGGAAGGCAAAGCAGGAATAGGCATCTTATATGGTGGAAGCAGGACCAAGAGAGCAAGGGTGGGAATCTATACACTTTTAAACAACCATGTCTCATAATTTACTCACTCACTGTCACAAGAACAGCACTGAGGGGTTCATGCTAACCAATTCCTGAGAACTCCACCTCCATTGTCCAATTACCTCCCACTAGACCCCACCTCCAACACTGGGGATTACAGTTCATATCAGTTGGGAAAAACAATACAAGAATATATTATCTAGCACTACAGGCAACTGGTGCTTGCACTCAGGCAACTTTCAGAACTATCCACTCAGTGGACAAAAAATATGGCATTTATCAATCAAGTCCTTTCTCCATTGCTCAAGGTAGCACCACAGACAAACTCTCCTGTACTTCTGATTTATTCTTGCAAGTGTGCACTTTTGGGAACGACAGCCACAGGCATCCCATGTAGTGGCATCAGGAGTCCTAGGATATGAAAAAAATTGAGATTCAGTGAAATCATATCGGCACAAAGCTGGCCTGTGTGGAACTAGACATTTCAGCAGTGACTGGGATAAAAGGAGACACCAATAAGTCATTAAATTGTGCACAAAAGGTGCCAAATAGAAACATACACACACACACACTTACATGCATGGGTAGTGGCATGGGAATAAGCTCACCTGTGGGCTTGTATTTTTACTTTTGTCTGATTCACATATTGAATGATCCCAGTAGATTATTGTTTTTGTTAAATGTATATGAAGTGTATATGAAATGTATATATGAAATATTTAAGATTTAAAAAATACAATGAAAGGCTATTTATCCAGAACAAGTGAAGCTGACCTTTCTGTATTAGTGATATTTCCAAAGTCTACCCCTTTTAGCCGAAAGGGCTTGGGGTACGTCTTCAGATCTGCTGGAGCCTGGCCAAGGATTTCTCAGATCTGCACTTCAATCTGAGGCTCTTCCTTCCTAAGCTACTTTTCTTACCTCTCTCCTTTTAAAAGTTTCAGACCCGTATTGCAGTCTGAAGACTTTACTCTCCTACTTCTGCTTCCCCTTCTCTTTATTCTCTACAGGTGTTTTCCCTAATAAATCTCTTCTACATATGAGGACCCAAACTGACACAAGCCCCAACATCTAGATGAATTCTCGTT
Source organism: Homo sapiens (assembly GCF_000001405.40). NCBI lineage: Eukaryota > Metazoa > Chordata > Mammalia > Primates > Hominidae > Homo > Homo sapiens. The sequence continues at coordinate 46,017,734 of NC_000015.10, read as the reverse complement.
TTTTTTTTCCTTCTACTATATAAATTAAATTATGTAGTATACACTTTCTCTATTGTAATTCAATGCATTGACATAATGGTTCTTATTTTAACATTTTGCATTTAATAATCAGCTTCAAAAATCCTGAAATCACAGTGATCACACTAGTAATGTACATTATTACCTGGACTTTTTTGTGTGGTAAAGATTAGGCTTCTGTCACTCCACTAATTTCTCATTTTTTACAGAGAGAGTACATTCCATATATTATAGTAACGAATCCATTTTAAGAAAGACTTATAAAAATTGAATGATCATTTGATCTGAGAGTGTTCTAAAAAACAAAGGTGACATTCACATTAAGTTAAAAGTGTTTATATCTAACTTTGTATGTAGAGTTAAAGATTATATATATTATATGTATAATATCTAAATAGTAAAGTGTGAAATTTTGTGATTGAAAGATTGAAAGAATGAGAAGTACAATAAATATTTCTCACTGTCATGTAAAATATAATAATATATAGATTCAAAGTGTTTGCTTAGAGCTATAAGAAAATGAAACATCCTAGAATATAATAAATGTTTCATCAGGAACAGTCCTTCCAAACCCATGAGACCTATACTGAGATGGACCCTGGTAAATAATCTCATGTTACTTAGCACTGATAGGTTCTCCATGAATAAAGTATGGATTAATCCAATAATCAATAGAATTCCATTGTGCACTGTAATTTTGTCCCCATCCATCTCCAGGTCTCATATATATATATGAATATATGGACCCTCTGTTTCCCCCTTTAAAAAAAAAAAATGAAAGCTAATCATTCCCAGGGTTCAGGAATGGATTTAGTAACATTTAATCAATCTAAAATCCCATCAGAAATGAACAAGCATATTTGATCAATACAAGTCTGGTTATAACTTACCAGACATTAAGTCCAGTTTTTAGAATAAAACAAGAATACTGATCTCAATTTCAAGAAACCATAATTTAACAACTGTCCCTTATTGAGTATTTACTGTGTCAGGCATTTTGCATATATTGTATCCCCTAACTCCCAGTGTAGGGTACAAAAAACTACATTCCTTCTCATCTAATTAAATATAACATTTACCATACTACATATACTCTGAAAAAATACATGTGTATATATGTGTATATATGTATATGTATATGTAAATATATGTATGTACATATGTAAATATATGTGTATATATGTATGTAAATATATGTGCATATATACACATACGTGTTTGTATATACACATATATGTGTGCATATATACACATATATGTATGCATATATACACATGTGTGTATGTGTGTATATATATTGTGTATATATATACACACATATAAACACACATACACACACAGGTATATGTATATATAGGTATATATGTATATATGTATACATAGGTATATATACACATACTTAGGTATATATAGGTATATATACGGGTACATATAGGTATATATACGGGTACGTATAGGTATATATACGCATATATAGATACATATACATATATATACGCGCCTCTATAGGTACAAATACGGGTACATATAGGTATATACGCGCCTATAGGTACATATACGTGTATATATAGGTATATATACATATATAGGTATTTATGTGTATATATAGGTATATATGTATAGGTATATATACACATATGTGTATATATATACACCTATATATAGGTATATATAGGTATATATAGGTATATATCTATATATACACACACACACACACACACACACACACACACACATATATATATATAAAAACCCAGAATAGCCAAACAATATTGCAAAAAGAAGAACAAAGCTGGAGGGCTGGCACTTCACAATTTCCAAACTTACAAAAAATCTACAATGATCAAGTAAGTTTAACTGGCATAAGATTAGACATATAGAAAAATATATCTGAATTGAGAGGCAAGAATTAAACTCTGATCAATTGATTTTCTACAAGGTGACAGACAATTCAGTGGGGGAAAGTAGAGTCTTTTTAACAAATGGTGCCAGAACAAATAGATAGATATCCCGATCCAAAAGAATAAATTTGGACCCCTATCTCACATCAGATTTTAAAAATTAATTAAAAATAGAACAGTTCAAGAAAGCTGACTAGAATCATCTGGCATTGTGTCCTCCACAAAGAACATAGTAGATAATCACACTTCAAATAGAGGATCTAAGAAATAACACTGGAATTCAACAGAGAAATGACAGGAAAAACCTAGGCATAAAAGGAGAGGAAAATGAGGCAGCCAGCCCAGCCAAGCTCATCTGGAGTCCTGTAGAGAATCCCCAGTGCAAGTAAAACATAAATGACAGATCCCCAACGGTCTACCTTCCCACTGCAGACTCCTACAATCCTAGCCACAGGAGAACCCTCGATGCTTGCAGGCCTTGAGACTACAATAGAGAGCTGCCATGAGTTTGCACAATGGCATTGCTTCAGAGAGGAAGCTCACACTGGGTCACACAACCCCCCCTCCAAGACCCAAGCAGCTGCAGTGTGGCACCACTTGAGGAGCCCAGCCCCCACCTTGCATCTTGCCCTGGAGCCCAACAGACTCTGCGCATCTCCCCATTCCTGGAGCCCCCACTGACACCTGCCTGTGTCCACCCAGAATACTGGAGTGACATGACACTGGTTAGACACAGCAGTACAGCCGGGTAGCCAACATAATGTCCTATACTCTGGGAAATAGGCAGTGCAGCGCACTAGGGAGGCTGCCCTCAGGACACAGGATGCTGAAGTGTGCGTTCACCAGAGCCTGAGAGCTACTTGCCTGAGGCCACTGCCACTGAGAGCAACCTTATTCCCCTAATCTCAGCAGCAAGGATGCAACACATGCCCTGAGGATAGGCTCTCCCCACACACCACTGCCCCAGTCGCTGCCACTTGAGCATGCCACCCAGGAGCCTGGGGATAGCCCTGCTCTGCCCACCATAGCCTGCATCTGTACATACCACTGGAGGACCTGAGGGCAGGCCTCCCCAGCCTGGTATTGCCACCATTACTGCCATCACTCACACCACACACACTGCCTAGGGGCCCGAGGACCTGCACACAAACCCCGCCCACTGCTGTCACTGCTGGCACCTAAGTAAGCCACTTGCAGGCCAAGGAATTGGCCTGATACCACTGACACTGGTACCCACATTCACTGCACAGAGGCCCAAGAACAGGCACACTTGGGCTTCCACTGCCACCACTGAGGCCTAAGGATTGTCCCATCTGGTGCCTGGGTTCCCAGCAAAGTCTCACCACAGTCTGTATTAACAACTTCAGCCTAAGCCACTAAGGAAATCACAAACACTACTGGTACTGTTTACAGTTGAAAAATCAGAGACTACACTACGGCATGCAGCCAGAATCAAAACCAAAGTACCCTACCCATCCAATGTTATAGATGGGTCTACAAGAAAAAGTGCTCCCCTATGACAGCCAATCCAAAAAATTGAAAGAAGCAACTATTATACCAGATGTACAGATATCAATGTAAGGACACAAGAAATTTGGAAAAGCAAGGAAATATTACACCTGCGAAGGAACACAATGATTCTTTGTAACTGATTCCAGTGAAAAAGAAATTTATAAAATACCAAAACAGAATTCAAAATGATACTATAGATGCTCAATGAGATACAAGAGAACACAGATAAACAATATGAAGAAATCAAAAAAGTTAGAATCTGAATGAGATATTCACCAAAGAGATAAATATCATTAAAAAAAAACTAAAATCCTGGAAGAAGTCAATGAATAAGATAAAAAATACAATTGAGAGCTTCAACAATAGACTAGATCTAGGCAGGAGAATTCCACAATGTAAAGACACATATTTTGAAATAAGCCCATCAGACAAAAAAAAGAAAGAAAAGAAAAGAAAAAGGTAACATAAAAAGATGGAGAAAGCCTATGTGAGAGATGGGACACAAAAAGTTACCAAATGTACAAATTTTAGGCATTCCAGGTGAAGAGAAGGGCAAATGCATAGAAAACCTATTTAGCAAAAACAATAGCTAGAAACTTCCTAGATCTAGAAAGCGATTTAAACATGTAAATACAGGAAGCTCAGAGAAACCCAAATACATACAACTCAAAGTTTTCTCCAAGGCACATTATAGTCAAACTTTCATAAGTCAAATACAAAGAATTCTAAAAACAGCAGGAGAAAACTTTTTCTGGTCACATATACCAGAACCTACATCAAACTAACAGTAGATTTTTCAGCAGAAACCTTACAGGCCAAGAGAGAATTGGATGACAAATTCAAAGTGCTGAAAGAAAAAAAAATAAAATTTTTGGTTGACAGATATACTATAAAAGTAAAGTTAACCTTCAAAAAAGAAAGAAAAAAATAAAGTCTTTCCACAACTAACAAATGTTGAGGTAATTCATCACCAAGAGACCAGCCCTACAAGAAAAACTTAAGGGAGTCCTCACTTGGAAGTAAAAGGATTATATCTACCACTATGAAAACACATTACAGTATAAAACTCACTGTTACAGCAAACACAAAGAAGTGAGAAGACTCAAATGTTACCACTTCAGAAAACCACAGAACAAAAATGATAAACAATAAGAGAAAGAAACAAAGGATAGACAAAACAATCAGAAAACAATTAATGAAATGACAGGAATAAGTCCTTACACATCAATATAACCTTGAATGTAAAAGGATTAAACTTTCCCCTTAAAAGATACAGACTGGCTTAATAAATAAAAACAAAGATTTGACCCAACTATATGCTACCTAAAAGAAACCCACTTCACTTGTAAAAACACATAGATGAAAGTGAAGGGATGAAAAAAAAAATTCCATGCAAATAGAAACCAAAAGCAAGCAGGAATAGCTACGCATATCCGATAACACAGATGTTAAGTCAAAAGAAATAAAAAGAGACAATGAAGGTCATTATACATTGAAAAAGGGATCGATTCAGGAAGATGATATTAAAAATCCTAAATATATATGCAGATAACATTGAAGAAAACATACGTAAAGCATGTATTATTAGATAAAAAAGGAAGAGATAGACTCCAATACCACAATAGTGGGGGACTTGAACACCCCACTCTCAGCATTAGACAGATCATGTAGATAGAAAATGAACAAAGAAACACTAGATTACAATTTTCCTTTTATCAAATGGACCTAACACACATCTACAGAATATTTCATCCAACAGCTATAGTATATACATTCTTCTCCTCAGCACATGAAACTTTCTCAAGGATAGACTTTATGTTAGGCCACAAAACAAGTCTCAATAAATGTTTAGAAATCTAAATTATACCAAGTATCTTTTCTGTCCATAATGAAAAAAAGCTAGAAATAACAAGAGGAAATTTAGAAATCATACAAATATATAGAAATTCAACATGCTCCTGAATGACAATTTGCATCAATGAAGAAATTAAAAAGAGTTATAAAATTTCTTGAAACAAATGAAAATGGGAACATGACATACCAAAATCAATGTTAAGAAAGCAAAAGCAATGTTAACAAGAAAGTTTATAGTGATAAATGCCTATATCAGAAAAGCACAAAGATTTCAAATAAACAACATAATGATGCACCTTAATGAACTAGAAAAGCAAGAAGAAACTAAGCCCCAAATTAGTAGACAGAAAGAAATAATAAAGATTGAAGCATAAAGAAAATAGGGGCTAAAAAATTATAAAGGATCAACACAACAAAAAGTTGATTTTGGGAAAGACAAAATTGAAAAACCAATAACTAGACTAACTAGAAGGAAAAAAGAAAGAAGACTTAAATAAATGAAAACACAGATATTAAAACAGATACCACATAAATACAAAAGACCATTAGAGACTACTATGAATAACTAAATGCTAACAAACTAGAAAATCTACAGGGAATACTTCAATTCCTGCACATACAAAACCTACAAAGTTTTAATCAAGAAGACATAGAAAACTTGAACAGATCAATAAGTAACAACATTAAATCACTAAAAAATATTTCCCAACAAACAAAAGCTCAGGATGGGACTGAGTGTGGTGATTCACACCTTTAATCTCAGCACTTTGGGCAGCTGAGGTGGGTGGATTGAGGCTGGGAGTTCAAGACCAACCTGGCCAACATGGCAAAACCCCACCTCCACTAAAAACACAAAAATTAGCCTGGTGCAGTGGCATGCACCTGTAGTCCCAGCTACTCAGAAGTCTGAAGTGGGAGAATTGCTTGAACCCCAGTGATGGCTGCAGTGAGCCAAGACTATGCTACTGCACTCCAGCCTGGGTGACAAAGTGAGACTCTGTCTCAAAAAAAAACAAAGAAAAAAAAGAAAGAGAAAGAAAAGCCCAGCATTGGATAGCTTCACTGCCAAATTCTATCTAACTAATAAAGAATAACTAATTTTCTTCAAACTATTAAAAAAAATTAAAGAGGAAGGAATTCTCCTTAACTCATTCTATATGGCCAACACTACCCTAAATACCGAAACCATACAAAAACATAACAAAAAATAAAATTACAGGCCAATATCCCTGCTGAACATAGATGCAAAACAATCCTCAACAAAATACTAGCAAACTGAATCCAACAAAACATCAAAAAGATAACACACCATGATCAAGTGGGATCTAACCCAGGACACAAGATGGTTCAAGATACACAAATCAATAAACATGACCCATCAATAGAAATGAAAGACAAAAATCACATAATCATTTCAATAGATGCAGAGAAAGCATCTGATAAAATTCAACATCACTTCATGATAAAAACACTCAGCAAAATCAGCTTAAAAAAATACCTCTATATAATAAGGCCGTATAAGACAAACCCACAGCTGACATAATGCTGAATTGGGAAAGTTGAAAGTCTTTCCTATAAGAACTGGAACAGGACAAGGATTCCCACTCCAATTCACCACTCGTATTCAACAAAGTACTAGAAGTCCTGAGCAATAAGGCAAGAAAAAAACTAAAATACATCCAAATTGGAAAAGAAGTCAAATTTTTTTCTTTGCAGATAACATAATCTTATATTTAGGAAAATCTAAAGACATCATTAAAACAAACTCTTCCATCTAATAGATAAATTCAGTAAAGCTACAGAATATAAAATCAACGTACAAAAATCAGGAGAATTTCTCTACACCAATAATGAACTAGCTGAAAAAGAAATCAAGAGGCTTTCCATTTACAATAGCTACAAAATAAATAAAATGCTTAGGAATAAATTCAACCAAGGATGTGAAAAACTTCCACAAGGAAAACTACAAAACACTGATGAAAGAAATGGAATAGGACACAAACAAATGGAAAGGCATCCCACACTCATGGATCAGAAGAACTAATATTGTTAAGATGACTATACTGTTCAAAGTGATCTACAGATTCAGTGCAATCCCTATCAAAATATCGGTCATTTTTCACTGAATTAAAAAACAATTCTAGAATGTGTATGGAAACAAAAAAAAAAGAAAAAAAAAAAGAAAAGCCCAACTAGCCAAAGCATCTGGAGTAAAAAGAGCAAAGCTGAAGGTATCACACTACCTGACATCCAAATATATTACAAAGCTATAGTAGCCAAAACAGCATGGTACTAGCATGAAAAGAAACACAGAGAAATAGAACAGAATATAGAACCCAGAAGTAAAGTCATGTATTCATAGCCAACTGTTTTTCAAAAAAGGTGCTAAGAACTTACATTATGGAACAGACACCTTCTTTAATAAATTGTACTAGGCAAACTAGATACTCACATGCAGAAGAATAAAACCAGACCCTTATTTCACACCATATATGAAAATCAATTCAAGATGGATTAAAGACTTAAATGTAAGATCCAAAAGTGTATAACTATTGGAATAAAACATAGGGGAAACACTCTAATACATTAGTCTAGGCAAAGATTTCATGGTTAAGACCTCAAAAACACAGACAACAAAATCAAAAATAGACAAATGAGACATATTAAACTAAAAATCTTCTGCACAGCAAAGGAAACAATCAACAGAGTAAGGAAGCAACCTACAGAATTAGAGTAAATATTTACAAATTATTCATCTGACAAAGTATTCATATTCAGGGTATAAAAGAAATTCAATAAACTCAACAGCAAAAAAAGAAAATCCCATTAAAAAGTAGACAAAGGACATGAGCAGATGTTTCTCAAAATAAGACATATAAATGGCCAACAGGTTTATAAAAAATTCTCAACAGCACTAATCATCAGCAAATACAAATTAAAACCACAATGAGATATCTTACCAATAAAATAAAAATAACATCTTTATTATTGAAAAGACAAAAAATAATGCATTTTGTCAAAAATGCAGAGAAAAAAGAACTCAAACACCATGGGAATGTAAACTAGTAGAGACCCTATGAAAAACAATATGAAGATTTTTTAAAAACTAAAAATAGAACTACCATATGATACAGCAATCCTATTATTTATCCAAAGAAAGGGAAATCAGCATATCAAAAGAGTAATTGTACTCTCATATTTATTGTACTCTCATACTATTTCAATAGCAAAGATATGAAATCAATTTAAGTGTCAATCAACAGACGAATAAAGTAAATGTGGTATATACACACAAAATGGAATATTATTCAGCCAAAAAAAATGAAATCTTGTCATAAGCAGCAACATGGATAGAACTGGACATCATTATGTTAAGTGAAATAAGCCATACACATAAAGACAAATCTCTCATATTCTCACTCACAGATGAGAGCTAAAAAGGTTGACCTCATGGAGGTAGAAAGTATGATAGTTACCAGAGGCTGGGAAGAATTTAGGGGATAGAGGGTAAAGAGAGGTTAATTAATGGGTACAAACATACAGTTAGATAGAAGGAATAAGTTCTAACATTCAATAGCATATTAAAGTGACTACAGTTAACAACAACGTATTGTATATTTCAAAACAGTGAGAAGAGAGGATTTGAAATGTTCCTAACACATAGAAATGATAAATGCTTGGTGTGATATATATCGTAACTATCCTGTCTTGACCATTACACATTCTATGCATGTAGCAAAATATCGTATGTATCCCTAAAATGTGTACAAATATTATGTATTAGTAAAATAAAAATAAATTAACTCTAAATAAAGTCCACAGACATAGTGTAAGAGTTAAAATTATAAGTCTCCCAGCAGAAAACATAGGAGCGAAAATATGTGACCTTGGATTAGGCAACGCTAGATTAGGTATGATACCAGGAAGTCAGACAAGCACAAGTAACAAAATTAAAATTATATAAAATTAACTATCAAAATAAAACTTTTGTGCTATAAATTATAGCATCAAGAAGATGAAAAATCAATCCACAAAATGGGAGGAGATATTTAAAAATCATATATCTAATAAGAGTATCCAGAATACACGAAGACTCTTACAACTCAATAAGATAAATAATCCAATTTAAAAATGGGAAAGGGAGTCGAATAGACATTTCTTCAAAGATATTATACAAATGTCTAATAAGCATATGAAAAGATGCTCAGCATCATTAGTTATTTGAGTAATGCAAATCAAAACCACAACAAGAAACCACTTCACATGAACTAGGATGGCTAATTAAAAAACAAAAAGAAAGGACAATAACAAGTGTTGATGAGAATGTGGAGAAACTGGAACCATTCTTTATTTCTGGTGGTAACGTAAAATGGTGCGACAATTTAGCCAATAGTTTGGCAGTTCCTTAAAATGTTAACATAGTGCTACTATGTGATCCAGCAATTCTACTCCTAGGCACATATCCTACAGAAATGAAAAAATATGACCACACAACAACTTAAACACAAATGCTCATAGCAACATTATTCATAATAGCCAAAATGTGAAACAACTCGAATATTCATCAACTGAAGAGTACATTTTAAAATCTGACATAAGGTTTATTTTTAGGATGAACATATTTTAAACTTACATTGTCGTAATGGTTGCATAATTGTAAATAAACTAAAACCGGTTGAATTGTATGCTGTAAGTGAGTGAATTTAATGGCAGGTGAATTATATCTCCATCAGGATGCTTTTTTAAAAAGGAGGCCATATATTAACAAATGATTAGTGATGGATATTGTAATTACTCCAATTTGATTATTATACTATTTATACATCTATTGAAACATCACATTGTATCCCATAAATATGTACAATTCTTATCAAGTATGAATTAAAAAAAATTTTTAAGGAGGCCATGCATGAAAGCAGTTTTAAATTTTCACAGATTACATAAAGAAAGGTATATTTTTAATCCTCTTTGCCCTAGAATGCTCTGAGGAATTCTCCTGAGAGGATAATCAGAGCACTCTCTGCTTGGAGATATTGTTTCACTAATTACATATTCAATTATTATTATATCTTAGGCTGCTAATATACCTTAGCAATGTCCCAAGATCAATGAAATTGGGCATAATTGTTTCTGGGTTTGGGGGAATTCTACTGGTGATGTCGTGAAATATATATTTGGTATTCATACTCATTTCCTGGCACAGAACTCTTAAAAATCTTGGAATCCCTGGCAAGATGAGTGTTTTTTACATGCTACTGAGAAGACTGGTGGCTGAAGATAGCCTCAGGATGTGGGCTGGTCACCAGGAAGACCAAGGAATGATTAGAGGTTTGGGACTTTCAGCCTGACCCCACAACCTCTTGGGAGAGTAGAGGGGCTGAAGGCTGAAGTCAATTACCAATGTCCAGTGATGTAATCAATCATGTCTACATAATAAAGCCTCCATAAAACCCCAAAAGGACAGGATTCAGAGAGCTTCTAGGTTGGTGAACGCATCAGCATGCTGGGAGGTGGCACACTCCAACTCCAGGGGCACAGAAGCTCCTGCTTTCACGACCCTCCCAGATTCAGACCTCACTTTATGTATTTTCATCTGGCTGTTTATCTGCATACAAACTGGTAACATCAGCACTGTGAAGTGTTTCCCTGAGTTTTTTTTGTGACTCTAGCAAATTAATTGAACCTGAAGAGAAGGCCATGGGAACCTAAAATATATAGCCAGTTGGTCAGAAGTGTAGGTGACAGCCTACTACTTGTGACTGACATCTATAGTAGAGGGCAGTCTTGTGGAACTGAGCCCTCAACCTATGGAACTTGACATTATCTCCAGGTAAATATTGCCAGAATTGAAATGAATTAGAGGACACCCAGCTGGTGTCCACTGGAGAACTGGTTGGTGTGTAGAGTTTTCTCCCACACATCTGGTATCAAAATTGTTGTGTTAGGTGGTGTGTGAGTGGGAAACCCACTCTGGTTTTTCATAACTTCAAGTCTGCTCTTTCAGGCTCCATAAAGCTTCAATTGAATAAACAAAAATTCCTACCTTGCTTCCCCACTGACTCCCATGCATCTCTAATACTACGATATGCAAAGTTGAGGTTTTTAATAAAACTGTATTCTTTTTTCACAAAAAGAAATTGGCTATAATTGTACTAAACAAAGACCTACCAGCCTGGACTTCAGGAAATCGTACCTCTGGTGGAAGCAATCTGTCCTTGAAAAGCAGCTGTGTAAACGTGTAGTTTTATGTACTTTCTCACAGATACAGTACTAGCATTGCAAAAATTACTCTTCTAGCTCTTTGGTGGTGTTCTATGGTGGGAAGAACATGGGTTTTGAAGTCATGCCTGGTTTCAAATCCTTGCTTTGACACTTACTAGTTATATGACCTTGGGAAATTTACCTAACTTCTCAAAGCCTCTGTCCGTCATGTCTACTGTTTAATACAGGAGATAAGGGAAGTCAACTGTGAAGACATATGTAAGGCAGGGGGCACAGAGGTGTCAAAAACTATTCAATGTTCTACAAATCCTCCCTTTCCATTTCAAAAGGACAGTAAATTTCTGAGTAGAGATAAAGTAGCAACCTTTTCTTCCCTGTCCCCTCCCATCCAATACACACATCCCAGAAGTACTTAGAACCCAGTAAATATTGTTGACTTAATTTTCATTCACTACAGATCAAAGGGTACATATCAAATCAATATTGCAGTAGTATCACCTTCAACTCTGAGTGTCCCCAGATTTACTTTCCAGTCCCAGGTCTTACTTCCAAGCAGGTTTCTTCTCTGAACTCACAGAGTGAGCTTTGAGTAGAATTACTGCTTAAGTGTTTGCCCCTTCCTTGAATTCTAACATGAGTAGGGTAACCCTGTGCATGTCTAAACCTCCAATTTATCTTGCCCCTGCAGCAAAAGAAATTGAGCATGAGACCAACTCAAAATCCCTTTACTGAATTTCTCTATGGCTCATCTTAATTATAGTTGCACAAAGCTGATTTGCCAGGCACAGAAGAGCAAATAATAGTACATCATTTCCACCTGTTTAGATTTTGGTTAAAGTAGAATCATGGATTGAATGCTTTCTTCTTAACTATTTCTTCCTGGTTGCAAATATTAGAGTCTAAAAATATATTTTGCATTCCTAGTTCATATTAGCATTCTGACCCAATCACATAAAATCTGAAGTTCTGAGTTAGGTAGCTCTGAGCTATTGATGATCCCATGATCCCTTTTAATGTTCAGAGTGCTGAGGCACCATAATGATTTGTTTACAGTTGTAGAAAGACATACTTAAATCAGGATTCTTGGCAAATACCTGTTATTTTAACATGAGAATAAGCCCCATGGCCTGGCAGAGAACCATACAGTGTTCAGAACTCAGTCAACTGAGAGGAGTTATAAAACCTAAGTGTTCCTTAATAGACCACATTTGCCAAACACACCTCAACTTGATAATTCATTTATGAATTAAGCTTAATTAGCATAGCAATAAAGAAGTGCTTGAAAGGCATTTTGAATAAATTTGACTTTTGAATGGTATTACTACTATCTCTCTAAGCACATCAAAATCTTGTATTCAAGAAAGAAAAGTAATGGCAAACAGGCATATGAAAAGGTGCTCAGTATCACGGATCATCAGAGAAATGCAAATCAAAACTACAATAAGATATCATCTCACCCCAGGAGAAATGGCTTTTATCCAAAAGACAGGCAATAACAAATGCTGGCGAGGATGTGGAGAAAAGGGAACATTTGTACACCGTTGGTGGGAATGTAAATTAATACAACCACTATGGAGAACAGTTTGAAGTTCCAAAAAAAAAAAAAAAAAAAAAAAAAAAAACCTTGAACTACCATATGATCTAGCAATCTTGCTGGGTATATATCCAAAAGAAAGGAAATTAGTATATCAAAGAGATATCTGTACTCCCATGTTTGTTGCAGCACTGTTTACAATAGCTAAAATTAGAAGCAACCTAAGTGTTCATCAACAGATAAACGGATAAAGAAAATGTGGTACATATACAAAAAATGGAGTACTATTCATCCATAAGAAAGAATGAAATCTAGTCATTTGTAACAACATAGATGGAACTGGAGGTTATTATGTTAAGTGAAATAAGCCAGGCACAGAAAGATAAACATCACATGTTCTCATTTGTTTGTGGAATCTAAAAATCAAAGCAATTGAAGTCATGACAAAGAGTAGAAGGATAGTTACCAGAGGCTGGGAAGGGTAAGGTGATAGAGGGGAAGTAGGGATGGTTAACAGATACAAAAAAAAAATGATTAGAAAGAATAAGATCCACTATTTAGCATAACAGGGTGATTAAAGTCAATAATAACTTAATTTTAAGTTTTCAAGTAACTTAAACAGTGTAATTGGAATATTAGTAACTCATTTATCTTTTGAGTTGAGGGGATGGAAAAAAGCACATGCTATAAAGACAGTGGATCCCCCCAAAAAAGAAAAAGTATTAGCATTAAATGATTTTGTACTTGTACTTTTTCATCTTGTTTTCATGACTAGTATATTTTAAAGATAACATTTCCACTTACTTTTAAAAATGTTATTGTCTTATTGACTTGTTTCTCCTTTGGAGTTAGATTGTTCGCTATCTGTGGTAATCTTTCCACGAAGAATTTTGGTCATGTACTCAGACTCTTATTTGCCAAGATGAAAATACTTTTTCAATTACAAAAGGTGATTTCAACAAAAGAAACTTTGAACATGATATCAGTAGGTATTGCTGTGTTACAAATCATCCAAAAACATAGCTTAAAAGTATCATATTTATACATATGTAACTAACCTGCACATTGTGCACATGTACCCCAAAACTTAAAATATAATAAATTTTTAAAAAGTATCATATTTTATACTGTTCATATGTTTATAGGTAGAATGGGTTTTTTATGGTTTCTGGTATATTCATAAAAGTGTACATATTCTGCTGTGACTTAAGTAGGCAGTTCTGCTTATCTGGCTTGATCTTCTCACAGTTTTGGGGTCCACTGGCTGCCAGCTTATTCAGAATGGCCTCAACTCCTCTCTGCATGGTCTCAGTGGACTCTCTCCCTGGCAATATTGTGAAAACATGCCCAGGCTAATCAGATGGAAAATGAAAGCAGACACATACAAGGCCTCTTGAAGCCTAGGTTCAGAATTAACCTTTTGTCACTTTTGTTTTAGCCAATGAATGTGGCAAGCCACAAGCCAGCCTGTTTCAAGGGGTGGGAAAATTGCAGCTCCTCTCATCAGTAAGTAGAGTCTGTAAGTAATATTGCAAAGGGTATGGATACAAGGAAGAAGAACCTACTTCGAGCATTGGCTTCACACTGGGTACTTGTCCTTGAAAGTACCAAGATAAATAAGACACTATACTGTGGCATCCTTGAAGTCATAGATTGTGAAGAAATTAGGAACCCAACTATAATGATGTGGGTCAATGTAAGAGAAAAGGGAACCATGGAAGACTTCAAGATCTGGTCCTAATGCCTCTTCTCCTGTGAGAATTAGCATTTTAACAGACTGTGGGGAGCAAAGGCACAAGGCAAGAACTATGTGATGTACTTAGAAAATTCCACAAGCACCAAGTGTGTGTAGGATGGGAATGTGAGGGGGCATATCATTTCACTGGAAGACCTTAATTTATCCCATACCTGCTTTTCCAGCCTTTTCTCTCACTGAAAAGGATAGGTTTTAGATCTCTATTCACCACCCCTCCGCCCCACCAAAAAAAAAAACCCAGACAAAATGAGTTAATGGAACTAATTAGGAAAAATGTTAGGATATACTGGAGAGATAAATATAAGGAACAAGTTTTGTTTGTTGCTTTGTTTTTACCATTAGATTATTTAAATTACCAAATCTCCTTCAACTCTTATGAAAACCATCTGTAAAATCAAACCCTTTAATAAAAACTTAAAGTTGGTCCATTGCAATAAGTAAGCACTCCTGTAGGAGACACCATTGGTTGTCTATGCTGTAATAAAAGACAAAACCTACAAAAAAGAAGGTGGATGAAGAAGTTTACAATGCCAGATAAGCATTTTCTCACTCCCCTGTTCACTAAAACATGGGCATGGGACCCACTCCAGTCCAGATTTCCCTGAGAATTTACAGGAGGCTTCCGGGAAAGTTTTCCTTCCTAGTTCAAAATCAAAGAATCTATTGTGGAAAAAAAAAAGTTTTATTTGGCCAAATGTTGTCTACCTGCACTATCTGGAATTGTTAAAGCCATCTTATAGCCATAAAGTGAGAATTAAGCCTAAATGAGATTAAGCCTCAATGCTAACAATTGTCATGGGAAAATATTAAATTTTCTCATGGGCTAAGCCAGGGATCAATAAATGAAAGGTTGGGTGAATGGTTTTAGATAAGTAGTTCACAGATTTAATGTACTTTGTGTGTGAAAGTTCATCACTGAAAAGCCCATGTCCTGAAATCTTTGCATGAGGAAATTCCTAGCTTAGAATCTTGTCTGCCTCCATAGTCCATGAAGCATGAACAAACATTTATAAACAAAATTACACAAAAGCATATAGGTTTTATCAGTGTGCTGTCAATTACATACTGCCAATCAACTTATAATTCAGCACCAATTTTATAGATATGCATTATAGTATCTTTGCTTCTTAATCTGCTGAAAGTATAGTGTATCATAAAGAAAATGAGGATAGGAAGTCAGACCTGAGATTAATTCCTTATTCTCCCATGTTGAACTATCCATTTATTTAATACATATGTATAGAACCCTCATGTGTCAAAGCACACTGTTGGGTACTAAAAATACATGGTAAACAACAATGATATGGTCCACATCCTCCTGAGACTTGCAGTCCCATGAGAAAACTTACAGTCCAGTCAGGCAAGAGAGAAAACTAAAAGGCATCAAAATTGGAAAAGAGAAATGAGCAATTAAAAATTATTTTAATGTTTATCAAGACAAACTAATACACTGGAAAACAAATTATGGGGTTAGAAAGTCATTAAGATTATCAAATACTATTATGAAAAACTATACACTAATGAGCTGGAAAACCTAGAGTAAATGGATACATTCCTGAAGTTCGAGTCAGGAAAAAATAGAAAACCTAAACAGTCCAATAATGAATAATAAGATTGAATCAGTAATAAAAACTTTCTCAAGAAAGAAAAGTCCAGAAACACAAGGCTTCACTGCCAAACGCCACCAAACTCACAAAGAAGAACTAATATCAACTATCCTCAAATTATTTCCAAAAAAATCAGAGAAGGGAATTCTCTTCGACTCATTCTACAAGCCCAGCATTACTCTGATACCAAAACTAGACAATGATGCAACAAAAAAAGATAACTACAGGCCAATACCCCTAATGAACATAGATAAAAAATCCTCAACAAAATACTAGCAAAACCAAATCAAACAGCACATCAAAAAGATGATATATCATGAGCAAGTGAGATTCACCCCAGGGATGCAAGGATGGTTCAAGAGATGCAAATAAACAAACATGACACATCAACAGAATGAAGGACAAAAATCATATAATTATGTCAATAGAAGCAAAAAAAGCATTTGATAAAATTTAACATCCTTTCCTGATAAAAACTCTCAGCAAACTAGGAATAGAAGGAACATACCACAACATAATAAAGATCATATAAGACAAACTCACAGCTAACATCACACTGAGTGGAGAAAAGCTGAAAGCCTTTTCTCTAAGAACTGAAACAAGACAAGGATGTCCACTTTCACTACTCTCATTCAACATAGTACTCAAAGTCCTAGCCAGAGCAATTGGGTAAGAGAAAAAACTAAAAGGCATTCAAACTGGAAAAGAAAAAGTCAAAGTGTGCCTCTTGCAGATGACATATTATATCCAGAAAAACCTAAAGACTACACTAAAAAACCTTAGATTTGAAAAATGCTTCAGTAAATTTACAGAATACAAAAAAATCAACAAATAACAGTAATATTAATATATACCAAAAATGAACTGCCTGGGAAAAAAATTGAGAAAATAATTCCATTTATAATAGCTATCAAATAAAATACCTAGGAGTATATCTAACCAAGAAGATGGAAAACTACTACAAGTTAAACTACAAAACACTGATGAAGGAAATGGATAAGGACACAAGTGCAAAGATACGCCATGCTCATGAATCAAAAGATTATTGTAAATAATGATGAGTTCATGTCCTTTGTGGGGATATGGACGAAGCTGGAAACCATCATTCTCAGCAAACTACCGCAAGGACAAAAAACCAAACACTGCGTGTTCTCACTCATAGGTGGGAATTGAGCAATGAGAACACATGGACACAGGAAGGGGAACATCACACACCGGGGCCTGTTGTGGGGTGGGGGGAGGAGGGAGGGATAGCATTAGGAGATATACCTAATGTTAAATGATGAGTTAATGGGTGCAGCACACCAACATGGCACATGTGTATATATGTAACTAACCTGTACATTGTACACATGTACCCTAAAACTTAAAGTATAATAAAAAAAAAAAAGAATATTGTCAAAATGGTCATACTGCTCAAAGTCATCTACAGATTCAATGCAATCCTTATCAAAATACCAATGTCATTTTTCATAGATACATTAAAAAACAATCCTAAAATTCATATGGAACCAAAAAAGAACTCAAC
The DNA here is from genome assembly GCF_000001405.40 of Homo sapiens. Taxonomy (NCBI): domain Eukaryota; kingdom Metazoa; phylum Chordata; class Mammalia; order Primates; family Hominidae; genus Homo; species Homo sapiens. The sequence goes on along the minus strand of NC_000015.10, from coordinate 45,999,802 downwards.
TAGCCAAAGCAATTCTGAACAAAAATAACTGAGCTGGAGGCATATTACCTGACTTTGAAATATATTACAAGGCTATACTAACCAAAATACCATGGTTGGTATAAAAACAGATGGAACAGAATAGAGAACCCCAATCCACATATTTATAGCCAACCAATTTTCAACAAAGGTGCCAAGAACATACGTTGCAGAAAGGACACCCTCTTCAATAAATGGTGCTGGAAAAATTGGATATTCATATGCACAAAATAAAACAAGATTCCTATATCTCACCATATACAAAAATTAACTCAGAATGGATTAAAGGCTTAAATGTAAGACATGAAACTGGAAGACTACTAAAAGTTTACAGAGGAAACACTCCAGGACACTGGTCTAGGAAAAGATTTCATTAAAGAAGACCTCAAAAACACAGGCAACTAAATAAAAAATAGATGAAACTATATCGAACTAAAAATCTTCTGCACACCAAAAAAAATCAACAGAGCGAAGAGACAACCTACATACTGAAAGAAAGTATTTACAAACTATTCATCTGACATGGGACTAATATTCAGAGTATAAAAGAAACTCAATTTAATGGCAAAAAAACAAAATCTCATTAAGAAGTGGGCAAAAACAGAATGGCAAAAATGTCAAGAAACAATAGATGCTGGGGAGGCTGTGAAGAAATAGGAATACTTTTACACTGTTGGTGGGAATTATTTCAACCATTGTGGAAGACAGTGTGGCAATTCCTCAAGGATCTAGAACCAGAAACACCATTTGACTTAGCAATCCCATTACAGGGTATATACCCAAAGGAACACAAATCATTCTACTATAAAGACAGATGCACACACATGTTTATTGCAGGACTATTTACAATAGCAAAGACATGAACATACCCAAATGTCCATCAATGATAGACCAAATGAAGAAAATGTGGTACATATACACCATGGAATACCATGTAGCCATAAAAAGGAATGAGATGATGTTCTTCACAGGGACATGGATAAAGCTGGATGCCATCATCTTCAGCAAACGAACACAGGAACAGAAAACCAAGCACCACATGTTTTCACTCATAAGTGGGAGTTGAGCAATGAGAACAATCAGACACTGGGAGGGGAATGACATACACCAGGGCCAGTCAGGGGACTAGGTGGCAAGGGGAGGGAGAGCATTAGGTCAAATAACTAATGCATGCAGAACTTAAAACCTAGATGACGGGTTGATAGGTGCTGCAAACCACCATGGCACACGTATACCTATGTAGCAAACCTACACATTCTGCACTTGTATCCTGGAACTTAAATAAAACACAAATAAAAAAATTAAATGTGGGGAAAGGAAAAGACACTTCTCAAAAGAAGACATACACATGGCCAACAGGTGTATAAAAAATGCTCACCAGCATTTTTTCACTTATTCAGTAATAAGGAAAATACAAATTAAAACCACAATGGGATATGTTGGACCAGTCAGAATGGCTATTAATAAAAAGATTAAACAAAAAAACAGATGCTATCAAGAATGCAGAGAAAAAGGAACTTTTATACACTTTTGGTGGGAACATAAATTAGTAGAGACACTATGGAAAACAGTATAGAGATTTTTCAAAATACTAAAATTAGAATTACCATGTGATCCAGCAATCCCACTACTGGGTATTTATCCAAAGGAAAAGAAAAATAGAATAACAAATGAATACCTGCACTTCCATGTTTATTGCAGCACCATTCACAATAACCAAGATGTGGAATCAACCTAAGTGTCCATCAACAGATAAAGGGATAAAGAAAATATGGTATATGTACAATGAAATATTATTTGGCCATAAAAAATGAAATTATGTAATTTGCAGCAGCATGGATGGAACTAGACATCATTATGTTAAGTGAAACAAACCAGGCACAGAAAGACAAATATCATATGTTCTTACTCACATGAGAGCCTTAAAAGCTAATCTCATGGAGATAGAGAGTAGAATGATAGATACCAGAGGCTGGAAAGTTTGTGTGTGGAGAGGGATGGGGGATAAAGATAGGTTGGTTAATGGGTACAATCGCACAGTTAGATAGAAGGAATAAGTGCTAATGTTTGACAGGAGAGTAGGGTGACTGTAGTTAACAACAAAGTATTGTGTATCTCAAAACAGACAGGACTTGAAATGTTCCCACCAGATAGAAATGATAAATACTTGAGGTAATGGATACCCCAAATACCCAGACTTGATCATTACACATTCTATGCATGTAACAAAGTATCACATGTACCCCAAAAATATGTATAAATAGTATGTATCAAATAAAAATTAAAAAGGGTCATCCTGGGGAAATGGTATTTAAGTTTGAGACTGTGGGCTAAGTTATTTAAGGTTGTTTGTTACATGTAAATTGGAGAAAACTTACAATGTACACAGGATTAAATAATGGTTCAGCATAAGGCTTTGGGGAGAAATTCATAATTATTGTTTGTTTTGCATGTACTCATACTTAGTCTATTTCAATTCATCCTACCTGGTCCTAATAGCTTTCTTGGATGTCTCTTATTACATTGTATGCTAGGTGTTCCATAAATGTTCATTGAATAGAACTACCTTGCCTTGTTTACTAATCTAATAAATTTAGCTTTGGCTTTCATTTCCATTTGAAATGTAGAGGCTATGTTAAAGGCACAAACAAGAAAAAACTGCCTGTTTTCCCATTGTAGTTCTCCTGTGAGCTCTGAAATTTCATCAACCATTATGCAAGAAATGCTTAACCGTGAAAAATTAATAAGACTTTTATGCAACTCTCATCAAAATAGGGTAAGAGTGGGAAATTTTTCATCAACGTGTTATTGAGAAGCTCACATTTTTATGTACAGAATAAAGAAGGTTACTTTATTAATTGGCTCAATGAAGAATTATTTGCAGTATTCTCAGAGCTATAAGATGTACCCTACATTTAGCCTGGACCAGCTTGTCCTGGCAGGTTAAGACCTTATCTTCTTAGTGAGAGATGACTGTGGTTTATTCAGAAGGCCATGACCCTGATCTGCCAGCTCAAGAGACCAGCAAAGATCCTGCCATAAGCTATAAAGGGCCTTAGATGTCATGTTGAAGACTTTGGGCCTTACCCTGTAGCAGACTAAATTTTTAAGTAAGACAATGAAATGATCACATGTATATGTTTCATTCAGATAATTCTTTTCGCACTGAAATCCTTGTCTCAGGATCATTTTCTGGGGCAACCTTGCCTAAGGCAATATTGTTTTCACAGCCAGTTCCTAGAAGAAGTGATACCAGGAAGCACTGATAGGGGAATTAAGAGGTAAAACTGGGAAGGCATGTCAGTAAAGGATACATTATTGAGAAGGTTATTATTGTAGGCAACTAAAGTTCAAATCCACAGGTGACTTCTGAGAGATCAGGTAAAAAACCCATCTGAGTATTTATTAGCCAGCTGAGACAAGGCAGGTAACCCACCCCACCTTCGACACATGGAAATAAAGGAAAAATCTTGAGTGTCTTCCAGGGAAATTCCAGGCCCCTAGCTAGCCTTTAGAATAAATGAGCAACTAATAAGCAATAAATTATTAATAACTTAAACAATAGCCTTCTAAGCAAGTCAGAGTCACAAGGTGTTTTGGATCCCAATAGAAACTAAAAGACGACATTGTAACATGTGGTTCTGGAGTTGTTTTTAGAAACCTGGGTAGACCTCAGATAAGGGAGAACTGAGGACTGAACTCTTGACTGCTGTTCTGTATTCTAAATTTCTTCCTAAGCGACCTAGAGAGTCACACTGACAGACAAAACCTTGACGTTCCTTTCTGCTGACCCCACGATTTTAGACAAAACACCTTGCTTCCTTAATCCATTGCAAATCTGAAAATCTCTGAATCTGCCTACAACCCATAAGATCCTGCTTCAAAGTATCCTGCCTTTTTGGGCAAAACCAATGTGACTTTGTCTGTAACCTGTCTCCCCACCTTTAAAAACCCATACACATAAGCTATCAGGAGTTCAAGTCTTAAACATTAGCTACCTGATTCTCCTTGCTTGGTGACCTGGCAATAAATGCCTCAATTTCTCTCACTGCAAATATCATTTTCAGTGTTTGGTTTTGCTGCTTTTGGCAAGCAAGTGGACCCAAGTTCAGTTCATAATACAACTTTTTTTTTTTTTTTTTTTGAGAGAGAGTCTCACTCTGTCACCAGGCTGGAGTGCAGTGGCACAATCTCGACTCACTGCAACCTCTGCCTCCCAGGGTCAAGCGATTCTCCTGCCTCAGCCTCCCAAGTAGCTGAGACTACAGCCAATTTTTGTATTTTTAGTAGAGAAGGGGTTTCCCCATGTTGGCCAGGATGGTCTCAATCTCTTCCCCTCATAATACAACTCTTATTGATCAATGGCTGAGGGCTGTTCCTGGGAGTGCTCACCGCCCCCACCCCTCAGCCCTTTCCGTCTGCCCATGGCACAGACTTAGCTGTCTGCAGAGGCTGGAAAAAGCTCTGGGGGAGAGTGTCAGGTGCTTGCTGTAACAAGCCCTTGGCAAGTATAGAAACAGTTTAAGTGTTAAGGGGATATAGCAGGGCCCTGACAGCATCTGCTACACATCTGTAAATAAGTAAGTTATAAGACCGCTGCTCTTGTCAGATGAGAAATAGTGAGTACTTCAGCCATAGCAGTGGCAGTGGGAATGGAAAGAGGAGGAAATGTTTGGAAATGAATTTAAGAAAATCAACAGAACTGGCAACCAAAACAATAATAGTGATGAAGAAAAGAGTCCAAAGGAACTCCCAGGTCTCTAACTTGAGTGTTAGACTGGATACCATGATCTAGTTTAGGAAACAGAGGAGAAGCCCTCATCCTGTTCCCTGAATGTATGTTAAGTTATAGGCACATCATATTTGAGATAGCTGTCTGTATAGCAAGCTGAGTTTCCCAGGAAGTTGATTCTGGGGTGGAGATTAGCATATGGAAGGCTTATTAGAGAGTGCACTTGGAATCAACTCACGGTGAAGGGAAGAGAAAGTAGCATAATTGAGCAGAGGAGGAAGGTGGGCATCGATGCAATCTCAAGGAAGCCTCAGCCAGCCCTATGACAAGTACCAAAAATGGAATTACCCTCAGAGTTGTACCCACTTTTGTGGGGCACTTATACCCCTATATTGAGCATTCATTGGAAGGAGGCTGACCCAAAAAAGGGACGTGACATTGAGTGAGATAACTCTTCAGCCAACACAATCCCTAAAGATGGCTGACAGCTGTCAATACTCTCATAGCTGGAGTCATGGGTATTGTATTCCAAAACAGGAATGTGGACAACGCATGGCAGCATCTGCCACAGGCAGTGTTATCAGATGTGTCCAGTTGGTATTTGATGCATAGATCTAGTGCAAAGAAAAATCAGCTGGCAACACATTTGGAGAGTTCTCAGTTTAAAAGAGTGTCAGTAAGTAACTTGGGCAGATGGTATAGAACAGAGTTCTTTCTGGAACACTCCAAATATGATTACTCTGTGGTAAATAATGGTAACTTTCCTTGCTTAGAAAAAGGGCAAATAATGTCATTATAACACCATATAGTGGGTTATAGATTATCTGTTGACAATAAAACATAGGGAAATGTAATTTAATTGCTTCATTTCAAAGGTGGATAAGTAAAATAGTAGAAATGTTATGAAGAGCATAAACATATATAGTAGGAATAATGTTTTTCTCTTGGTGTGTATATGAGAATCATAACAAAAGAAATTACCCAATTTTTCTGTCAACTTCCTTTTCATATTAGATAAGGTCTATAAAAGTGTGATTAAAGAAAATATGGTTTTTAATACTCATGACAAGTATAGCAATTTGGAACAAAAATGTGAAATGTTTATCTAATAAATGCTATGTTCCACATGATGAAAAACTAAAAGTTAAAAAAAAGGCAAAAATACTAACAAGTATAAATAGTATTTCCCAAGGACAACCTAGCCAAGGGTATAAAAAAAAGAACTGAGATCACTCTAACTAGTAAAACAGTTTCCCCTGGTACTTATCATCCTCTGATCTTCCCAGGGTCATTGACACTTCTTTCTGAAAATCTCTGCAAAGGAAGTATAATACAATGGGCCAAAGTGCTGATTTGGGAGTTAGACTGCCTCCTTTTCCACTTGCTAGACCTGATCAAGCTATGTGCAAGTCTCTCAACTTCTCTGTATCTCAGTTTTCTTATCTATAAAATGAGGTTAATAAAAAAAACACCTGCTTCTCAGTGATACTGCAAAATGCTTACTGGCATATAGTAATCTTTCAAAAAGTTGTTATTATAAGTCATTGCTATTATTTGGCTGGAAAGACCTGTGCAAAGCTACATGGGTGCCTTCCTTTTGCACTCAGAGCTTGTCAGAAAAAACAGTCATTGGCAGACCTCCTACCAGGGAAACAGGGCTAAAGTCCTCAAGATGCCAAAACCACTTCTGTTAATGTCTGATGCTGGTGAACAATTAAATTTCATTGTGCCAAGAAGTAAATATGAATTCCACATCTTAACTTCCCTATGTGGCAATAACCGAAACAGAGACAACCTAATAAAGCACCAGTTTTCCCTTTTCGCTCAACTCAGGCATCATAAATTGTGGTAACTCTGACTAGGAGGCTCCCCTGTGAGAGTCTCCATCTCAAAGGTTCAGTGGGTTTCATACAGTCATCCACATTCAACACCAACTGGCTTGCAGCTGCAAAGCAGCCTTGTGCGTGTGAAATATATCTTACAGCCTTAGTGTGCTAAGTCACAGGTATTTTATTCTGTGAAAGAAGAAATCACAAATGACCAAAGATCTTGATGCTTCCCTTTCAGGAGGTTCTTCCTGACATCAACATCTACTAGTTTTTAAACTAAACTATATGTCAATATGTCCATACCTGCATCTGGAGGAGGGAAGACAGAGATGGTGCCCAGGCATTCCTAAGCAGCACATCCCTGCCTACTACCTTTGGATCCCCTAGAAAGCCCATTGCTTACAGGGATGGTCTTTTCCAACTTACAAAACATACTTTCCACCCTCTTGTATCCACAGAGATTTTCTTTCTCCCAACTTTGTTTCACACTCTCAAATCCAAGTCACAGACACCCTCCACCTACCCTATGACTGAAGAGGAGTTGTTCAATCCTCCCTTCAGTGAGTCTTCCTTAGCGGCCTTCCTCACTTCCTCTGGCAAGTACAGTCCTGGAAGACCTTCCCTCACACAGCTCTCCAAGTATTCCAGAAGTGCCTGAATCAGAAAGTCAGTCCAATATAGGCACATTCTGTTTTCCTGATTCAAAAGAAAAGAATCAGGAAACTGTTATAGGGGGTTAGGGGGACATGAGATTATAAAATAAATGGAAGCAGGAACAGAAATGAACTTGGCAAGATTTCTTCAATGGTGGTGTGAGAAACTCTGCAGAGCTTTTCTCAGAAAAACTATTAATGATGAAAATTATTAAGAAAATTAAAATTTCTAAAAATTTCCAGAATACAGCAAGTGTATGAATGTTTATTCAAGAAAATCCATTAAATCTCTATAAAATGATGACAGTCTGTCACGTTTCAATTATGACAGGCTCCTTTACCCTTCCCCCTGCCCTCAGCTCTGTGCTATGAAAGCTCTACTCTGGATGTACACAGCCAAGAAAAAGATCCCTCTCCCTTCCCCAGCTCCCAGACTTCTTCTACCTAGCCTTCACTTATAGGGTAGAAGTCTACTCTGGGTGTGGCAGGAAGAGAATGCTAGCTCTGATTAGCCTTGCATCAGTGGACCTTTCATACAGGAAGAGGTAAACCAGGAAGACCAGGAGCTACTGCTCTTACCATCGACCTGCTTGCAGAGGAGGGCTATCACTCTTCGAGAAGCAGGCTACAGTCCCTGCCCCCAGAAGTAATGACACAGAATTTCTACCATGGGGGAGAAGCAGGCAACAGCAACAGAGAGCTCAAAAGTTTTCCCTAAGGGAATTGGTTTTAATTTGAACAGAACAGGGAATTTCAAGCAAAGGATAATGTCAAAAAATGGAGATTTGGGACCAGATATGGTGGCTCAGACCTGTAATCCCAGCACTTTGGGAGGCTGAGGCAGGTGGATCAACTGAGGTCACGAGTTCAAGGCCAGCCTGACCAACATGATGAAACCCTGTCTCTACTAAAAATACAAAACTAGCCAGGCATGGTGGTACCTGCCTGTAATCCCAGCTACTCAGGAGGCTGAGGCAGGAGAATCACCTGAACCTGGGAGGCAGAGGTTGCAGTGAGCCGAGATCATGCCATTGCACTCCAGCCTGGGCAATAGCAAAACTCTATCTCAAAAAAAAAATAAAATAAATGATGAGCAATTAATAAGTGATGAGCAATTAATCAACTAGTGAATTGGTGGGTAGCTCTGTGATAGCAACAAGCAAAATCATAGACCAAATCATTTAGCAGAGAGAATCAGATAAAGATACAGCTAAAAAGAGATCTCCTGAGGGGGAAACAAGCCTCAAAGACTACCTCTGCAAAGTGGCCAAGAATTGGCTCAGACTGTGGAACAATTTATGTTTTAGGATATTCTTGAAAACATTAGAGCAATCAGTAACTACTAGACGCTAACAACTGGGTGTGAAACCAATAGAGGCAAACCAGATAAAAGCTTAACAGGGAGATCAGAGAAAGAGACACTCAGAGAGTGGCTAAAACCTATGTCATCCTTGGAGTGGGAGGTAAGGGGGTCAGAGCAACTATGCACATTCCCAAGGTTGTACCTTTTAAGAAGCAACATTGGAGGCTACACAGTTTGGAGGAAATAAACTTCATTAAGATAATCCAGACAAAGTCACTAAAGAAATTAACAAGCAAAAAAGCAAATAACAATTAGCCCCAGAGAAGTAGTAGGAAAATAAGTATCCAGAGTTGCTTTCAATCAAAATATCAAGCTTTCAACCAGAATTTATGAGAAATACAAAGTACGAAGAAAGTGTGACCCACACAAGAAAAAAAGGGCAACAGAAATAGCCTTTGAAAGAGCCCATATGCCAGATTTAGCAAACAAAGACTTAGAGGCAGCTATTATAAATACATTCAAAGAACTAAAGGCCGGGCGCAGTGCCTCAGGCCCATAATCCCAGCACTTTGGGAGGCCGAGAGGGGCGGATCACCGAAGGTCAGGAGTTTTGAGACCAGCCTGGCCAATATACGGAAACCCGTCTCTACTAAAAATACAAAAATTAGCTGAGCATGGTGGTACACACCTGTAATCTCAGCTAATGGAGAGACTGAAGCAGGATAATCACTTGAACCTGGGAGGTGGAGGCTGCAGTGAGCTGAGATCACACCACTGCACTCCAGCCTGGGCAACACAGTGAGACTATGTCTCAAAAAAAAAAAAAAAAACCCAAAACAACAAAACAACAACAACAACAACAACAAACTAAGGAATATAATGCTCCAAGAAGTAAAGGAGTATACAATAATGTCTCATCATAAAGGATATCAAAAGAGATAGAAATTATTTTAAAAGAACCAAATGGACATTGTTTTAGTTGAAACATACAACAACCTAAATACAATAACCTCAAGTATATAGAAATTAACTATATACTTGAGATGTCAGAAAAAACATCAGTGAACTTTAAGTGATGAATTAAGATTATGCACTCTGAAGAACAGGAAAAAAAAGGCAAAAAATGAACAAAGCCTCAGAGAAATGTGGGACACCTCTAAATATACCCACATGAAAGTAGTGGGAACTCCAGGGGGAGAGGACAGACAGAAATGTGCAGAAAAGTATTTTAAGAAATAATAGCTTAAGATTTCCCAAACTTGATTAAACACATTTATCTATACATGCCAGATGCTCAGTGAAATCCAAATTACATAAATGCAAATATAAAATAGATGCATCAGAGTAAAAATGTTAAAATGCCAAAAGAAAATCTTGAGAATGAAAAAGAACTTTTCACATACAAGGGAAACTCAATAAAAAATGTCAACTGACTTATCAGAAAAAAAAAAAAAAAAAAAAAAAGGAGACCAGAAGCAGTGAGATGATATTTTCAAAGTGCTGAAAGAAAAAGGAAATGTCAACCAAGAATTCTCACCACTCTTATTCAATATTTTCCTAAAAGTGCTGGCAAAGACAATATGACAAGAAAAGGAAATAAAAGCTATACACATTGTGAAAGAAGAACTAAAACTATTTGTTCACAGGTGATTTTATTGTCTATGTAAATAATTCCAAAAAAACATTGACAAAACAGCCCCTAGAATAAATGAGTATGTCAAGCTTAAAGGATACAAAGCTTAATACGTAAAAGTCAACTGAATGATCAATTCAAATTTGAAATTAAAAGCATAATGCCATTTAAACTGGAACAAAAATTCAATATTTAGACATAAATCTAAAAATTACATATGAGATCTATGTGAGGAAAACAAAAAAAAATTTTTTTTTTTTTTTTTTGAGACAGAACCTTGCTCTGTCTCCCAGGCTGGAGTGCAGTGGCACAATCTCAGCTCACTGAAAGCTCCACCTCCTGGGTTCACACCATTCTCCTGCCTCAGCCTCCCAAGTAGCTGGGACTACAGGTGCCCGCCACCATGCTTAGCTAATTTTTTGTTTTTGTTTTTGTTTTTTTTTTTTTAGTAGAGACGGGGTTTCACCATGTTAGCCAGGATGGTTTCGATCTCCTGACTTTGTGATCTGCCCAGCTCAAAGTGCTGCCTCCCAAAGTGCTGGGATTACAGGCGTGAGCCACTGCATCCAGCCAAAAAAGCTAAAAGACTTTGATGACAGAAAACAAACATCTGAAATAAATGAAAAGATATTCCATATTCATGGATACAAAGGCTAAATATTCTTAAGATGTCAATTCCTGCCAACTTGATCTGCAGATTTAATACAAACCCAGTCAAAATCCCAGCAAGTTTCCTTGTAGATATGGACAAACTGATTCTAAAGCTTATATAAAGAGGCAAAAATCCAAAATAGCTGATAATAAAGACAAACAAAATCAAATGACTAACACTATCTGACTGCAAGATTTACTATCAAGCTAAAGGAATCAAGATAGTGTGGTATTAGTAAAAGAACAGACAAGTCAATGGAACACAACACAGAGCCCAAGAATAGACCCACACAAATGAGGTCAACTAATATTTGAGAAAAAAAGGAAAGGCAATCCAAAGGAGAAAAGATGCTTTTTAACAAGTGGTGCTGGAACAATGGAATTTTTACAAATAAAATAAATAAGTGAATCTAGATACAAACCTCATACCTTTCACAAAAATTAACTCAAAATGGATGGTAGACCTAAATGCAAAACACAAAACATAAAATTCCTAGAAGATAAAACAAGAGAAAATCTAGATGACCTTCTCCTTGGCAATGAGTTTATAGATACAATACAAAAAACCAATCCATGAAATAAACTATTAAAAATATGAATGTCTGCCGTTTTCTGTAAGATACTGTTAAGAGAATCAGAAGACAAGACCATACTGGGAGAGAATTTTGCAAAACATGTATCTTAAATTGAACTTATATCCAAAATATATAAAGGACTTTTAAAACTCAGTAAGAAATCAACCCTATTAAAAAGTAGACAAAAACTCTGAATACGTATCTCACCAAAAAAGATATAAAGATGGCACAAAGCATGTTTTTAAATGTTCAACATTATATTTAATTAGGGAATTGCAAATTAAAACAATGAGATACCACTACACAACTATTAGAATGACCAAAATCCAAAATACTGACAACACCAAATGCTGGCAACAATGTACAGCAGCCGGAAACTTATTCAATGCTGACGCACCTGCAAAATAGTACAGCCAATGTGAAAAATGGTTTGTCATTTCTTACAAAACTAAACATACTCTTATCTTTCAGCAAACATGTTCCTAAGTATTTACCCAAATGAGTTGAAAACCTCCACACAAAAACCTGCATGCAAATGTTTATAGCAACTTTTCTGATAATTTCCAAAATTTGGAAGCAATCAAGTTATCCTTCCATAGATAAACTGGTATGTTAATGCAATGGAATATTGTTTAGCCATATAGCTCATTTAAAAATAAATGAAAAGACATGTAGGAAGTTAAAATGTACATGGCTAAATGAAAGACGACAATCTGAAAAGACAACACACTGTGTGATTCCAACAATAAAATGTTATGGAAAATGCAAAAAGGTAAAAAGAGTGGTGGTTGCCAGAGCTGGAGAGAGGTCAAGGGAGTAGAGATGATTAGGGGATTTGCACAGATGATTTTTAGGGCAGTGAGACTATTTTATATGTTATGTGTTACCATGATGGTGGATACATGACATCATGCATTTGGCAAAATCTGTAGAACTGAAAACCACAAAAGGTGACCCCGATGAAAACTACAGGCTACTTTTAATTCCAGGGTAAATGTGTAGGATGCATAGGTTTGTTACATACGTGAACATATGCCATGGTGATTTCCTGCACCTATCAACCCATCACCCTAGGTAGTAAGCCCAGCATGCATTAGCTATTTTTCCTGATGCTCTCCCTCCCCCTGGCTGCCCAGTATGACAGGCTCCAGTGTGTGTTGTTCCCCTCCCTGTGTCCATGTGTTCTCGTTGTTTAACCCCCACTTATAAGTGAGAATGTATGCTGTTTGATTTTTTGTTCCTACGTTAGTTTGCTGAGGATAATGGTTTCCAGCTCCATCCATGTCCCTGCGAAGGACATGATTTCATTCCTTTTTATGGCTGCATAGTATTCCAAAGTATATATGTACCACATTTTCTTTATCCAGGCTAACATTAATGGGCATTTGGGTTGATTCCATGTCTTTGCTATTGCGAATAGTGCTGCACTGAACATACGCATGCATGTATCTATATAATAAAATGATTTCTATTCCTTTGGGTATGTATCCAGTAATGGGATTGCTGGGTCAAATGGTATTTCTGGTTCTAGGTCTTTCAGGAATCGCCAAACTGTCTTCCAGAATGGTTCAACTTATTTATATTCTCACCAACTGTGTAAAAGTGTTCCTATTTCTCCACAACCTCATCAGTATCTGTTGTTTGACATTTTAATAATCGCCATTCTGATTGGCATGAGATGGTATCTCATTATGGTTTTGATTTGCATTTCTCTAATGATCAGTGATGTTAAGCATTTCTTCATATGTTTGTTGGCCACATAAATGTCTTCTTTTGAGAAGTTTCTGTTCATGTCCTTTGCCCACTTTTTGACAGAGTTTTTTCTTGTAAATTTAAGTTCCTTATAGATTCTGGATATTAGACTTTTGTCAGATTCCAAAAATTTTCTCCCATTCTGTAGATTGTCAGTTCACTCCAATGACAGTTTCTTTTGCTGTGCAGAAGCTCTTTAATTAGATCCCATTTGTCAATTTTGGCTTTTGTTTCAACTGCTTTTTACATTTTTGTCATGAAATCTTTGCCCATGACCACGTCCTAAATAGTATTGCCTAGATTTTCTTCTAGGGTTTTTATGGTTTTGGGTTTTAAATTTAAGCCTTTAACCCATCTTGAGTTAACTTTTGTATAAGGTATAAGGAAGGGGTCTGGTTTCAATTTTCTGCAGATGGCTAGCTAGTTTTTCCAGCACCATTTATTAAACAGGGAATCATTTCCCCATTGTTTGTTTTTGTCAGGTTTGTTGAAAATCAGGTGGTGTAGATTTGTGGTCTTGTTTCTGAGCTCTCTATTCAGTTCCATTGGTCTATGTGCCTATTTTTGTACCAGGACTGTATTAGTCCATTCTCATGCTACTAAGACATACCTGAGACTGGGTAATTTATAAAGAAAAGAGGTTTAACTGACTCACAGTACAGCATGGCTGGAGAGGCCTCAGGAACTTATAATCATGGCAGAAGCGGAAGCAAACACAACCTTCCTCACATGGCAGCAGCAAAGAGAAGCAAAAGGGGGAAAAACCCCTTTTATAAAACCATCAGGTCTTGTGAGAACTCACTATCGCAAGAACAGCATAAGGGTAACCATACCCATGATTAAATTATCTCCCACAGGGTTCCTCCTACAACACACGGGGATTATGGGAACTACAATTCAAGATAAGATTTGGGTGGGTACACAGCCAAACCATATCAAGTACCATGCTGTTTTGTTTACTGTAGCCTTGTAGTATAATCTGAAGTCAGAGCATAATGCCTCCATCTTTGTTCTTTTTGCTTAGGATTGTCTTGGCTATACAGGCTTTTTTTTGTTCCATATGAATTTTAAACTAGTTTTTTCTAATTCTGTGAAGAATATGACCTCAATTTGTTTACATCTGCAAAGACCCCCTTTCAAAATGATATCACATTCATAGTTATCAGGGTTAAGACTTCAACATATCTTATTGGAGGACAAATTTAACCCATGACAAAGAATATCTATTAGAAAAAAAACCCCACAGATAACATCATACTTAATAGTGAAAGAGTAAATGCATATCCCCTAAGATCACAAACAGGATAAGAGTGTCTGTTCCTGCCACTTCTATTCAGATTTGTACTATAGTTCCTAGCTAGGCATATAAGGCAAGAAAAAAGAATGAAAGACAGCCAGACCTAAAAGGAAGATGTAAAACTATATTTGCAGATGACAATTTTGTATGTAACACAATTTTAGGAATTCAATAAAACACTAATAGAATGAATAAACAAATTTAGAAAGATTGCAGGATACAAGGTCAAAGTATAAAATCAATTGTATTTCTATGCACCGGCAATAATCTAAAAATGAAGCAAATCAATTCCATTTACAATAGCATCAAAAAGAATAAAATATCTCCAAAAATAGCAAAATAGTTCAATACCTGTACACTGAAAACTACAAAACTTCATTGAAAGAAATTAAAAATATAAATAATTGGAAAGACATTCCATGTTCATGGATTGGAAGACTTAATATTGTTAAGATGGCAAAATTCCCCAAATTGATCATTTTCAACATACTGTTATCAAAATCCCAACTGCTTTTTTTTATTTTAAACAAATTCTGTAAGTCATGAGTCCGGGCAGAGTTTATCTGAGTCTTTTACTCATAGTCTCACAAGACTTCAAACACGGTCTCAGCCAGACTGCATTTCTTTCTGGAGCTTGTGTTCCTCTTCAAGCTCATGTGGTTGATGGCCAAATTTAGTTCTTGTGGCTACAGGACTGAAGGCCTCAGCTCCTAGAGATGATCCACAGTTGCTTACCACATGGCCCTCTCACAACATAGCAGCTCACTTCTCCAAGGCCAGCAGGAGAATCTCTCATGCTAATCTGCAAAGATATGTCTTATAACCACAGGTATGTGTATACCATCTTATTTGTTATATTTATTGAGTAGAAATAAGTCACAGGTTCTGCCCACACTCAAGTGAAGGAGATTATCCAAGGGTATAACATATTGTGAATTTCTTTAAAGGCAAGACATCCCTTAGAGTTGTCTCACTTGTTGAGCAAGGAGGTAGGAATTATCTGTCTACCAATTCCTATTTGTCATTGGTATGGATGTTCCTGGAGTTGTTATCTTGCTAGCATTCCTGGCCAGGTCCACATTGAGCAAAGTGCATCCAGAGGAAGCCCTCAAGTAGTGAGTCCCATTGCTTAGAATAAGCCTTCAGCATGTTTGAGAACTGTGAGGGCCTACAAGAAGTTAGCTGGATACTGATAGCACCTGCTGTACTCCTATAAGAGGAAAAGCCTCAGATGAACTTAAAGTTGGGGGTGGGGGGCGGGGGGTGACAACAAATTCAAATACTTTAAACATCTATTTTCTAAAAGATACTTCAAATATCAGGTATAAATACAAAAGGTTGAGATTATAGGATATGGACAAAATACTTGTAATAAATGTATGAAAGTTCTATTATATAACAATAACTATGGTGCTCATAATGTTTAAAGCTTTTGATTTTTTAAAAATCCAAGAAAGTCTTAAAAAAATACTAAGCAGAAAACTTTATAACACATTCCCAGACTCCAGGCCTCATCCCAGGTTTTTGGCAGAAACCTTCCCTCAGAGGTGCTGAGCAAAGGTTATGGTGAACATGCCAGAGTGCCACAGGAGAAAAAGTAGGAGTCATAGAAGTCTTCAGACTTCCCTGAAACTTGAAGAGATAGAAGTTTCGTTTTATGTCTTCCATCTATCAATCAGTCTCATATGCAAGGTACTTGGTTTCCCCTTGGGGTTCCTCTTTTCTCTGAATACTAATTTGGTCTCCAAAAGGAAAAGTGATGAATTCTAGACTATGTCCTTTGGAGTTGAATCCTCTCATAGTCATACCTTAGCCATACCTTTCCCTGGGATTACTATCAACAGAAGCATTTATGGCCAGGGCTGGGTTAGTACCACATCCTCACTGCTCACTCCCTGGTGTGCATTAATAGAACCAAGAATGACATAGCAGTCCATGAAATGGATAAATATGCATAGGTTGATGTCCTGGCTCTCTCAATTACAGACTGTGTGACCTTAAGCAAGTCCCTTAACTGCTTTGTCAGATAGGTTTTCAAATGGTAATAAAGAGATTGAATGAGTTCTTAGCTCTCTTCACACTAAATGTCCTGAGCTCATCAGGTCTCTCTAGAACAGCACCCACCTAACACATTTCTGTGATGATGAAGATGCTATCTGTTCTGTCCCATACAATAACCACTAGCCATACTGAGCAGTTGGAAGAAGGCGAGGACTAAGGAACTGGATTTTTTAAATTCCAATTGATTTAACTTTAAATAGCCACATGTGTCTGGTGGCTATTGTACCAGACAGTACAACTCTAATGACAAAAGGATGGGTAGAGAGAATATTTTCTTACTAATATGCAATCAAACAGTTATTTCATTTTGTTATTCATAGAGTTGTTACAGGGATTAAATGAAAATACATGTAGAGAACTTCAAACAATACCTGGTCCATAGCAAGCACAACATAAATGTTAGCCTTTGTATTAGTCCTCTTATTTTATTAGTTGGTTGTTAAATTTTAATTACTAACTAGCTTATTTTTGGCTTTGATAAGATAAACAGATTTATGAAACTCTGAGCAATTATCCCCTTTGGCTCAATATTTATCTGGATGGGAAAAGGAAAAATGGGGCTTATGAGTATGATAGAAACAGTTAACCAATTTCTGACAATTTAACTTAACCGGCAGCATAATCCCAAAAATTTAGACTTGAATTTTCTCTTTATAGAGTAGTTTCCATTTGTGATATTTTTTGTATAATTTCAGCTCCATTTCCTCTGAGCCCTTAAAGGGTCTCAACCTCCTTTTCTGTGGCTTGATAGTTTTACAACCACTGAAAATAGCTCATTTTACCTCTTGTTAGGTGCCCTTCCGAGCAAGATAAGATGGCTAATTACTTATGCCATTAACCAAACGCAATTCCAGCTAATTGACAAAAAATATAGCAGCAATTTTTGAAGAACAAAGTTGTATGAAATACAAGGTCATACTTCAGAAGTTTGTCCCCAGGAACAAAGAATTCTAAACATTTACTGTCTTCCTGCAAATTCTGCTAAAATCTATGCCTATTATATGATATCCCAGAACTATGGAGCTTCATTATTTAACCAAAATTGAGGGTGTCTGCTACGTACAAGAAGCTCTGCTAAGCATCATGAAGGAAACAAATGTATCTAAGATGTAGTCCCTGACTCTCAAGATGCTTGCATTCTCTCTTCTACTTATAATGCTTCGGTGGGTCCCCTTAACCCCTAGGATGGTATACCTAGCACAGGCCATAATCCATGGTGCTATAGCCCCAGCTTTCCTACCCAGCCTGTCTCCTCCGATGGGTCCCATGTTTCAGTGATGTGAGAATACTCTGTGCTCTTTCATCAGTGCCCTCCTGCAGCACATGCAAGAACTAACCCCCACATCACTCAACCAACACTCATTAAAGGCCAGTCTCATTTTACCCTGACACACACACACCCCATTCATTCACCACTTCTTAAATCCTTACATGATTTCTTCTATGATAACTGCCCCAAAGCCTTTCTCTTTTCTTTCTGCTGACATTGCAGCTTGAGCATAACAATATGGCAATGGCTGTGATGGAAATAATGTTTTGTGAATCATTCAACCTTGAAATCGTAAGTTCCTTGAAGACAATGACCAAGTCTTCTCATTTTTATAACCTCAGGTCCTAGACAGAGGAGGTTTCCAGAGTTTACTTAATAACTATAAAAATGAGATTACTATATGATTGAACTAGATTGCAAAGCAAAATATCACAAGATACATTCAGATTTTCAAATAAATTTCCATGGGAATTTAAATGGGATATAGGTTCATGTAATAAGATGTATCAGAAAAATTTCATCATTTTTGCTTAAGGTGACAACTAAATCAGTCCCTGAAGTTAAAGGCAGAGATGAGAAGGAAATCATATCACACATGGCAGACAGGATCTAAGAGGTAACCACTGTTACCAATATTTATTTACTCACTCCATGACCATCTATTTGCTGAGTGCTTTGAGAAATCCAGGGAGAATGCATAATTTCTGTCCTCAAGGATCTCTAGATGTAACAGAGCAGATAAGAGTCTCTGTGTATTCTTATATAGAAGGATATACTTTAATATGTTATATTTATATTTATATAATATCTATAAGCTTATATTTAATGTAATATATGATACAAGCACATTCTGAGAATGCCATTCAAAAAAAAAATTCAGGTTCTTCCTTCAGAGAGCTCAAAAGATGACATAATACACAGGCTAGGGGAAAGTGGATGACAGTTTTAGTCAAGCAGACACCTTCGAGATGGGATTATTTGTGCTTTTTGCAACCAGAATGTGATGTAAAGTGCATACAAATCCATTCAGAAGTCATTGAAGGAAGAATAGCAAATTGGAGGTTCTTCTATCCAAGCTGTGGACACAGAACCCTGGGACAGTACAGGTTCCCTCAACTGCTTCCTTCTTTCTCTTAGTCAGCATCCCACCCATGCAATGTTGCGTTTCAACTCCTGGATTCAGATGAACTGCCATAGTGCAGAACATGAATCTGACTCCCTGAGCAGCTATTGGTGGGCTAGTGATACAGGAGCCTTAACACTCTCCTTAAGGACCAGAGGAAGCAAAAGACAACAGAAGGCAGGCAAATAAGTCTCTCCTTTCTCTCCGCAGTGAAGTTATCAGACGTGAATTTCTGAGAATGTTTCGCCAAGCTTCAGTTAGGTATTTATTTCTCAATCACCTGTGACTGGAGGATTTCTAGAGGTATATTTAGGGGTGACTGCCAAATGACTCAACTCAGATTATCAGTAAAAAATTCAAAGAATGAGGGCAGCAAATATCTTAGAAGAATCTGCAATGGAATCCTAAGGACAAACACCTCAAAGCAATGTTCCCATCTCATATTCATGGTCATCAAGTTACTTACACACAAATTCATAAGGAGAAAAAACAAACTGGAAATAAAGACTTACCTATTCTCTGGGCGCTATCATTAACGCAGCTAAGTATGATGCCCACCCTATTAGGTCCTAATGCACTAAACAGATTAACCAATCTGAAAAGATCATTTTCATTTACCAAAAGAATTCAGAGTTTAAACTGCACTTGGGTATTGTTTCTGTTTATTTGCCTCAGACTCTGCCTCAGGCTCATTGAACACTGCTCAACAAAAAGAGCATCTCAGTACAAGTTCAAGGCAAAATCCCAACTTTAGGAAAGTATTGACAACTCTTAAAAAACTAAGAAGAGCAGGCCTTAAATTCTGCCTCCACTGTGGAAAGAGCAAGTGACTCTTTTACAATACTATTGTCCCAAGAGGTATGTTAGCAATAAACATTACAGGAGTCTAGTATCACTTAGAGTTCCTTGTTTCCAAACTGCATACTAAAACAGCCAGAAATTGTTCCTTCTAACAGTTCGATCAACTCTATTTTGAACAAGAAGATAATCTGAAACCCCTATTCTGTGTCTTCTTGAATGGTCATCAGAATAGAAATTTTGTGCTGCTTCTACCATGCACATACTTTTATTTTTTAGATTTAATTTCTTTGAAATGAAATAAGGTATAATGAAATTAATATGTTTTGGAGTCAGAATTGGACTTAGATTCTAGATCTGCCTCTTAATTGTTATGTGACTGACAGCACAGGTCCTTCAGGAAGCAGAACCTAGTGGGAAGAATGAAGTGTTAACACCTTACTTGGGAAGTACAAGACTGTAGGGGTAAAAACGAAGAGGAAAGACGTGAACAAAGTGTGATGTGATACATTAGGAAACTGGCTACTACCCACAACAAGCTGGGAAAAGACAAAGCAAATTAAGTGACAAGTTCATTCCTTTGGAATGCAGGGCTTCTTTAGGCAGGTTACCAAAAAAAAAAAAGAAATAGAAGAGTCCACTGAAGGTGGAGGGAAAGATGGAAATTTATGTTCATCTTCCATTTTTCATTTCCCATTGGTCAATATTTACCCCATGGGGAGTTAACTGGCCTACATTTCTAAATCGTCTCATCCAACTACTCAGCAGTCACTTAGGAGGTGGGATCCCATTCCCAGTGGTGTGTTTCATCTGATGTTCGTTTTCTATTGCTGCTTAACAAATCACCACAGATTTTCTTCTTAAAACAACACGAAGTTATTATCTCTGTTTCTTTGGGTCAGAAGACCAGCAGGATCTAGCTGGGTCCTCTGCTCAGGGTCTCGTAAGGTAGAAATCAAGGTGTCAGCGGGCAGCATCTGCATCTTTAGGCTTGACTAAGGGAAGATTCACTTCTCACCTCCCTCGGGTTGTTGACAGAATTCATTTCGATGTGGCCATATGACTGAGGTCTCTGATTACATGCTAACTGTTGGTGTGGGACCACTTCAGCTCCTAGAGGCCTCTCTTGTCTCTTGGCCATGTTGCCCTCCTCACAGCATGGCCATTTACCACAGGCCAGCAGAATAAGCATTTTTCTGATGCCTCCTCACCTTCTCTTACAGGACTCCCCTTGCTATAGACTGAATGTTTTAGTCCCCCACAAAATGCATATGTTGAAACCTAATCACCAATGTAATGGTATTAGGAGGCAGGACCTTTAGTAACCAAATTAGGTCATGAGAGTGGCATCTTCATGAATGGGATTAGTTCCCTCATAAAAGGTACCCCCATGGAACTCCCTCACCACCTTCTTCCATGTGAGGACACAGTGAAAAGATTACCACATGTGAACTAAGAAGCAGGCCCTCCTCAGACACCAAATCTGCCTACACCTTGATCCTGGTCTTCCAGTCTCCAGAACTGCAAGAAATAAATGTATCTTGTTTCTAAGACACCCAGCCTATGACATTCTGTTATAGCAGCCCAAATGAACTAAGACATTCCTGATTAGTTAATAACTTCCCTTTTGATTAACTCAATGTCAGCAGATTAGTGACCCGATCATGACCATGCTATCCTATCATATTCATAGGCTCTGCCCACACTCAAGAGGAGGGTATTATACAGTGTGTATATACCACATGCAGAATCTACAGGTCATTTTAGAATTTTGTCTGCCACAACTCAGTTCCAGCATAGGAAGGGTGGCCAGGTTGTTGGACATCAAATGAGAGAGAAAGAATAAGTTCGGCAACATGGGGAATACAAAAAATGTTTGTATACTAATACACTGACCTTGATCAATTTTTTTTTTAGTATTTTCTTCATGTTAAAGGTTAAAAAAATAACCGAGGCTAAAAATCTTTCATCACTGGTGGGAGGAAGTATTACACTAGGGTTCACATTAGCTATCATTTATTTCTGTTTCCTTTATGCCAAACACTAAGACGTGCCCTCCACGTGCATTCTCATTCAACCACTTTCTATCTCAACAAACCAATGAGTTTGGTCTTCAAGCCTCATTTTACAGATGAGAATATCCATCTTGGTATTACTGCCTACACTTCATATAACCTACTTAGCACAGGTCTCACATAAAAGCATATTTTGAATAGTGGCTATTTGTCTAAAAATTTTTTGGTGAATCATACTTTTCTATTTGTATAAAATTTAATCGATATGTGCCAATAAGAATCCCCATCTCTCACCCACCAAAAAAAAAAAAAAAAAGAAATAAATCAGATAAATTTTCAGAAAAACTTCTTAAAAGTAGCTTTTGGCTTTTTGTGTTACTATTTTAAGCATTAAATTGGATTTTATCAAAGGAAATAAGAGTTTAATTTCACTAATGTGTATGTGTTTTGATCCAGTAAATGTGTACTATCTTTAACTGTAGAGATAAGTCTTTCTTGCATCTATGTTTTTTTCCCCTTGATCCTACCCAAACTCAGAACAGACTTACTTCCAAAAGAAATAGCATGTATCTTTCAAAAATACAAATTTAAAATAAACAATGCATCTTTTTATTCCTTTTAACTATAGAGCTGCTGCTGCCTCACTCGTCTTCCCCACTAAGAGTCAGGGTTTACCAGTTTATCTCCTCAGTGTCTATTCCTATCTTTCTCCTCCTTGCCATTGCTGTTGTCATGAAAATAAAAGCAAAAAAAAAAAAGGCACTAAAATAGCCAGTTTACAGGAATGAGATCCAAAGGCGAACTATATTTTAGCAATATTCCTACCAGAGAATTACTACAACTCAGTGCCCCTTAGCCATTTTCAAGTGAACAAACCAGTCTCCAAACAAAACATATGAAATGAAATCTATGAGAACGTATCAGTCAGTTTGAGGTAGGTTATGCTGTCATAATAAACCCTCAAACATTCTCAGTTTCTTACAATAGCAGAGGTTGATTTCTCACCCAACTTTGCCATTTCATCATGGGTCAGCTGTGGCTTTGCTCCATGAGTCTTTATATCAAGCTCTAGACTGATGAAGTAGCCCATAACTGGAATATTTCTCATTTTGTGGGAAAAGTAAAAGAACTGCAAGTAAAACACCAAGCAAAGACTCTTGCTTGTTCAGAAGATACACCCATCATTTTCACTCATTGGCCATTTCACTTTACTGCAATTCAGATAGCCAGGCCTAACATCAACTCCTTCCTTAGTGGGGAGTAGCAAATATTTTAAACAATAGAGTTTAGTATGGTAAATCATATTAATGACATAAATATAAATTGCTCTACCACATCAAAGTAGAAGTAATATCATATTACTTTGTATATCACCAATGATTCAATTCCCCAAATCAATGACTTAGACTTTCTACCAATTTTGGTACATCGGATCCTTGAGTTAGGTCTACTTTTATTTACATTAAATCCTGACTGATAATCGAAGATCACAGCTCAATAGCACAGGGTGTAACTTCCAGAGAAAACAGCTGCCTGACAACTATGGGGTAAGACCTCTCTGTCTAGCACTGTTGATCTCCCTAGGGTCCTACAAGCCCAACTAGCCACTGCCTATCCAGTGTGGTGCATTCAAAGTCAGACAACTCTGCTGTCAGTTTCACTCTCTATGGCAAGCTTACATATAGGGGACATTAAGACTCACAAGACAATACCCAGGTTACAGATATACAGGTGGCCAAATATTCTTGTGATTCAGCTACTTCTAAGGTGTTGTTTTTAAGCAGGTTCAAGTCTACTAGTGTACCTATAGAACTTGATAGTGTGATCTTCCAACTTTGAGAAACACAGTATCACAGAAAAAGTAGCAACACTCTTCACCCCTTGTAGCACTATACCTTTATGTCTCTGGAATAGCACCTCTTAATTTTCAATGAAACTTGTAGTAGATGCTGTGGTATACCACTCAAATCCCCCTTCAGGATTAAGATGCTCATTCTCCCAGCCACAAGTGGGGTTGGCTACTAATGGCTAGCATCTGTGTCCATATACAAGCATTGCCTTTGGCTAAAGAAAGCCACAAATGATACTTTTCCTCCCCAGAACAATCCACATTCAGTAACTGATTGATGTGCTAGTACAAAATTCTGGCCCTTTACCTAAATCAGGAAATTTCTGAAGGATCATTCTTAGGTTTTTAGTTCCCCATGAGATTAGCTGAAGCTGCTATTGCAACTGAATTGCCACTCAGTTTCTCCCAAGTTCCATTCTGCATTCATTGTTTCCTCAAATGTGTGGATCTAGAGAGCACTTCCAATAAACATACTGCATGAAAATTCCAATGTTTCAGGGTCTGTTTCCCATGGAACCTGATCTGCAACAGTTGATACTGGAATTGACCCCACAAAGCAGACTCTAAAATGGATGCTTAATCTGGATCACTCCCTGACCAGCTGGCAAAGAAGACTTCATCATTGGTGGTAAGAGGAGTATAGATTCCCCCTGGTTTGCTGTAGTGCTGCAATCATTAAAAACTTTCATGGGCCATGAACTAATTGGGAAGGGAATGCACTATCAAGTGCAATATATGAGGCATTTTAGAAGTATACGGGAAGTAGTTATTATATGGATTATAGAATAGTTGGCTGTTGCTGGGTATACTCACTGCATTGAGGAAATCAATGGAAGTCTGAGGATCATTAATCACTAATTTAAGACAAAACATGAAGCCAGAGGCTCTCCTTGACAACATATAAAGAGACTCTTATCTCCTGCAGGCAGTGAGAAGACAAAATGACGATCTGGTCTAGATCTTAATTGTAGTGAAAGAGTAAAAGAACTCCAAAAAGAGTTGAATTCTCAACCTCAACAAGTCTACTTCAAGATCAGGGCTTGATTGAGAAACAGTCAACCAAGACACATGGAATGAGGACATCTGGGTCAAGGCACTCAAAAATCTTGAATGCCTTGATCCATCTAAGATTTGTGGGCCTGCAAAAATAGCCTGCCCACTACTTTGTGTTAAAGACACTCATCCCTGAGGAGTATGAGTCCTGGTCATCATTTCCTTCTTAGTCCATAGCTAATGGCTCACTCACCATCAAAACTGGGCAGTACAGTACAATGAGATTTCCCCCAGTGAATCAGCACACATTCTTTCCTGCCCCTTGTAAAATCAGCCTTACCTCCTCCTGGTGATTATGGTCAACTATGTCTGCCAGGATAATGACTCCTTTCCTTGCCTCCTCTTTTCTTGGTGTGGGCCTGAAATGTCTGGTCAGTAGCCATAGCTTTATTAGTATTTTTGCAGCATCCCCTGACAGAAATGCTTCCACTCTAGTAACCAGGACCCCCAAACTTGTAGAACCTTCCTCACTTGCAGAACAGGAAGCACAAATTCCCTAAGTGGACACTGGGAGTGAAAGTAAGTGCAACTACTCCTACTTAGACTCCTGGGTTTCCAAAGTCCATAGATTCTACCTTTTGGTTCATTGCCGGACATTGTGCCAGGTAATGGTCATTAATTTAGGGTATATACTGCAGTCTGAGAAATGCCATCCTATTCTTACAAGATATCATCTCCATACTGGCTCCTCAGCTGCATCCTAAGCTATTTTTTCCATTGGTCAAGCCATCAGGTTCTGAGTGATGTGGTAGGTAATAGGAACAGTGAATCTCATAGCCATATGCCTATGGCCACATCTCTTTTGCTGTTACATCAGTCCCTTGGTCTGGGATAATGTTACGATGAAATACTCTTTGTGTTCAAAGATCTTGCTGCTGGCTGAGGCCCTAAATAGAAAAAAAAAACTCATGCCTACAGTATCTCTCAATTAGAGTCACAGTGGATCACTGTTCCTTCCATGGTAGAAGTGGTCTCATGTTATTGTTGCTACCAAGTTACTATTTTATTTCCTCAAGGGATGAGACCATGTCCGGGGCCTAGCACTAATCTTTCTTGCTGGCAGGTTGGGAATATGGTGGCAGCAGAAGCTAATTAAAATTGGTGAGCAGGAGCCCGTGCTGTTGGGACCATACATACCCTCCACCCCTGCCATCATGGCTACTCCTTCAAGTCCCCAAGCACATGAGTAACCACTGACATAAGTTGGTTGATGTTAACCAAGTCACTCTGCCTACTTAGCTATTAACTCACTTCTGCAACACAAAGATCTTCACCTTTCATGCCAACTACTTTAAGTCCTCCTACATGCATCTTCCCCAGATCTCTTTTTCCCTGATCTTTCCATCTTTCTCCTGCTAGGCCTCTGAATAACCAACAAAGCCATCTTCTATTGCCCATGAATTAGGGCCTTTAGTAAGCCATCTTGACCTTTATTAAGCCTTAGTAAGATTTAGTAATCTCACCCTTTAGTAAACCATCTCGACCAAAAGACGTGCTAACCAAGGGTGAGGAATTTCTAAAAATGAGTATTAGAAGAGTGAGATGATGACTGTCCGTGGGATTGTCAAGATCATCTCTAGCTGCAGGAGCTGTAGTTTATCCCACTAATTTTCCTTTTATAAGTTTCTCCAGGAAAGAAACAGAAAAGAATCCTGGAGAAGCTCTTTCACAAGTGATATGAATTTACTATACAAAGTGAGTCCAAGTGGCACAAACCAAGTGGATCAAAACCAAGGCATGCATTTCCCTAGATACTGGAAATGTGGTTGCTACCATAGGCTCACAGTTGTATTCTGTTTGGGAATTACACTTGCTAATGGAATCTGCTTTGGTCAAGATGGCATTCACTCTACAGATTACCCAGGCAGGGGCACAATGTCCTGGTCTCTTTGCCACAGTTTGGGACTTCTCTGAAAGACCATCCCAGCTACAGAGTTTCTCCTGTTATTGAGACTGGTGTTGTAACTGTATCACTATTCAACTTTTCCCAGTGACAGTCCTGCTTTCTATGCCCCTTTACAGGTGTTCCCAAGAGCATTCTCCAATAAACCTTCTGCATACAAATGTTACAGTCTTGGAGTCTGTTTCCCAGGGTACTCTACCAATGACAAGCCTAGGCTGTTTAACAACGGCCTCTTTTGCGATAATCTACTTCTCATTTGTAATCTCTTCTTTCCATTCTTGACATAAATGGAAGATTTCTGAAAGCCAAGGTCACATATCAATAGTTAAATTTTCAGCAAATTGTACCCATATCCACTCCTTCTGGAGCAGAGGAATTCGAGTCCTAAATTGGTAGTGTTCAAAAGGGCCCCATGGTGGCTTAGGCTAATTCCAAGTAAGACAGCTTGCTAACTCAGCAACAACCAAAAAAATATATATCTTAAGAATGTCTAAGAAATTGGCCACTGGCCAAGAAGAAACAAATCTCATACATCAAGAATATAACCAAGCTGGGCCAGAAACTTCACAATAGAACCCTAAAAGTCAGCAAAATAGTCCAACAGAGGCCGGGCGCAGTGGCTCACACCTGTAATCCCAGCACTTTGAGAGGCCAAGGTGGGTGGATTACGAGGTCACGAGATTGAGACCATCCTGGCTAACACGGTGAAACCTTGTCCCTACTAAAAATACAAAAAAAAATTAGCCAGGTGTGGTGGTGAGCACCTGTAGTCCCAACTACTCGGGAGGCTGAGGCAGGAGAATGGTGTGACCCGGGAAGCGGAGTTTGCAGTGAGCCGACATCACACCACTGCACTCCAGCCTGGGCAACACAGTGAGACTCCATCTCAAAAAAAAAAAAAAAAAAAAAAAAAAAATTGTCCAACAGAGTCATTATAAATAGGGGCTTACCAGAGGGGGCTGGCTACAATATCAGTGAAAAGCCAACGTCACTGATGAATATGAACGGGGACTGACTTGTATAATTGACTTTGAGCTACAGAGGAGAAAAACTGGAAATTTTCTTGGAACAAATTCAAACACAAAAATGAACACAGAGTTTCAATCTGTTGGACTGATTTCTGACTTGTCCTTCTTAACCACTAAAAACGTCAATCTCTTCACGCTGCCAAGTTGACAATGCAAGTATCCAACTGTAGGAAGTAAACATGGAAAGAAAAAGAAACGAAACTTTATTTGATTTGCTTTTTTTTCCTTTTCCACATATTAATGAACTGATAGCAATCTTCCTTTTAACGTTGCTACTCGACGGATAAATGTTTTCTGATGGTTATAACTTCTAAAGCATATCATCTGACATTATTTTATAGGATATATTGAGTGTATAGCTAAGCTCAGTGATGTTTTAAATTTGTATACTCTTGTGCAGAAATCACCCAGATAAAAATATAGAGCCATCACACTAGAGAGCTGTCTCATGCCTCTTTCCAGCCAACAGTGTAACACCCACCTTCCATCCACTGAAGGTAAGAATTTTCTAAAGTCTGTCAATCCCTCTTTTAAAAGAAATCAAATCAAATCCAGAACCACTGTTCCTAAGATCTGGGTTCTCCTTACCATGGTTTGGGGTAGAGAGAGAGAAAAAGGGTAGACGGGGCTGAGGAATAAAAGTTTGAATACGCTTCTATGAAAGAAAAACTAGGAAAAGCTCCCATTTCTTCTTCCTGAGTCTACAGCAGTAAGAAACACACCCAAGTTAATTTTTTTTTCTTTTTTGGAGACAGTCTTGCTCTGTTGCCCAGGCTGGAGTGCAGTGGCATGATCTCGGCTCACTGCAAGCTCCGCCTCCTGGGTTCACGCCATTCTCCTGCCTCAGCCTCTGGAGTAGCTGGGACTACAGGCACCTGCCACCACACCTGGCTATTTCTTTGTATTTTTTAGTGCAGACGGGGTTTTACCGTGTTATCCAGGATGGTTTCAATCTCCTGACCTCGTGATCTGCCCGCCTCAGCCTCCCAAAGTGCTGGGATTACAGGCATGAGCCACCACGCCTGGCCTAATTCTTAAAGAATGATCCTATTTCATTAAATTTTTATCAAGACAGCAAACTATCTTGCTGTATTATATTTCGTTTCTTCATGAAATGAACAAAAAATACATCCACCAAGTTAAACAACAGAAAATAATTAGCCAGGCTTGATGGTTCACACATGTAATCTCAGCACTTAGGGAGGTTGAGGCAGGTGAATCACTTGAGTCCAGGAGTTCAAGACCAGCCTGGCCTAACCAACACAGTGAAACCCCATCTCTACTAAAAATACAAAAATTACCCAGGGTTGGTGGTGGCCACCTGTAATCCCACCTACTCAAGAGGCTGAGGCAGGAGAATCACTTGAACCTGAGAAGTGGAGGTTTCAATGAGCAGAGATGGTGCCACTGCATTCCAGCCTGAGCAACGGAGCAAGACTGTCAGAAAGAAAAAGATAAAGAGAAAAAAGAGAAGAGAGAAAAGAGAAAGGAGAAAAAAGAGAAAAAGAAAAAAGAAAGAGAAAAGAAAGAAAAAGAAAAGAGAAAAAGAAAGAGAAAAAAAGAAAAAGAAAAAGAGAAAGAAAAAGAGAAAGAAAAAGAGAAAAAGAGAAAGAAAAAGAGAAAAAGAGAAAGAAAAAGAGAAAAAAGAGAAAGAAAAAGAGAAAAAAGAGAAAGAAAAGAAAAAGAAAAAGAGAAAGAAAAAGAAAAGAGAAAGAAAAAAGAACAAAGAAAGAAAAGAAAAAAGAAAAAGAAAAAGAGAAAGAAAAAGGCAGCAAGGAGAGGAAAGGCAGCAAGGAGAGGAAAGGCAGCAAGGAGAGGAAAGGCAGCAAGGAGAGGAGAGGCAGCAAGGAGAGAAGCAAAGGAAGGATTTCAAAAGAAAAATCTTAGCTTTGTAAAAGAAACAAATATGTCAACAATAGCAAAACTTGTGCATTCGGTGAGGACTCAAATACCATCATATAAGCTAAATGAAGTTGCATCACTTTCAGCTTATTTTCTGAGTGGTTAACTAGAATTAGTTGTGTAATCACAGGACAAAAGAAAGCTTAACCTTTAAAAGCACATGCTATAGCTTATAAAAGGTCATGGATTAGAGTGTGAACATATCACTTGAATTCGTCCCTGGTGTATTGGAAAAAGAGGTAGAGAAGGGAAAGGAAGTAGGGGTGAAGAAGAGTTGACAAACATACTTCAAGGCAAGTTTGTACCAACTTCCTACCAAAAAAGCATAAATACAATAATATATACATTTATATATTAACATAAAAATATATATTATACAGACATATATATATAAAGTATATATATGTGCGTATATAAAGTATATACAAAATACTTCTCATTTTCTTCCTCAAAGCTATGACACTTTCCATTCCATCTCCTACTGGAGACATGCCCTGATGTCTCACCTGGACAGTCCATTGCTTCTTTCTTATTCTGTGACTCTCTCTGTCCAAGCTATTCTCTTTCCCAAAACTTCAGAGGTAGCTGAGTTTGAGACCAGCCTGGGCTACATGGAGAAACCCTGTCTCTACTAAAAATATAAAAATTAGCCCGGTGTGGTGGCGTGCGCCTGTAATCCCAGCTAACTCGAGAGGCTGAGGCATGGGAGGCAAGGCTAAGAATACTGTCTGCTACCCTAATGGAAATTATTAGCACCATGATAAAATTCTCCAACCCTTATTTCTTTCTATTTCCAAATTACGGAAGTTCTCTGGGGAACTCCCATCAGAATCACCTTGCTTTTCAGCCCAGGCCTTGCCTTTTGTGTCTTTCTTCAAGAATCTGGAATATTTATTTTCACGAAGAATAGGAAGGTCCTCATATATTTCCCTCATACATTCCATTTCCTTTTGTTGTAAGTTGGGTTCCCAAAGAAGCAGACTCTTCTTTAGAGTTTAGTATTCGGTATGTTTTTTAGGGAGTGCTCATGGGATCAACACAGGTAGAAGAAAGGGTAAGAAAGCTAGAGTGGACAGAGGGAGAAGTTGAACTCACCAGCAGCCTCAGCCACCTGGAGTTCTGGAGGGAGCTCAGGAGAGGGAAAGACCTGGCAGAGCTGTCCCAAGTTGAGCCAAAATGGCTTGGTCTTCATACTCTCACCTCGATTCATCACTGAATGTAGGCCACCTGCATTAGTCAGGGTTCTCCAGAGAAACAGAACAGAATGTATACCTACACGTATGCTATATATACAGAAAAAGAGATACAGAGATTTAATTTAAGGAATCGATTACTTTATTGCAGATGCTGGCAAAATCCAAAATCTCCCAGTTGGTTTGCAGGCTGGAGACCCAGGAAAGGGTTACGGTTTGAGTTGAAAGACTATTTGTTGGAAAAAATCCCTCCTTCTTCCAGGGAGGTCACTCTTTCTAAGGGTTTCAACTGATTGGATGAGATTCACATTATAATGGGTAATCTGCTTTACTCAAGGTCTAGTTAATCTCATCTTAAAAAAAATATCTTCAGAAACAGAATATTAGACCAAATATCTGAGTACCATGGGCTAGCCACGTTGACATATAAAAATTAACCATCATATCACCCAGAAAGAGACACGACGTTGAGAAGGGTGGCTCTTTATGGCTGAGACAATCCCTGAAAGGGCTGACAGCTGAAAAGTCTGCTGACAGCACTCCCAGCAGCTGGGGCAACGAGTCCTTCCTCCAAGTGAGACCTGGAGAGTGCATGCCTGTGTTCATCACTCAGATGAAGTTGACTAAATGTATTCAACAATTAAATTTACAATTTTAAAACCTTTTCAACGTATGTTTCAAAGCAAAGTTTTTGTTTGTTTGCTTTGAGACAGTCTCACCATGCCGTGTAGGCTGGAGTGCAATTGCGTGATCTCAGCTCACTGCAACCTCCACCTGCTAGGTTCAAGTGATTCCCATGCCTCAGCTTCTCCAGTTAGCTGGGATTACAGGTGCACTCCACCACACTAGGCTAATTTTTATATTTTTAGTAGAGACAGGGTTTCTCCACATAGCCCAGGCTGGTCTCAAACTCCTAGCCTCAATGATCTGCCCACCTCGGCCTCCCAAAGTGCTGGGATTACAGACTTGAGCCACCGCGCCCAGCCTTCAAAGCAAAGTTTAATAAACATATATGAAGATATAGAAATTAAGCATACATATGCCTTTTTGTTCAAAAGAAGTGATTAGGTAGAAGTGTTTTAAATATCTGAAATTTTTATTTATATATGCAGTAAGCCACAGTGTCGTGTCTTGTGTCGATGCTACACAGCACAGTTACCAGCACTCATCCACCGAGCCTCCCCCTTAGAGCTAGCTTACATCTTTTATCTCTTTCAGAGCCAGATACAGTAGCTTTTTAAGGTGGCTGGGGTGAAAAGGGGAAAATAGACAATTTAGAGAAACTTATTCTGTAACATACATAATTATTTGATAATAGCTCCTGAAGTCAACTAGTGACTATTGTTTAAGAATAACTTGTCAGAGTTCAGAACAGAAACACAAATCTATAGAGAGCCTATTTTCTATCTCACTCATTTTCTGTTTTTCTCCATATCGTACATTCATTGCCCAGCAATGAACATACTATACAGAGAGAGCCAATTAAATATTTACTGAAGTTTCTGGAGGAAAGAGAGAGGGAAAAACAATCAGTATGGGGAAAAGTGAGATTTCTACAGCCACCCTGAGGATAGTCAGATGACAGAGATAAGCCTTGTTGGCAGCATTTGAACCTCTGAATAAAAAAACAAAGTTAATCCTAAATTTTTCAGTTCTTTAAGTCTATGATTTTTTTCTATTTTGTACTTTTCATGAGATGTATCATACAAAAGAGATGCTAAGATACATGTGATATTTAAAGACAATTATAAAGCAAACACCAATGTAACCACAAATTAAGGCAAGAAATAGAATATTACCAGCACCTCAGAAGGCACCTAAGTGCTTCTCCCACCTGCCTATGCACAACCAGTTGCTTTGACTTTTCATTATTTCTTCTGTGTTGCATAGTTTTTGTTTCCCTTCCAGATCTACTGGCCATCCTTTACCTTACTGTATACGCCAGTAAAACAAAGTTTATGAATTATATTGACAGATTCTCTCTTGTCCTCTGGTTTCTAGTTGAGTGGGACCAAGAAGAGGTACCGGAGGAAGATTAGAAAGGGGGCAGGAAATGTTTTTGTCACCCCAGTTTAGAGCAATGTCTGACAGCAGCTAAGTCTCTTTTTGGTTTGCAGCTCCTGAAAGGCACAGCCCCTCCCTCTGTGATTCCCGTGCTGTCATGGTTCTATCTTCTATCTGAACAACTCAGCATCTGGTCTCTGGTAATAGTACCTTCTTCCTACATCCCTCCAGCCTACGGAGGTCCAGCTGTCGCTAATCTCTGGTAAAGTCCACTATCCCCTCTTTGGCTTAACTATTCTGTCGCCCATGTAATCATTTCCCTGCATTTAATTGCCCTATCAAAATACCTAGAATGGTTTTCTTTTTCCTGACTGGACTATGAAATTAAGAGAAAAATTAAAATGCTTTCTACAACATCAAAGCTTTCAACATTTGATCACCAATATGTTAATCAGGATAAGGAAGTTTCTCCTATTTATGGTTTGTTTTCCAGTTTTTTACTTGTGGTAAAATGCACATAACATAAAATTTACCATTAACATAAGATTTACCATTTTAACTACTTCTAAGTATATAGTTCAGTGGTGTTAAATACATTCATAATGTTGTGCAACCATCACTTCCTCCCATCTCCAGAATTCTCTTCATCTTGTAAAACTGAAACTGACTCCATAATCATTGAACTCATTTCTCCCTCCCCCTGGCAACTACTATTCTACTTTGTCTCTACGATTTTGACTACTCTAAGTGCCTCATATAAGTGGAATCACATAGTATTTGTCTTTTTGTGACTACCTTATTTAGCACAATGTCCTAGAGGTTTATCTATGTTTTCACATGTCAGAATTTCTGAATATTCCATTATGTTTATACCACATTTTTGTTTGTCCATTCATCTGTTGATGAGCACTTATGTTGCTTTCACATTTTAGCTTGTGAATAATGCTTCTATGAAGATGAGTATACAAAATATCTCTTTGAGACCTTGCTTTCAATTCTTTTAGGTATATATGGAGAAGTGGTAATTCTATTTTTAATTTTTTTAGGAACTGTCGTGCTATTTTCCATAGCGGCTATATTATTTTACACTCCCACCAATAGTGCATAAGTGTTTCAATTTCTTCACGTCTTCACCAACATTTGTTTTCTGTTTGTGATAGCAGCCATCCTAATGGATATAAAGTAGTATCTCATTATAGTTTTAATTTGCATTTTTCTAATAATTAGTTATACCAAGTACCTTTTCATATGCTTACTGGCCATTTGTTTATTTTCTGGGTTTTGTTTTTTTTTTGTTGTTTTTGAGACAGTTTCACTCTTGTTGCCCAGGCTGGAGTGCAATGGCACGATCTCAGCTCACTGCAACATCCGCCTCCCAGGTTCAAGTGATTCTCCTGCCTCAACCTTCCCGAGTAGCTGGAATTATAGGCATGTGCCACCACACCCAGCTAATTTTGTATTTTTAGTAGAGATGGGGTTTCTCCATGTTGGTCAGGCTGGTCTCGAACTCCCGACCTCCAGTGACCCGCCCGCCTCAGCCTCGCAAATTGCCAGGATTACAGGCGTGAGCCACCACGCTCGGCCTGGCCATTTTTATGTTTTCTTTAGAGAAATGTCTATTGAAATTTTTGCCCATTTTTTAATCAGGTTGTTTGGTTTTAGTTGAGTTTTAGAGGTTCTCTATACTGAATATTAATCCCTCTCAGACATGATTTGCAAATATTTTCTCCCCTTCTCTGGGTTATCTTTTTACTCAATTACTGTTATAGATTTTTTAAAGTTTTTATCATGAATAGATGCTGAATTCTATATTTTACTATGTCTATTGAGATTTTCATATGATTTTTTTTCTCCTTTAATCTGTTAATAGAGCAAATTACATTAGTATTCTGTTTTCCCCCAAAGAATACTAGGGGAATTGAAAGGGAAATGAAGTGATAAGGAAATGAAACAGGAGAATAGCCTGTCCAAGGATGCCCTGGAGGCAATAGAGAATACGCTATACAAGGATGCCCTATCAAGTTGGCCACCTCTAAGGGTAACTGATGCTCAATCCCATTGAGCATTCTGAGAAGCCTGATGAATTTACATCCACTGAGGGGATGAAAGGACCAAGTATTTATCAATCCTCCAAAGGGGACCTCTCATTGGAAAAAATGCCACCCAAAATATTAACTCCTTCACTTTCATGTGGTACAAGATGAGTGCCAGTAGGTTCCCACAAGCACCTCACATTGAAGCGTCAGAAAAAAATCAGGAAGCAAGAAAAAATATCCAAGGCTGAGGTGAGGTGCTGTCAGGTTGCAGCTATGCAAATATGATTAAAGCCTGTGTGGCACTGTCTCCCTAACAACGGTTGGAGTAAAAGGTAGGGCCAGAGGATTTGAAGTAGTGCACAAAAGATGTTTGATGTTAAATCAATATTAAATGTTTAAACCTTACTTTCTCATTACATATTTATCTTTTCTATAAATTTCTATTTATATTGTGTTCTTATTCCATTTCTCTTAATTTTTTTCTCATCCTTAATAGGTGGTATCAAGGTTATTCTGACAGTATAAAAATAATTGGGGAAGTAACATATTTATTTCCCAAAAGAGTTTTAGGTTGAAAATATTTCTTCTGGAATGGTTAAGAACTCACTGATGAATATATATGATTTGGAATTTTCTTTGGTTTTAATGATGGTTTCAGTTCCTTTAATCATTAGGTAATTATGTTTTCTATTTCTTCTTGGGTTTTTTTTTTTTTGGTAAGTTGATTTTTTAACAGAAATATTTTCATTCTTCTAAATTTTCAAAGTTAGTGGCATAAATCTTTTAAGAACTAGAGGATCTGTAGTGATGTTCCTTTAATCATTTCCGATACCATTAGTTATGCTTTCTCCCTTTGGAAAATAATTCTAATAAGGTCAGTCATGAAACAAATTATGGAACTTTTAAATCCTCTCTATTATGTTCATCTTCTATTTCGGCAATATTTACTCTTAACCTTATTTATATCTTCTCGATTTTTAGGTTGGTTTGACTATTTTAATTTTTTAAACTTTTCTTGGAGTTTAGGTAAAAAGATGTATTAATTATAAACCTTGTGTCATGACGCTATTTTATATACTCTATTTGTCCTGCTTTTTCTATATCTTTTTTCCCTCTTTTCTTCTTTTGAATTATTTTTCCTTTTTCCATTTTTCTGTCAACTAGTTTGTACTTCTTTCCATTTCTGTTCTTTTAGTGGTATCCTAAAAATTGCATGTATCTTCTCATAGCATATTAATCTGTATTTTTTTTTTTTGAGATAAGTCTTGCTCTGTCACCCAGGCTGGAGTGCAGTGGTACAATCTTGGCTCACTGCAACCTCTGCCTCCTGGGTTCAAGCAATTCATCTGTCTCAGCCTCCCAAGTAGCTGGGATTATAAGCATGCACCACCACACCCAGCTAATTTTTGTATTCTTAGTAGAGACAGGGTTTCACCATGTTGGCCAGGCTGGTCTCAAACTCCTGACCTCAAGTGATCCACCTGCCTTGGTCTCCCAAAGTGCTGGGATTACAGGCATGAGCTACTGCACCCAGCCTCCCTTCTCCTTTTTACTCAACTCTTTTGTTATTGCCATCATGTACTTTGATTCTATATTTTAACCCAATTAAACGTTAGTAAATTTAAGTAATATTGTGTAAAACTAACATTTCACTTTTTTGGTCTTATTTCTTTCAATAACAAATTGTCAATATGGAATTATTTTTCTTCCACCTGACTTTCGAAACTCTTTTGTCAGGGACTGCTGATATGAACTGTCAGGGTCTTTGCTTGTCTGAAAATATCTTTATTTTGCCTTTATTCTTTTTTCTTTTCTATTTCACCTTCATTCTTGAAAGGCATATTTGAAGGTATAGTATTTTGGAAGATATATTTTTCAACTTATTATGGATCACATTCCATTGAATGTGATTATTGTTATCATTGAGGAGAAAGCCTACTAACTACCACTCATTGGAATTAATCTTTTTTTCTGCCTGAAGATTTTGTTTGCCTCTAGTTCTCTGTGGGTTCACCATGAGTCTAGAGCTTAGTTTCTTTTTATTTATTATGCTTTGGGTTCTTTGGGCTATTTGTGTCTTAGTTTTCTGGAATTGATGAAAGATTCCAAACGTATCAACTGCTATCTCTTTAAATATCAACTCTTCCTCACTCTGTCTCTCCTCTCCTTTTGGGGCTCTAACTAGAAGTATGTTACAATTTTTAACTCTATGCCTTAAGCCTCTACTGCCCTCACGTGTGCTTTCCATTTTTTGTCTCTGTGTTGCACTTCGGAAAATTTCTTTTGACCTGTCCTCCAGTTCTAGTATTCTAGTAATGAGAACATTAGTATGTTCTCATTCATTACCCAAGTTTCATCTGCTATTAGGCCCATCCACTCAGTTTTTTCATCAGTTTTACTGTGATGTAATTTATCATTCACTGAGCTTTAAATTCAGGCTATTAAATTTTTTATTTCCTAAAGTTCTATTTGGTTTACTTACAAGCTTGTCACTTTTTATAGTTTGATTCATCCTTAGATTTTCAAATCTGTCTACTTTGTTGTTTTATAATCAGTGTTTATTAATTCTAATATCTTTCATTTCTGTGGGTCTGTTTCTGCTGTTGCTATTGTAGCAGATGCTGTCTGTGCCTCACACCTACCCCTCAGACCTTTCCATGTGCTCTGGCTGACTCAACTGCCAACATCTGTACTCTGTACCTGGTGGCCCTTTTTGTCAGAACCACTGCAAGCTGTGTTACCAATCTGTGTGGCTGCCTACAAGTGCCAAGGAATTCACAATATCAATCCCCACACTGGAGTAACCATCAACCAAATAATGAACCGCAAGTGGCATATAAAGGTAAACTGCCTCACCTTTCAGGTGGTATTGAGATGTGGGTTTTATACTACACTTCCTAGAGTTTACTCGTGTGTCTATTTTTGTTGTTGTTGTTGTTGTTGTTTGTTTTTTGAGACGGTTTCACTCTTGTTGCCCAGGCTAGAGTGCAATGGCATGATCTCAGCTCACCATAACCTCTGCCTCCCGGGTTCAAGTGATTCTCCTGCCTCAGCCTCCCTAGTAGCTAGGATTGCAGACACGTGTCACCATGCCCAGTTAATTTTGTATTTTTAGTAGAGATGGGTTTTCTCCATGTTGGTCAGGCTGGTCTTGAACTCTGGACCTCAGGTGATCCGCCCACCTTGGCCTCCCAAAGTGCTGGGATTACAAGCGTGAGCCACTATGTCTGGCCGTGTCTATTAAGTTCTAACTACTCACTTTTGGTTTTATTAGCTGCCTCCCTGTATCACTTCTCCATTTCCTGGTTAGTGTCATCTGCATTTCCCAAATAAGACATGTACTCATAACCCTATCTGGGAGACTGCTACAGTGAAAACCAAAATTAAGATAGTTTCTTGTTTGCTTGTGTGCTTAGTTACCCAGAACTGTAAGTTTGTCATTTAACTTGGACATTTTCTGAGGAACTTCTTTCAGGGCCTAGGACATATATACATTTATCCAAATATTTGAATTTGCTTCTGCCAATCTCCAACTATTTTCTGGATCAAAGTGATGCAAATTTAAGCTAGCAATTCACTTAAGGGCCAGCCAGTATATTGTTCAAACTTCTCATTGCCTTTTAACTCCCTGCTCTGCTCAGTACAAAAGTAAATTTCCCTGCAGTCCCCTGGGAGTAGAGATCTACTAAAGATTTAATTCTGGATCTCCTTTACACTGAAGAGTGATGTTTTGAATCTCAGCTTTATTGAGGGAGGGTCTCTCATTAGGTGCCCCATCTTGGGGAAATGCCATCTTTTGTGATTTGATAAATGTTATTTGTCAAAACAAGATTTAATGTTCAATTTACCTCTCTGGGCTCCCACCTTTTTGATATTAACTGTATGATTTCTCACTATCATGGCATCTCTAACACTTTTTAGAAAATGTAGTTAATCCAGCATTTTTACTTGCTTTAAGTGGAAAGGTCAGTTTAAATACCTAACTATACATATTATCAGAAATTGAGTTCTATTCCCCTTTGTGGACAGCCAACTTGAGATAGGTTTCCCATCACTTGCACATGAGAAAGTCCTAATACATTCAGATAAGGAGATGTGACTACTCTTGCATCCAAATGATGTGCTAAAATGACTGGCTAAGTGTAGAAGCGATGCTACATTTTTGTCACTTGATCATTCCTTGAAGCAAAACTTCTCAGAACTTGAAGTATATTGTTTCTCTAGTATATTCTGTGCACATGTTTCTGTCACTTTGTGAGTATTACTGGGTTATATTATCAATTCCATCTAACTATATAAGCCATAAAGACCCTCGGGACTATGAACCAGACTCATTCATTCATTATTCAGTCAAAAAATATCTTTTTATTATGTTTTGTACAGTCACTAAAAATACAATGACAAAAGCAGCCCTGGTCCCTGCACTCATGTAGGTCACATACAGATGAGTAAAACAGACATAATAAAACAATCACATAAGAAAATGCATAGACATGTTGCTATGAAGTGCTATGAGAGTGTATAATATCGGAAAGTGTCCTAGCAGGCAAGTCAGGAAAGGCTTCTAAGGAAGCAGCAATTGAAGTTGTTAGCTTTGATGGAAAACATTTGACTTTTTTAAAGGAATTAAAATTTTAAAAAATTCTGAATTATTTAAAAAAAAAAAACAATTTTTGCACATGCGGGTCCCTAGACTGATTAAGCTGGAAACCAAGGAAATTCTTTTAACTCCTGTCCATATCAATAAACTCTATACGGGATGCTTTCTAACCACAGGGTCATGCCCTAACTATAAGCATTCATCTTATTAAAAATATCCATGTTATCCTAGTATTTTTTATTTTAGGTGAAATATAATTGGCCACAAGTTATTTACTAGCCAAGCTTAAGAAACTGGCTTAATTGGAGAACTCAAGGAACCTCTTGTTGTAATTATACCTGAAACACTAATATGTGGTGAGCATTATTTTTTGGACATATTTTTCAATGAAGTGTTTAAGATTTATGGGGTCATTTTTTGTGATTATTTCTGATGTTTTCAGACTATATTTACCATTTTCAGAAGTCAAAACAGCAGCTCTAACTCACTAAATCATTCCTGCACCTCTCATAATTCACTCTGCAGGGCACTAACTGAACCAGAACCATTCTGTGTTTTCATCTGCAAAGAAAGATCTACGAAGTAGAAAACTTTCAGTATTTGAGCCAAAGTAGGGCAATTCAATTTTTTATAAAAGTCACCTTGAATTTTCCAGTCTCCCAATATATCATTTCTCCTCACTTCACCAAACTCTCTAATTCTGTAGAAATTCACTTTAAGAGGTGCATTTTAAAATAAACATTTAAAATATCCCAGCTTTTTTTCTTCATATTAATCCTATAAGCTTAAAAATGTAATTTACCTAAATCAAGACTTAATTCCCAACTGTGACTATTCCATTGATAAATGCTTTTATTATGTTAGACACATAGCATGCAGTACAATTCCAAAATAAACTATGCAATACTGTCAGCTGTCTAAAATTTAAGACAATGAGTCAAAGAATCAATCTGCATTCACATAACATATTGTATTTGATAACATTAATTTCAAATGAAGATTGATTTTGATACTTAAGCTGATGATATTTGTCTTTTCAATTTCATTAATGCCATATTTTTATAGTATTAAGCAATAATTTGCCAAGGTGTTGGAACACATTTTATTGAAAATTATGTAAATGTTTGTCAATTATAAAAACCATTTGCATTATAAAACTGTTCTTCATATAATTTTGAGAAACCTTTCAAAACCATTGTTCAGTAACTTCTTAAGGCTACATCTCATAGAAGTTTTAAAGGTGGATATGTGTGTGTTGATACAGTTTATATTAGTTCTATTTCACATCACCTGAAAGAAAGGTCTATAAATCAAGGAAGAACAAATATATTTCACAAAGAGAAATGTAACTAACAAGCTGTTCATTTCTGGTTTGTCTTTACCTTAGAAGAACAGGATGAGTGACCAAAGTAAACCTCCAATAATCACGTGACTGCTAATGTTAACCCATTTTTATGTGACAAAATACTTTATGATGTTCTATGTATGCTTTCATGTCTCCAGCACAGAGATCAATACGTCAGACTTGAAAGGAAAAATTTTAAGATATCTCCCCGCTCCACTCCTGAGGCCTCATTTCTCTCTACTTCATCTCCAGTTTTTCTCAAAATGATTGGAAAGGTGTAGAAGGTGACTGGAGGGCTCGGCCGAGTTCAAAGCTAGGCTAGAGTAATGACTACAACTCTTAAATGTGTCTATTAGAAGGAAATTAAATTCACTAACAAAGAGGGCTTACCGATTTTAAACCTTTCTATTACTGCATTCAAATGTCTCTACTTCCACAGTCATGTGTCATATACCTATATTTTTCACCTTACCAATATGTAGGGGAACTTGTTACGTATTTAATAACATTTAGACCAGGGGTCAGCAAACTTTCAGAAGCATTAATCCAAGTAATCATTATCCCTTCTTCTGTACAACTAAAAATGGGGTCAGAAACACCTACAGGTATTCTTGGCTTCAGCCTTGAAATTTTTTTTAATTGTAAGTTCTAGGATACATGTGCAAGATGTGCAGGTTTGTTACATAGGTAATCGTGTGCCATGGTGGTTTGCTGCATCTATCAACCCATCACCTAGATATTAAGCCCAGCATGCATTAACTGTTCTTCCTGATGCTCCTCCCTCCCTCTCAAGAGGCCCGAGTGTCTGTTGTTCCCCTCCCAGTGTCCATGTCTCTTTGTTCAGCCCCCACTTATAAGGGAGAACATGCAGTGTTTGGTTTTCTGTTCCTGTGTTAGTTTGCTGAGGATAATGGCTTCCAGCTCCCTCCATGTCCCTACTAAGGACATGACTTCTTTCCTTTTTATGGCTGCATAGTATTCCATGGTGTATATGTACCACAGTTTCTTTATCCATTCTATCACTGATGGACATTTAGGTTGATTCCATGTCTTTGCTATTGTGACTAGTGCTACAGTGAACATACAGTTGCATGTGTCTTTATAATAGAATGATTTTTATTCCTCTGAGTATATACCCAGTAATGGGATTGCTGGGTCAAATGGTATTTCTGCCTCTAGGTCTTTGAGGAATTGCCCCGACTGTCTTCCACAATGGTCAACCTAATTTACATTCCCACCAACAGTGTAAAAGTGTTCTTATTTCTCCACAGCCTCGTCAGTATCTGTTGTTTCTTGACTTTTTAATAATCACCATTCTTACTGGTGTGACATGGTATCTCATTGTGGTTTTGATTTGCATTTCTCAAATGATCAGTGATGCTGAGCTTTTTTTCATGTTTGTTGGCCGCATAAATGTCCTTTTGAGAAGTTTCTGCTTATGTCCTTTGCCCGCAGCCTTGAAAGTTCTGAGCCCATGAATTCTCCCTATCTTCTCTACATCTGGGCAACTAGGCAGTTCTCATAATTTCCACTTAAAAATACAATAACCCCACCTGAGGTTATTCTTTAAGTCTTTACCAAATAGATTTTAAGTTGTTTAATTTTTAATGTAATTATACTGAGCTCTGTTCATGACCCAAGTTGTCCATAAACTGTTCACTGCCAATATAGGGCTCCAGAGGGCCCTGTGGTAAAAGTACCTGAAGACGAGGACCCTGAAACAGGAACAGGAGGGCTGATTGAGGATATCCCACAGGACCCAAACCAGGCTTCCCCTACTTGACAATCTTGTATGGGCTGTGGCACTTAATCATCTCATTGTGCCAAAATATGCCAGCATGGACCAGGATTATTTTTTAAACTGAGTACAGTAAAACTGTTTTGAATATGGATCTTATGTATGACTGCTTGCTTTAGAAAGAGCTATGAGATGGTCATCAGCTTGGTTCCTTTTAGGGAATGAATAGGGAAAAGGTGTGGACATGTGATTGTTCCATGAAAGATAGACTATTCCATTTCAGTTGGAAGGTTTCATTTTCAAAATAA
This sequence comes from Homo sapiens, assembly GCF_000001405.40. NCBI lineage: Eukaryota > Metazoa > Chordata > Mammalia > Primates > Hominidae > Homo > Homo sapiens. Next base: position 45,957,133 of record NC_000015.10, on the reverse strand, counting down.
ACTGACTATTCAATGAGTGAATGGTGAACATAACAGATAAGAACTTTACCAATGACAATGTGTTAATAATAAGCAAACATTAAGTATCAAGTGTCAGACACTTCCCTAGGCACTGGAGTCACAAAATAGACAAAAACTCCTTCCCTCATGAAGCTTACATTCTAGTGGGGAATAATAAAATACTGTATTACAGAGTGATAAATGCTAATGAGAAAACATAAGGAAGAACTCAGATATGAAATCTCAGCAGGGGTTTTGGCATTTTAGATAAGATGTTCATGGAAAACCTCAATAAGAAGGTGGCTTTTGATTCAAGATCTGAATAAACAGAGACCAAACCATACTTCTTGGAGAAGAGAACTCCAGGCAGAGGGAACAGCAGTATGAAATCCCTAAGGCAGGACTGTTTGTGTAGTGCACATGGAGTACCAAGGAGATCTGTGAAGCTGATTGGAAGGAACAATAACGGTAAAATTCAGAGCCTGTGTTATGATTTGTAAAGCCTTATATGATCAGGCTCCTTACATAAAGTAGAAAGTCCCTGGAGAATTTTCAACAAGGTGTGACATGATCTGACATTTTAATATTATCAGTCTGGGAAGCCAGTGTATTGGAAAGATTATAAATATGGATATTAAATCACTAAGAATTATAACAGGAGTAGCATTAAAGAGTTAACTGAAAGCTAAAGTAATCAAAAAAAAGTAAGAGGGAGTGGGCTAAGATGGGAGGCAGTAAACAACTGCAATAAAGAGAGGTAGAGGAAAATAGAGTCCAATTACTTGAGGTTCAAGGCTGAGTGTTTTATGAGGGGAAAAAAGAGATCTGGAAGGGGATACGAAGAGGAAGTATGGCACCTTCCTGACCTCCAGACTCCTTGGTAGGGTGGATGTAAAAGACCACAGAGGAGCCAATAAGAGCAGAGCAGTTTTCAGTTAGAGCAAGAAAGTGAAGACAACTTTCTCAGAAGAGGCTCCGCATAAAGGTTATTTTGATCATGATTGACCTTGTGTTCCTAGGAAAAAAGCGTAAGAATTTCAAGAGGTGATGAGGTGAGGGAGACAGGTCAGAGGAGGTGGTGGAATTATATGGGGAATGAGCAATGACCTGAGAGTCCTAAACATGTCACGTTGCACAGGGGTAAGGAATGTGATGGAGTTTTTGCTGCTGGTCCCCAGGCAGATAGCAATGGAGAAGTTGTGAGTGTTGAGAGCAGGTTGGGGAGGGAGTCTTTCCAGGAACAGAACTAGTCCTAGACTTCTAATTCACTCCACTGAAGGAAGTACACCCTAAAGAAGGGTGATCTTTTTTAATGTAGGCTCACTCTGGACACCCACTGTCTTAGTCCCTTTCTGCGACTATAATGGAATACCTGAGACGAGGTAAGTTTAAAAGAACAGAGATTAATTTCCCCATAGTCCTAGAGGCCAGGAAGTCCAAGAGCCGAGGTGCCAACACCTGGTCCAGTGAGGGCCTTCTTACTGTTTCCTCAGGTAACAAAGTACAAGAGTAAGCTAGCCAAATGCTTCTGAAGACTCTTAAGGGCTTTAATCCCATTCACGAGGGAGGAGCCCTCATAGCCTAATCATCTCTTAAAGGCCTCACCTCTCAATACTATCACATAGGCAGCACCAGAATTTTAGAGGGGACACATTCAAACCATAGCAACTGCCAAATGGCAGTCTGTAGGGTTCTGACCCGCTTCTGACTCTGCTGATGGTGGACTGCTGAGAGTGTGGTCTTACTCTGGCTCAGGCAAGCAAGCAGCCCCTGATAAATGCACGATGCTGAGCCTGCAGCCAGAGCCGACAATGCCTTGACTCCTGCTGATGGCAGTCTGTGGAAGTGTTCCTATTCTGAAAGTCTGGAGACCTTTGGATACCTGATGAATGAGAGGTTGAGGATAACTTTAGGAATATTTCCTCATTAAAAACACATCCTATCCATTGAGCACTTGTGTGCCAGGCTCTGTGATAGCACTTGATAGACATTCTCATTTAATCCTCCAATACTCCCCTCCTCAGTTTGATATTGTCCCTTTTTACAAATAAGGGCATTGAGGCTCAGAGCTTTGTGTTCCAGTAACCCATAAGTAAGGATTTGACTGCTGGTCTGAATGTTTCCAGTCCTTGACCTCATATTACTATTCTCCACCACCTCCTGGCTGAGAGATCACAAAACTATTGCTTAATTAAGAGCTGTCAGTTACTGAGACAACCTTTACCAAAAGTAAACCACGAGGAAATTATTCTTAGCTCTGATGGAAGCCTGTTGCAAAGGTGGATTTGTGGGCACCTCTGTGGATAAATACCAGGAAGCATTACCTCAAGTCCAGGGTCTTAACTTTCAGTAAACTGCAATAATCAAAATCCTTCATTTGAGGGCCTAAGGATGTCAGCCAGTCTCTCTGACCCATTCATTATACACCAAGATCTGGGAGAGAATCTACAGCCTCTATACCCACCTTAGAGAGGTGGCTCCTAGCACTAGAGAATCTACCTATACTGACGGGATAAAACAGGGAGCTGACATAAAAAACTAGGTCCAGATCAGCAGAGAAAAATGAGCCCCCATAGTAGCGCAACTCTCCTAGCTGCCCTCCCTTTGAATGGTCTAGGGTGGCATCCTGGGAATTAGAATTAGAAAATTAGTTTTCTGCAAATCAAAACCACAATGAGATACCATCTCACACCAGTAAGAATGGTGATCATTTAGTCACGAAACAACAGATGCTGGAGAGAACGTGGAGAAACAGGAATGCTTTTACACTGGTGGTGGGAGTGTAAATTAGTTCAACCATCGTGGAAGACAGTGTGGCAATTCCTCAAGGACCTAGAACCAGAAATACCATTTGGCCTAGCAAACCCATTACTGGGTATATACCCAAAGGATTATAAATCACTCTACTATAAAGACACATGCACACGTATATTTATTGCAGCACTGTTCACAATAGCAAAGACTTGGAACCAACCCAAATGCCCATCAATGATAGACTGGATTAAGAAAATGTGGCACATATACACCATGGAATACTATGCAGCCATAAAAAAGGATGAGTTCATGTCCTTTGCAGGGACATGGATGAAGCTGGAAACCATCACTCTCAGCAAACTAACACAGGAACAGAAAACCAAACACTGCATGTTCTCACTCATAAGTGGGAGTTGAACAATGAGAACATATGGACACAGGGAGGGGAACATCACATACCAGGGCCTGTCAGTGGGTGGAGAGCTAGGGAAGGGATAGCATTAGGAGAAACACCTAATGTAGATAACGGGTTGATGGGTGCAGCAAACCACCATAGCACGTGTATACCTGTTTAACAAACCTGCACATTCTACACATGTATCCCAGGACTTAAAGTATAACTTTAAAAAAAAGTAGTCAATTTTCCTTTCATATTAGGACTAACTACAGTAGCCCTTGCAAGGTGCTGATCAGAAAGGTAGTGTGGGACTAGGCTGTCACCAAAAAAGCACAAGGTGCTACTCAGTTCTGGTCTCCTGGTAGTAGGGGAAAACAAGCATCTATCTGGTCTAAGTTCAGTTAGCTATAGATGATGAAGACATGCTAACCTCAGAGTTAGGCTCAGCTGAACCCTGAGCCAATGATGACCGAGGTTGACAATATACTAATAGACACAGCCAACTACCCCACAGCAGACAATGCAGGAATACAAAGGCAAAAACTTATTGAACACGGTCTCATTAAATGGTTTAAATATTATCCTGTCCCAATAACTACTACCTTTTTTTTTTAATGTCTTTCAGTGCCTTTTTACCACTTCTTTTATTAACTTGCCAGTTCACACAGCCTACTTGAGAAACGGGAAGTTTCTAGATTCAGAACAGCTCACTAGTAGCCTTCTTCCCAACCCATTTTTAGGACCCTGAAAACACTCTAGAGAAGAAAACAGTTGCATGCTTTGGTTAAGCAGATGTTTTCTAGAAACTTGTCTAGGAACAGGATTTTTCTATTAATACACCAAAAATTGAGATCCATTTCTAAGGGAATGATTCTGACCCCAAGATGTCACTGAAAATCACACAAAGAATATAAAATGCTATTTAACAAAGTAACTCTGGTAAAATATTTATAACGTAAATTGTAAACTACACTAAAAAGGTGGTACTTTAGACTACGGGAAGCCAAAGTGACTGCTATTGAGATGTGGGCATGAGGCCTCACTTCAGAGGTACACTCAAGAATTTGTTTTACAAAAAAAAAAATGCTCAGATAACTAACTACGTTGAACAAATGTTCTTCCCGTTCAGTTCCCCCGGGTGCCTGAGAAGTCATTATTAACTCTCCTTGAAATGTTCAGGTTACATACACGATTGCATCCACTTGATGGGATTGCAAATCGGTCTTAAATAGCCCAAAAGCTTTCTCTTTTTTTTTTTTTTTTTTTTTTTGACTCTTCAAGCTAATTAGACTAAAGCCCTCCCCCAAATTTACTGGTTTCAGAATTCCCTTAATCCAGGTGTTAGAGCCTTAAAGGAATGCAAAATACTTCCCAGGTGCCCCAAAATGTTCCTTCTCTTTAATCTCAGAGTTGTGGAACCAAGCCAAATCTCCTGCAGTTTTTACAAGTATGAGGATCTGGAGGTGCTTTGGCAGCATACAGATCTGGATTAGAATTCTGACCCAGTCCCTGGTCAGCCTTGCTCAGCCATGCCCCACCTTATATTTCTACAAAGAAGATAATACATTTGTCATAGGTCTGTTCAAGAAAAACATGTATCATAGAATGCCTGACACTTAGTAGATGCCCAAATGTTAATTGATTAAATTCACTTATTTATCCTGAAGGTCATGACCAGAAGTGTCAGAGGGGCATGGCATAAATGGGTCAAGGAGGGCTGATGGGCAGGCAGCACTTAGCCCCCTAAAGGGGGCAGCTGGGGCTCACTGCTACCCAACTGCTTTCTGGGGAAGGTGGCTCCCATGTTAAGGAGACATCTGCTTTTTCCTTCATTTTGTCAAGTCTGAATTTTTATGTCGAAAGTCACAATTTAACTATTGGCTTAAATCTTTTTTAAAGTACTCTGCAAACACAAAACACACCTGCTAGACCAATTTTAGCTGTGGACCATCAGCTTGCAAAGCCAGCTTTATATGTTTTAACTTAACCAGAAAAATAAAAGCAATAAAGAAAAGAGGAAAGATGATTCCATAACACAGAAGGAAGTACATTTTATTAACATGACCTATAGAAAGGAAGGTTGTAAACAACGTTGCTAAAGAGAAATAACTTAATGAAGGCAGTTTTTGCACTACAGACTTTTGAAACCACATATATTAATAATCAAAACTAAAGAAGTTGTTTTTAAACCTGGCTGCACTATACTTCGGAAGCTTTTTAAAAATGCCAGTGCCTAGTCTCTACATTCAGAACTTCTCATTTAATTGACGTGTTGAGACCCACGCAATGTATATTTTTTTAAAAGCACCTCTTCACCTCCCTACCCCTCACCTCTACCCTGGGATTTTTAGCCAAAATTAAGAACGAAATATAAAGCAGTGGCTCTCAAACTGGCTGGGTTTAAAGCAAAACAAACAACAACAACGATAAAAACCTGTTTCTTAGACTTACAGAATCAAAAAAACTAGTTACTGGAGGAAGGACCCAGAAATTTCCTTCGTTAATTTGCTCCCCAAATGATTCTGATGCAGATAGCCCCATAGACCACACTCTTAGAAACACTTGCTAATGTTTGGGTTAAGAAACAATGCCTTCATCCTATTTAGCCTGTCCAGTATGTGCACACTTTTTGACCCGAGTATCACTTCATAAAATTAGAAATGCAAATCAAACAATGATACCATCTCATGCCAGTCAGAATGGTGATTATTAAAAAGTCAAGAAACAACAGATATTGGCAAGGCTGTGAAGAAATAGGAACGCTTTTACATTGTTAGTGGGAATGTAAATTAGTTCAACCATTGTGGAAGACAGTGCGGCAATTCCTCAAAGACCGAGAGGCAGAAATACCATTTGACCCAGAAATCCCATTACTGGGTACATACCCAAAGGAATATAAGTCATTCTATTATAAAGACACATGCATGTGTATGTTCACTGCAGCACTATTCACAATAGCAAAGACGTGGAATCAACCCAAATGCCCATCAATGATAGTCTGGATAAAGAAAATGTGGTATATATACACCGTGGAACACTATATAGCCATAAAAAGGAACAAGATTATGTCCTTTGCAGGGACATGAATGAATCTGGAAGCCATTATCCTCGGCGAACTAACACGGGAACAGAAAACCAAACACTGCACGTTCTCACTTATAAGTGGGAGGTGAACAATGGTCACAGGGAGGGGAACAACACTCACAGGAGCCTGTCAGGGGAGGGCAGGAGGTGAGGCGGGGGAGGGAGAGCATTAGGGAAAAGAGCTAATGCATGCTGGGCTTAATACCTAGGTGATGGGTTGATAGGTGCAGCAAACCACTATGGCACATCTTTACCTATGTAACAAACCTGCACATCCTGCACGTGTACCCCAGAACTTAAAATAATTTTTTTTTCATGGAGGTATTAGGAAAAGGCTAGAAATTTGCTCGCCACAAAGCATGGTAGGACTGATGTTGAAACTAACTAATGATTTCAGCGAACTTGAACAAAGGCAGTAGAGTAGTAACAAGGACAATACAAACGTAATAGAGAATTGGGCAGTTGTTGGTTGGTAGCCAGAGGTCCTTGCCAATACAGGGAACACCAGGAAACACAAGCATCAGACCATACTTGCCATCAGGCAGGAAGGCAGTGGCTTTTTCTAAGAAAGCCACCCAAATGCAGGACCCACACAAGTGGGAGGGAGTGAAGGACGGAGGCGGTGCCAGGGGCTGCAGGAAGCAGAGACAAGGCCAAGGAAGGCAGACGGTAAAAGGTAGGCTAAAGGAGCACAGCCACCCATCGGCATTCATGACAAGGCCTGGGTCTTGGTGGGATCTTCAAGCAGAAACCATAAGTGGGAAACTGAGGTAGAACTTGGTTAAAAACAAATATATACCTAGTTGCTCCCCTAACTAAAGTTTCTGAAGTATTTTTCTCCTAGTTTCCCAGCACCGTTAGTTGATTATGAGGTTTCTGGTTGGTTAGGAATATTTTGAAAAGTAAACGGACTCTGTTTATAATTCACAGGCATGCCACATTTTTATTACGCAAATAATTCTTAAAAGGTTTGCTTTCAGCAGTTATCTCAATCAACATAATTAGTTGAACACTAGCTGTGTAAACTAAGCTACGACCTAGGTGTTACAGTGTGAGACAAAGGAAATGAAGATATAGAGAAACTTGCCCTGTACCCCACCCAGCACCCAGCCCCATCAACCATAAATGCAATTGAAAATAAACAAGAGGAAAATGCAAACTCCCCACTGTATTGTGTTCTTTATAATACTAATGCCAAGGTTGTTCAGGCAGCACCAACATGAATCTGAGAGACCCTCAACTGATTCCCAGTTGCCGAGTCAGGAAATGCTTGACTGTGTTTCCCGGAGTTCTGAATGCCTTAAAACAGAAGCCATTTTCCTTACAGGAGAGACAGGATGGAATCTTTCTCTCAATTGAGTTATATTTTTCCTTGCAGACACCAAAGCAGTGCTGCTTATGCTCAAAGATCTCTGAGTTTTTTACGTGAAACTACCGTTTTTACCTACAGTTCACCTATCTTGCACAGAACTAGGAGTCAAGAGGCAAATCCAGGTGATTGCCAGGATAGGACGCCCGGGAGGGATTACTCCTTCCCTCAGGTGACTCCAGATTAGTTACTGGTCAGAGACAAACATCCTTCCTGGGAGGCTCCCATGACATCTGTGTAATAAATTCGGGTAGGTGTGTCTATTAGTCCGTTCTCACACTGCTATAAAGAACTACCTGAGACTGGGTAACTTATGAAGAAAACAGGTTTAATTGACTCACTGTTCCGCAGGCTGTACAGGAAGCATGGCTGTGAGGCCCCAGGAAACTTACAATTATGGCAGACGGTGAAGGGGAAGCAGTCACATCTTACCATGGCAGAGCCGGAGAGAGAGTGAAGGGGGTTGTGCCCTACACTTTTAAACCATCAGATCTCGTGAGAACTCACTCACTATTATGAGAACAACATGGGGAAAATCTGCCCCCATGATCCAATCACCTCCACCCAGGTCCCTCCCCCAACATTGGGAATTACAATTCAGCATAATATTTGGATGGGGACACAGAGCCAAACCATATCAGTGTGCTTCCTCAGTTATGTTCACATGATGGACACAAATTATGCATAAACTGTACTCACCATCCCCCACTCACACCACCACAAAGAGAAGGGTTATCACTTAGTTTTGCTGTCGAGTTCACAAACAAGATATACAAACTTTGCTAACTGCAAATAATCTGGAAAAAGTTTAAGGCAGAGAATATATGAGAGTTGAATCGAGTTATTCAAATATGTTTCACATGTGCGCTGGAGCCTACTGGCTATTTGCTTTCTGGTTCTTTCAGATGTATAGCTTCCTCCATTTCCTTGAATTTTCTCATTCCTCTCAAAACCAGCAGGAGAGCCATTGCTTTGTGTATCTGGTTTTTAAAAGACTCCTTTCTTGCCTTTGACATGGTTACTGCGGTTTCCTAGTCAGGCTTTGAACTGACTTTTCACATGAGCAATGAGATGCTGTGTCCCTTTGAAAAAATATGCTCTCTTTCAAATTACTGCAGTAGCTCTCAGACTCTAGTGTACACTAGAATCACCTGGGGGTGCTCGTTAAAACAGACTGCTGGGCTCCATCCCCACAGTTTCTCATTGAGTAGGTCTGGGGTGGGGCCAGGCAATTTGCATTTCTAACACATTCCCGAGTGACACTAAGGCTGCTGGTCTAGCACTACACTTTTAGAACTACTGCTATAAACCAGCATCAAGTTCCTATGGGTTTCTGAGCCAAGTGGTATGTCACAATCAACACACAAATGGCATCAGGAAGCTAGCATAAGGCATATGCTTGGCTTGTGCATATTTGGTCCCCTCAGAAAGTGTCTCACCTTGAGCCTTCACTTCCTAAGGCACTGTTTCCATGTCTCCTGCCGCCTTTTGTATATGCTGGCTTTGGTGGTGAGAATTAGAAAAGGATCCTTCAGTAGACTTTTCAGATGCCTACCCAATTATCACCCCTCTTCATCTGTTGAACCCAGTGGCTTGAAAAATCTTTAAAACAAAGCTTTAGTGCTGTTTTCAACAAGCTTTACAAAATACAAAATAGCAGACTGCCAGAACAGCCAGACTAAAGTGACAGTAGGTCCCTGGCATCTGCAGGGTCAAAGTGCCTCATTGTCCTACCCAATTTAGTCACTGTTGAGCTCTCCTCATACCTAAGGGGTTACCCAGAACCCCTTAAGGGTTGTTAGAAAACTACTTGTAAAAATAAAGTTTGGATTCAAACTTGGCTTTTTTCAGTTTATCCTAGCAGCCACGACTTTTTAAATAAATTTTAAAACCCCATTTAGTCTCTGAGTAATTGTAACTATATGTTGAGATAAACATCTAGACAATACAGAAATGTTTATTTTTCAAGCAGCAGACATTTATGCTTTGCTCTTGTCCAATTAAACCAAAGGTTTAATGATGTAAATGTGGTCTGGGGCTAAGATCCAATGGAGGGACAATTACAAAACTGCACTATTTTTTAAAAATCACCTTCTAAGTAACCTGGAGAATAGACTTAGTGCTTGAACTACAGGAATCTAGGAAAAGGTGATAGTGTAGAGTTGAGAAATTCTGGCATGATATGATGTCATGTATGTATAAAGCCTTATATTGAGAAAAAAGAGACCAGGCATGTGAAAGAACATTGTGCAACCCATTTGCCTGCGGCAGCCATCTTTGCTGGGACAGGTTCATAGATGCTGTAGATGATTTGCAGATGCTGACTGAGGTTTTCCAAAAGATCCTCTTTCTTTCAGCATCTTCTCTGAAACTATAACTGAATCAAAGACTTACAATATGTTCAACATTCAACAAATATTTATCTAGAATCCACTATGTGCCAAGCACTTAATTAAAACAATACACATACTAACATTTGTTACCACTTAATTTATGTTTTATTGAAAATTCTCTGTTTTACTAGAAAGCCATTCTCCGCCATGACACAATATATCCATGTAACAAATAAGCATTTTATCCCCTGGATCTAAAATAAAAACATTTGTAAAATAAAAAATAAAATTTTCTCTGTTCACCTTAGATTTTAGCACTAGAAGAGTCATTCTAGGCAAATCTAGAACAAGCGCTAGACTACTCACAAACTATCACCTGGGGGAAATCAACCGGAGTTTCTGCTGTCAAACAAAAGACCAGCTGTACCCCACCAGCAGTTCCCAACCTTGAGCACACATCAGAATCTCCCACAGGACTCATTAAACACAGACTACTGGGCTCCAGACCCAAGTTTCTGATTCGGTAAGTCTGGGGTGGGGCCTGCGAATTTGCATTTCTAATAAGTTCCCAGGTGATGCTGATGCTGCTTGGTCCAGGTACCATACTTTGCCTAGAATATAATGATTATTGTCTATAAGTTCTCTGTCTTGCTGGGATGCCCCTTTCCAGGCCCAAGAGCAGAACATTTTTGGGTTTGGGTTTGTTTTTGTTTTGTGTGTGGCTGTTGATGTTTTCAGGTTGCAAGTGTCTTCAGCTCTAAGTCTGTATATGAGTCAAAAAGAAAACTAGGGAACTCATCATTCCCTAAGGAGTCATTCTTGAGCTCTCTAGTCAGCCTCCCTTCTTTTTCTACCCTTCAGAGTCTCATGTTTGCTTTCTCTAAAAATGTGCAGGCTTAATGCTAAGTGAAGTAAGCCAGACACAGAAAGACACATACTGTATTATCTCACTGATTTGCAGAATCTTTAAAAAGTCAAACTTAAAGAAATAGAGAGTAGAATGGTGGTTGTCAGGGCTTGGGGATGGGTAGTGCAGAATGGGGAGATGTTGACCAGAGGGTACTAAGTTTCAGTTAGTAATAGATCTTGAAATACGTTTTCAAGATCTATTGCACAGCATGGTGACCATAGTTAATAATCATGTATATTTCAGATTTCTAAAAAAATACATTTTAAATGTTCTCACCACAAAGAAATACACATTTGAAGTGATGGACACATTAATTAGCTAGATATACTCATTCTACAATGTATATCAAAACATCACATTGGACCCATAAATATGTACAATTATTCATCGGTTTAAAATAAAAATTTAAAAAACTTGAAAATGAAAAACATCCAGGGTATTTATCTGTACTTACCAGGAGAATAGGGAAAAGGACATCTCCATCTTCCTGGAAGCAGAAGTTTCTGGACCGCACTTTGAGAACCACTCCATTAGATGATCTCTGCATCCCTTCCAGTTCTACCCTTTATCATTATACTTTTTTATTTATTTTTTCCTTTTCAGTTGACACATAATAATCATACATATTTATGAGATACAGAGCGATATTCTGATATATGTATACAATGTTTAATGTTCAAATCAGGGTAATTAGCATAACCATGCCCTGAAACATTTATCATTTCTTTGTGCTGTGAACATTCAAAATTCTCTTCTAGCTTTTTGTAAACATATATCATAGTTAGCCTTATTCACCCTACAGTAGTGCATAACACCAGAACTTATTCCTATCTGGCTGTCATTTTTTTGTCCATTAATCAATCTCTCCCTGTCCTCTCCTCCCCAATCCCCTTCCCAGCCTCTAATAACCACAATTCTACTCTCTACTTCCATGAGCTCAACTTTTTCAGCTTCCACATATGAGTGAGACGATATGATATTTATCTTTTGCTTAACATAAAGTGTTCCAGGCTCATTCACGTTGCCAAAAATCACAAGCTTTGATTCGTTTTATGGCTAAATGGTAGTCCATTGTGTATATATACCACATTTTCTTGTTATTATAATTTTTAAAGTGTCTCTGTGAATTCATGAAACACACGGTAGAGCAAACACTCAGCAACATAGAGAAGTGATAGGGCCGGCTCTCTGGGCCTCTCTGTATCCTTTCCTGTGTTCGGATTAGCACCAGATTGATTGGCACTATCAGGTGTGAGGTCTGAGGAGCATCTGCTAACTCCCAGCTGCCAAGCTTCACCTACCACACCTGTGCAGACCGTGCCTCCAAACAAGGATTCTGGTTTCCACTATTTGCTAACCTGAGGCCCATCCTCTGGGGCTTCTTTCTTTTTTTTTTTTTTTTTTTTTTTTTTTTTGAGACGGAGTCTCGCTGTCGCCCAGGCTGGAGTGCAGTGGCGCAATCTCGGCTCACTGCAGGCTCCGCCCCCTGGGGTTTACGCCATTCTCCTGCCTCAGCCTCCCGAGTAGCTGGGACTACAGGCGCCCGCCACCTCGCCCGGCTAATTTTTTGTATTTTTAGTAGAGACGGGGTTTCACCGTGTTAGCCAGGATGGTCTCGATCTCCTGACCTCGTGATCCACCCGCCTCGGCCTCCCAAAGTGCTGGGATTACAGGCGTGAGCCACCGCGCCCGGCCGGCTTCTTTCTTATCAGGACTGATCTGCTAAACCTTTCTATGAATGGTAAAGGTGAGTGCAAAGTGACCATCTACCTCCCAGAAAACAACTTTACAGGAACTTTATTCCTCCTTAACTCAGAGGAGAGATTAACGATGGTTTCGGGTATTTTGAATTGTCCTAGTCAAAACTGGCATCACTTCTTGCCTGGTTTTCACAGTGGCTTCCCAGCTGCTCTCCCCCATACACTGACATCCCCTTCTAATGGCCTTTCAGCCCCCCAAAATCTCGGTGACCTTCTCAAAATGAGATTCGCATGGCTTGCTTGGAACATGTTCATGATGTAGCTGTTAAAACAAATGGTGAAATACATGGTATGTCTGACATGGCCCTGCCCACTGGTCAGTCTCTTCTCATACCACTCTGTGTCCCCTGTGCTCAGACACAAAGACCTGGGTTGGCTTTCTCAACAGCTTCTTTGGCTCTATACTCCTTTCTACTACTGAGCTTTAGCTCTTAGTGCTCATTTTCCCTGAAATGCATTCCCTACTTAGCTAGTTAACTCGTACTCATTCTCCTTCAGATATAAAATCAAGGCTTTTCCTGATCACATAGGCCTGGCCATGCCCTGCTGTTACTCATTTATGCATTGATTTTCCTTCATAGCATCTGTAATCAAATCATCACAAAATTTGTTTCTTTATTATACATGTTATATCACCAGCACCTAGCACAATAGCTGGTACATATGGCATGTTCAATAAATCTCTTGAATGAAGTACATTTGAGCAGGAGAAACTTCCTCAGAAATATCACATCTTAATCACATGTGCTACAAAAAAAGAAAAAAATATATTTGTTTCACTTCAATAATGCCCAGCACAAAGTAGTCACTCAAACATACTGAAAGAGATCAATGATTTCCATATTTTATTTCATTTGCTAAAGAACTAACAGAGTGCTCAATACTCAACATAGCGGATTTTTGCCACTTACAAGAGCTCTGTGTAGAGACCTTGGCTAATCCCTCAACACATGAACAAACCCATAGCATATTATTTACTCCACAAAAGTGTGGTTCAGTGATGACAGATAAGCCTTTAACTCCTCATGCTTCAGTGAAATGACTGTTCCGCCTTCTGACTTTAAGTTGTATTTGCATAGAGACTCAGTCATGAGTTTCCTAGGCTTATCCCCAACCACAGATAACTGCTGGTTAAGCATTCACTAAAGTTTTGTCTTTTATTTGATGAGCCATTGTAGAGTGAACCAAAGCATTCACTGAAAATTTATGAGTCACTTTTTTTGTTCCATCGAGCGCATATGGTAAAGCTAGCTCTGGTCAAGGACAGAATGCTAGCTAAAAATAATTTGGAATAAATTAGACTGTTAAATTCAACCAAGAACCAACATTTTTTCACTTTGTCCAGAATCACAGACACCATAACGTGAATAGATATCTACCTAGAGCCTCACAGGTGCAAAATTCTTAAGAAGCTACAAGCCTCAGACTAAATCATAGTAATTATTTATATGTGAACAAAATCCCAGTTCACTTATTTAAGTGTAATTTGCACAAACTATACAACATCAGTTAAAATATATTTGCAGCTACTTTTTAAAGAAAACCTGTTTTGAGACATTGCATTTATAGAATTGAGCTAAAAGATTGTCAGATATTCATAGAACAAAAACGAATTTTATGTAATATAAAACACATGCAATATGACTACTGCAAGGGTAGTTATTCAAAGCTACATGTCAGTGAGCAAAACTGACTTGGACCACAAGCAACTTCAACCAATCAGAATTTTTAAAATGCCTAATCACAAATTGTCACAAAGCCAGAGAAATGTGTATGTGCCAACTATCAGAATTTAGTAACTAAGCTATAGTAGTAGCTGCTGTAGTGTCTCATAAACAACATAAGTCAATTGAAAAGTAAAAGCAATCAAAACATAGCTACCTAAAATTGGAAAAGAACATAATAAGGCCAGAAAGTTTGAACTGGGTCATGCAAAAAAAGGATGAAAGGCAATTTGAGAGAAATTACTTTGAACAAACTCAAGGATAGGTAACAGGTATCATTTTAAGTACCCAATTTGATGTCTTGGTGGAGACTGCCTAGAGAGGCTCAGAAGATTTGTGAGGCAGGGGCTGAATTTAGCAGGAAAGAAAAGCTAATCAACTTCCAATATCTGTCATGGGCTTGAAAGAAAAGGCTGGTGAGACACATGCCATATTTTGCTGACCTTAACCTAGGATCTCTCTGGTTTTAAAGCTACTTCTGACTCCTCCTTGTCTGAACCAGCAGAAGCAGTTGGCTTTATTTGGAGTGATATTTTTCTCACACACACACAAATTAAAGTTGTTTTTTCACTGTAACAAAATTTCTAGCTAAGGGAGCTAATGCATAGCAGACAGTCATATCCCACTGAGATGCAGCAAGGTTTACCAGGCAGCTAAGTGGCTTGCCGCTGCCCAGCACCTCACAACATGATCAGTTCTAGACCCTGCCTCAGCATTTTCCAAATTACTACACAGGCCTTTAGGGTCACTCACTATCAGTTAAAAGTGTGGTGGTTAAATGCATAAATGAGGCTCAGAACTTGGTTTATGCATGTGATTGTTTGCTTCTAGACATAGCCTTTGATACAAGTTGATAGTTTTAACTGGGAAAGTAGATATAGATGAATACACCTGTAAGTAATGCCAACTATGCAAATGTGAAGAAAAGAGCCCTTTATAACTGGGCCTTGAATGATTAGTAGAATTTTGAAAGCAGATTGGTGGTTTAAAAAAGTAAATATTTCAGCCTGAGCAGCCCTGAAGAAAATGTTTTTGATCTTAGTTCCTGCTGCTCTCTCCAAAGAGTCTCTGGGTACTTTACCAATAGCGTCATGCACCACATGACAATGTTTCAGTCAACAATGGACTGCATGTATACTGCATATACAACGGCAGTCCTATAAAACTATAATGGGGCTGAAAAAATCCTATCCCCTAGTGATACCACAGCCATCACACTGTCATATAGCACAATGCATTATTCACGGGTCTGCGGTGATGCTGCTGTCAGTAAACCTACTGCGCTGCCAGTCACATAATAGTACAGCACATACAACTATGTACAGTGTATAATACTTGACAATGATGATAAACTACTATGTTACTGGTTTATGTATTTACTATACTATACTTATTTTAAAGTGTCCTTCTACTTATTTGAAAAAAAAATTAAAAGTTACCTATAAAACAGCCTCAGGCAGGTCCTGCAGAAGGGATTCCAGAGGAAGGCATGGTTATCATAGGAGATGACAGCTCCATGCATGTTACCATTCCTGAAAACCTTCCAGTGGGACAGGTTGTGAAGGTGAAAGACAGTGATATTGATGATCCTGACCCTGTATAGGCCTAGGCTAATGTGTGTGCTTGTGTCTTAGTTTTCACCAAAAAAAGTGTAAAAAGTGAAAAAATATAAAATAAAAAATTTAAGAAATAGAAGAAAAGCTTATAGAATAAGAATATAAAGAAAAAATATATTTTAGTACAGCTACAAAATGTATTTTAAGTGAAGTATTATTACAAAAGATTCAAAGAGTTATTTTAAAAGTTTATAAAGTTACAGTAAAATAACATTGAATAAAGAAAAATTATTGTATAAATTAAGTGTAGCCAAGTATATAGTATTTATATTCTACAGTATTATACAGTGATGTTCTGGGTCTTCACATTCACTCACTGCTCACTCACTGACTCACCCAGAGCAAGTTCTAGTCCTGCAAGTTCCATTCATGGTAAGTGCCCTCTACAGGTGTATCATTTTTTATCTTTTATTTTGTATTTTTACCGTACCTTTTCTATGTTTAGATACACAGATGCTTACTATTATGTTACAAGTTGCCTTCAGTATTGACTACAGTAACATGCTGTACAGGTTTGTGGTCTAGGAACAATAGGCTATGCCATCTAGCCAAGACGTATAGTAGGCTATCCCATATAGGTTTGTGTTAGTACACTCTATCATGTTCACACAATGGCAAAATGACCTGATGACACATTTCTCAGAACATATCCCCATCAGTAAGTGACATATGACGGTACTACTAAAAGCTTGGTTTATGTTAACTCTACTCTTCTGCTTCCTGGCTGTGTGAATTAGTGGATGTCATCCTAGGATATGCTAGTGAGAGAAAAAGAAACTGCAGAGCTAGAAAACCACTGCTGTGGCCAATGATTCTCTTGCTCATTTTTCTTTTTATGGATTTATTTATTTTGACTTTTAGGTTTGGGGGTACACGTGAAGGTTTGTTATGTAGGTAAACTCGTGTCACAGGGGTTTATTGTATAGATTATTTCATCACCCAAGTATTAAACATAGTACCCAATAGTTATTTTTTCTGCTCCTCTGCCTCCTGCCACCCTCCACACTCAAGTAGACTCCAGTGTCTGTGGTTCCCTTCTTTATGTTCATGAGTTTTCATCATTCATCTCCCACTTGTAAGTGAGAACCTACAGTATTTGGTTTTCTGTTCCTGTGTTGGTTTGCTAAGGATAATGGCCTCCAGCTTCATTCATATTCCCACAAAAGACATGATCTTGTTCTTTTTATGGCACATACTATTTCATGCTATATATGTACTACATTTTCTTTACCCTGTCTGTCATTGATAGGCATTTATGTTGATTCCATGTCTTTGCTGTTGTGAACAGTGCTGCAATGAACATTCACATGTATGTGTCTTTATGTTAGAATGACTTATATTCTTCTGGGTGTATACCCAGTAATGGGATTGCTGGGTTGAATGGTAGTTCTGCTTTTAGCTCTTTGAGGAATCGCCATACTGCTTTCCACAGTGGTTGAACTAATTTACACTCCCACCAACAGTGTATAAGCGTTCCCTTTTCTCCACAACCTGCCAAGTTTTCTTGACTTCCACAGCGAGTGAAGCCATGAATGTGATGTACGGTGTACTGTGCTTCCCAGTATACTCAGGACAATGAAAAGGAATAGCACAAACTTAAAATATTAATGACAGGCCAGAGGCCCCTTTGCTGATTCAAGATTTAAGGCATTTTTTTTTTGGTTGGGTCAGGACACAAGGGCTTCAAGTGTTCCATGCCACAGAGAAATTTTTGAGTGATCTGCATTAGCCTTGCTAGTTAGAAAGACTCCCTGCCTAATCACAGATAGTTGCCCGGAGCAGCTCCCGCATGGATGACAAAAGGCCTCAAACCTGCTTGTGTGTGTCTGCTGTATGCTGAAGCAAATCCAGTGCTTGTGGCCAAGAAGAATGGGATGCAGTAAATTGCTTTAGTATGCTTCTCTGACCACAATCGGTAAGTTAATTTGATTAGTGACAATTTTAATGATCATATTTTCTATAAAAACATGGATTTTCGGGTAGCCTTTTGTGCTTTGCATTCATTTCTATTAAAATCTTGGCTAAGTGCACAGTTTGACGTTAAATAGTACCATCTTAAGACGGGTTCTACTGAAGCAGGGCCTGAGAAACGGACTCTTGTGCATTCAACTGATTTTTGAGGGAAGTTTCTTCAGGAGAAGGGACATCAGGGAAACAGAATAGGAAAGGGGAACAAAGCAAAGCTGGAGACCAGCTTCAGCCTGACCCCTGGGGAAGTTCTAGACAAATATGGCACCACAGAGTTAGTTGCACCTTGAGGGAAGAAGACTGGCCTTTGTACACATTTGCCAAAGTCATTAGCCAAGGTGGCTGGGTGTGATGGCTCACTCCTGTGTTCCCAGCACTTTGGGAGGCTGAGGTGGGTGGATCACTTGAGGTAAGGAGTTCAAGACCAGCCTGACCAATACGGTAAAACCCCATCTCTAAAAGCCCAGGAGGTAGAGGTTACAGTGAGCTGAGATCACACCATTGCACTCTAGCCTGGGCAACAGAGAGAAACTCTGTCTCAAAAAAATAAAAATAAAAATAAAAACAAAGTCATTAGCCAAAGTCAGTTCTCAATAGGGGATATCTGTGATAATTATCAACATTCAACAGCAGCTGGGGGATCTGAGTGGGACACCCACAACACCCACTATAGGAATTTTCATTGGCAACTGGTCACTTATGACTATTTTATTAACCAGCTGATTTCTCCTACTTTACCCTCCGCCTTTCTAGTTCAGGTGTTGACAATCTTTTACATAAAAGTACATATTTTAGGCTTTACAGGCCATATATCATCTCTGTCACAACTACTCAACTCTGCCGTTGTAGCACTAAAGCAGCTATAGATGATCCATAAACCAAAGAGCCTGCCTATGTTCTGATAAACAATAATATTAACAAAAACAGGCAGCAGATCAGATGTGGCCTGCAGCCGCTGACCCCTGCCTAGTCCATCTCCTGCCTCTCCACTTCCTGACGTATTTCCTTGACTACTCGTCTATGCTCTCTCTCAAACATAATCTCACATGTAACCACATGGAATTTTTCTCTTTAAGTCTGTACCTCCTCCTCTCCCTCTTCCCTATTGCCTCCTGGTCTTCTATTTTCTCTCCTATTCCTTTAGTTATCTTCTAACTCACCGGTATATCCATATATTCTAAAATGCAGTCCTGTCAGGCTGGTCTTCCAGACTACAGCAAAAACATTGTACCCACTACCCAGTAACAAATTCTGTACTCATTCCAAATGGCTGCAAGAATCCTGGGTCTTCTGTTTGTCTTTCTTCAGTTTAGCCATTTCTTTGGTAAAATGAAGATTGGTTCATGTTTTATCTGATATATTTTGAACAAGAAAAGGTATTGATTTTCAATCAATCTGGTTGCCCAAACTAACCTCATGCCCTCCTCAAGGTGGACCTAAGAACATTATATAATCAATATTCAGAAAAGCAATCAGACACAGCAGGTGGAGTTTTCTGTGAAGCAGAGATAAGTTTGTTTTCCATGTAGAAGGCTCTTTTATCCCCCCGCTTTTAAGGTTGCTTCAGTCTCCTAGAACCCACTTCTTCATGTGACTGCTCTAAAAGGAATAGTCTAAAATATCTTTCCACTGGCAGGAGGGATTCTGCCAGAGTGGGGGTCTCAGAGACAAGAAGGCATAGAGGCCCAGCAGAAATCTCTAGATTAATAGTCTTTATAGTTCTGTCTTAGTTAAGGCCAATTTGCCAAAGTAAGAAATCACTTGAGAGTGTAGCTGTGGCTACAAACTAGACAGTTGCTTTCATAGAAGAGGACCCAAAGCAGACATTCTTGGGGACGGGGCGGCAGCCATCACTGTAGCAGCTCGTAGAGATCTCAGATAAATCTCCTAGACTGACACCTGGGGCAGTAAAGCAGTTGGAGGTGGGGATATGCAGAAGGGTGATGGATACAGGAGACACATTCACTCAAAAACACCAAACTACAGGAGGCCGAGGCGGGCAGATCACAAGGTCAGGAGTTCGAGACCAGCCTGGCCAACATGATGAAACCCCATCTCTACTAAAAATACAAAAATTAACTAGGTGTGGAGGTGGGTGCCTGTAATCCCAGCTGCTCAGGAGGCTGAGGCAGGAGAATTGCTTGAACCTGGGAGGCGGAGGTTGCAGTGAGCTGAGATCGCGCCACTGCAGTCCAGCCTGGGTGACAGAGCAAGACTCCATCTGGACGAAACAAAACAAAATAAACACACACAAAAAAAAAACTACAAGAGCAACTTTACTTCTCATGGGGAAAGTCCCAGGGGAAAGAAAAATTGCCGTCATTGAAAGATGTCCTCAATTACTGATTCTAGAAGTCATCTTGGTGAGGATAAGAATTCATCTTAGGGGCTAAGGCAGGTTCACTTCTGAGGTACAAATTACGACAGCAATTATGTATCTGATCCCACTTGGAACAATAGGTCTTGGACTTAATTGGGGATAGAAATTCATTTCTGGAGTGTGGGAGGCTCAGCTCACATAGGGAAGTTCACTTTGGGCCTAACAGTATGGAGAAATAGTAGGAGGCAGGGCATTCACTATCCTGTATTTGTTTTCCTTCTTTCTTCAGTATTCAGTGAGGGTTGGGGACTATCACTGCTAGGAATGCAAAGCTGTAAATTTTACTTATAGAATTCTTGTCATCTGTGAGGTAATAAGGAAGTAGCTTGCTTGCCAGAAAGTAGGGGTATCTTAATTTAGATTCTCCCAGGAATAGATCATGAGACAAGGAATAGAGAACAAGTCATTTATTTGGAAGGTGATCCAATAAACCATGGCAGGGAAGTGGGAATGAAACAGAAAAAGGAACGTATCAAGCCAGCTACCACTGTGGGCAACTACAGCTTCATCCCACTGGGAAACTCTAGATATCCATGCAGTACAGACAATTCAGAGATATCCCGCTAAGACATTGATTAAGAGCTGATTATGGGACATTAATTCTGTGGCACTTCTAGCCTAGCTTGGGCACAAGCAGTGCACTCCAGCTGCTTTAGACAGCCCTCCAGTAAAGAAAGGCACTTGCTAACAGAAGTAAGATAGGGAGTAACCACAAAGCTAAGGCCCACGAGGATATGGAGGGTGCACCAATAGAATCTCTTACAGGGTATGACCCTGGATCTCAAAAGTGTAGGTTCTGGAAAGAAATAGCATGAATGCAGAGTCCAAAATGGATATAAAACATCTTGGTTTCCCTCTTTTGGAAGTTCACAGCACGTGACCTGGACACTAAATGGAAGAAAGGCGTCAAAAAGACCTAGAGAAGGGGATCCTATCATCTCAAACTTAGAAATGTTATTGAAAGAAGGGGATGTTTCAGAGTTATACATATTTTCCTCTCCCCTCTCTCTCCCCACCAAACACGATCATTTTATAGTGTAAGAGTCTTTTGTCAGAAGACCTATTCCATTTGAACCTTAAATTCAACAGCAGTACACTAGACAATGGGTACCAATTAGCCTGGCCCTTTGGAGAAACTGAAACTCTCTCTCTCTCTCTCTCTCTCTCTCTCTCCCCTTCGCTCCCTCCCTCCCTCCCCTCCTCTATCTCTCCCCACCGCCCCCCGCCATTTGTCCCTCCCTCCCTTATTTGTTTTCTCTATTTATTTGATTCCCCCAAATATACTGCATCTCTATGGTGGTATCTGGTTGATAGCAAATTGGAGTTAGAGTCAAAGATATCTGCTTAGTACTGGAAACACTGCTTTGCTTGGGAAATACATGCGCACAAGGCAATATGTACTTAGATTGCAAATATTTAGTTTAGTAGATTCCAAGTATCCTGACAGCTCTTCAGAACTTTGGAAATATGAGAGACTTGATATTGAGGTAATTTCTGGATTTACCAAAGAGCAGTGCAATTTTCCATAAGAAATACCTCAAGCTGCAGCTGCTGAAAAAGAGATCCAGGCATAATTCAGATACCAGGACACCACAGAGCCAGGATGGACCCAAAGAAAAACACAATTAAAAGGACAGCGCTTTGGCAGGGCGTGGTGGCTCACGCCTGTAATCCCAGCACTTTGGGAGGCCGAGGCGGGTGGATCACGAGGTCAGGAGACCGAGACTATCCTGGCCAACACAGTGAAACCTCGTCTCTACTAAACTACAAAAAATTAGCTGGGCACGGTGGTGTGCGCCTGTAGTCCCAGCTACTTGGGAGGCTGAGGCAGGGGAATAGCTTGAACTCGGGAGGCAGAGCTTGCAGTGAGCCGAGATTGTGCCACTGCACTGCAGCCTGGTGAGAGAGCGAGACTCTGTCTCAAAAAAAAAAAAAAAAAAAAAAAAAAAGGGACAGCACTTCGGCTGGACACGGTGGCTCATGCCTGTAATCCCAGCACCTTAGGAGGCCAAGGCAGGCGAATCACGAGGGTCAGGAGATCGAGACCATCCTGGCTAACACGATGAAACCCTGTCTCTACTAAAAATACAAAAAATTAGCCAGGCGTGGTGGCGGGCACCTGTAGTCCCAGCTACTCCGGAGGCTGAGGCAGGAGAATGGTGTGAACCCGGGAGGTGGAGCTTGCAGTGAGCTGAGATCGCGCCACTGCACTCCAGCCTGGGTGACAGCGCGAGACTCTGTCTCAAAAAAAAAAAAAAAAAAAAGGATAGAACTTTGTACATTTTTTGTTAGACCTTTAATTTCCTCCTAAGAATAGGAATTAACTTTAAAAAGAAGATAATTTTTAGGATTAAATCAAATAAAGACATCAAGAGACAGTAATAGGAACTGATTTATATTCCCAACTAAAGACCCAAAAACCTGGACAAAATATATGAAACCACAGTTTTCAGATATTAAACAACAAAGTAGCAGTGTAGTGATCCCCAAGAGAAGAAAAGCAAATAAGATGAGCCCTTCAACTTTACCAGTTTACTGTTTGAGAGTGATTTCAGGCCACAGTGCAAGGAGTGAAAACACAAAGCCCAGCAATCTCCTTGAGTTGAGAAGATGGAGACTGGAGATCAGAAGACAAAGTCACCTAGAATTTGTGATACAGAAAACAAAAATAAGGGATATGCAAGAGGAAGAACTCCAGATTTCTACAAGGAGTTCCCTACAGTCTTTGGCTAAGTAAAGAAGCACATGTGAGACAGGGAAAGAATCAATGGAAAAGAGTATGAAGAGCAATTCCAGAAGTCCACACACAGATTGGAATCATTTATGTTCCTACCAGTCGCAGTGTAAAGATATTTATTACAGCACAAGGTACATCATGTAGAAGAATATCACCATAGCAGTGAGCTAACTTGGTGCTCAACAAAATAATAATCTAGACCCACAATAACAATGCTTAAAAGCAAAATTCAAAAAGATCCAACTGATTCCGAGTAAATTAATTGCACATCAGAATAGAATCCATAATTATTTAAATAAAAACAACAAAATTCAGCAATCAATAAAATAAAAAACAACGTAAAATTACAACGCCAACTATCCAATCAAAAATTATGAGGCATGCAATGTGGTAGAGAATTTTGACCTACAGCCAGCCAAAACAAAAAAAAAATTATAAGTAGATCAATAAATGATTGAACCAATGGAACTACATACAAGAACATTAAAATGGCATTATAAATATACTGTATATAATTAAGAAGATAAAGGAAAAAATTAGCATAATGAAGGCAATGAAAGATAATTTTAAAAGATACAAATACGTTAAAAGTGATAAAATACAAAAACACACTAATCAAAGTAAAAAAGGAAACAGGGAAAATATTTTAGAATGAGAAATATTGCCAACAAAAAAGGGACTTTTATAATAATTTAAAAAGTCTTGGCCGGGCACGGTCCTCATGCCTGTAATCCCAGCACTTTGGAGGCCGAGATGGGCGGATCACTAAAAATACAAAAAATTAGCCGGCCTGGTGGCGGGCGCCTGTAGTCCCAGCTACTCTGAAGGCTGAGGCAGGAGAATGGCGTGAACTTGGGAGGCAGAGCTTCCAGTGAGCCGAGATCACGCCACTGCACTCCAGCCTGGGCGACAGAGCAAGACTCCGTCTCAAAAAAATAAAAAATAAAAAATAAAAAAAGTGTCCATTTACCAAAAGTATGTGTTTTTATTTTTTAGGGCTACCTTAACAAAGTACCATAGACAGGATGACTTAAACAACAGAAGTTTATTTTCTCACAATTCTAGAAGCTAGGACTCCAATATCAGGCATCGTCAGGATTTATTGTTTCTGAAGTACCTCATCTTGGCTTATAGATGGCCATCTTTTTTACAGGGTATTCCCTCTGTGTGTGTCTGGGTCCTAATCTCTTCTTATAAGGGCGCCATTCATATTAGACTGCAGCCCACCCTACTGACCTCATTTTAATTTAGTTACCTCTTTAAAAACCCTAACTCCAAATACAGTCACATTCTAAAGTACTGGGAGTTAGAACTTTAATATCTGAATTGGGCAGAAGGAACACAATTCAGCTCATAACAGTACATAACAATCCGAAATATACATGCACTCAGTAACAGAGCTTCAAAATACATGAAGCAAAAACTGAGAGAACCGAAAGGAGAAACAGACACATCCACAATATAGTTGTCACTTTCAATACTTCTTTCTCAGTAATTAATAAATAAAAACATCAATGAGGTAATAGAATGCTTAAACATTATTATCAATCAAGTAGGCCAAATTTACATTTATTAAGTAGTCCATCAATGACCATAAAATATTCATTCTTTTCAACTACACATGGAGTGTTCATCAAAATAGGCTGTATCTTGTACCATGAAACTAATTTCAACCAATTTAAGAGAAGTAAAATGATACAAATCATGTTTCTGACCAAAATAGAACTAGAGATAATAACAGAAAGATATCTTTTAAAAACTCAATATTTTTAAAACAACTAAAACTTTTCTCAACAACTGCTTGTGTTAAAAAAGAAATTACAAGGGACACCATGTCATAAAAGAGATCATGTCCTTTGCAGCAGCATGGGTGGAACTGGAGACCATTATCCTAAACTAACTAACACAAGAACAGAAAACCAAATGCCACATGTTCTCACTTATAAATGGAAGCTAACCATTAAGTACACATGGGCACAAAGAAGAGAGCAATAGACATTGGGGCCTCCTTGAGGATGGAGGATGGGAGGAGGGTGAGGACTGAAAAACTACGTATCAGGTTTATCACCTGGGTGATGAAATAGTCTGTACACCAAACCCTTGTGACATGCAATTTACCTATATAATAAATGTGCACATGTACTCACGAACCTAAAAATCTAAAATATATATATGTATTTTGAGATGAAGGAAAATGAAAACACAGCATCACAAAATTTTGGGGATAGAGATAAAACAGTGCTTAGAAGAAAATTTATAGCACTAAATGTCTGTATTAGGAAGGAAGGTCTCAGGTAATTTAAATCTCCAACTAAATCAACTAGAAAATAAGAGTAAATTTAACCCAAATAATTAGAATAAAGTAAATAAGGATAAGAGCAGAAATCAATGAAACAGAAAAACGTAGAAATTGAAAAAAACAAAATCAGACACTTTCTTAAGATCAATTTTAAAAACTGATAAACGTCTAGTCAGTCTTACTGATTAAGAAAAACACAAATTGCCAATATCAAGAATGAAAGAGGAGTCATTACTACAGATCATATAGTTATTTAAAGGATAATAAGGGGTTATATAAGCAACTTTATGCCAATACATCTGACAAAGAAAATGAATATTTGCCATTTAATCCACAAACTATCAAAGCTCACTCAAAAAGAAGGAATAACCAGAGTAGTTCTGTATCTGTTAAAGAAATTGAATTCTTACATCAAAACTGTCCCACAAGTAAAACTCCAGCCAAATAGCTACACTGATGTATTCTACCAAACATTTAAAGAAGAAATAATACCAATCCTTCCCAAACTTCTTCAGGAAATAGAGGAGACAAACTTCCCAAGTCATTTTTTAAAAATTTTTAATTTTTGTGGGTACATAGTAGGTGTGTATATTTATGGGGTACATAAGATATTTTGTTACAGGCCTGCAATGCAAATAATCACATCATGCAAATAATCGCTTCATGTATTCATTCCCTCAAACATTTATCTTTTGTGTTACAAACAATCCAATTACACTCTTTTAGTTATTTTTAAATGTATAATTAAATTATTATTGACTTTAGTCACCCTGTTGTTCTTTATCCATTCATCTGTTGATGGACATTTAGGTTGCCTCCAAATCTTCCAAGCCATTTCATGAAGCCAGTATTTTCCTAACATAAACCAGATGAAGACATCACAAAAAAAATTAAAAATACAGAAATGAAAATGAAAAATCATAAACATAGATGCAAATATTCTTAAGAGAATATTGGCAAATTGAATCCAGTAATATATTTTCAAAAATACATCATGACCAAGTGGAATTTATCCTAGTAATGCCAAGTTGTATCAAAAGTCAGTCAATATAATTTGCCATATTAACAGACAAATAAAAATAGGTCATGTGACCATCCTAATAGATGTGGCAAAGCATTTGAAATAGACCAACATTTATTTGTGATGAAAAGCTCTCAGCAAAACAGAAATAGAAAGAAATTTTCTGATAAAGAGTGTCTATAAAAACATATAGCTAGCATTCTACTTCATAGTGAAAGACTGAATGTTTCCTCCTAACATCTAGAGGGAGACAGAGGTGTCTGCTGTCACCAGTTCTATTCAATGTTATACTAGATGCCCTAGCCAGAACATTAAGGTACAGAGAAGAAGAAATAACAGAAGAGGAAAGAGAAAGAAGGGAGAGAAGAAAAAGCATACAGATTGGAAAAGAAGAGGTAAAACACTATGGTGCAAATGACATGAACATCTATGTAGACTAGCCTAAGGAATCTACAAAAAAAAAAAGCTACTAGAACCAAGTGAGTATAAGATTGTGTGATGCAAGGTCAATATGCAAAACCAATTGTATTTCTTCTATATAATAGGAGTCAACAACTGAGAATTAAAATACCATTAAAAGATGTAAAATAGGGATACATTTGGCAAAAAAATTAAATTTGTACATCAAAAACTATAAAACATTGATTAGATAAATTTTTTTAAACTTAAATAAATAGAGTAAAACTTCTGATCCTCATGGATTGGAAGTCTCAATAATGTTAAAATGTTGATTCTCCCACAAGTTGGTATTCAACACAATCCCTATAAAGTCCTAGCAGCTGTTTTGCATTTGTTGCTTTTTTTAAAAAAAAAAAGATTCTAAAACTTATTTGGAAATACAAAGGACCTAAAATAGCTACAGTTTTGATAAAGAAAACATAAAGTTTGAGACTTCCTTGACTTCAAGATATATTATAAAGCCACACCAGAGACTAGAATATCGTTTTAAAGAAGCAGACCTACACATATTTAGCCAACTGATTTTTGACAAAGTTGTCAAAGCAATTCAATGTGGAAAGAACAGTCTTTTCAACAAATAGTTGGAAACAATTGAATATTTATATGTAAAACAAAAAAAAGAAACTTGACACCTTATTACATCCACAAAAAATCTTATAACATTACCTTATATTAATATTACCTTATAAAATACACACAAAAATATTAATTAAAAAATCAATATGATCTAATAGATCATAGACCTAAATGTAAAACTTAAAACTATAAAACTCTTAGAATAAACCACAAGAAAAAACAAAACCAAACCTTTATGGCCTTGGGTTAGCCAAGATTTTCTAAGACCAAAAAAGCACAATCCATAAAAGAAACACTGATAAACTTAACTTCATAAAAATAAAAACTTTTACTCTTCAAAAGATATTAGTAACAAAACTTTTAAAAGGTTACAGACTAAAAGAAAATATTTGCTGAAAACATATCTAATGAAGAACTTGTATCCAGAACAGAGGTTAGCAAATTACAGCCCCTCCGCCCCCACCCCCGCCCCCATCTTTGTCAGAAGTTTATTATCTGTATTATCTGTGGCTTCTTTCAAGTTAAAATATCAGAGTTATGTAGTTGCAATCCAGACCTTATGACCTATAACCCTAACATATTTACTATCTGACTCCTAAACAAAAAGTTTGCCAACACCTGAGAATATTTAAAAAACTCTTACAACACACTAAAAATAAGACGACTTGATTTTCAAAATAGGTAAAAGATTTGAATAGACACTTCACCTAAAGAACATATACAAACAGCAAATAAGTACATAAAAATATGCCAAGTATCATTAGTTGTTAGGAAAATGCAAATAAAATCACAATGATATACCACTACACACAGCTAGAGTGGCTAAAATTAAAATGACTGACAATATCAAGTGCTGGTAGAGATGTGGTGCAACTGGAATTATTCTATGCTAGTAGGAGTACAAAATATTACAGCCACTTTAAAAAAACAGCTTAGCAATTTCTTAGATCATTAAGCAGATACCATTTGAGTATCCAGACAGATACCTATTTGCCTTTTAAAATGACATCCTTTAATAGTCATTGTATACTTTTAACAAGCCATTTCAGATAATTCTACAAATGCAGGGGAAAGATGATTTTAAAACTTCGGGAAATATAACCAAGGATGGAATCGGCAATAAAATCATGACAGTCAACCCCTCTGTAAGGCTGTTATTTAATAACCTAAAATCATCCAAGATGGCACTTCTAGACACGTTTTCTCACTTTTTTTAGTCTCTTCTCTCCAGGAATTTGCTGCAGGAAGCGATTAAAGCTGGTGATTTCAATAGGTAGTGAAAGCAAGTGGTTAATGGCAAGGAGCTATCAAGATTTTCCCTCTTCTGCGCTGTCCTTCCCTGAGCTGTTGTTTCAGAGTGGTTAAAATCAACCACAAGCATTTTCCCAGGTGCAAACATCAAGCAGAACACTGTGATCAATCCTGAGGATTCCATATACTCCTGTCACTGAGGTTTTTACAATGCAATAATTGATGTTTGAAAAACTGCTCAGTAGTCTACAAGATAGGAAGATATTATTATCATTACCTAGGTGAGGTAACTGAAGCTCAGAGAGGTTGCGCTGCAGCAAAGATGACCCAAACAGTGCTGTGACTTCAAGCAGATTTTAGCTCTTCTATCCATAGCTCTTTCTATCCCTTGACAACTCACCAGCTGGGAGGTAGATTATGTTAGCACTTACCAGCTAATAGCTTACAGGTGAGCCAAAATCTTGCCCATAAGGTGGCTGGCTGGAAATTATGTGACCAAATGAGCTGGATGGTCCACTCTCAGCAGTGAGCAGCCTCTAGTCTTTATCTCATCGTGCTGTGTGGGCTGTAGTGTGAAAAATGTCAGGAGGCACTGATACGTGTTATCTGGCATTGATGTATTAATCTTTTTACCTTTGTGTTCTACATTTCAAAGGAGTGATATTCATACCTTGAACTATTAGGATTTAAAGAATTCAAAACCTCCGAACCCCTCTCTCCATAAGAACTTGGAATCAGACCTATTGCGGAGAATTCTAGCCCAACCCAAAGGGATTGGGTAGACCAGAGAGGCCACAGGAAGGCAGAATTTGCACATTGCTAATCCCTATACCTTCTTCCCAGGCACTCCCATAGCACCCCACATTTCAACATGTCACACAGGCAACTGCGCTGAATTATAATGTTCTGTTTCCTTGTTGATTTCTCCTGCTAAACTGTAATCTTTTTTAAGAGCAAAAGATCATTCACTACTGTACCCTGACTGTCCAGCACAGTGCCCACACTGCTGCAGTAGTCTCTTAACCAGACTCTGCTGTACTATTGCCTTCCTATGACCTTTCTTCAAGTTTGAGTAATGTATTTAAAATGGAAAACAAGTCAGGTAACCCCCCTGCTTAAGACCCTCCAATGGTTGAAAATGATCTACATCTTGATTGTGGTAGTGATCATATGACCATAGGCCTTTATCAAAATTCATAAAACTGTACATCTAAAAGGGGTAAATTTTACTGTATATAAATTATATACCTCAATAAACCCAACTTAAAGTTTTAAAAATTAAAATCTCCTATGGATATCATTGTTCTTAAAACAAAATCCAGGTTCTCTACCACGGCTGACATGGCTTAATGACTCACGGTCCCACAGGAAACAGATGACATACTCAAATTAGGAAAAAGTTGTAAATAGTTCATGGAACTCTCCTCAAAACTGGGCAGACGGGTCATGAAGCTACACATATAGTGGGGTGCAGGTAGCACCCAGGCCTGAAAGGAAGGTACGGCTACTGTTACCTGGAGACAGAAACGCTGCGTGGAGCTGAGCCTTTCAGTTAAATATGAGAGCCCCCATCTCCTGCTAGGAGTCCTCATTGGCAGGATCCAAACAGAAGGCAAGGGGCAAGAGCAAGTCACGCCCAGGGCCATAGAACAGGGTGGAGGGTGGAGCTAGAGAGGAAAATGGAGAGATATCAGTAAATAGTGATAAATGGTCTGGCCCCTCTTTCCTACTACAACTTCAAATGCACCTCCCTCCAAAAGCCATCCCCCTCCCACACTGTGATCCAATCACACTGGCCTTTTCCTGTCCACCGTAGGCCCTGTACAGTTACCTATCTCTGTGCCTGAATTCCCTGCCCCTAGATCTTTGCAGTTGGCCTCTTTCTTGACATTCAAACTGTCCTCTCAATCAAAAGCAAAGCCTCTCCCCCAACTTCTCCTTAGCACTCATCTTGGTTCTTCCCAGGCAGAAGTAATGCTTACCATTACTTTTTTAAATAAAAAAATATATATTGAAGTCATACAACATGATGTTTTGATATACATATACATAGTGAAATGATTACTACAGTCAAGCTACTTAACATACTCATCTTTTCACAGTTACTTTTTTTGTGGTGAGTGTTTTTGGGGAACCACAGTCAATGGCGCAGGGTTAAAAGAATTTGCCAAGACAGTTGTAGCTCAAGGAAGTCAGATTTATTAGAGAAAGTGAAAAAATACATTGCCAGAGAGAGAACGGACAGCCTCAAAGAGAGAAGCCAATTGCCAAGAGACAAAGGCTTGCTGGAGATTTTATAGGATAGTGTTTATGCTGTCTGTCGAAGAGGGCTTTGTGCAATATTGATAATGCCAAGGTTGCAGTGAACTGACTTGCAGGTGTCTGGTGATAGCTGGATGCAGGAAGATTGAGAGTTATTTGCACAGGAGGGCTGTGTCCTGAACCATGAAGAAAGGTAAACTTGCAGTTTATCTGTTTTCTCTTTTTGCTTTCTCCTGCTCCCACAAGCCTAATTCCCTTTCTCTACTTAGGACTCTACAGTGAGAACACATAATATCTACTTTTTGTAAATTTCCAGTATACAATACAGTATTAACTATAGTCATCAGGCTGTGCATTAGATCTCTAGGCTTATTCACCCTATATGACTGTAACTTTGTAACTTTGTACCCTTTGACCTACATCTCCCCATTTCTTCACTCACACTCCTGGTAACCACCATTCTACCCTCTGCTTCTATGGATTTGACTTATTTAGATTCTACATATAAGTGAGATCATGCAGTATTTGCTTTTCTACACATTACTTTCTCTCTCTCCAGCACCTAGAAGAGTGCCCACACCAAGTGCCTACGTGTTTGAAAGAAGGAAAGAACAACAGTGGTCCTGCTGCCTTGTCCCTGAGTGGCCATTCTTCCTGGCACAGCTGGGCAGAGTGCGGGAGTGTTCAGACTGGGGAGGGAGGATGATGTAGGTAGGGGATGGGAGGCCTAAGTGAGTGAAGCACCCCATGTACGGTGAGGAAGTCAGGGCTAGAACAGACAGATATACCCAGGATGCCCAGAGATTCATGGGAAAAACATTTCTTTAGCTTGTTCAAAAGCAGCAGAAACCACTCTCTACACATTAAAAAAAGCATACTAATTTACGTTGCATTCCCAGCCCTCAATCAACCGTAGAGTGTACAATCTGATTGAAAGAGCCCGATCAAGGCCATTTTCTCTAAAGAGTGGATCCACACGGGTCAAATCATGTGCATTCAATACATATTTGACCAATATTCTGATTCACTGAACTCCACCAGGGAAGAGACAATCTCCCTCTCTAAGGGAAAAAATAAAAGATCCTGAGAAAAATAGTCTGTGGTTTCTTAGTGCAGTAACATTTAGTCACTGAGCTATATAGCAAGTTAAAGGTCTTTTAACCAAGTTGATTTAAAATAAATATCTATGCTTTCCAGAAAGCAGTGTTTTTAGGTTATTCTTATGCCTTATTTCTGAAAACAGTTAACTGAGGCAATTTCTTTTTAATTAAAAAATGCATTTGAAAAAAAAATTACTCCCAACCAGAGCCTGCTTATTTCTTGCTGCCTTTTTAGCTATTATTTTCCTTTATCATTTTGTAGGCGAAATGACACGGCAAAATTTTTTCCAGCATTTACTCAATTTTGTTCAGAGCCACTAAATTTTATATACAATCATATTCCTCTTTTGCTACAGAGAAATCTCATGAATTGCAAAAATGTGAACATTTTGAATTAGAATAAAGATTTCCTCACATCGTTTTCTATATATGGAATCGTCTCATTCTCATCATTCCCTGGTTTTAAAAGAACTGACTATCCCAGATATTGACTGGAATTTTTCTTCATGTAGTTTAGAAGACAACATTATTGATTACACTGGGCTTTTCTTATTTACCACCTTTTCATCTGTGATGGGCCATATGGGTATTCAGTGTTTAGTTATGTGTGTCTAAACTCTTTGAGAAAGACAGTTATTTGTCAGGCTGCAAATACCTAGAGAGCCCATAACAATTTTCTTTCAACAAGCAATCGTTAGGCTTCTTCTGGCTTGGAACGATACGACCCCAGATCCTCCTGGGTGGCACACATGGTCAGAGACAAAATGGCATTAAGAGACTCTGGACCTGACTTGGATAAAAAATGTAGCCCCAATCACCAAAGAGGTCAATTTGTCGGGCAAGATGGCTGCAGCTCCACTCACAAACCCTACTTTTCTTTTTTAAATGGTATGTTTCCTTCCCAAGAGGCTGTCCAAAGAGGAAGACAGGGATGCACACCCAGAAAATGGCCTCGATCGGGTTCTTTCAATCAGATTGTGCACTCCACGGTTAATTGAGGGCTGGGAATGCAACATAAATTAGTTCCACAGCTTAAAATAAGAGAAGTAGATAGTATCTCCATTTTTCAGAGAAAGAAATGGAGGCTTAGAGACGTGAGATAACAAGTGGCAGAGCCCAGATCTGAGTCCCAAGTTGCACCCTGGAGCCCATGTTTGCCCCACTGTGTGAGCAGCCAAGCTGACTTCCCCAGACAATGGGGATCTGCAGCACCACGCAAGGGAACTAGGTTATGACAACTAAGACTCCAGTTTCCAACCTCATGGCCTCTGAAATTCCCTAGGGAAAAGTTTCTGCTGCTGTTCACCTATCCTACTGATAAGGACAGCTACTTAATGAAAGTGAGAAATTATGACTCTACAGCTAGTCTGTCACCTGATGTCCCAGAGAACAGGCTTTTTGTTTGGGAGGAGCAAAAATGACTACATCCTAGAAAAGACCACTCCTGGCCGGGTGCGGTGACTCACGCCTGTAATCCCAGCACTTTGGGAGGCCGAGGCAGGCGGATCACCTGAGGTCGGGAGTTTGAGACCAGCCTGGCCAACATGGTGAAACCCCATCTCTACTGAAAATACAAAAACTACCTGGGTGTAGGGATGGGCACCTGTAATCCCAGCTACTCGGGAGGCTGAGGCAGGAGAATCGCTTGAACCCAGGAGGCGGAGGTTGCGAGTGAGCCGAGATCGTGCCACTGCATTCCAGCCTGGGCAACAGAGTGAGACTCTGTCTCAAAAAAAAAAAAAAAAGAAAAGAAAAGAAAGAAAGAAAAGACCACTCCCAAAGAAATGATATCCTGCCTCCACACCTCCACCACCATCACGAAATTAACAGTACATGTATTCCCTTGGGATTCATCACTCATATTTGAGCATCTACTTTGTGTCAGGTGCTACCAGTGCTGAGGATATAGCAGTGAGCAACACATGTTTCCTCCCTCAAGAACTTGAGGCAGACCAGTGGGGATGACAGAAACAGGTATCACAGTAATGGTGGACACATGGAGGGCCATCTTCCCCAGCTTATTTGGAGAAGGGTGAGAGGGGCTGACACAGGAAGTGATGTCTAAAAGGAGACTGGAAAAGCGAACAGAAGCTCAGTGAGGAGAGAGCAGCTGGGATTGCAGCAGCATGGGTCAGGAAGAGTTCTAGAAAACAGCAAGGACAAAGGTCTGGAAATAAAAGAGAGCCCAGGGAGTTCAGCGTGGGGAGTGGAGAGAAGTTTAGTGATGCTGGAAAGATGAGTTGATGTTAAGTTATATATGGCATCTGCAGCCACAGAAAAAGATTGGGGCAGTGTGGTAGGAGGACAGGATCTGACATCCTGAGCTGGCACCTGAATCAAGGCTATCAAATGGAAACAACAATTTACCCACCTCTAAGCAATGTGGTGAGGAGCTACTGAGCTAACCCATAGAGAATGCTGTGTATAGTGCCTGGCCTATACAAAGTACTGGGTAAAAGGTAGCTATTACCATCATTGTTATTTTATTCTGAGGGTCAGGAGAGCCATGGAGGAGTTTCACAAAGGCAAAGACCATCAATTTACGCTTTAGAAAGGCTGTTCAGGCCAGGTGCCTGTAATCCCAGCACTTTGGGAGGCCAAGGTGGGTGGATCACCTGAGGTCAGGAGTTCGAGACCAGCCTGGCCAACATGGCGAAACCCTGTCTCTACTAAAAATACAAAAAAAATTAGTCGGGCATGGTGGCAGTTGCCTGTGATCCCAGCTACTTGGCAGGCTGAGGCAAGAGATCGCTTGAACCTGGGAGTTGGAGGTTGCAGTTAGCCAAGATCGCTCCATTGCACTCCAGCCTGGGCAACCGAGCAGGACTCTATCTCAAAAAAAAAAAAAAAAAAGAAAGAAAAAAAAGAAAGAAAGGCTGTTTAAGGGACAGTGTGGCAAACACATGTACAAAGGACAAGGCTGAAGGCAGGTGAAACTAACAAGGAAACTCTTGGGCAAGAAACCAATCCCTTCCACATTTCATAGCACAAAGTCAATATTTAAGAATGCCAATTGACTGTACCCAGTAAAGGGAAAACATTTTTTGAGTGCAACATTAAGATACCATCCTCTGTTCATACCTACATGTACTATATATTAGACATAAATTTTGATATCCAGGAGACAAAAGCAAAAGGACCTAGAGTGTAGGGAACCATAGGATGGGGAAGTGGAGGGATCCAGAAGAGCAAGACCACCCTAGATATTTGGGAAGGGAACATTTGGCAGTAGGGTGGGAACAGGGCAGATGGGGCAATGGGAGGTGCTCTCGAACTATATTCTGTCTGCTTCACAGTTTTGCCTTACAGATCTGCATCTTACTGCCTGCTTTTTCAGAAACAGACACCAATTGTCACAGGCTGGGTTCCCCGGCAGACATCTCATTGGCGTTTGTGATGCAAGACACTTATTTGTTAAGAGTCAACACCTGTGAAAGAAAGCATGTGGAAGCAGGACTGAGGAATCAGGAAGTTGCTGAACTGCAACGCAGGCCTAATAAAGTCTTCAGGAAGCTGGCAGGAGGCTCAGAAATGTGTATTGCCAATCTGAGCTGCCTGGTGGGCTGAAACCTCCCTCAGTTATGACAGACCATCCTAGAAAAGGCAGAAACCTGGCCAAGTGACTGTCTCTAGCTGAGAGAGCCCAAAGCAGCTGACAGCTGGAAGCAATCTTGCTGACCACACTCCCCAAAGCCCCACAGCTAAGCAGACGTCCTTCTCAGAAGGACAGCACATATCTGTGTCTACCACACTTTTCCTTCCTACCTTCTGAGAATATTTTTTGAAGAAGGTTTATTTTACTGCTGTCTTTTCCAGGTTATCTTAACTCTGGGATCTTTTCTAAAGAATCATTCTTGTCAGACTGAGAGGCACTTTGTGTTGGAAAACATTGCACTATATACCAATGAAAATTGCATGTTGTAAAAAGATGTGTATTTTGTTCTATGTAAG
The DNA here is from genome assembly GCF_000001405.40 of Homo sapiens. Lineage (NCBI taxonomy): Eukaryota > Metazoa > Chordata > Mammalia > Primates > Hominidae > Homo > Homo sapiens. The sequence continues at coordinate 45,921,182 of NC_000015.10, read as the reverse complement.
TTAACTTTGTTAATATGCAAGGAAGGAAGGATCTAAAGAAGTATCTGTCACTCCTTTGACTATAACAGTTGATTCAGTTGATCTGGTTATTTAGAAAGATGCTGGTCCGTGCTTCATAGCTCCTCAGGCCTCCTTCCTGATAGCACAAAGTTGGGCAAAGAGAGGACCATCTGGCCAGGTGTCATGGCTCACGATGCCTGTAATCCCAACACTTTAAGAGGCCGAGGCAGGCGGATCACTTGAGGCCAGGAATTTGAGACCAGCCAGGACAACATGGTAAAACCCCATCTCTACCAAAAAAAAAAAAAGAAAAAAATTAGCTGGGTATGGTGGTGCATGCCTGTAATCCCAGCTACTCAGGAGGCTGAGGAACAAGAATCGCTTGAACCCCAGAGGCAAAGGTTGCAGTGGGCTGAGATTGCTCCACTGCTCTCCCACCTGGGCAACAGAGCGAGATGCCGTCTCAAAAATAAATAAGTAAATAAAAGGACCTTCTTAGAGAGAAAAACTAGCCCTCAATAAAGTTAATCAGTTTTAGCTAGAGCAAACCAGCTAACATTAAGAAGTTGGTCTCTGGCTATAGCTGAGATGTAGATGACACCTAGACAGCAGGGGTGGGAATGGTTTGAGTGTGACCCTCATCTGCTCTTCACTTAATTTAGCCCATGGTGTCAGTACCCAGAGGTCTAGCTCCCAGTTAATACCCTTATCTAGTCCATGGTAGCATAGTCCCAAACTGTACTCTCTAAATTGCTATGATTTATTACCCTGTGAGTCTTCTCCAACCCTCTACCACCATCCCTACTCACTTTCTCTTTAAAATATTCACTAACTAAAATCATTCAATTGGATAGAAATGCATTTTGTCCTGTTCTTTATTGTAAAAAACAAAAGTAAAAAAAAACTTTTAAAAAAAGAAAACTAAAAGAAGTGCCTTTCTGTTTATATGGCTCTTGTCTAATTTCCTAACCATCACCCACAACTCCATTTTGTGGTAGTATTTTTCTTCATTCCACACAGTGATATAAAATGTCGGTGTTGATGAGTCATTTTTCCTCTTCAACTTGTTAACTTCTACAGAGTTCTTATCATGCCAAGCATTCCTTCACAAAATAAAGTCCACAACAGATGACTCATATACCTCTTATTAGAAAGAAAACATCAAAAGGATGAATAAATAAATAAATAAAGCAAGTAAGCAACCATAATCCACTACCTGCTTAGTGTTAAGAGGACTTCTCAAGCGTCAGAACAGCTTTACGAAACTCACTGCTGAATCAGCCTTGGAGGGAGAGGTGTGGCCGCCCAGCCCAGCTGATGCATGGGAGCGGGCTGTACTGGGCTTTTCAAGAGCGGAGAGAGGAGGAGAAACATCCCTATTTTTTTACTATTAGTATTCTTAGAGATTTGCTTATTTTACTTACATGTGAAAAAAAAAATTAACCATAGGTCTCAAGAGAGAGACAAAAGGGAATACACATTATACTCTAATCCTGGCACTCCACCATCATCCAGAGCAATACAAGCTATGGAAGACAAGGACGAGCGGAACACAGATCCAAAGACTCGCGAGTCATGCAAAGACAGAGGGAGATTTTCTCCAGTTTCTTGAATTATTTCTGTTTTAAAATATTCAGTAGCAAGACTCATAGCAGAGTATCCCTTGCCAGCTACGCCACAACTCTATCAAATGGTCTTCTGGTCTTCCAGGAATTGATTTTGATCTGCTCAGTAATGCTTAGACCCACATAAAGAAAATAAAACTAATGTAGGCCCCATGGAAACTTCAGGGAACATCCCCCAGGCATTTATTACACCAACAGTGCAGGTGCACAGTGGCATAGCAAGAAGCTCTGAGACCACAAGCAAAATATCAGATAGGCTTTTTTAATTTTAAAAATAAATAGACCCCTAGCTTTGTGCACTAAAGGGGTTTGTTGAGTAGTATTTACACCTGTGGAGAGAGCAGAAGGTGTCAGCCGAGAGAATCAGCGTTTTTCTCTAACTCTAACTTGATTTCCATTATTTTTGCAGTGTCCTCATGCAGGCCAGAGACCCCAGGGTGTTTTATTCAAGCTGTGCAAACAATACCAGGAAACAGGCAACTCTAAAAAAATGTACTGAACTTAAAATGGGGGAAGTGCCTGTTCTGGCTCTCTTGAGCTCCTTCATTTGAGAGGAAACTCCCACAGTGTGGACAATGCACTGGCCTTGGGCCCTGGAGCCCTGGCCTCTGGCTGGGTGGCCTTGGACAAGTCACCCAAACTCTCTGATTCTCTCCTTCTGTAAGATAAGCATGGTACCACTTCAGACAGAGACTGGTGTAAGGATCAGATGGGAAGGTAAGTAGAAGCATTCTAAACAGAGTGAGAATAGGAAATATTATAGAGATTTTAGATGTTCCTTGTAATTTAAGTAGTTCAAGTGAAGTTGGTAGAATGGGGAGAGTAGTTTTCAGATGCTCCATCAATGTCTAAACCCCAAAGCTTGAATCTTGAGGACAGATGTAGCTACACCAATATGCTTGGTTTTCTTCTTTACTTCTTCCTGCCCTTTTAATCCATCCTCTTCTATTCTGGAATTCCAATCCTTTATAGTGCCCCACATTTCCTTCCCAGCCCTATACGTTCTTATTAGTTAATACTGCAGTGTGTAGGCCAATTTCATGATGTTCTGATAATTATGATGTAGTGGATTAGCCTGAGCTGGCTGTAAGAAGCTGTTACCTGTTGAATTCTGCAGGAAGCAGACTTCTTAATGAGAATTCATGGACAGGAAGGTTGTTAGTGCATATTCTTGGAAAAAGAAAGGAAAAAAAGCCAGACTGGGTGAAAGGAGAAGTTTGGCTGTAATGTAGTTTCAATGAAGGCCTCCATGAACCCTATGGAAAGTTTTTTTTTTTGTATGGGGGCTCTTCAGTGCTGTCCATGCTTTCAAATCCCCATAAACATCAGTCATCAGATGTAGGCAGCCCTCACAAGGGGCATGGCCTTCAGTTAAGGCAATAAGAAGCTGACAACTGAAGTCTTTCTTCCATCAGAACTCTCAGTAGCTGGGGGAATAGATCCTCCAATTCTGATATGAGATCTGAGTAGTGCATTTCAATAGTCTTCCCCAGAAGCCACCAAGCCACCATGAGTGCATCCACCCTTCGCTGAGAGGTTGATCTGACCCTTTGCTCTTCCAGGTGAAGGAGACTCATGACTATGTCATGGCATCAGACAGCATTTGAAGCAGAAGGCTCAAGCTAAGTGACCAGGAAAGACCAGGCAGAGACAAGTCTAGGAAGTTCTCACTATCTGAAATGAGTAGAAAGTTTATGAACCAGAAGAACAAAGTCAGAAGGATTACCTAGGTTTCAGGAACCAAGACTGCCAAGGTGTAAAGCACCAGGTGTAAAGCACAGGAGGAAGGCCCAGGACCAGCATCAGGAAGTGAACCCAGAGGGCAGAGGCAAGTTCTTCCCTCACTGTTGGGGACCAGCTGAGTGCCAGGCCCCCAGCTCCTCTTCTCCAAACCTTCCTGCTGTCAGAAACATAAAGGGCACGCAGATATTCATTTAACAAATTCTTCATATGAATTTTTAGAGCAGAATAATGGTTAATCTCTGTTGGATAATGTGCTTCCCCTCATCAAGATGAAAGCTGAATAGGCCATTGTGATTTTCCTCCTCAGCCTTGGATTCTGGTAATTTTCAAGTTAATTTCATTGTTGATTTTCAACAACCATCTTGTCACAGAAACCTGGTAGAATTTTCCTTCTCTCTTTTCTCTGCCTCTTTGTATCCTTATTTCTCACACTTCCTAATGTAACAGGGTTTTTTTTAATCCTTTAACTATCTGAAATCCCTAACTGGGCATGCCTAATAGGCATCCCTATTTTATAACTAGTGGCCTCTTGCCTGATCCTAGTCACAACTCTGAACAGGGAATGTAAACTGCACCTACTGGGGAGATGCATAACCATGAGCTGAGAATTTCTAGTCAAGGATGAGGACTAAGGTTGTATTTACTCTTCTTAATTTCCTGAAATTATTAGATACAATCCAAAAGAATAAAAAATGAAGAAAACTGCATCTAAAATGAAAAATAGAAAATGGCTACAATTCCCAACCCCAGGCTGTGAAGAATACTGTCAAAAGATAGTAAACCTTAGACCCAAACCAGAGATAGTGAAAAACAATTCATACCTCCTTGAGTCTTAATAAGAATGCAGATTTCTTTGAAAATAAGTGGGAGGGACCCATGGGTCCCAGCTTTACCTAGAACGATGAGAAGGAGGACCATGAGGCCATTTGAGGTGGAGGCCATCCTGGAGAAGAGGGGAAGGGTAGAGGAGTCTTGTTACACACGGATGAACAGAGGGAGAACAAGGACTGAAGAAGTACTGTTTTCACCTTTGCTTTTTCCGAGTAAGACTCCTATGCTGAAAACAGCCTGAGATGAGGCAAGGAGGAAAAAAGACCAGAAATAGCAACTAGCTTTGAACTTGCTTACAACATCCAACTAAGCAAAATAAATTAGTACAGAATCATCAAATAGAAGACCTATGAGCCATGGAACTATGCTGCAAATTCACATGGATCCTCTGGCTGGCAATCTGCTTACCTGGAGAGGGAGAGAAGGAAAAGATTACCCCCAAAATTAGAACGATAATTCTAACAGTGATGCTATGATATATATGAAATAGAAGACAATAAAACTACTACCCAAATTTTAAAAACCATTAAAAGCAGCAAGAAAGAAAAAATATATATCTGAAATGCAATGATGTGTACTTTTTGAGACAATTAGGCAAAATGGGGGAAAAAGGACAAAAGAAGATGACAAAGAGAAGATTAGAGATGTGGAAGATGAAAGCAGTTACCTAATATAGAATTGTTATTTTTCGATAAGAGAATGGAATAAATAAGCCCTGAAAAAAGTTCAAAATACAATAAAAGTTGGCAGAGATAAAAGAAAGCCCTAAATCTGCAGTCGCAAAAAAACACACTATGAATTAAGAAAATTTGCAGAAAAAAATAAATCCACTATCTACACGGAAAAAGTAGTCACTTACAAGAGGATAAGGGTCATCAGGTTACTACATTCATTCTCAAGAGGGATGATATTGCCTTCAAGGGGACAAAAATTTATTATTGGGGGAATGAAAATAATATTAGATATTATAATAGTTTGTGGCCTTCTAGAGGACCATAATATATAAATAAATATAGAGCATATCTGTAATATTAAAGGATCTTTGGGTAAGGAGCAATGATGAAAATAGAAACACTGTGTTAGCATGATACATCCACAGAATATTCAATTCCAGGGCAATGTTTACAGAGTCTTCGGAAGACATAACCGTACCCCAACAATTTCAGGCCAACCAATTATCAGCCATAAATACGGTCCTTAGACATGCATATGCAGTCAGGACCTAACAACCATAAGCCCTCATGAGAAAAACGGATACAGAATGAGCCCCAGCCAGCCAAAAGATGACCCAAAGTAAAGAACCAGAAATGGGGAAGCTTTGATATTTAAGGACTGGCGGTGAACAATGGAGCCATTAGAATTTTACAACATTTAATATGTTTTGTAAACTTTGACATTGTGAAAATAAAGAAATTAAAAAGCAAGGTAGTGAGATATGGGTGATGGATGAACAAGGGCATTTATTTCCCTGTATTTCATAGCAAGGAGTCAATAGAGCTAGCCTTAAAAAATATTTACAGTCATAACAGTGACCCCCAGAGGAACTAAAAACCAGATTACAAATCTCTCAAAATGTCAGTAGAAGGGGAGCAACAGAACCAAAATAAAGAAGACATAAACCATATAACCAAAGATGGGAGATTGAAGATGGAAAACTATGGAAGCATTAGAAAGAGAAAACCCCTAAGATGACAGGATTGAAACACACGTTATGAATGTAATATGTATGTTACATGTGTATGTGTAAATACAATAAATTCATCAAAAATTATCAAATTGGATTGAATAAACAAAAACTAGCTGTATGCTTTATATTATTCAAATAGTCATTCATAAAGGTTATAGGTAAAATTATTCATATTACTATTCTTTTTTGCACTTATTTACGTCTTTGCCAGACAGAATTCAAGGCAAAAAATATATTAAACAAGGCCAAAGCACAGTTTATCATCACAAAAACATTCAATCTAGTGATATCAATGAAGACATCACTAATGTTACATTTTACATTCTAATTATTATAACATAAGAATACATAAAGTGTAAAATGCAGAAAATTTAATGAGAATTCTTCAAATAGAGGAGGATTTTGATTTATTTCTCTCAACCTCAAATAGGTTAAATACTCAAAAATTTAGTGAGGATATAAAGAATCTAGAATCTAATTCATTAAATTACATTTTTATAATTCCACATCCTTAAAAAGAGTATAGAACTGTTTTCAAATACTTGTAAAAATATTTACAAAAACTTGGCTATATATTGGGCACAAAATAAACCTCAAAAAACAAATTGTAATAATAGTAATGACCATGCTGTCTGGTTATAATGCAATAAAAGTAGAAATGAGTAACAAAATGAATCACCTGAAAATGCTAACTCATTCTCTAACAATTTATTTAGTTCATGATTCTGTTATTGGCTCCAAAGTTGCAGAATATCTAGAAAATAATAATATTAAATGCACTCAGTTAATAATAAACCATAGTAAACAGCTAAAGCTGTTAACAGTAGAAAAATTGAAGTTCTATACTTATATTACTAAATATTACTAAATAAGAATTCAACTCAATAATTTAAAAGGAATTAAACCTAAGGAGAGCAGAAGGAAAACATTATTTACAATAAAAAGAAATGCATATGTTATAAAACAGAAGACAGAAAGTAGAATTTATCAATATAACCAAAAGGCGATTCTTGGCGGGGGAAGTAATATACATAAATCAGCAGTTAGCCTAAACAAAAATTAAAAAGGAGAAGGCACAAACACAAATAATAACAATGAGACTAAAGGGAGAAAGAAACCTCATCTGCATAAGATATTAAAAAGAATTATGAGTACTTTGTAAAAACTCTATAAAAATAATTTTGAATTTCTAGATGAAATAAATATTTTCTAGGAAATTATAACATCCAAATTGAAAGTATTCTTGATTTATTTCATGACTATAGATTTATCATCTTTCTCTTCTAAGTCAAAGAACAACTACTCCCCACACATCCTACACCCAAGAAAACTAGGTCAAAAAAGATTCAAAAGCTTTTTTTTCCAAATCTCTAAAGAACAAATAATGTGGTATTATTTCAACCCTTTCAAAGCATAGAAAAGAAATACACTTTCCAAATTCAGATCAATTTTGCTAGTTAATGACAATGTAAAAGTCTCTAATATAACATAGGTAAATACAGAACACGAAAAAATGTACCATGACAAATAGGGCTTATTAAGGAATGAAAGGGTTTTTCAACAGCAATTAAAGGCCATGGTCTTCCATCTGACATTGATTACTCCTTCGTTGGGCCAATCTTGTCACTAATCCCCAGCCCTCTAGGTTCATTCCTTACCTGTCTCTTCCCATCATCCCCCACCATAGTCTATACTCCATCTTGTTGACAGAGCTTTCCAACACACATGTCTGTATTTTGTTTTTCCCCTACTTACACTCCATTAGAGATTTTCCACAGCCTTTGGGATAAAGTTTAACTCCTTGATCACAGCACATGAGGGAGGCTCTACCAACCTCTTTAGCCTTGTTTTCAGCCCACACACATGGGGTTGATCCTCTAGCCATTGCAAAATACTTGGAGATCCTCAACTCCTTTTACTTTTTCTTGACTCTCTGTTTTCCCAAGTGCTGTTTCCTCTGCCTAGAACACTTTTCTTCCTCCTCCTATGCCTACTCAGGCATCATCTTCCACTCAAAGAAGGCTTCCCCAGTGCCCCCACTAGGCTGTGTTGGCTTACTTCCCCATCTTTCTAGTAGCACCTTGTGCAGACCTCAGTGGAACTCATCATCATGAATGGGAATTGTTAGTTTGAATGGCAGTCTCCCACTCTACACCCTAACTTCCTTGAAGACAAAGAGCTTTCTATCTTGCACTGAGCATATGCCTGGCATATGGAAGACACTAAATAAATACCAAAGGAATGAGTACTTCCGATTCTGGTAGAAAATCATCTCCAGATCAGGAAAGTCACTGCAAGTGGTTAATGAAATCACCCAGAAATGGGATTACTTTGGGGTCTCTGCTTAAAACTACAATATGCCAGCTTCAGACCATAAGAGATTTTTTTTTTCAGGATTGTCAACATGTGAGAAATAAATCACTATCTCAGAGAATGATGTGTTCTCATGAGGTGTCTTCTTACACATGGGAGGATTAGAGGTAGAATTTCGTAGTTTGAAGGTGATAGAAGGCTAAATACTAAGTAACCCATCTAAAAACTCAGTTTGAAACAAGCACAGATTTATTTGCCATCACTGCATAGCAGCACATCTGTACACCAAGGTCCCCGATTTGCCATTCTAGAAGAGGAGCTTCACACTCAGTATATCACATTGTGGTTTGTTTTGTTTTGTTTTGTTTTGTTTTGTTTTGTTTTGTTTTTTATTGAGACAGCGTCTCACTCTGTTGCCCAGGCTGGAGTGCAGTGGTGCAATCTCAGCTCACTGCAACCTCTGTCTCCTGGGTTCAGGCAATTCTCCTACCTCAGCCTCCCAAGTAGCTGGGATTACAGGTACCCACCACCACGCCCAACTAATTTTTGCATTTTTAGTAGAGATGGGGTTTCACCATGTTGGCCAGGCTGGTCTCAAACTCCTAACCTCAGGTGATTTGCCCGCCTCGGCCTCCCAAAGTGCCTGGATTACAGGTGAAAGCCATACCACCCAGCCATCACATTGTTTTATATTGCAGATTTTATCATCAATACAGGGGAGAGACCACTGCTCCCCTGAAGCTGCTACAGTGTTTCTCAGCAAGGTTTCAATTGTATTTCTGGGTCCTACATTCTTGAACATTCCTAGTTCAACCACAGCTCCAATAGTATATATTTTATAACATTATTTTCATCTTGCAATTTTATTTAAAGACTACTTTCAAGCTTTTTGGGAGAAAAACGCTTGGGAGTTGCACTGATGTAGTGTAACTCATATTTTACATATGAGGAGCAGGATGCCAGATAGGTTAGGTGAGTTTGCACACACAGTTAGTTATTAAAATCCAGAACCACAATATAAGTACTTAAATTCTAGATACAATGTTCTTGTTTTGGGGAGGATAATACTTGTAGTCATTTCTACTTTGTTACAAGTCTATCACAGCCCAAAAGTCTAATTCTTTTGATGTCTAATTCTCTTGATAGAGCATCAGCTACTTTTATTCAATTAACTGGCAGGGGAGGGTTTTCTATTTTCTAAAATATTACTCAAAGACAACACTTTTGTGAAAGTTGTCTCCACCAAAATAGAGTCACTGATGTTAAGAAAACCCTGACAAGCAGAGCTGGGAAAGGCCATGAAGAGAGGGTTCTCATGCTTGTATGCCTGATATCAAAAACTATCACAGACTGCAAAAACCACAACCCTGCACAAACTGCCATCACAACCTTACATAAAAAATGCTTCTGCAAAGACATCTGCCTAGCAACTGCTTGTACAACCTCAGACTGGTGTCATCCTTGTTATGGGTCTTTGTAGCCAAGGACAATTATTTGAAAACAGTTATCCAATCCTCTTGAGTTTTTCCTTTAAATGCCTTTATCTCCATATACCTTTCTGAATATGCACATAGTTTACCATGGCATGTGTATTTCCACTGCAATTCTTTATTTCCTAATAAATATCTTTTATTTTAGAGAGCCTCTCTCTGTTCATTGTTTAGGTTGATGTACATGGTATCAGAAATGGGACCTGAAAAATATCACTATTGAAAGGAATCGGTGATTCCTGGAAGCAATGCCCAGTACTCACTTGAGCCTTTTGACCTCCCTGCTTCCATGGCTAGCCTTTTCTGCCCTGCTGAGTCTTCAGTCTGATTTACCCTCCCTCTTTTTGGTAGAGGATTTTTTTATATTATTTGGGATCTGGTTTGGATAAGGGCACCTTAATAAAGGACCATGCATCCCTTCTGCGATAATAAAAAGCTTTTTGTCCTTTCTGGAATAAAGACGAGTGACTCAGGGGATAGAGTAATCTTGGTTTCTACAAAATTTACATTCTGTCTGTGGGTCATCTCTTATCTGGTTTGCACACCAGTTTAATATTTTGTTCAATCTGCATACGTGGGTTAAAACTTTCCAAACACTCTCATCTTGGTTTCTTTTGATTTGGTTTGGCTCTTTTCCCTTGCTTATTTCTGAAAATATCCCAGGAGCAAAAATAAACATTCTAAATGCTGAGTGCAGGATGGCTAATTAAAAGCCACTAGGGTGACTGCCACCATCTAGAATGTCAGTCCAAACCCTGACATTCTCTGAAAGGACTTATGAGATTTTCATTGCTTTTGAGAGATTAATAAGAAATGGAATGGGATTCTCAAACACTAAGGCATGCCAGGTTTTCCACAACTCCTGTCAGGTACATATTATGGTCTGTTCTTGTGCCCATTTTTAAACCAATGGGCAAAACTACATCAAAGAAAATTCAGAGCTCAAATGGTCATTATACTAAAAACCTGCAATTATGGAGTTAACATGTAGCGTTTTCTAAATTCTCATCTATTTTTTTCTGCCCACTTTGAATCTGCTGACTCTTTGACTGGTGTTGAGATAAAACTCACTGCTTATGGCATTTCAGCCAAGATTTTAAAAAAAAGAAATCTTAAAGGCCTTTCACATTCATGGCTTTACAAATTACAACAGCTCTATGGTAACCAACAACCTAGATACCTTTTAGAAATACAAATTTAGGTTTGACTGACTAACAATTGTGTACGATGACAAAACAGGTAATTTAAAACTTAATAATCTAAAAAGAAAAATAAGTAGATAAATGTTTACAAAAGTCAGGCTCTCAGATCAAACAGATCAAAATCTTGGGCTCAGAGCTATAATATAAGGTATCTCTGTCCAGCATAAAAATTTTGCTTTTTCCACAATACAGAGGCCAAAAAGAAAAAGCCAGGAAAAAAACTACTAAAAATTTTCCCCTCCCACATTTGCTAATTAATCAAGCCAGACCAGCAAACAAAAGATATATTTGTTACCAGTTCAAGGCTACTTGAAAATATTGTTTTTGTTGTACAATTCAGCCAGTCCTAACTAAAATGTAAATAATTTGAAATTTAACCATAAGCTCATTTGAAAAAAAAAGGAGTGGTAGGGAAAGAGTAAAAGAGATTTTTAAAAATCAAACTAACATGGAAACTGCTTTACCCAAAATTTTGGTTCACAGCCTTCATTAGAGTCCCGATCAGGGCAAATAAATTCTAGCCATGTGAATGGGCATAAATTTTGTCAGAAATATAATTTGGATCCAATTGTCTTTTATAAACTGGTGAGTTTATAATTACCATCTTATTACTAAAACTCTAAAATGAAAGCTATAAAATCTTTGTGTGTGTCTCTCTCTCCACATATATATGTGTGTGTGTGTGTTTATATGTATTTACCCATATGTCATATATTGTGTCTACATGATAAAAACTGGTGTAGTCATACAGAAATCACTTAAGGAATTCTATTTAGACAAATGAGCACTCACATAAAATATAAGATATATAATAATTAACTCAAAGTCTTTTTAGTTCACATGACTTAAGAAAATATTTAATAATAAGCTGGTTTTTAAATTATTGGTAAAATACAAATAGAAATCTTCAAAATTGTCAGCATACTTTTTTGCCTGGGTTTATTGATCAGTAAGTTTTATATCTGTCTCTGTTAGATGTTTCAAGCTACCAGACTTTGATTCAAAGTTTATAAAACTATAAAAACCCAGTCTAAAACAGAATTATCTTTGTTTATGTAATTTTTATGGGTAAAACTAATTTAATATTGCTGGTTTAATTAAAACAGCTGTATCTCCTGAGGTAGCAGCAAGATACCCATATTTTTAACTTTAAGGTTCTTACTTAGGTGAACATCTGATATTCACATGCTATAAAAATTGTTAATAGGGAAGTAACTTGAAATGGTGACTAACTTTGCCTAACCTCTTAGTTCTCATAAACAATCTAGGTAAACTGCTAAAAATAAATAAATTAGGAGAATGTAAATAGTATAAATATCTATAAATGAACTCGTCATGTAATATGAAACTTTGAAGATATGTTATATTATGTTAAATTAAATAGATATTCATTAAATGTGTGAGTCATTTCTAAATATGTGTTTTGGATGAGAAAAAGCTTTAAGAATGGCATAAAGATGTGTTCTTTTTCAAAAAAATAATAATTTTGTCTAATTCAGAAATTATTTAAAGGTCGTTTTAAAAGGCACAGACTAGAAATAAAGCAGCAAGGAGGAGAGAGAGAGATGTGAAGAAAGTTATGACTATAATGATGTATTTTCGGTAAGGAAGGTTTAAAAAAAGAGAGTATACTTGTATATGACAAAGAACCTCATGTTGTACATTTGTGTCCTAAAGTAAAATGACTGGGTACTTAAGAAAGAGAAAGTAAAGGATAAAGCAGAAAGTCCTGAGTAAGTTGTGATAGGGTATGTGAAAATGAAATTTATGAAAGGAATTGTGTTTGTGATTCAGTTGGTTATAATTAAAAGATAATTATTTACTTCTTTCTTTCTGAAGATTAGCTTTGATGTTAAAAAGACATTAATACAACACTTACAAAAAGATCCCCTATGCTAGAACAATGAGGTTTTCTTAAAGTATTGATTTGCTTTTAATAAAATTGCAAGAAGGTTTGATGTTTAATTCTGAAAACTCTTTCTTTGACAGCCATCTTCTAAACTACAGGCAGTTTTTATTTCTGCCACATTTCTTCCTGAGATATTTTTAATTTCCCTTATTTCATGTTGAAAATTCAGCTGTCTTCCTCCATCCCCTTAAAAAGATATATCTTTTTACTTGGCTGGGTGATAACTTTCTCCTTCTGCCTTTTCATCAACTCCTGTAACTCTTTCTCTCTGGTTTCAACTCTACTTTCACAGCCTCATGCCGAAATGTTTATATTAAAGGCCTAGAAGTGCAGTATTTTCTTCCAGTATAAGTTGATCATGTACTCTTGGCTTTTCTTGATAAACCTGAATTGTTCTATGTAATGAGAAAACTTCCCATGCTGTTAACTAAGAGCCATGTATTCTCCTGCTCAAGGTCTAGTTTTCTTGTTTACTTTCCTCTATGACATAGTGTCTATGCATAACCCTAGACACAGTCTTTCTGTGTCTGATTAAATTCAAGTACCCTTTGCATAGGGTTGGACATCTAAATGGGCTTACCATAAAGAGAAGCAATCACGGTGTACAAAGCTTTTCTTTTCCTTTCTGGTAACTGGCCTAAAATTTAAAAAAAAAAAAAAAAAAAAAAAAAAGACTTTGTTTCATCAAGACAATTTCCTGTGTTGTCTTTACGGAAACTGAGCTTTAGCAGAATTAAGACTTTTATAACCACGTAACTTTCTGTATTGCTTCTGAAGTCTTTTTAATATCACTCTGGTTAAATAAATGGCTTTTATTTACGGTGACCTGTGATTCTGTTTTGATCAAGTGCTTTGATCATCTTGACATCTTTGGCAGGTTTTCCCAGTATCAAAATCCTAAATTAAGTATTTGGGGCCTAAAATTAACTTTGGGATTTTCTAGTTGTGCCCCTGAGAGTATCAAAGAATGTATCTCTCATCTTGCAGAGATGTTAAATGATTCGGCTTATTTGATAAATTATATGGAAAACATTGTCAAACAATAAGTAATACTAGATTTTCTTTCCACTACATTTATGGGTATGTCAATATACAAATGTTCCAAAAATTATATATGTTTATTAATATCTAATAGATTATCAGTCATATTTTTGTTTTTTTGTAAAATGGTATTGGGATGGATATGTTATTAATTTATTCTAAAGATTATGTGAGAACTAAAAAGGTCTGATAGTCCTGATGTGACACCGTCAGTCATGATTCTGGTTTTTATCTTAAAATGCTATATGTATTAGAAACATCTAAGTGTCCTTGTCAATTGGGAACATTCATCAGATTTTTAACCATGACTAAGTCTTTTTATTCACAGTTATTATTTGAATTCTTCTTTAAAAGCATCTATAGTCCAAAATTGTATTTTATGGAAAACATTCTAACAAGTACTCTTGAAGACAGATTTCTGATCACTTTAACACCAATGGACTAAATATAAATTTCCAGAATTCTAATAAATAAACTGATGGGTTTATGAAACTGCTAATCAAGATTAAACAAAAAATTGATTACATAAAATTAAGTATTTGATAAAGATGTTTTACTGACTTTTATTTAAAACATTTTTCATTCCTTATTTAAATGTTTGGTTTTCCAGATCTAAGAAAACTTTTTTCCCATAAGCTATAATTTAAAACAATTTGGCAAAGTATACTTTTATAAATAAAGGTCAAAGTACTTGCTTTTTCTCTCTGCTTGACTCTTCTAAAATTCAGAAACTATTCTTGAGTATTCTTATTTTTACTACATAAGTTTAATGAAAAATATGCTGTCTCTTTATGGGGAGGATATAACTGGAAACACTGGCCATATTAACAAGGCTTTGACTAAAATGTCATATTTAAGACCGTGCATAAAATGCCTGGCTTCAAGAGTTCCTGGCCTTAGAGTGAGTGAGTAAATTTGTCACTTCCTGGCAGGCCCAAGAACCTTATCACTGTGAGCAAAATCTAAAATCTATCTTGGTTTGGCTTCCTAGGTTTTTAAATCTGAGATTCTTATATGATCAATGTGGAAAGAAAAAGTTAGATTTCTAAAAAAAATAAGTAAAAGAACTATAATACACCCGTTATTAGATTGTAGCCCTATGCATTATTTTCAAGTGCTTGTTATCTACTTGTAGACAGGACTAGTTCCTGAATTCTAATTTTCTCCAATATTTGGCTACAACTCTCCAAGTGAAAACAACAAAAAATTTCTGTTCCTACAGCCTTATAAACTGAAACTAGACAAGTTTTAAGGAACAAGCCTTGTGCCTCTTGTATGGGGCACACAAAATTTCACCACACAGCCCAATGCGACGACCAGAGACATTCAAACTACAAATCAGGAGGAGATGTTGTTTTCATGTGGTAAACAGAGTCTCCCAACATGTTGGGATAAGACTCCATGTCATAATGAGACTTTTACCCTTCTTAATGCTATCTTTTTCATTTGGCAGGGTAATGGTACAATCAAAGTTTCACAATCAATGGCTTCTGCTGGTAACTTCAGAAAACCTAAGACATACTTTAGTATCGATTGGTTAAATAAGAAAATGTCTGTACTATTGCTAGTACTACATGCTGTACCTGGATAAATTGCTGTGGAAAAGTTGAGACTCATACACACAAAATAAGAACACAGGCTACATGGTTACAAGTCTTAACTAATTCCCTATCATGATTTGATTTATTCAATCGGTTGTCCTTAAGCCTAAATTCATGACTCAAAACCATTATGCAAACTAGAATTGTCATATGACTATTAATTTTACTTTGCATTTTCCCTTTTTAAACTTTGTATCTGTTACTTGTTAAATGTTTTGCAGAAGTACAACTCCTAACAAAACAATGCTGCCCCAGCACTTTGAGATGATAACAAATGACTATAGAACAGACAAAACTGAATTTAATAATGGATTCCAGGTAGCCTTAGTCCGACAGCCATTCTCTTCAAGCCTCCCTTGTTGCCTAAATGTGGCTAAAAACTTTTGACACTGGCTTTTAGTTGCCAAGCACTCCCCTCAATGTAGGACAAGACCAGCAACTAGACAGGTCCATCCTGGCATCAAGAAACATCAAAACCTAAATACAGAATGATTGATCAGTGATGCTTTTGGAGAAAGATCTTGATCAAAAGGGGGAAATGTGAAAGTTCTGAGAATCAAAATGGAGTCCAATGTTACAATAATCCTGGCAAAAAGAGCTGCGGAAGGCCATGAAGAGAGGGTTCTCATGCTTGTATGCCTGATAAAAACTGTCAGGAAAGACTGCAAAAAAAACTATAGCCTTGCAAAAAAGGCCATTGCAACTTTACACACAAAAAAATGCTATTACAAAAATATCTGCCAGCAAGGCCGGACACGGTGACTCACGCCTGTAATCCCAGCACTTTGGGAGGCCAAGACGGGTGGATCACTAAGTCAGGAGATAGAGACCATCCTGGCTAACATGGTGAAACCCTGTCTCTACTAAAAATACAAAAAATTAGCTGGGCGTGGTGGCGGGCGCCTGTAGTCCCAGCTACTCGGGAGGCTGAGGCAGGAGAGTGGCGTGAACCCCAGGGGGCGGAGCCTGCAGTGAGCCGAGATCATGCCACTGCACTCTAGCCTGGGCGACAGTGAGACTCCGTCTCAAAAAAAAAAAAAAAAAAACAGCCAGCAACTGCCTGTCCAACCGCAGACCAGCATGGCCCTCGTTATTGGTCTTTGTAGCCAGGGATAATCATTTCAAGACAATTATGCAACCCACCTCATTTGTTCCTTTAAAAACCTGTGTCTTCCCTTATCTTTCAGTATAGGCATATGGTTTACTGTGGCATGTGCATTCCCATTGGAATGCTTTATTCACAAATAAATAGATTTTATTTTAGAGAATCTCTACGTGTTTGTTATTTTGGTTAACACTTTAAAACCTAAAACTAACAAGACAATATACATAGTCAGATGATGTTACAGGACGCATAGCTCAAGCAACCTGGAAATTGCCTAGCAGATTTCTACTCTAATTAAATCAATTGTCCATAAATCACAAAGCAAATTAAAATGCAATGAAGAATGATGCAAGTTAACTTCAGGGTCAACCATTGTGTTTATACCAGCACCATCTGTGCATCTGCTCACTAATTAGACTCTGTATTGGTCAATATTTAAATAGCTGGGCAGCCCTACCATGAAGATCATACACTTAAAGGTAAATGAGTTGTGAATGCAGGAGCCACCAACTGCTCTACGGAAGAATCTGCGTTCTGTAGAATCTGTGTGGATTGCTCTTACCACATGGGCTATGGAACCTCAGTCTTCAGAAAATTGAAGATGACATCAAAACATATAATCTCCAATCTGCATTGGAGCTAAAGTGAAGTTATCACATGTAACCACAAACCAAGTCACCTCCCCAAGGTACCCTGGTAGAGACTTCAGTTATACTTTCAGATCTTCCAGGGCCATCCTGCAAAGTTTCATATAGCTATGGATGAAGTAGAAGATAGCACTAAAGGAAGTATATTATAGTGAATCTCCTATACTATTTCAGTTTTTACCCCATACACACTAGATCATGCCTTTTGTGTGCTAGAAAAACATGATGAAAAAATATCCTACTTTGCTTTTTTCAAAACTCATTACAATGTCATCTCTTGCCAGGTCTTATCTTACCCAAGTTAAATATCTTAGGAGGCAGTTATTTTTCTCTCCTTTTGTATGTAAATTATTATACTCTTTTTAATAATTTGTGTTTGTTTCTTGACAGAGAGCAATTTTATATATCTCTGGAAGGAGAAAGGGAAGGAGAAGAGGAGAAAGGAAGGGAGGCAAGAAGAAAGGGAGGAAGGGAGGGAGGGAGGAAGTAGCTATTGAGTCATCAAGATGAGGTCAATGTGGGAGACACAGAAAAAAGATACAGACCAGATGAGTTGTGAGAGGATTGCTCTTACCATGTGGGCTATGGAACTTCAGTCTTCAGAAAATTGAAGATGACATCAAGACATATAATATACCTTCAAATTTTGTTCTGTATATGTGTACATATAGTAAATTATATACCATTTTTATTTCAGAGTATAAGCTCAAAAGGATTTGTTGAAAGTGAAAATGTCTTTATAAAGCCCCAAGTTAATAGATCTCCTTAGGGAGGGTAATATACCTGGATAGACTTTGCCTATTACACTCACAATTCTAGAGCTGAAAGTGAGCAAAACTCCTAGTGCTTCACCTGAGTCTCCATCCTTCCCCTGTAGATAATCTTTTCTGAGTATATTACTCATTTCATGAGATTTTGTGCAGAGCCAGATGTGAGCATGTACAATCTGGTCTACCTATCAATCTGGTACTGGCTAATGCCATTTCAAGAGGCAGTATCCAGACAGAAGGCCATTGTGAGAAGAAACCAGGCCTAAGACATAAAGATGGAAATAGAAACCAGTGGTTAGATTGGCCCCCGTCTCCAAATTGACAATCCCAAATGAAAATGCTAACAAACATGTATTGAAATTTCACTTGAGACTAATTATGTACAAAAGTTTGAAATTTATGGGTTACAAATAGGAGATGTATTAAATGTGTTGGAAAATAACGTTTAATCAAAAAGCACTGAGTGAGTAGCAAGTATAACTCAATGAATAAAATTCTTAAACATACACCTAGATCATACAGTTTGTGCTCAAAAAACATTAGAGATCATGTTCAAACCCCTAATTTTACCAAAGGAGAAAACAGGCTCTGAGAGACTTCCCTTGGGCTAAGATCTTTGAGTTAGTGCCAGAATGGGATTTCTAACTCCAGCTTGAATGCTCTCTTTTTTCCACCCATCTGAGAGAATTCATTTACTATAAATCATTTTTAAAATACAACATGAAAACATCATTATTCAGTATTTGAGAAGAGTAACATGAGGTTTACAAGCCTACTTTACAAGGGGTTTTCTTTTTTCCACGTAAAAACAACTCTATTACAGTTAATTGTTTTTATAAAACCAATAATAGGTAATACTCACCATTATACACTATAAAACAGTGTACATACAATTGTTACATTCAGTAATATGTGATGTTCTACATGTAGCCATTTGGACTTTCTAAAGTTTAGTTAAATAATAAAACACTTGTATCATGACTGTCTTTCAATCCTTCTCTAATGATGTAAAATGGTTATGTTTCATAAGAATAAGAGGTGGAAAGGTTTTCTTGACTGCTTCTTATTTACTAATAGCAGATACTGTCCTCTTGTTTAATGTAAGCAATAGCACAAACAAAAAATTCACTTAAGATTCTAAAAAATAAAAAGACCCTGCACAAACTTTAATTGCAAAAGGACCCCAGAGAACGAGATCCTTAACTCTTATTATTTTCTTCCTTGAAATAAGTTTCTGTCTGAAAACCCCATTTTCACTCCTGTTGTTTATCTCCTCCTTTCTCTCCTCAACTTCTCATGTACACTCCAACCATAGAGGCCATTTGCTGGTAGATATCATTATTCCCTAGAATTCTATCAGTTAGGATGATTGAATCTGCAAATAACTTAAATCCCTTAATCAAATAAACTTACAGAAGAAGGAACTGTATTATTCAACATGTGCAAAGACAGAGTAGTTCCAGGTACCCATGGTTAGCACTCAGTGACATTATCAAAGACCCAGGTTCTTCCCTTCCTAGGTATAACTTCCTCCTAAGTCTGAATCCCCTCAGGGTTCTAAGATAGCACTGATTGCTACTGACAGTTGTGTGTTTGCTTGTTCATACTGGTTATGGATGTAACACAAGTACCTTCCAATTTGGCAAACTTAGATCTTATGCCCACTCCTGGACCAACTGCAGTTCCCGGGGGAATGTCACAACTTGATTGACTTAAAGTCTAATCAATCAAAATTTCCATTTAAACCTAAAGATGGGGTGAATAACTGAAGAGATCCAAAGTGCTCTTATCCAATTAGAGTTAGGTAATGGATTTAGTTTGACTACTAAGTGTCTGCCTCAGTAATAATTTAAATCAGTGTGCAAGCAGCCAGAAATCCAAGCTGCCCTAGGTACACCTTAAATGCTCCTACCTGTACCCCATCATTCCTCAAGATTTCTTTCATCAAACTTCCAAAATAATATAGCAGCTGGGGTAAGAGGGAAACTGGCATAAATTACTGTACCCATTTGCATGCAATTCCTGCTTGTGGTTGGCAGAACCCCTTCCTCAATTTTTTGGATGGCATACATAGCAGACCCTGCTGAATCCAGCTATTTGGGTTTATGTAAATTGTCATTGCACATTAGAATACTGATGCCTTTGAACCACTAGCACACAGATTAAATTGGACTTTCCAGGAGTGGAACCTGAACATAGGTAGCTCTTAATGCTTCCCAGGTGATTCTAATATACAGTCAGGATTGAGAATCACTAGTGTACTAAACATTCTGATTATCTGAATTTCTCAGTTAATGTCCCTGAGTTGTCTAGTTATGGCCCCATACTTTGAATTCAGTTCCTTTGAAATTTACCTAGATGACTTAAAGCATAATCCATTTAAATAAAACATCATCTGTTGTATAACAACTACAATTTGGGGTAAGGACACTGTGTCAGCTTCCTTTTGGAGAATGCTGCTGAATCAATAGATGAATGCCTGAACCAAAATATTATATAGGCATGAGGCATTTTATATTGCTTTCTGTCTATTTCTGGATGTAGCGTATAACATATACTGGCAACATTTCATTTTTATATTGTAACGGAATCTCCATAGGCTTATATTGAAATTGGTTTTCTGCTGTAATCTCACATTTTAACAGCCTCTATAGACCTGCTCAGAAACTGACTCAAAATTGTTGAGAAGAATATTTGGCATCATAATTTTTTTAAAATTATACAAATGCTTCTCCCTCCCCCTTCCAAACCAACCATGAGAGATATTGAAGTACTGTTATAACTGCAATGGAAAGTAAATACTTGACATGTTCAATAGTTATTTTACAAAAGCTAGAAACTGTTTTTCCTCCCAAGTGCAGAGTCTTCAGTCATGCTCAGATTTTTAATAGGATTTTGACATTCATTTCAAATGACGGAGGAAAGAGATTTAATCACTTGTTTTCTTTGAAAGTAATACTATAGGCACAGGAGCTAGTCAAAGCCCCTAAAGCATCAGGTTGGTGACCTTCTCCTTGTCACATTCAGGCTGCCTTCCTGATCAACCAAACCCACTCATTTTCTCATATCCACTCGCCAGCCACCCTCAGTGCCATTATCAGTTGCCTTAGGACCTATAAGATTCAGAAGGGAGGCAGCCACCTGCTCCTTCTGGTCATGATCTTCTCTGTGAAGTCTCTCCGGGCAGCAGGAATCTCACTTCTGATCCCATAGTTTCTCTGGGGCTCTGCTGAGGTTCAAAGTGAGATCCACCACTTACTATTTATGGGTATTTTAAACAACCTCACCTCTACAAATCTCACATCTGTAAAATGTAAACTTTACCTCCTGGTGCCCTTGGGGAGATAAAATGGGGTAATCTATGGACTGTGCTCACTCAGCACAGGGCATGGCACATGTACGGTCTCAGATATTAGCTGCTGTGAACACACCATGGCTGCTGCTGATTGTTGGCACCCCAATGTGGCTATTCTGTGGGATGTCTGGCATATCTCTTTGTTTTTCTTGCATCCATTTTCTCCTTTGTATCCCCATTGCTGCCACCCTACCTCAGGCTTTTGTATCATACATACACTAACCACGGTAGTCCCTCCTTATCTTCGAGGAATATGTTCCAAGACCCTCAGTGGATGCCCGAAATGGCAGGTAGTACCAACCCTGATTGCTTTCCATCAGAGCATGTTTCTGTTCATGTCTTCCACCAACAAATGCAGTTCCTTTTCCATCTTAAGCACTTATCATGCACTGTGGCCATAATTTTTGCAGTTTAAGGTATGACAGACTGCATGAATTTCTTTTTCCTTCTTCACAATTTCACAGATAGATTTGTTCTTACCATAGGTCTTAGCAACCTCAGCATACGATGTTTTTCTTTCCTTATTAAGTTGAGAACTTTCACCTTTTCACTGAAAGGAAGCACTTTTTACGGTTTTTCTTTGTCATATCTGAATTACCAGCATCACTACTCTTGTGCTTTAGAGCCATTATTAAGTAAAGTAAGGGCTAATTGAACACAAGCACTGTGATAGTATGACAGCCCAATAAACCAGACTGCTTCTAAATGACTAGAAGGCATGTGGTGTAGACAGCATAGATACACTGACTGGACAAAGGAAGGATTCAAGACCAAGCAGGAGATTTCATCATGCTACTCAGAACAGTATGCAATTAAAAACTTATGAACTGTTAATTTCTGAAATTTTCCATCAGTATTTTCAGACCGAGGTTGACCACAGGTGACTGAAACCACAGAAAGTAAAGCTGCAGATAAGGGGAGATTACTGTACAGCCACAGTGTCCAGAATAGTCCTTTTCCCACCTCTAGCTGCTCACCTCTCTTCACCCACAAGAGGGAAAAAACTGTCCACTTTATCATGTCACTCAAATCTCCACAATGTGATTCCTCTCACCTCTCTAAACCCTACTCATGTTCATTAAAAAGTGTTTTCTGGACTCTTCAATGCAATTCTTCAAAGCTGTATTCTTGTCCTTGCTCTCCTGTGAGACTTCCACTAAGAACCTCAAGTTGAACGAAAGACCACAGATGCAGATTAACACAAAACGACCCTGTTGCCCAAATGTACCCCTTTTTGTTGTTAGTACAGTTTTTATCCCCCACTTAGAACCAGATGGAACACACTATGGAATACACTTTAGGAAATGCTCTTTCAGAGAAATAATATCGCTAAAAATCACAGGAACCTAATATGCTCCATCTCCTGGTTCTCATGCCTACAGAACAAAGGGCCAGTGGCTTAGGAGAGGGAGTTCAGCCAAGCCTAATTCGACACCATCTTGATAAGCCAAGCTTCCATGAGTCTGCACTTCTGTCTCTGATCTCTTGAGGAGAAGGCTTTGGGAGAGATGATAGCATCATGTGAGATCATCAAGCAATGACATCCGACATCTGATCCTTCAATAACACAGAAAGGGTATGGGCTTCCGCCAGTCACTCTCCAAACTCCCCTCTCCCATTGCCTTCTCAGTGTAAACCTTGCTTGTTGCTTGAGTTTGAAGTGATTCACCTCATTGCTGCTCCAAGATGCACCAAGCATTGTTTCTATTGCAGTTAGACAAATGAAATAGCCCAGAACTCTGAGAAGAATGCTTTGCTATTGGGTGCAGAGACTGGTCTAAAAGCTAACAAAATGCATGCTCCTCTGCCACTTGTATCTCCATCAAAACATGCAACTCTGTAAACAAGAGAAGGGGGCTTGTGCTCACAAAGGGGGCCCTTACCACTCCTAATTAGCAGTCTGAGTCTTTTACCTGTGGCAACAGAGGCTCCATTAAGGATACCTGTTCTCCTCATCTCAGTTCCAAGTCTAAGTGTACAGTGGTCAGTGTAACTGCAGTCACTGTTTCATAATGCAATACAAATAGGGAGAATGTATAATTTATCAACCAGACTGGAACACTTTTGAAAGTGAAAGGTGGTACCAATTGCAATTATGCCAGGACAACAGGCACAAAACAGAATGGTCCTGGGCAAACTAGGAATCACATTACTAAACGTGCAAGGCTGTGGTTCCTAGAAAATGCTATGGGGACAGTATTCTCTGTCCTGAGTCCCCAGAGATGAAGATGACATGACCAACTGACAGAACAGGTGCCCCTATTGCTTTTGCCACCACCACGCAGGCCTTTTCTGCTAACTGATGTCTGAAATGGAAGTCCTCCACCACTCCAACCTTCTCCTCCAACATCATTCCTCAGGACAAAGGGGAGCTGGCTTCTCTGGTTTGCTTCCATCTTTGCCCATCTTATTTACTCAAAGGAAAAAAGGAGTTCCCTTGGAAATTAAGTCATAAAACCAACTAACTATTCAAATTAATAATTCCAAAAATATAGTTTGATTTGTGATAGATACACAAAAAGAAAAATCTAACTTCCCGACACTCCAGAAATGAGGGATTCTGGTATCAAGAACAGGTGGAAAAATTAAAGAAAAAAGATTTTAAGTAAGCAAAACATATAAAAATATGCTAAAATATAAAAATGACTTAAATGGTAAAATTTGACATGATCATGAATGAAATAGTTAACTATTACAAAGATAACAGGTCTTTCTAAATTAATTGATAGGCTTAATACAATGTCCATCAAAATTGCAACAGAATTAGGAGATGGAGCAGTTGTGCCAAATGGTTCTAAAGTTGATATCTATAAATACATTCTTTTGTTCAACTTTGTCTTTAGTATTTCCATAAATGGAGGATGTCCAACCTTTACAAATATTAGAATGTATTAAAAATTATAATGCCTAAAATATTATAATACTATTTTTAGAAGTAAATATTGATATACATCTAAGAACCAAGCACGTGGAGGTGATTTTATTAATCAAATTATGAAGCAATTATTACAATAGTTGTTGGAAAATTCATTTTTGAAAACAAAAATTCTAGATCCTCAGATCAGACTACAACCAAATAACCAAGATGTATGGAAAATTTAGGTGTAAAACTGAAACCAAAACATAAATATATATTCATATTTATTTGATTTCTCAGTGAAGAAGGATTTTCCATACATTAAAACAATGGAAGAAATCACAAAGGGGAAAAGCAGATTTGGTAACATAAACCTCTTAAACTTCTACAAGTCAAAACATCATGAACAAAATTATAAGTCAAGATCTGAACATATTTGTAAATAATGGACAAAAGAGTTGCATCAGTTATCTATTAATACCAATACTGCCTAACAAGCAGCCCAAACCTCAGAGGACTACAACAATGACCATTTATTGCTCACAGTCTAGAGTCAGCTAGGGGTCAGCAAGGTGGCTCTACGGTTCTTGACTGAGTTCACTCCCATGTCTGGGAATCAGCTAAGGTCAGTTGATTATAATGGCCTCCATTCCTTCCCATGTCTCTCATTCTCCAGCAAGCCTGGCATATACTCTCAATGATGGCAGAGGTACAAGAGGGAAAGCGGAAATATGAAAGGTTGTTAAAGAGTTAGGCTCAAAAGTGGCACACAATCACTTCCACCTTATTTTATGGATCAAAGCAAGTCATGTGAAATGGGATGTTGACTCTGCTTTTATGGGAGGAAATTGAAAGTCACTGCACAAAATGTTTAATGAATATAGGAAGAGCTGAAAAATTTGGACCATTAATGCAATTAGTCAATGAAAAAATAATCTTATCCAATTGATAAGCAGGCAAAGGGCTCAAGTAATCACAAAGAGTAGCTATATAGAAGACAAATAAAAATATAAAATCTCAACTAAAATAAATGGAATATAATTTTAAAGAAATAAAATGTAAAATAAGGTGTCCTAAAATCTAAAATTAGTAAAATTAATTTGATAAGCCCCAAAAATATAATTTTTAAAATAAGAAAACATATTATTTCTCCATCTATTTTCTAATTTGATGATATTTAAGGAATGGAAATTGGAAACTCACATGGAGTTGGTACAAGCACGTATTAGCACAACTTTTCTGGACAAACACTGGGTACCATGTGTCAAATGTGTTTCCTCCATTACCTGTAACTTAAAGGAGATAAATATCCCCTGAAGAGGTTTGCGAAAGACTGTTGTCAAGCCATCATAGCAACACTAGTCTACACTACAGGAATTTATTAATGATTGAGAGAGAGAATGGACGGATGGAGATGGGAAAGCAAGATACTGGGGCAAGAATGTGAATGAATGGTTCCCCTAATACAGGCTTTCCATGAGTAGAGAAGAGCACTCCTCTTTTTTAGTAGAAGACACTTTGGTTTCTTACTCAGCATCCATCCTTCCTTTTTATCCTTCCTAATGGAACCTTAGGTTCTGTCTAGGCATTCACTGCATTCCCTAAAATCCTGATAAATGTAAGCCAATTGGGACATGACAGTTTCCCAACAGTAACTGCCGGCTCTGGCATGGGCACATGACCTAGATGGGCCAATCATACCAAAGCTCTTTTTCCCGCTGGTTTTGAATAAGGACACATGTACCCTGATCACCATTGGTGATCATTTTGCAACCATATGGGGAACAGTCCTAGAAGGAGGCAGAGCAGGGAGATAGAACCAGGGCCCTTAGTACTATCGTTGAGCCTCTGATCACCATGTCTGGAGGCTGCTCTGCCTCTGGGCTCCCAAGAATGTGAGCTGTCTCCTTATTGTTTAAGTCAGCAGGAGTCCAGGTTTTCTATGACTTGCGACCAGGGCATTCTAACCCATACACCTCCCCACACACATACACTTTCTCCTAGAATCCTCTCATTCCAAAACATGTGCAGCCTTTGGAACTGAAATTTCTCTTTTTATAGTGCATTTTAGTGATTTATTGATGAAGCATTAGAAAAATAGGTAGAGAAGTATATTTTTTTACTTGGTCCCCCTCTAACTAGTACATGTGAAGACTGTGATGTACAGAAACCATCTCTTCATGTGGAACTGAAATTTCTTTATGGACTTCAGAGCATGATACAGAAAACCTCACTTGGTACTGCTGCCTTCCTGAGGGAAGCACCAGGATGTCAGACACACCTGCTTACTGCCCTCCACTCAGGTGCTGGAACCACATTTCACACACGCCTGGGAGAAAGTAAATGTAATGGTGGTGGCTTGCCCTCCATGGATCTATTTGTGTTTAGAGATACAAGCCTGAATCTCAGACCAAGTCTGTTTTATGAGACCAACAGGGCCTGGCTTGATGCTGTATCTCCTACCATATATCTGATTTAAGGCAAGTCTTTTTTGTGTTCGATATTACTTAGCTATGAGAATACTACTTGCCTCTCTACTAAAGATGGTTACAGTCCCAATATTTCCTTATATGAGAACCAAAATGCTGAAAGATGTGCTACAGTAAATGTCTCTTATAAAGATACAAGTTGCAGCTTTGCTCTCTAAATCACAAGTTTTTAAGCTCCATTATAGTGATTATGACCTTTTATTTGAAATGTTCTTGAGATTTTTTCAAAGCCATATCTATATGATTAGATGTAAAAAGAATATTTCAACACAGTTTTAATAGGACATGAGGGTCCAATAAAACAGATGTTCTGTAGATATGAGAAAGTTCCAATTATTGGTGCCTTTTTCAACATTTTTATTAAGATTGTATTGAGTGTTAGCATTGAGTCATAAGCTATTCCTATAGCACAAATGAAAACTTCATCAATTTTGACCGCATGAGAATGCAAATTCTGTTCTTCCAAGTATCTTAATGAATAATTAATATCATGTTCAATGATCTGGCTGCAAGCACCAATCAGCCAGCCAAAATAAATTGGATTTGTATTGAAGAAATATTTCCCCATGTTCATCAGAAAGATTACTGTTTCTTTTAGGGAAAGCCTATAATAGTATGAAATGAAGCCCTGTTGGAATACCTTGCTGCTATCTGCATAAATGATTATTCCTTTTTGGAAGTACTCTGTCACAGCACTAGCTGATCTTAAAGACCTATTTGTAAAACATAAGTGTTAATAACAACAGAAATTACAATGATTTTTGTGGAATAAGGTACACATCTCCCTTTTCTTCTTTTTTGAACCTACATTTCCAGTGCTTTGGATCCAAGGGAAGCCCTTCATAGCATGATAGTTGCCAAAAACCCTGCCCAGTGCACTTTCTAATCATGTTGTAGCTTCCATGAATGAAAAGAAAGACTGGAGAAATGCTGAAAAAATGATTTCTACATTTTTCAGAATGATAATGTCTATCAGAGCTATGAGCTCAGGAGAGCAAGTGATCATCAGGTTTCACTGCAGAAGTCTGAAAAGCATAAAATATCTAAATAGAAAGCACACACAAAGCCCATTTCATGGAATCATCTATCTGGTTTTTGAGTCCTCATTACAAAAAAAAAATGCTATCAAATAGTCATTTTTGTCAGTGGCACTTATGGGAGACACAAAAGACCTCAGAGCCCACCTTCCTCTTCTGAGGACAGGGTGGTACTTGGTGATGATAATAATATTGATACCACTGAGTAAGCAAAGCAATTTGGAGGGGTTAGAGAGAGAGTTGGAGTTTATATACTTAGAGAAAGAATTATGTCTGTAGAGGTAAGAAGAGCTAAATATATGATTTTAAATTCTTGTTACTGGAAAATTATAGGTGCAAAATGCTGTAAGCAAATATATCCCACT
This sequence comes from Homo sapiens, assembly GCF_000001405.40. Lineage (NCBI taxonomy): Eukaryota > Metazoa > Chordata > Mammalia > Primates > Hominidae > Homo > Homo sapiens. The sequence continues at coordinate 45,893,115 of NC_000015.10, read as the reverse complement.
ATATACTAAAGTGTGAATGCAACAATCTATGCAATTAACTAGATAATAATGATGCTAAACCGATAATTTTTAATTAAACTTTGTTATAAATGTATCATAAATATTATCAAGTTATCAGTTTAAAAAAAAAGGCAACAATTAATCATGAAGCAGTGTGTCTGGGACTTCCTGTGAATTTCCTAATTTCTACCTATAAGTATGCACAATAGGAGTTTTGCCATGCTGTCAATTACTGAGTACCATTTGTTAAATTACTATTCCTCAGTAAGCTGAAAAGTGCACACACTTTAGTTTATGAATACTGAAATGTAATAACTCTTACTTGAGACACCTTCTGTTAGTGACAAAGATAAAAGTCAATGGAATTGAATCCTCTGAATCCTCTGGATGGATGCCCTGTGAAGAAAGACCTGAATTTTGCATTTGTTTTTGACCCAGCAGGAAGATCTTTGCGGACTAGCAGTGGGTCACAGAATATAGTTTGCTGTAAAGACAACCTATTCCTTGGTGATCTTAAATGTAAAATCAGAACTCCGTGAAGATGAAAGGACTTCCTCTCTTCCATTTACTTCTATCCCCTCGTCTTAGCTGTCTCATATTCAGACTGAATAAAACTACTCTAAACTTCTTCCACATGGCAGCCTATTAATTAAAGAGGGCTAATTTTGTCCCTATGAGTCTTTGGTCCTCCAGGCCATGCATTCCCATGTCTTTGGTCATGGCTTAGAATTTCATCACAGCCTGGTCACTCTGCCCAATAGCAAATCTGGTGCTGAGTTGAATGGCTGAGAAGGAGACAGGGAGAGAAAATACTTGGCAGAAAAAGTGGCATACAAAATAAGCACAGAAAAATAGGAAAAGCACCTGGTAATCTCACGACAGAGGAGATGGGGAGAAAAAATACTTGGCAGAAAAAGTGGCATACAAAATAAGCACAGAAAAATAGGAAAAGCACCTGGTAATCTCATGACAGAGTAGAGGGGGAGTGATCATCCAGGCAGTGAGCACATTAGCCTGCCAGGAATGGAAGGTCCTTGGGAGGAATAGAGGAGGTGGTGCTGGCAAGCTAGGCTGGAACCAGATAGTGTCCTGCCCAGCTGAGAAATTTGGACTTTACTCTGGGAAGAAGCCAAGAAGCCTTTTGAGCACAGGAATAAAATGTTCAAAGTAGTATTTTAAGAACATTAAATCTGACAGCAATCTAAGGCTAGCCAAGAGGCAAGACATTCAGTTAGAAGACCACAAAGCGTTAGTGATTATGGGCTTGGACTCTGGAACCAAACTGCCTGATGTGGAATTCCTGCTGTGGCATTTACTGTGTGAACTTGGACGAACTGCTCAGCTACTCCAAGCCCATTGCCACAATTGCCAAGTAGGTATAGTAATATTACCTACTTTATAGATTTGTTGTGAGGATTAAATGAGTTAATATGTACAAAGCACTTAGTATATGACATTATCATCTAAATTATCATTATTATTATCATTATAAAGCCACACTGGGTATAACATAAGATCCTGAAATGGCATGATGATAAAGGAAATGTAAAGGAAGGGACGTATTTGAGAATTATTGCAAATGATATTTCTTACCTTCCTCCATTGCCTCCCTTTGTCTTGCCTCCTCTTGCTGGTCAAAGATATAGGTTTGGGTCTAACTACATGTGAGAGTATAAAGTCATGAAAAAACGTGTTTGAGGCCGGGCACAGGTTCATGCCTCTGATCTCAGCACTTTGGGAAGCTGAGGTGGGCAGATCACTTGAGTTAAGAAGTTCGAGGCCAGCCTGGCCAACATGGTGAAACTCCATCTCTACTAAAAATACAAAAAGGAGCCAGGCATGGTGGCACACGCCTGTAGTCCCAGCTACTCAGGAGGCTGAGGCACAAGAATCACTTGAACCTGGGAGGCAGAGGTTGCAGAGGCCCTCCAGCCTGGGTGACAAAGTGAAACCCTATCTCAAAACAAAACAAAATTTGTTTGATAGACAGGAAATAAATTCAATTTCTGTCAAAAAAATCTAAACATATCCATTAACTTGTAGACACTTTACAGAAAGGGTTATATCTGTACAGACTATATCCCTAAACTCTTGGCTCACATAGAAACTCCAGGATTATCCCAAGTGTCCTATTCACCTCCTCCAGCTATTCTCAGTCTACAGTCTTTCCTGAGCCAGAGGCTAAAATGCTGAACTCATATGCTCAGATACTGATATACCTCCAGTGGTTTTTTTGTTCAAAATGTAGAGTTTCAGATTCTAAGATCACAGGGTTTGAGGTTCTAAAACTTCATCATCATTTTCCATTAATTAGACAATTTAATTTTCAACTTACCATCTGGGAATTAGGGTTTAAATTATTAAAACTAATTTATTAACATACTACCTTTAATTCCTCATAAAACAAAAATATTACATATAAAAATGTCCACAACTTGCTTGTATCTCTTTGTCATCCACATGTCTACTTCTTGTACTGTTAGAATTGGTAAGTTTACATGGCCTAAAAATTAAAAGGAAGGTTTCTGATGAGTTAATTATATTCAACTCCTAGAACCTCAAGCCCTCCCTATCCTTCATACCCAAGAATGAAAATGGCATTGGAAAACATAGAGTTAATTTTTATTAGTTTACGATATTATATAGTTGGAGAAATTCCGGGAAAAAAGAAACCATTGGACTTAACATGTAGAAATGTCAATTTAAAAAGAATAGTATCACAGTGGCTCTAGAGGAAAGGAGAAGTCATGTGTTGACTTAGGAAAAGCATCTAACAAGAATACCAGATCTCTTGTGGGTAAGAGGATTAAGTATGTTTATTTAAACACATTTGTTCTATTTTAATATTATGTGTTATCAGTATACTGCAGATGTTTTACTATACTAGTGACTGACATCTGTTTTAAAAAAATAGACATTCTGAACTACTATTTGGACTTGAAAATACTGAGAAAGAGTTGTTCCTACCAAATTCGACCCATGCAGTTTTCCATTTCTCTACCTTTTAATACATACTTTAGATTCATACCTTAACTGGCTGTTCATTCGCCATCACCTTTACCTTGCACCCTTCTTTGGACACTTTTCTGTGGCATGCATGTGCCAACTCATGTGTTCATCTTACACCATGGACTTTATAGCAAGTCAGCACAAGATGGACACAAAGTAATAGCTAATGGATGCTTTTTGTCAGTAAAAAAAAAAAAAAAAAAAAGCCTACACAAGACTTGCAACTACTCCATCTTGTGTCTCTGGCTGTCCTGCAGGTCCGACCTTTATCAATGACTAACCACAGGGCTTCTATTAATGAGGATCTGGAAGCTTGGAACAGGACAAATCTTGCCTTAACCCAGGAGCTAAATCAAGCAATCCCTAGAGGTAACTTCAGTTCCTAAGACCTAGTTTCTCTGACTCCATCAATGATTCATCAGACCATTTCTGGGGGTTTTAACACTTAGTGGTGGCACAGGAAGGCTGTATTGTCTAGGTGAAGTCTGGGGGCTCTGCTCAGCACTTGGCCAAGTTTGGTCTTCTATGACAGGAAGCCTGGAGCTGACTCCAGGTTCATCAGTAAAATAAGGACAGTAATAGAATCTAATGCATAAGGATGCTTTCAGTACTCAGTAAGATAATCCACATAAAGAGTTCAGCACAGTGCCTGGCCCACAGAAAGTGCTCAATAAGTAAGCAGGGATGGCAGAGCCAAAAATAAATCTCTCCCGAGCTCGTGAAGTGTCAGCATCTGAGATTTTAAGAGTCAAACTGTGAAAACTTGGTCTGGATCACGGAACTCTAAGGAAGGACTCTTTAACCTAATGTGACTTATTTGAGTTATTGTTTCCAGAAAGAGGCCTAGAACCTATTTTCATTCTTTATCCATCGAGTTGAACACAAGATGGCTACAGAGTAGCCACTACATTGTCTAGAATCTTGCTCCTTCCCTACTTCTTCAACAACACTGTAAACTGGTTATTTTCTTCACCTGTTAAATAGAAAAACACAAATTGGAGAGGGATAAAATGAGCTTCCCAAGGCCTCATTTTGGGAAGCTCCCAAAATGAGCTTCCCAGACACAACTGGAGAGTGGTAGAACCAAGGTTCTCACCCAGGCTGTGTCTCTAGAATCTTAACCAACATAAATTGTCAAAACTGTAATTAATAAAAAGTAATCATCAACTCCTTCCTTGGAAAGCTGAATCAGAATAATTTGCCTGTTGTTCTTATGCCTCAGGCTACAGAAATCTGGTTAAGATGATAGATAAGGACAATCTTAAAGAAGGGAGACATTTAAAGAAGTAATGTGCAGCCTATATGGAGAGGAAGGTGTTCTTTTTTTTGAGACAGAGTCTTGCTCTGTCACCTAGGCTGGAGTACAGTGGCATGATCTCGGCTCACTGCAGCCTCCACCTCCCAGGCTCAAGCAATTCTCCTGCCTCAGCCTCCCAAGTAGCTAGGACTACAGGTGTGCACCACCAAGCCCAGCTAATTTTTTTGTATTTTCAGTAGAGTTGGGGTTTCACCATGTTGGTCAGGCTGGTCTCGAACTCCTGACCTTAAATGATCCGCCTGCCTTGGCCTTCTAAAGTGCTGGGATTACAGGCATGAGCCACCGCGCCCAGCCTCGGAAGGTGTTCTTATCAGACGCTCAGCACTAATTTTTAGATGATGGTAAGAAGAGGGCAAGGTAGGATGCAGAAAAGCTTATATCCTAATTTGTGGGTAGATGCGTGTCACTTGTAATCTCACTTCCTGCTCCCTAACTGGCAGACTGGTTACCACATATCCCACGGCAGCAAAGCACACACACAGATTCTGAAGTCTGAGACAATCATTTCTATTTGTCATACCCTGAGGATGGGACTGGTATAGAAACGTTGGTTAACTTACAGAAAGACAAGCATAACATGCAAAACAGAATAGGTTCCTGGAATACTAACATTAGAAGGGGCTTTCTAAATCCAGTTCTGCCCTTTCTTTCACAGGTAAAGCACCTAAGACCCAAAGAGGTTGAGCCACTACTTGCCCAAGTTCACATAGGAAGTTGGCTTTAGTCAGGACAAGAACCTGGTACTCCTGACCTGATATCTCAGTGCTTCTTTACTACACCTAAGAAACAAGAGGCCAGGCACAGTGGCTCATGCCTGTTATCCCAGCACTTTGGGAGGCCAAGGCGGGTGGATCGCTTGAGGTCAGGAGTTCGAGACCAGCCAGGCCAACATGGTGAAATCCTGTCTCTACTAAAAATATAAAATTATCTGGGTATGGTTGCACACACCTGTAATCCCAGCTACTTGGAAGGCTGAGGCAGAAAAATCACTTGAACCCGGGAAGCAGAGGTGGCAGTGATTCAGGATCATGCCACTGCACTCCAGCCTGGGCAACAGAGCAAGACTCCATCTAAAAAAATAAAAAATAAAAAAATAAAAATAAAAAAGGCCAGGCGCAGTGGCTCATGCCTGTAATCCCAGCACTTTGGGAGGCTGAGGCAGGCAGATCACAAGGTCAGAAGATCCGAGACCATCTTGGCTAACACAGTGAAACCCCATCTCTACTAAAAACACAAAAAATTAGCCAGGCGTGGTGGCGGGTGCCTGTAGTCCCAGCTACTCACAAGGCAGAGGCAGGAAAATGGCGTGAACCTAAGAGGCGGAGCTTGCAGTGAGCTGAGATCGCACCACTGCACCCCAGCCTGGGCGACAGTGCAAGACTCCGTCAAAAAAAAAAAAAAAGGAACAAGAAAGTGACTCGAAGGCAAATAAATAAATAAATAAATAAATGGTATCAAATTCTTTTCTTTCTTGCCCTACCTTTCTCTCTCCCTCTCCAACTCTCTCTCGTTCTCATTCTCTCACTCTCTCACACACGTACACATGCACATGCACCTACATACACACATATTACAAATAAAGATGAATAAACACATTTACTAGTGAGACTGGCAGATATTAACCAACCATAGCAAGAAATTTTGAATATCTACCTGTCAGCAACACAGTGCTTCAGCAGAAAAAAAAAAAAAAAAGCCATAGATTCTAGGGATTCCAGGGGTCTAACAACATAATATGATGACCAAAGGCCCAGACATCATCTTTCCTTTTGTGTCCAGAATTGGTGGGTTCCTGGTCTCGCTGACTTCAAGAATGAAGCTGCGGACCCTCATGGTGAGTGTTACAGTTCTTAAAGATGCTGTGTCCAGAGTTTGTTCCTTCAGATGTTCAGATGTGTCCGGAGTTTCTTCCTTCTGGGGGGGGTTAGTGGTCTCACTGACTTCAGGAGTGAAGCTGCAGACCTTCGCGGTGAGTGTTACAGCTCTTAAAGGCAGGGCGTCTAGAGTTGTTCTTTCCTTCCAGTGGGTTCGTGGTCTCGCTGGCCTCAGGAGTGAAGCTGCAGACCTTCGCGGTGAATGTTACAGCTCATAAAGGCTGTGCAGACCCAAAGAGTGAGCAGCAGCAAGATTTATTGCAAAGAGCAGAAGTACAAAGCTTCCACACCGTGGAAGGGGACCGGAGCGGGTTGCCGCTGGGGGGTAAGGTTGCCTGCTTTTACTCCCTTATCTGGCCCCACGCACATCCTACTGATTGGTCCATCTTACAGAGAGCTGATTGGTCCATTTTGACAGACTGCTGATTGGTGTGTTTACAAACCTTTAGCTAGACACAGAGTGCTGATTGGTGCATTTACAATCCTTTAGCTAGACAGAAAAGTTCTCCAAGTCCCCACCTGATTAGCTAGACACAGCGCTGATTGGTGCAATTACAAAACCTTTAACTAGACACAGAGTGCTGATTGGTGCATTTACAATCCTTTGCTACACACAGAGTGCTGATTGGTGCGTTTACAATCCTTTAGCTAGACACAGAGTGCTGATTGGTGCATTTACAAACCTTTAGCTAGGCAGAAGAGTTCTCCAGGTCCCCACCCAACCTAGAAGCCCAGCCAGCTTCACCTCTCAATGGCACTGGCAGCGGGACTTTGCGGCACCTAGCCCGGGCACTCCAGCAGCCCAGAGGGAGCTCCTACCCCTATCAAGCCCAGCAGGTGCGGGACGGCCGCGCAGAGTGCTGGGCCTGCCAGCCCGTGCCCACCCAGAACCCGCACCAGCCTGGCCTGCGAGCTCCGTGCACAGCCCCGACTCCCTGCCGTGCCTCTCCCTCCACACCTCCCCACCAGCAGAGGGAGCTGGCTCCGACCTCGGCCAGCCCCAGAGAGGGGCCCCCACAGTGCAGCGGTGGGCTGAAGGGCTCCTTGAGCATGGCCAGAGTGGACGCCGAGGCCGAGGAGGCACCGAGAGCCAGCGAGGGCTGCTAGCATGTTGTCACCTCTCACTTTTACGGCAAGAACCCTCGTTAGAGTATTGTGTAGTTTGTTCCCCAATCTTCAAAAAATAAGAAGGTTATTGAGCTGGAAAGAATTCAGAATCAAGCAGCAATGATAATTAACTTTATTGTGTAGGATCTACTTTCCTTCCTGTTAAATTGAATCAAGGCTAGAAAAGGAATGGCTTGAGCACCTGATAGATTTGGGTGCCAAAAGTGAACTGAATGAGATGGATAAGATTTGAGATGTCAAAAAGAGATTTAGGTGTTCATAACAAAAAAATGCCCTGGCCATCCCGATAACAATGCTCTGGAGAGGCCCACAGAGGAGACCTGGAATCTTCTTCCATCTGGAAGTACTTGTTCTCCCAAAGAGACACAAGGAGGCTGTGCTGGGGGAGGAGTGGAAGAGAGGGGTTCCTGGCTGCTCCATTTTCTGGGCACCTATGGAGTCAGGCACCAGAAGAGAGCAACATGGAAGAGTCAGAGGAGCTGCCCTCACAGGAGGACGGGGACTGATGAGGAAACTCACCTCTTGAGAGTTGATACTGATGATGGCTAGTGAACACTGTGAGGAACTGTGCCAGATGGCTTCGTTCCTGAGAGGAGCGACAGGAAGGGAAGGGCAGAAAGAAAATGTGTGACCTGCAGACTGCAAATGCTGGAGCTAGACTAAGGTTCAAGACACTACCCCCTCTCAGCCCATATGCCTCCTCCTCAACAGAATGGTCGTGTGGCTTAGGAACTCTCTGGGTAACATCCAAAACACACCAGAAAAGCACCCTCTGGGCCCTGCTAAACATAGAAGAGGAAAACAAACATTTCAGTGTTCATATTACAGACCTTAAACCTAGTCCTCCAGTACTTGTTCCCTCATCCAACTCTCTCTTCAATCCTAGAAATAGAGTCTGCGTCTTTATCTTTTTACATGTGAAGCTCCGAGAGTTTGTCCCTTGACCAAAGTCAAAAAGTTGGGAAATGATACAGCTGAAATTTGAACTGTTATTTGTCTGGCTCCAGATTCTATATTCACTGAGATAATTAGCCAGGTGGATTTTTAAGGCCCTGAATCATTCGCCTATGTTTACTACCAGAATATGTGTTTCTATGTGTTCTTTTCATTTGAGGCCCAAAAGAAAATAGGTAGCAAAGAGAAGACTGTTTTAGAAGATGAGATACAAGGCTTTTTAACACAGATGGAACTTCTCGAAAGTGCTCAGATTTTTTAAGTTAGCTCTCTTGGGTGTTCTTTTTAATATGCATGTCACACTTGATAAGGTGTCAGCAGGAAGGAATCATGTAATACTTATGGCAGACATCTGAAGAACATAATTGCTCCAGCTGACATGTGTGACTGCTCTTTCATTATCATGTCAAGAGGACAGTTCTGCTTATAAATTGTTTGCGGTGAAAATAAAATAGGAAGCACTTGCTTAAACTTTATTATAGCCTTTTAGAGAACATAATTATAATTATAAAGTGTTCTTCCTTGGTGTGAATATTTTATTTGTTCTTCAGAGGACTTCTTTTAAGATCAGAAAAGGCAATGTTTTTTCAGCTGAAGATGTTAAGGCTAAAAGTTCCATTCATGGAAACTTTACTTGAATGTTCAACTTTACTTGAATGTTCAATTTGAATGTTCAACCAGAATGTTCAGAGTTTCTGAAAGGCCTAAGTATACAGGGCTTGCTGTGCACCCTTGCAGAGATTAACAATATCCTAGCATGTTGCCTTGCTGAAGTTCCCCTAGGATATCAAGGCCTCAAACTAATCTTCAGGACTAGCAACAATCTACAGTAGAAATTATAGTAGGCTGGGCGTGGTGGCTCATGCCTGTAATCCCAGCACTTTGGGAGGCCGAAGCAGGCAGATCACAAGGTCAGGAGGTGGAGACCATCCTGGCTAACACGGTGAAACCCTGTCTCTACTAAAAATACAAAAAATTAGCCAGGCATGTTGGCGGGTGCCTGTAGTTCCTGCTACTCGGGAGGCTGAGGCGGGAAAATGGCATGAACCCGGGAGGTGGAGCTTGCAGTGAGCTGAGATCGCACCACTGCACTCCAGCCTGGGCAACAGAGTGAGACTCCACCTTGAAAAAAAAAAAAGAAAGAAAAGAAATTAAAGTAAAAAAATATATATATATTTATTATAGTCAGGACAAGGACTGCTCCAACTCCCCAGAAAAAAAACAGCCAAGCCAGGAAGAGACTTTCACACCTGCTAGTGATCCCCAGAATAGGTAACTCCAAAGATCAGATGTTGGGTCCTCAATGTGAATCAATTTCAGATTATACTCAGTATTCATACAATCTTAGGAATTAGAAAGGGCTTGGAGGCTACCTTATTCTTTTTTTTTTTTTTTTTTTTTTTTTTTTGTGAGATGGAGTCTCGCTCTGTCACCCAGGCTGGAGTGCAGTGGCACAATCTTGGCTCACTGCAAGCTCCACCTCCTGGGTTCACGCCATTCTCCTGCCTCAGCTTCCCGAGTAGCTGGGACTACAGGTGCTCGCCACCACGCCTGGCTAATTTTTTTGTATTTTCAATAGAGACGGGGTTTCACCATGTTAGCCAAGATGGTCTTGATCTCCTGACCTCGTGATCCGCCCGCTTCGGCCTCCCAAAGTGCTGGGATTACAGGCGTGAGCCACTGTGCCCAGCCGGAGGCTACCTTTTTCAGTGCATCATCTTGTAGATGAAGTGATTAAGTTCTGACAGATCATGTGCCTTGCCTGCAGTTAAACTGCCTACCAGGGACAGAACCAGGAAGCAGACCCAGGGCTCCTAACTCTAGCTCTAATCATCTTTCATCTAAAGATCATGAAGCACTGGATACCTGGGAGAAGACAAAGGGGGAAACAGGAATCAGGAAAAATATGAAATATGTCTCTGAGACCCCTCACCTTTCTATTCTGTTCTCTGTGTTCAATAAAATGAGAAGATGGAAACGCATGTGGAGGGTTTCTATGGAACCAGCATTGTAGTGGTGTACATCATGCTATTTGCATTATGGTAGGAAAAACCAAGTAGAAGCCTCTAAAACTGCCCCAGTCTTAGCCAAAACAGTAAGTCAAAAACAAACAATATTGTATCCCAGGAGGAATTTCAAAGATTCATATTACCCTGAAAGACTTAAATGAAATAGTGGCACTTTCCATCAAATCTCCTCTCAATGTTTTGGCACCTGAGAAAACCAGATGAAATGTGGCAGAGGAGAGAAGACTACCATAAGCCTAATCAGGTGTGAGCTGCAAGTGCAGATGCTATTTCCGGGTATGGTGTCTTTACTAAAGCAAAACAATATGGCCTGGGGCACTTGCTATGTCACTATTATTCTGGTAAATGTATTTTTCTCTATCTCCATCAATGGAAAGCATAAAAAGTAACTTGACTTCACATAGTAGGAACAGATTTCTACTTTAACTGTCCTGCCCAAGGGCCAACCTAACTCTTCTGTTCTCTGTCAAAACATTATCCACAGGAAACATGAGCATCTTGACATTACACAGAACATATTAGTGTTCCTCTACATCAATGACAACATACTTAATAGACTAATGTGGCAAATACTTTGGATGTCCTGGAAAGGTACATTATGGTGGACGGTGCAAGGAAAACCCTATGAAGATACCACAGCTTGCCATGTTAGTGAAGTTTTAAGGAGTGCAGTGGCCTGGGGTACACCATTACAAGCTGGGGGTAGTATATATCACATTCAAAAATATTATCAGTGTATTTCATACCTGCCCCATGCATCAGGTGACTTGGAGACTGACAATTTTGTGTGGGATGCAGGCTGTGGTGCAAGTTGCCTTACCACTCAGGTCGTATGACTAAGGTGCTAATGTTACTAAAGATAACCACAGCAAGATATCTTGGATGTCTAAAGTCTTTGGCAAGCCCAAATTGGAAAGGCAATGTACAGATCCCTAGTATTTCTGAGCTCAGCCACACCTTCTGCAGCAGAAAACTACTTATCACTTGAAAAATAGTTCTTGGTATGCTGCTGGGCCTTGGTAGAGATAGAGAAATCATGATAAAACAAGTTGAACAGAGTGCTTCCAAAATCCAAAGAGACCATCAACTATTTAGTATAGGAGGTAAGCGTTGAACAGAGTGCCTAGACTTGTATCGTTTTGCTACAGTTTCTATTCCCTTCAAACTTTATATTCTATAAAAATTGAACTTGCCCATAAATGAAAAGATTTCAAGGTGCTCCTGCCCCCTCTTGCACTGCAGGGTAGTGGGAAGACCTCCTAGAAGTGGCAAAAGTAACTGGGAACCATAATGGGTTGGCCAAAATCTCCAAACTATTGTATACCTTGCTAATATCCCTTCCTTCAGAACTCATGCACCACTAATTGTCTAAATCAAACAAGATTACTTTTTATTTTATGGTATTCTATGATATTTTACTTATTTATACAGACACAAACATACACACCCCCATAAATATGTTTTGTCTTCCTGTCTAGACTGAAAGGCCTACTTGAATGCCCCTTGTAGGGTCCTGATTCAGGCTGAGCAGGTACCAGTGTGTGATAAAAGTTTGTTGCTTGACTGCTGGGAAGGTAGACCTTCTCATTGTTCCTTCTTGCCACACTCAGCTTGTTCATTTCACCTGTCCAGATTCACAGCGAAGCATGAGCTACTTGTCTCCAGTATTTTTCCCCCCACAGTTGCATGGATGCTTCTTCTCTAATCAAATAAGACTTTTCTAAGGTAAAGAAAACTACTGCTTTGTGAGGAAAAATGCAAAAGAGCCCCAGGGCCTCCTAAGACTTCATAAGATACTCTGCTCTGCCCTACAGCTGTCCTATCTGCTCTCGCTAGCCTGGGCACCCTGCCTTCCTTGTAGATCCTTGTGTTATACACCTTGGGAGGAATCTGTGTAATTGTGTGGGGTCAGGGAGGAAAACCATCAAAGTTGAGGAAAATGGCAAAAAGCCCCCCATGCATGTTCAATCCAGACATTCTATGGTCCACACCTAGCAACTGGGATAAGCATTGATAGTTTACAAGTAAATGATATGGAGTGGAAGGAAAGTTTCTTCCACATAACTCCACATTTTCCTGTAATCAATATTCCTGGTCTATTTCAGCAGTGTTCATGTCACAGACTTCCTGCCTCCAAGACTGGCTCTTGCTCTTGCTATATTTGCTCTCATCATTTTCAAAATTAAAGGGCTCTATTTTTATTCTAGACCTGTCTTCCTCCTCCTGTTACCAGATTGCTTGGAATATAATCTGTCAAGAGGGAACAAAACCTGCTTTCTCCACCCTCAGTATCACTAAGCCTCTCATCATTGTCGACCCAAGTGGACAACAGACTTGCTTTGCATATATTGAACTCTAGGCATGATGAGGTCCCTGGGGCTCAGCATGTGCGGTAGAGTTTCTTGCCAACATTCTGGCTAACTTAGGTTTCCCTTTAGTAAAGGATTCACCACCTAAATAGCCTCATCTTTAAGGACCTACAAAAAAACAATCACTCTCATGGGTTTCCTTTAACACCAGGTATTTTTAATCCTTGGAGAAAAAATTTTAAGAACTTCAGCTCTGCTACTCTAAAAGCAATGGTAATTCTCAGAAATACTGTTTCAATAATTAGATAACAGATACAATTAGAGCTGTATTATCAAGCGTTAAAGGTACAATGTATAAAAATGCTCCCTACTCAACTAAAGAAAGTTCTGGCTTTTGGCTGAAACCGAGTACACCTACCTTGTTGTATGTGAGGACAATCAGCATCCACTGAAAACCTTGTTGTGGATGAATGGCAATAAATCTTGGATTCATTGGAACTCTAAATATGCCAGAATTTTCGGAGCCCAGAAACTTTTTCAGAAGAAAAGAAAATCACAATGAAACATGTCTCATCTAGACCCTCTACATAAACACATTTTTTCTCTAACTACAGATTTCATGTTCCCTTCAATGTGCTAAGAACTGTTCTAGGTAGGTTTATCTGGTTGCAGGAAATAGAAACTCCCTCAAATTACCTCAGGTAATACTGGACTCATGGAAAGAATGCAAAAGCACAGGACCCCCAGCTGTGATGTGTTCACAAAACAGTAGAGCTCTCCTCTCTGTGTTCAGGATGCCACTAGATGCAGAGAGATGATTTTGACTTGCTCTATCTCAGAGCTTCTAGACCAATGAAATCCTGGAGTTGGGGGGAAAAAAAAGAAACCTGTATTTAACTACCTTTTAGAACTGAGGCAAGATAGTGCTCAGCAGTTAAGTACTTGGGTTTAGTAGTTATTCAGAACTGGACTCAAGTTAAGCTCTACTACTTACTAGCTGGTGGTTGTCAGCAATTAATTAAAATTCTTATTATTTCAATAGGTTTTTGGGAAACAAGCAGTGTTTGGTTACATGAATAAGTTGTTTAGTGGTGATTTCTGAGATTTTGGTGCACCCATCACCCAAGCAGTGTACCCTGTACCCAATGTGTAGTCTTTTATCCCTCACCACCCCCAACCCTTTCCCCTGAGTCCTCAAAGTCCAATGTATCATTCTTATACCTTTGTGTCCTCATAGCTTACCTCCCACCTATGAGTGAGAACATATGATGTTTGGTTTTTCCATTCCTCAGTAACTTCACTTAGAATGTTAGTCTCCAATTCCATTGAGGTTGCTGCAAATGCCATTATTTAGTTCCTTTTCATGGCTGAGTAGTATTCCATGGTATATATGTACCATGTTGTCTTTATCCACTGATTGATGGGCATTTGGGCTGGTTCTGTCTCTTGCAATTGCAAATTGTGCTGCTATAAACATGTGTGTGCAATTATCTTTTTTGTATAATGACTTCTTTTCCTCTGGGTAGATACCTAGCAGTGGGATTGATGGATCAAATGGTGGATCTACTTGTTTAGTTCTTTATGGAATCTCCACACTCCTTTCCATAGTGGTTGTACTAGTTTACATTCCCACCAACAGTGTAAAAATGTTTCCTTTTCATTACATCCATGCCAACATCTATTATCTTTTAATTTTTTAATTATGGCCATTCTTGCAGGAGTAAGGTGGTATCACATTATGGTTTTGATTTGCATTTTCCTGATAATTAGCAATGTTGAGCATTTTTCCATATGCTTGTTGGACATTTATATGTCTTCTTTTGAGAATTGTCTATTCATGTCCTTAGCCTACTTTTGATGGGATTATTTGGGTTTTTTTCTTCCTGATTTGTTTGAGTTCTTTGTAGAATCTGGATAAGAGTCCTTTGTCAGATGTATAGATTGTGAAGATTTTCTCCCACTCTGTGGGTTGTCTGTTAACTCTTTTGATTATTTCTTTTGCTGTGCAGAAGCTTTTTAGTTTAATTAAGTCCCATCTATTTATCTTCGATTTTGTTGCTTTTGCTTTGGGGTTCTTGGTCATGAAGTCTTTGCCTAAGCCAGTGTCTAGAAGGGTTTTCCTGATGTTATCTTCTAGAATCTTTATGGTTTCAGGTCCTAGGTTTAAGTCTTTGATTCACCTTGAGTTGATTTTTGTATAAGGTGAGAGATGAGGATTCAGTTTCATCGTCCTACATGTGGCTTGCCAATTATCCCAGCACCACTTGTTGAATAGGGCATCCTTTCCCTACTTTATGTTATTGTTTGCTTTGTTGATGATCAGTTGGCTGTAAGTATTTGGCTTTATTTCCATGTATTCTATTTGGTTCCATTGATCTACATGCCTATTTTTATACCAGTAACATGGTGTTTTGGTGACTAGGGCTTTATAGCATAGTTTTAAGTTGGGTAATGTAATGCCTCCAGATTTGTTCTTTTTGCTTAGTCTTGCTTTGGCTATGTGGGCTCTTTTTTCATATGAATTTTAGGATTGCTTTTTCTAGTTCTGTGAAGAATGATGGTGGTATTTTGATGGGAATTGCAATGAATTTGTAGATGGCTTTTGGCAGTATGGTCATTTTCACAACATTCATTCTACCCATCCATGATCATGGGGTATGTTTCCATTTGTTTGTGTCATCTATTATTTCTCTCAGCAGGGTTTTGTACTTTCCCTTGTAGAAGTCTTTCATGTCCTCGGTTAGCTATATTCCTAAGGTTTGGTTTTCTGTTTTTTGGTTTTTTTTTTTTTGGCAGCTATTTTAAAAGGGGTTGAGTTCTTTATTTGATTCTCAGCTTGGTCTCTGTTGGTGTGTAACAGGACTACTGATCTATGAACATTAACTTTGTATCCTGAAACTTTGCTGAATTCATTTACCAGTTCTAGGACTTTTTTGGATGAGTCTTTAGGGTTTTTGAGGTATATGATCATGTCATCAGCAAACAGTGACAGTTTGACTTCCTCTTTACTGATTTGGATGCCCTTTATTTCCTTCTCTTGTCTGGTTGCTCTGGCTAGGACTTCCAGTACTGTATTGAAGTGGTGAAAATGGGCACCTTTGTTTTGTTCTAGTTCTCAGGCAGAAATGCTTTCAACTATTCCCTGTTCAGTATAATGTTGGCTGTGGGTTTGTCATAGATGGCTTTTATTACCTAAAGGTATGTCCCTTCTAGGCCAGTTTTGCTGAGGGTTTTAATCATAAAGGGATGCTGGGTTTTGTCAAATGCTTTTTCTGCCTCTATTGAGATGATCACATGATTTTTAACTCTATTTATGTGGTGTATCACATTTATTGACTTGTGGATGTTAAACCATCCCTGCATCCCTGGTATGAAACCCACCTGATCATGGTGGATTATCCTTTCAATATGCTGTTGGATTTAGTTTGCTAGTATTTTGTTGAGGATTTTTGCATCCATGTTCATCAGGGATACTGGTCTGTAGTTTTCTTTTTCATGTTATGTCCTTTCCTGGTTTTGGTATTAGGGTGATACAGGCTTCATAAAATTACTTAGAAAGGATTCCCTCTTCTCTATCTTTTGAAATAGTGTCGGTAGAATTGGTACCAATTCTTCTTTGAATGTCTGATAGTATTCAGCTGTAAATTCGTCTGGTCCTAGACTTTTTTTTTTTGGTAACTTTTTAATTACCATTTCAATCTTGCTGCTTGTTATTGGTCTGTTCAGAATTTCTATATCTTCCTGGTTTAATCTAAAAGGGTTGTATATTTCCAGGAATTTATCCATCTCCTCTAGGTTTTCTAGTTTAAGCCCATAGAAGTTTCCACAGTAGCCTTGAATAATCTTTTGTATTTCTGTGGTGTCGGTTGTAACATCTCCCATTTTGTTTCTAATTGAGCTTATTTGGATCTTCTCTCTTCTTTTCTTGGTTAACCACACTAATGGTCTATGACTTTTATGTATTTTTTCAAAGAAGCAAATTTTGTTTTGTTTCATTTATCTTTTGTATTTTTTTGTTTCTTTGATTGTTTCCATTTCATTTAGTTCTGCTCTGGTTTTCGTTATTTATTTTCTTATGCTGTGTTTGAGTTTGGTTTGTTCTTGTTTCTCTAGCTCCTTAAGGTGTTACTTTAGATTGTATATTTGTGCTCTTTCAGACTCTTTGATGTAGGCATTTAAGGTATAACCTTTCCTTTTAGCACCATTTGTGCTGTATCATGGAGGTTTTGATAGGTTGTGTCATTCAGCTCAAATAACTTTTTAATTTCCATCTTGATTTCATTGTTGACCCAATGATCATTCAGGAGGTCATTTAATTTCCATGTGTTTGCATGGTTTTGAGGGTTCTTTTGAAGATGATTTCCAATTTTATTCCATTGTAGTCTGACAGAGTACTTGATATAATTTTGATTTTCTTAAATTTACTGAGACTTGTTTTGTGGCCTATCATATGGTCTATCTTAGAGAGTGTTTCATGTACTGATGAATATAATGTATATTCTGCATTTGTTGGGGAGAATGTTCTGTAAATATCTGTTAAGTCCATTTGTTCTAGGGTATTGTTTAAGTCCATCGTTTCTTTTTTGACTTTCTGTCTTGATGACCTGTTAGTGCTGTCAGTGGAGTATTAAAGTCCCCCACTATTATTGTGGTATCATTTATCTCATTTCTTAGGTCTAATAGTACATTTGGGAGCTTCAGTGTTAGGTGCATATATATTTAGAATTGTGGATATTTTCCTATTGGACTAGTTAGTCCCTTTATCATTATATAATGTCCCTCTTTGACTTTTTTAACTGCTGTTGCTTTAAAGTTTGTTTTGTCTGATATAAGAATAGCTACTCCTGCTCACTTTTCATGTCTATTTGCATAGAATATCTTTTTCCACCCCTTTCCTTAAGTGTATGTGAGTCCTATGTGTTAGGTGAGTCTCTTGAAGACAGTAGAAACTTGGTCGGTGAATTCATATCCATTCTGTATCTTTTAAGTGGAGCATTTAGGCCATTTACATTTAACATTAGTATTGACATGTGATGTACTATTCTATTCATCATGCTATTTGTTGCGTTCATTTTCTTTTTCAGTGTGCTGCTGTTTTATAGGTCCTGTGAGATTTATGCTTTAAGGAGGTTCTATTTTGGTGTATTTCAAGGATTTGGTTCAAGATTTAGAGCTTCTTTTAGCAATTCCTGTACTGCTGGCTTGGTAGTGGCAAATTCTCTCAGCATTTGTCTGAAAAAGACTGTCTCTTTCATTCATTTATGAAGCTTAGTTTCACTGGATATAAAATTTTTGGCTGATAATTGTTTTGTTTAAGGAGGCTAAAAATAGGACCCCAATCCCTTCTAGCTTATAGGGTTTCAGCTGAGAAATTTGCTGTTAACCTGATATGTTTTCCTTTATAGGTTACCTGATGCTTTTGCCTTACAGATCTCAAGATTTTTTTCCTTCATCTTGAGTTTAGATAACCTGATGACTATGAGGCTAGGTGATAATCTTTTTGCAATGAATTTTCCAGGTGTTCTTTGAGCTTCTTGCATTTGGATGTTGTTATGGTTTGCTGTGTCCCCACCCAAATCTCATCTTGAATTGTAGTTCCCATAATCCCCACATGTCATGGGAGGGACCCAGTGGGAGGTAATTGAAGTATGGGGTGGTTTCCCCCATGCTATTTTTGTGATAGTAAGTTCTCATGAAATCTGGTGGTTTTACAACGGTCTTCCCCCTTTGTTCAGTTCTCATTCTTCTCCTTCCTGCCACCATGCAAAGAAGGATGTGTTTGCTTCCCTTTCTGTTATAAGTTTCCTGAGGCCTCCCCAGCCCTGCAGAACTGTGAGTCAATTAAACCTCTTTTCCTTATAAATTACTCAGTCTCAGACAGTTCTTTATAGCAGTGTGAGAATGGACTAATACAGTAAATTGATATCGGTAGAGTGAGGTGTTGCTATAAGGATACCTCAAAATGTACAAGTGACTTTGGAACTGAGTAACAGGCAGAGGATGGAACAGTTTGGAGTGCTCAGAATAAGATAGGAAAATATGGGAAAGTTTGGAACTTCCTAGAGACTTGGAGGGTTCAGAAGACAGATGTGGGAAAGTTTGGAACTTCCTAGAGACTTGTTGAATGGCTTTAACCAAAATGATTATAGTGATATGGACAATGAAGTCCAGGCTGAGGTCATCTCAGATGGAGATGAGGAACTTTTTGGGAACTGGAGTAAAGGTGACTTGCTATGCAAAGAGACTGGCAGCATTTTGCACCTGCCCTAGAGATCTGGGGAACTTTGAACTTGAGAGAGAATGATTTAGGGTATCTGGCAAGGAAATTTCTAAGTAGCAAAGCGTTCAA
This sequence comes from Homo sapiens, assembly GCF_000001405.40. Taxonomy (NCBI): domain Eukaryota; kingdom Metazoa; phylum Chordata; class Mammalia; order Primates; family Hominidae; genus Homo; species Homo sapiens. Next base: position 45,874,147 of record NC_000015.10, on the reverse strand, counting down.
GAGGAAGCAGAGCATAAAAGTTTGGAAAATTTGCAGCCTGATGATGCAATAGAAAAGAAAAACACATTTTCTGGGAAGAAATTCAAGCTTGCTGCAGAAATTTGCATAAGTAATGAGGAAAATGTCTCCAGGGCATGTCAGAGACCTTCACAGCAGATGTTGAGTGCCTGTGGCTTTTTCAGCCACATGGCGCAAGCTGTCAGTGGACGTATGATACTAGGGTCTGGAGGAATGTGGCCCAGAGGCCTAGGAGGGAAAAATAATTTTGTGGGCCAGGCCCAGGACCCCCTGCTGTGTGCAGCCTCAGGACTTGGTGCCCTGGTTTTCAGCCACTCCAGCCATGGCTAAAAGGGGTCAAAGTACAGCTCAGGCCATTGCTTCAGAGGGTACAAGCCCCAAGCCTTGGCAGTTTCCATATGGTGTTGAGCCTGCAGTGCACAAAAGTCAAGAATTGAGGTATGGGAACATCCACCTAGATTTCAGAGGATGTATGCAAACACCTGGATGTCCAGGCAGAAGTTTGTCACAGGAGCAGAGTCCTAGTAGAGAGCCACTGCTAGGGCAGTGTGGAAGAGAAATATAGAGTTGGAGACCCCACACAGAGTCCCCACTGGGGCACTGCCTAGTGGAGCTGTGAGAAGAGGGCCACCATCCTCCAGACCCCAGAATGGTAGATCCACCAAAAGCTCGCACTATGCATCTGGAAAAGCCACAGGCACTCTAGGCCAGCCTGTGAAAGTAGCTGAGAAGGGCCGTATCCTGCAAAGCCACTGAGACAGAGCTGCCCAAGGCTGTGGGAGCCCACCTCTTGCATCAGCATGACCTAGATATGAGGCATGGATTCAAAGATCATTTTGGGTTTAATGACTGCTCTATTGAATTTTGGATTTGCATGGGGCCTGTAGCCCTTTAGTTTTGGCCAACTTCTCCCATTTGAAATGGGTGTATTTACCCAACGCCTGTGTCCCCATTGTATCTAGGAAGTAACTAACTTGCTTTTGATTTTACAGGCTCATAGGTGGAAGGGACTTGCCTTGTCTCAGATGAGACTTTGGACTTGGACTTTTGGGTTAATGCTGGAATGAGCTAAGATGTTGGGGGACTACTGGAAAGGCATGATTGTGTTTTAAAATGTGAGGACATGAGATTTTGGAGAGGCCAGGGGCAAAATGATATAGTTTGGCTATGTTCTCACCCATATCTCATTTTGAATTGTAGTTCCCATAATCCCCATGTCATGGGAGGGATCTGTTGGAAGGTAATTGAAGCATGGGGGCAGTTTCCCCCAAGCTATTCTCATGATAGTAAGTTCTTATGAGATCTGATGGTTTTATAAGGGTCTTCCCCCTTCACTTGGCTCTCATACTTCTCCTTCCTGCCACCATGTGAAGAAGGATATGCTTGCTTCCCCTTCCATCATGATTGTAAGTTCCCTGAGGCCTCTCCAGCCCTATGGAACTGTGAATCCATTAAACCTCTTTTCCTTATAAATTACCCAGTGTCGAGCAGTTCTTTATAGCAGCATGAGAATGGACTAATACAGATTTACAGATCTCTAGCAAGGCTGGGGAAGTTTTCCTCGATTATTCCCTCAAATATGTTTTCTAAATTTTAGATTTCTCTTCTCCCTCAGGAACACCAATTATTCTCAGGTTTGATTGTTTAACGTAATTCCAAAGTTCTTGGAGGCTTTGTTCTTTTTTATTATTATTATTCTTTCTTTTTTGTCTTTGTGGGATTGGGTTAATTCAAAAGCCTCATCTTCAAGCTATGAAGTTCTTTCTTCTACTTGTTTGATTCTATTGCTGAGAATTTCCAGTGAATTTTCCAATTCTGTAATTGTGTCCTTCATTTCCAGAAGTTGTGATTGTTTTATATTTATGCTATCTATTTTACTGACAAGTTCTCCATTCATATCCAGTATTATTTTTTTGATTTCTTTAAGTTGGACTTCACCTTTCTCTGATGGCTCCTTGATCAGCTTAATAGCCGACTTTCTGAATTCTTTCTCTGGCAATCCAGAGATTTTTGTCTGGGTTTGTATCCATTGCTGGTTAGCTAGTGTGATCTTTTGGGAGTGCTAAAGAACTTTGTTTTGCCATGTTATCAGAATTATTTTTCTTGTTCCTTCTCATTTGGGTAGACTCAAGGGCTGCTGTTTAGATTCTTTTGTCCCACAAGGTGTTCCCTTGATGTGGTTGCTCTCCCCCTTTCTTCTAGGGATGGGGCTATCTGAGAGCCAAACTGCAGTGATTGTTATTTATCTTCTGGATCTAGCCACCAAGTGGAGCTACTGGGCTCCAGGCTGGTACTGGGGAATGTCTACAAAGAGTCCTGTGATGTGATCTGTCTTCAGGTCCCTCAGCCGTGGATACCAGCACCTGCTCCAGTGGAGGTAGCAGGGGACTGAAGTGGACTCTATGAGGGTCTGTGGTTGTATTTTTGTTAAGTTATGCTGGTTTTGTGTTGGTTGGCCTCCAGCCAGGAAGTGGTGCTTTCAAGAGCACATCAGCTGTGGTTGTACAGGGAGATACAAGCTTGCCCTAGGGTCAGGCAGTAGGTGGGCCATATAGCTCCCAGGAGATTATGTCCCTTGTGTTTGGCTACCAGGGCAGGTAGAGAAAGACTAACAGGTGGGGCAGGGTTAGGTGTGTCTGAGCTCAGACTCTTCTTGGGCAGGGCTTGCTGTGGCTGCTGTGGGGGATGGGAGTGTGGTTTTCAGGCCAATGGAGTTCTGTTCCCTGGGGATTATGACTGCCTCTGCTGCAACACACAGGTCACCAGGGAAGTGGGAGAAAGCCAGCAGTCACAGGCCTCACCTACCTCCCACGTAGCCCACAGCCTGAAAGGCCAGTCTCACTCCCACCATGCCCACCCAGTAGCACCAAGTTTATTTCCAGGCAGCCTGTGAGCAGAGCTGAGAACATGCCCTAGGCTACAAGCCTCCCAGCTGAGAAAGCAAGCTGACTCACAGTTCCTCAGCTGTCCCACGGAGCCTGCAGCAGCAATCCACCTCCTTCAAAGGGTCTGTGGATTCTCTCGGCTTTCCTGGCATATTTCTGTGGTAGTTCTTGGAGCAAAAGTTCATTATGTGAGTCTCCATATGTTGTTCTGTCCATCCAAGTGGGAGCTGCAAGTTAGTCCTGCCTCCTATCTGCCATTTTCCCTCAGTCCACTTCCAACTAAAATTATGTAAACCAATGAATTCTCTTCTAGAAAAAATGAGAATTGAATAAAATTATTTAACCAAATAGCTCAGTCATAATAAGTATTCAGTAAATGCTAGCTGATTTTGACTATAAAATCTAGTTTCCTAAATTTACAAATGAGAAATATAAGGCCAGAGAGGTAAAGTGAACCAGCTGAGGGTATATTATCTGCATACTTATATAGATAGATCTTGAACTGCAAACAGTGAAACACAATAATTGAGTAAAGTCTTTCCTTTGAAAGATAAAACGCACTCCTTGTCCTATGTTATCGGCAAATAAATAGATGTCCCAAACAAGAAAAAGTAAACCACATCTGTGAGTGTTTTCTGTTTCCCAGACCCTGACCAGAGACAAAGTGGCAAACAAACATATGAATGAACCATAGACCTGTCTTAAAGCACTTCAAATTTACTTGGACAGACAAGGGATAATCTTAATTAACTAATAAAGCATTTTCCTAAGCAAATGCCAGATACGTGCAGCAGGTCAAAGTGTTGTCTAAGAATGAAGGAGTGAAACATTTAATCCCCCAGAACAGTCAGAGAAAGCTTCTTGACAACACTGTTTCTTTTTTGTTTTTTTTTGGCGGGGGGGGGGGGGGGGGGGGGGGGTTGTATTTTTTTTTTTTTTTAAAGACGGAGTTTCACTCTTGTTGCCCAGGCTGGAGTGCAATGGCGCAATCTCGGCTCACCGCAACCTCCGCCTCCCAGGTTCCAGTGATTTTCCTGCCGTGGAGTTTCTGAGTGGGCAGCCAAGGAAAGAAAGAAGGAAAAAATATGAGCAAAGGCCTAGAAGCAGGAATGCATTTAGTTACTGGAGAGGAAGTCATCAAAGTCTTCATTTTCCATCTAATTCTGGGATTTCACAGAAATGTCATCTTTGTATTGTAAAATCGACTTACATGACATATTTTGAGAAATAAAATTTTGTTTCATTGAAGGATTATATTTTAAGTCCTTTCCCATTACTTTTGGAACATTAAACACTCTCATAAGTGAATGTAAAATGTAAACTATAAGTAACCCAGGGATAAAAAGTGTACATGCAAATGTAGCAGTCTAGTGGTATCAGGAATATACTGTCCTTTATTGTCATTAAACATTCCCTTTTTAACAATTAATTTGCTTAATACGCCTCCTCCTTTTGAAATAGATCAATTATAAAAATACATTTTAATCCATCTTCTTAAATTCCAAATCAAAAGAAGTTGGCTCCACTGGGAAGATGGTATGGAGACAGTGGTGAAAAAATGTGTTATTGGGGAACAACACATGTGAAAAGAAAAGAGCAAAAGTGGAACTGGTCTAGCAGAGGGGTCAGACAATGATATCTGTCAAAGTATCTGCCAGCCTCGTGGGAGCTCTGGCATCATGCGTTGGGTAGAAATGGCAAGACCGTTGTGGCACAGTCTTGCTCTGTCACCCACAGGGGCCACATTGAGAAGAGCATGACCTCAGCTCAAAAGTTGAGGTGAACTGGAAATAGTCAACAGCTGGACACTTCAGAGAACCACATTTCCCCCAGCTGGGATGTGCGCCCTTTCTTGAAGAGAAATAGAACTGGCTCGTTTCTATATCTGCCACTTTTCAGCCCTTGTGTTGCATGGTTCCATTTCTCCAAACAAGTTTGAGAGGAAGTTCCTCCAGGGTTATTGTAGACCTCTTTACCCAAGGAGAAACTAAAAGGGATGTTAATGAGACAAACCACAGCCTTATTGCTGCAGTCAGACACAGAACCACAGCTGATAATTACTTCCTCCTCCACTGTGCATTTTAAACTCCCTTTACCCTCAACTACCAACATTGCTGGTCTTTGTGTCTTACCTGCTGGTGTGACCCAAACCCTCATTCCTATGAGTAGATGTGGCATGTGGGCCCCATGTCACAGTATCTTTCTCAGATGAGGTTAGCTGCACTTGTCTGTTTATAGACACAACTGGGCAAGGGAGAACCAAGAGGCACCCAAGTGGATTACCTGCCCGTATTGTTTAACAATAGCCCCATCTCCTGTTATTCAGGTTCAGTTACCCTGCCAAGATGGTGGCTATTCTCACCTGCTTCTCCCTGAATATGAGGGTCAAACAGGTCTCAGAAGTTAGCCATAGCTTACAGTTGAATGGGACCTTGTGTTTCTCCTGGCAAGTGTGCCTTTTTTGAAAACAAGAGTTCCTTCTCTAATGTTTCAGATCCTGGAGTTTCAGGGACAAGAAGCAAAAAGCCCCCTCATGTGTCACTTGGAATGGTGGTAAATGGGGCAATTTTTGCTCCCATCCCTTAGCTCCTGGTCCTATGCATTCTTTCTTTTGGTAACACAGCACCATATAGAAGCCTCTAATAATGTGTATGTACTGCATCCTGGAGAATGGCACCACATCCTCAGAGTATTGCTCCAACACTTCAGCAACTGTTCCAACACTCTACTAGGCCAGATGCTTCTGGATGATGCAATACATTAAATACCATAAGTTTACACTGAGGAAAGTGCGGCTGGTACAACTGTGCTGAGTCTGGGCTATTTGCTCATGAAGGCTTCTTGTGTCCCCTGGTCTTGCTTGTTCTAAATCCTAGATGTACCGCTTCCAGCTTACAACAGGATGCTGCTGGGTACACCTGATTTTATGAGTTGGTGATTCACCAGGACCTTATACATCATAGGAAATTCTGAACTCATGGTCATGTAGTGCCCCATGACCAAGTATTCTGTCTTTACAAGGAATTATTCAGGTGCCAGGAGTTATCTTTCAAATGGTATTATGGCCTTGCTGCATAAACTCAGGAATCTGCATTTTTATTCTCATACTAATAGGGTTTGCTGGATCAAATAGCCCAAGCAACAGAGCTGCTTGTGTTGCTACCTGGACATATTACAGATGCCTTTCTTGTTTTGGGCCCCATTTAAAGAAAGCAGCCTTTCAAGTCACCAAGTATATGGGCCCAAATACCATTTCTAGAATAGAAATACTGTACCTTCAAAACCCCATTGCTATCAATAAATTAAGTTGTGTGGTAGCCCCTACCATCATCAGACCTGGTCTGCAAAGGACAGCCAACACTGAAATGTTTTAATGATGCTGGTATGCCTTTAACCAGTGCCTTCCTGGTGGCTTTGGTAAATGGTATGTGTCTTCTTGCCCTCTCATGGAACATAAACCTCTGGTGGATTTTCTGGCCTCACGTAGTATCTCCATTCCAGCATGCCTGCTTCCCTGACACTTTCATTCTCTTACTGCAGTATTTACAATGACAATTCTGGTATTACCACTTCACTCAGTATAGATTTTCATTTTTCTCTTGCTTCTTGAAGCCTCACTAGTCAGTTTGCACTGTGCCCTGGAGTCTTTGCCAAGACATCAAATCCTTCATTCTAAGGGTGCCTCCAAGCCAGTAAACTCATCCTTACCCAGTCTTATGTTCAAGAACCCTCAAACTCTAGTACCTTGGGTGCTGCTGGTACATGTTGGTACATGCTGACTAGGTCATGTAACTTTTTTGGAGTATAATACCTTTCTTCCTTTATCAGATCCAGGACATCCCAAACTGGGTCATGCTGTGACTTAACACTAATATAGGCCTGGCAGCCAAGAGAATAGGTGAGGCCTTATCTTGATGGGAATGTGGCAGGGCTATTACCTTGCAGAAGATGGGCTCCATATACATCACCTAGCCTACAATGGCTTCTCACATAAAAGAGGAATGTATTATCTCTTTTTTTTTTTTTTTTTTTTTTTTTGAGCTGGAGTCTCACTCTGTCACCAGGCTGGAGTTCAGTGGCACCATCTTGGCTCACTCCACCTCCTGGGTTCAAGCAATTCTCCTGCCTCAGCCTCTCAAGTAGCTGGGATTACAGACACGTGCCACCACACCCAGCTAATTTTTATATTTTTAGTAGAGATGGGGTTTGACCATGTTGGCCAGGATGGTCTCGATCCTTGACCTGGCGATCCACCCACCTCAGCCTCCCAAAGTACTGGAATTACAGGTGTGAGCCACCACACCCAGCCTGTATTACCTCTTAATAGGGGAAAAGGCAACCTCTGCAAGCTCTAAGAGTCCAGAGGAGTCTGGGAAGCTAACATTTGGGAGGCAGCCAACAAGTTGTCCCTCTCCCACGCATTAGAATCTCAGTTTTCTTATCCAAAGCCCCACCCCTGGCATAATATCTCTGCCTCAGCTCTGTAACCAATGGTCTTTGAAGCTGAGAACTGTATTTAATCCTGAGTTTGGCCTTTTTCTTTTCTCCAAATGCCAAAGATAAAGGCCTATTTGTAAGCTACCAAATAAGACTTGTGACTTTGTTAGTTTTCAATTTTTAACTGCCTTCAGCTTTTCATTATTCCTCTACCAGGCATTAATACAACTTAGTAACAATCAGCCAATTTTCATTTTCCTTGTATTGATTATTTCTCCTGTACTTTTCAAATGCCTTAATCATTGCATTGGAACATTCTCTCAATTCACCAGAGAAAGTTTTTGCAATCAGGCCAACACCTCATGCCAGAGATTATCTGCGCCCTCCTCATACCACCTGGGATACCACCTGGGATGGTGATCTCATTGCCAGCCAGGCTGTGAGTGATCCAAGCCCAAAACTTCATCTTACCACCTGTTTTCTTTGAGCATTCCTGGAACCACCATCAGTTAGGTCCTCTGGGAATCAGATGCTGAGACAGAGTTAAGAATGCAGACAGTAGATTGAAGCGTAACATCTGTGAAAAGAGACAGGAGGAGGGGGGACTAGGTAAGGGGAGATAGCAAACCATAATCCATATTAGACCAAGTCTCAGCCAGCCCACTAAGAATCTCTGGAGCAACAACTGTCCATTACGGCAGTCCCAGCTCTGAGACTGAAGTAGACTTGAAGAAGAAAACCACAGAAGGTTGCCAGGAAACCAGACTCCTTGCAACTAAGGATCACGTCCTTTCTTGAAGGGGGATCTAAGCAATGCATCTCTATGTCTGCCATTGTGATATGTAAAATAATAAGACTTTACCCCATATGTGTGCCTGAATATATATTAATCTAATTAAGGCTAGACTGCCCCTAGTGAGTATTTGGACAAACTCTGCATGGCTTAATGAAGGCCTGAACCCTCACTCATCTCCAGAAGCCTCTCAGTTCCCCTCAGTTCTTTCCTAATGTGTGCCCAGATATCTTCTTGGTATCTCCATGTCAAAAGAGATTAGGCATAATCTTAGAGAGAAGCAAGTAAATACACCCCTACCTTTGAAACCATGTCTTATGTTTTTAACTAGCCTGCTCTGAAAAATAAGTCAAATGGCCTACAATTGAGTCAACCAAAGAAACTAAGTCATGGCTACAAGTTCTCCAATCAGACTCCAAATGTAGAACAGCTCCCACATTGGCATCTTGCAGGTTACACTGCATTGGTTATAGTAGAAACTGCTGAAGATAAAATCGCCTAAACTCTGACTGTATCATGTTTGCAGAATTTCTGAGAGTGGATAGAAAATTCCACAATGCTGATACAAGAGTAGTGAAGATATTCATACTACAAGTTCCTGCTTAAGAGCTATTGCTTGATGGAGTAGTTCCTTAGGAGCTAAAAACAACATTATTTTCTAAGAACTGCCCCATTTGTTGCCATTTTGGGAAGGCATTGGACAAACATTTTCCCCCCCGAAAAAAAGTGAATTTCTAGCCCATAAGACTCAAATATCTTCTCCCAAGGGGAATTGTTGCTGATTTAAGAATGTGTTCAACCTGGATAGGAGGAGTATCTAGGTGTAATTGAGTTCAATGCTACTGTTAGCAAATAATGATCTGGTCCAGAAGTGTCTGAAGGTGCACCCCAGAAAATGAAGAAAGGTGTGGTGATCCCTGGAGGAGATGGAGGTGAAATAACTAAAAAAAAGATAGGAAACAACACATTTAGGGATGTCGTGTGGCCCCACAAAGGAGCAGAAGTCAAGAAAAAGATGGGGAGAATCAGGAATTGGCTAAATGCAGTGCCTCTTAAGCTCAGAAGAACCACATGGGCCACTGACCATGAACATTCCCTGAGTGTCTTCACCTCAGAAGTTGAGATCACCAACTAAGCTGACAATTGAAGGGACCAGGAGGAATCACTTTTGTCCTAAGGTGGAGTAAAATGAGTAGCCACTTCCCAAATTCCTAAAGACCACAGAGAGTGAGCTCCCTAGGGCTCTGGGGACAGAAATAAGTCCAAATATCAAGGAAGGCAGTGACCCCAAGTTTGTGGCAGAAAATGCAGCTCAGGACTGGCCACATACCCCGTGCACAATGAAAGTGCAAAAATGAAAGGGTGAGGCCTCTTGTTCAAACCAGACTCCTTGCAACTGAGCAAGATGCAACAACAGGGCATTAAGCCAAGTGCAGGGTCTTCTGGGCATCCCTGAAGAAGTTGGTTATATTAGTTATTTATTGCCAGAGAAAGAGAATTAGGCTCTATCTTTGAAGAAAGGAACATCAAAGAATTTGTGGACATATTTTTAAACTTCCAGAGCTGCCCTCTGGTTGGAAATTATTTACATTCCCCCAACATGCAAAATGAACTCACCTCCCAAGAACCCTCAGAACTCTCATCCCTTTATGCCATCAACTCAAAATGCAGAACCTTGCATCCAAATCAAGTCTAAGAGTGTGTGACCCAAATCTGTTTAATTATCTATTACTACATAACAAATTGCCCTAAAATTGAGTGGCTTAAAGCAATAAACATTTACCAGCTCACAGTTTCTGTGGTCAGGAATCCAGCAGTAACTTAACTGGGTGGTCTAGCTCAGGAACTCTCATGAGGTTGCAGGCAAGATGTCAGTGAGGACCACAGTCTTCTGAAGGCTTGACGGCAGCTGGGCAATCTACTTCCAAGATGACTCATACACAGGACTATTGACAGGAGGCCTTAGTTCCTAGCCACACAGGTCTTTCCGTAGAGCTGCTTAAGTGGGGAAACAGGTTTTTCCCAAAGTGAATGATCCAAGAAAGAGAAAAAGAGAAAATCAAAATGTCTTTTATGTCCTTATCTCAGGCATCTCAGTCACTTCTGCCATATTCTACTTGTTAGAAGCAAGTCACTAAGTCCGCCCTCACTCAAAGGGAGGTAATTAAGTAAAGAAGGGCTATCAAAAAGTTTGAAGATTTATTTTTAAAACCACCACACTGACCAATTCACTACTTAGAGCATTATTTAATTCAAGAATACTTTCCTATAAGAATATTATTCTGAGTTCATGTCCTTTGCAGGAACATGGATGAAGCTGGAAGCCATCATTCTCAGCAAACTAACACAGGGACAGAAAACCAAACACCACATGTTCTCACAAATAAGTGGGAGTTGAACAATGAGAACACATGGACACAGAGAGGTGAACATCACACACCGGGCCTGTCAGGGGTCAGGGGGAAGGGGAGGGAGAGCATTAGGACAAACACCTCATGCATCCGGGGCTTAAAACCTAGATGATTGTTGATAGGTACAGCAAACCACCATGGCACATGTGTAGCTATGTAACAAACCTGCACGTTCAGCACATGTATCCCAGAACTTAAAGTAAAATAATAAAGTACATAGGTAAGGTTTTTTAAAATGATGAGATACAAAAGTGATACAATTTTGAGGCAATATTAACCTCCATATCTGGGTAATCGTGTCCAATAGAGATTACAAAAGTCACAAACAGGCAATGTAGTATAGTGGAAAGAACACTAATCTTAAAATCAAGAATCTTGAGTTATAACTTTGGCTTTGCCATTTTCTACTCATGTAAAAATGGACAAAAAATTTGCCATGTTTAATCTCCTTGTCAAAGAAAGAGAGAGAGAGAGATTGTTATCTGCACTAAATTTCTCACAGGATGTTCTAAGGAGCAAATAACATGTACCGAGAGCCTAAACTGCATTTCTACAGTGATCTTAGCGATCTAGCAATGTGTTTCTAGGCATGTAGAAGAAGCATATAATTTAGGAGTTAAAATCTCCCAAGCAATCAGTAAAACATACCCGTCAATTAACCCCTCAAGCCGTAATTGGACGGAGGAAGGCAAGATTTCCAATCAATCCCACAGCTTCACTACTGGAAAAGAACTTAATCCCCTTTGTCAGTTTTACTTGAAAAATCCTGGGTTGAAAACCAGAATCTTGAGTCTTGGGATTCTTGAGTCTTGGGACTCTTGAATCTTAAAGCTACCCCTGGACCCAGTAACTGTGACCAGGTAGGCACAATTTTGTGATTTAAAATGTAGCCTGTTTAGATCATTTGGAGCCCGTGATGTGTAAGGAATTGGTGGCCCCTACACACATTAGAACCCTGGAAATGGAGAGATAGGCATTTCCAAAAGAAGAGGCCTGGATATTTGAGAAGAAGAGGAAAAGAATTCTGGGCAAATAAAACAATAGTTGTCCTTTTCAGAAAAAAAAAATAATGAAAGCTCAGGCAAAGTAAAAAGCTGAGGTCATTGAAAGGAACTGAACATATAAGGCCACTCCATCCCATGCCCTACTTTCAAGGTAAGAAAAATTGCAAGAATATGTTCCACTGAAATTTGACCACAAATTAAGCAAAGCTACTGCCATCCTAATACGGGTAGTGTGGAGTGAAAAGTGTCTAGGGCAAGGAAGAATAACATCAAGCCATGGAAAGGGAGCCTCAGGGGTCAGTAATGCCCTGAGCTAGCCAGGTGACACAAGCATTCAGGGGCACTGAGGGCGAGTCTCTGGATGAGATTGGAGGTATTTGGGAACAAAGACAGTAGAGACACTGCTGGTAACTGCTGTGAGTCATAACAAAATCCTTTAACATTGATTTATGCCTCAATTACATTGCCTAGGCTGTTGTTGCTTGGGAAACCATTGACTACTGAAATAATAATGCCAAAGAGCTAAATCAATTAAAAGTATCATTTTCAAAGTGATAGGGAACATCTATTAAAAGGAGGCAGGAAGGAATCAACATTTATAGAGCAACTACCATGTCCCAGCTCTGAACAAGGAGTATTATGTTATATCTCATTTAATCTTCAGAAGCCATCTATGTGAGTGCAGAAAGTAAGCTCCTTGAGGGCTGAGTTTTTGTACATTTTGTCACTGCTGTATCCCCAGCATCTAGAACAATGCCTGCAACTTAGAAAGCACTCAATAAATATTTGTTGAAAAATATGAATGAATATAATTATCTTTGTTTCTCAGATGGAAAAACTGAGATATAGATAGAATAATTAAATTGCTAAAAGTGACACAGCTTGCCAAGATTTTTTTTTTTTTTTTTGAGACAGAGTCTCAGTCCATCGCCCAGGCTGGAGTAGAGTGGCACAATCTCGGCTCACTGCAAGCTCTGCCTCCCAGGTTCACGCCATTCTCCTGCCTCGGCCTCCCAAGTAGCTGGGACTACAGGCGCCCACTACCACACCCGGCTAATTTTTTGTATTTTTTAGTAGAGACGGGGTTTCAACGTGTTAGCCAGGATGGTCTCGATCTCCTGACCTCGTGATCCGCCTGCCTTGGCCTCCCAAAGTGCTGGGATTACAGGCGTTAGCCACCGCACCTGGCCTAGCCAAGACTTTTTAAACCCAATCTGTGTATATCACAGCCTACATCCTTGGAAGTCATTTTCTGCTGCAAGAGAACTTGCAAAAAAATTCTGACTTCATTTATCATTTAAAATCTGCACACTTCCAGAAAGAATTGGAAGGACCTAGTACACGACTTGCCACACTATTTATTTCATCATTCAGAAAGTTTAGAAAATAGGTACTCCATATTTTGATCAATAAGAAAGTACTAGCTCATGAAACAGTTGTGATACAAATCTTAAGAACCATACTATATGACATAACAAATGATGAGAAGTTTGGTATAACTGGGTGTGTACCCTAGACACTTCCTGAATATAAGTGAAATCCCAGGGTTAGACTGTCTAAAGAGGGAAAAAGAAAAAAACTCCAACTTCGGCGATTCCCAAAAAAAAACAATCAAATAAAAACTACCAAGACAAATTTACCTGGAGAGAGTTAAACGGGTAAGATAAATAAAACAAAACAAAACAAAAAAACACTGAACTCTGCCCCAATCACAGGAAACTGCAGCCTAGCAAGGAGTTACGAGTAATAGCACTTTGCCTCTGAGAAGGGGCTAGGGCGTGAAGAGAGACCCCAGGTACAGCCATGCAAGATTCAATGGAAGTTGACTGGACAGGAATTCTGAGAAAAACCCTGCTGCAGCCTCAGAGCCCACACAGAATACAACTATGAGCAGTTTAACAATGAAGAAATTTGAAGTCCATGGTGTACTGAACATAACTGTAACAACAACCCAAAAAAACAGCTGGAATGTTGGCTGGATTAGCTCAAGCACCCCACAGTAAAAGCATAACTTAAGAAGAGAACTGCCCATTTTCAGGCACAAATTTTGTTCTCTTCAGTCTCACTATTTTACACACAATGTCCAGGATTTGATTTTTAAAATATGAGATACACAGAAAAGAAAACACACACACACTCATATATTGTCCGGAAATAAAGTAATCAATCAATTTTTTTGCTAAATATATATATATATATATTTTTTTTTTGAGACGGAGTCTCGCTCTGTTGCCCAGGCTGGAGTGCAGTGGCGCAATCTCGGCTCACTGCAAGCTCTGCCTCCCGGGTTCATGCCATTCTCCTGCCTCAGCCTCCCAAGTAGCTGGGACTACAGGCATGCGCCACCACGCCTGGCTAATTTTTTGTATTTTTAGTAGAGACAGGGTTTCACCGTGTTGGCCAGGATGGTCTCGATCTCCTGACCTCATGATCCACCCGCCTCAGCCTCCCAAAGTGCTGGGATTACAGGTGTGAGCCACTGCGTCCGGCCTTTGCTATTTTTTTCATACATTTTTCTTACACGTTGTTATAAACCTCACAATTCCTTTTAATTTATCTAGCTTTTCTTATACATATAATACCATGGAGTAACCAAATAGTATATGATGAGATGCATTTTTTATCAAAATATTTTAACTAATAAGTAAAGAATAAAGAGTAAAATGTAACTACCTTGCTACTCCCAATAAACTAATGGATCTGGATACTGAATATCCACCACTGCTAGTGTTGCAAAAATATAATCAGACATGATGTGCCTTTTGATGAAAGATTGAACAACCTCCTATAGTCTTGCTAGAGATTGATCATAAATCTGATAAATACTTTGCATCAGCTGCCAACTTGCAGGAAATCCAAAGTAAAGGGGAGCATGATGAACTGCACCCTAAGTATGCAATGAACAGAATCCACACTATGGGTAATGCTACAGGTCAAATGCCCCAGGTTTTTCAAATGACAAATGATAGGGAAAATAAAGTTATGAAGGGTGCACTGTAAATCAAGAGAGACTTAAAAGCAAATAAAAAATGGGTAAGACTAAATTACAGTGTCTAGGAATATAAGAAAAGTCCAGTGGGTGACCATTTTTGAAAGAGCAGGAGGCTGGATATTGTAACAGGCACATAGAAGACTTCTGGGGTCAGTGATACAGCTCTGTTTCCTAACCTGGGTGATAGTTACAAGAGAACTTGCCTCATAAATAAGTCATTAAGCCACACATTCGTATTGTGTGGCTTTCATAATCTGTGCTTTCATTTACAATAAAAAGGTTAACAAAAAAAAGCAATGTGATTTCAGAGCTAGGAATGAAAAATATTTATATAAATGTTGGAAAATGAGGATTGACAAATGATAGATCCTGAAGAAAGACTAAAATCCCCAGTAATAAATTCAAATCATGAATATAAACAAGAAAAAACAGACTCACTACTTGGGGCACAAGAATTAATGTTACAGGTTTCTAAGATAACAGAAATGAGAGGCATTCTACATTCTATCTTCACTTAAGGAGTGGGATCTTTGGTTCTACTTAACCAAAACTGTTCTCTCTGTTTAGTTCAAAGTTCCAAACTAGTAAAAAATACTCCTGAAGAATTAAAATAAACCTAATAAAAGAGGTTTATTTGGCTCACAGTTCTGCAGGCTGTACAAGAAGCATGGTGTCAGCATCTGCCTCTGGTCAGGACTTCAGGAAGCTTCCAATTATGGAAGAAGGCGAAGGGGGAGCAGGTGTGTCACATGGCAAGAAAGAAAGCAAGAGAGAGACAGCAAGAGAGATGCCAGGTTCTTTTAAACAACTAGCTCTCACGTGAATTAATAGAGCGAGCACTCACTCTTGGTTCTAGTCTTGGAACCACACCAAGCCATTCATGAGGTATCCACCCTCATGACCCAAACACCTCCCACTTTACAAAGAACTAGGGAATATTTTTACTAGTACTACTCACACCCTAAGAATTCATACTTCCAGATTTAAATAAATTACATCTCAGGGTACAAAAGTAAAGTGATCAAAGGAATGCTGTCAACCAGCTCTGAGGAGTCACAGAGAGGGACTCACTCCCCTGTTTAGAATGGCTTGTTTAGGATCTACAACACTAGGTTAAATTGGAAATTAGGAAGGTCTTTGGACAACTACTTAAACTATGCAACCAAACTTCCTGTTATATGTATTTATATATACACAATAGCGACACATGAAAGTTACTTGTTGAGAGCCAAAGCATCATAGTCACTTTCCCTAAAACAAGAGAGCTAACCATTTTTATCTTTTTCATCGTTGTAGCCACGTATTTGATTCATTAAATGCTAAATGGTGACATGAATACATACATTGTAATTCTTCAGATATTAAGCATTTAGTGCTTTTAGCTTTCATTTTCTCTATTTGACTTAAGAAACTTGATGATTCCAAACGGTTAGTTAACACCAACATTTATAGCTGTAATTATGATTTTTAAAAAATATTATTTGTATTCTCACAGTGTAGAGTAAGAGAGTAGAAGTCAGAAAACCTGGTCTCAGACTGAACTCTATCATTAACTCATTTTTTGACCCTGGTTGATTGAAGCACTGTCTAGGAAAGAATTCAGTTTTCCCATTGGAAAACATAGATCCTGGATTATATCTGAGGCTCAAAGAGAGTATTTTCACTTCAATAGAGGGCTCTGGGTTTTAACAGCTTCCCAGAGTTCCAAGGAAACAAGTTTCTAATGGTGCCATTTGGGGGCTTGTGATTGGTATTTGGCATAAGAGACCACATCCAGTTTTCTTCTCTGCTTCTGAGTTCAGGACTCCTAACCTATACAAGTCAAACCCAGGCTCCTAACAGCTTGGATTAGGAATAGATAGATCCACCAGGAGAAAGCCGTAAGGAATCATGGATATAGGAACTCTCCCTTTGAAATTGGTTTATTTAAAGCCCACATGTTCGCTTTTCACTCATCAACGTGGCAAAATTACAAAGAAGGACAATGCCTGGGACTGATATAGCAATGGCTGATGATTCACTGTCATATACTGTTGGTGGGAGAGCCGAATTGGTGAAATTATTTTGGATGTCAATTTGGCAGTATCTATTGAAAGTTTACATGTCATGTCCTCTGACTCAGCAATTTCGATTATAGGAATTTACCCTATTTTAAAAAGCTACATATGGACATAAAAATATGTACGTGAGAGTAGGTTTTCTGGCCTATGTATAATAGTGAAAAGCTGAAAGGAACTCAAATGCAAATCAACTGAGGATGAGTTAAATAAAATTCAGTATAGCAAATAATAAAATTCCATTCACATTAAAAATAATGAGAAGAATCTATATATACTATATTAGTCTGTTTGTGTTGCTATAAAAGAATACCTGAGGCTGGATAATTTCTAAAGAAAAGCAGTTTATTTGGCTCACAGTTCTGCAGGCTTTACAAAAAGCATGGTGCCAACATCTGCCTCTAGTCACGACCTCATGAAGCTTCCAATCATGGAAGAAGGCAAAGGGGGAGCCGGTGTGTCACATGGCAAGAAAGAGACAGCAAGAGAGGTACTAGGCTCTTTTAAACAACTAGCTTTCATGTGAACTAGTAGAGCAAGAACTCACTCTTGGTTCTAGTCTTGGGACAAAACCAAGCCATTCATGAGGGACCCGTCCCCATGACCCAAACACCTCCCACCAGGCCCCACCTCCAACACTGGGGATCAATTTTCAACATGAGATTGGGAGGAGACAAATATCCAAACCATATCATATACTGATATGATGATGTTCATAAAAAATTGTTATTAAATGAAAATTGCAAGTTGCCAAACAAAATGTAAAGCATGGCTCTACCCACAAAACTGTAAGTGTTTATGTAGATATCTATACATATTCATGCATGTGTGTGTGTGTGTGTGTGTGTGTGTGTGTGTGTGTGTGTTACAAAAGATTACATAGACATAGAGAAAGTCTGAAAGACTAGGCACTGCAGCGGCCATGACAATGTGAGGCTGATCCCAGCCAATGAATAAATGCAGTAAGAATACAAAAGCAGGTCCATTTCTGGGAGAGGCACAACTCCTGACACAAGACTTTGCCTCAAAGTCTGTGTCTTTCTCAGTGAAACTTTCTCAAAACTGCATTACTATCTAAGACCTTCCTTCCTTCTCTCTCTCTTCACAGGCCTCAGGTCTGCATTTCAGTCAGATGACTCTCCTCCTCTCCCCTGACTCACTCTTCATTGTCCTTACAGGTGTTTTCATTAATAAATCTCTTGCATGTCTAACCAGATTGGCATCTGCTTCTCGGAGTACTCAGACTAAAACAAAGCTGACAGTGGTTGCCTCAGAGAAGTGAAAGTATACGTAAATGTTTGCTGCAAGCATTATTACTTTTGCAAATTATTTTTCTTAAAGATCCAGAAATAATAGGAACAGCAATATAAAATGTGTGTGTTTAAAGTGAGTCTGTTTTTGTCACGAGCACACAGGAACATATGCACAGACTCACATACAGGTATTCTGGTACTCTATCAACAGAACAGGTAATGACTCCATCTAATGTTTGAACAGCACTTTATAGTTTTTATTCTCATTAGACCTCTCCCGTGACCTTGGCAAATAGGTAGATCTTCATGTTATGAACCTCTTTTTACAGCAGAAGAACTTCAGCTCTCTGAATCTTAGACCTCCTAATCCAACTCATTCTTGGTTCTAGTCTTGAAACAGCACTAAGCCATTCATGAGAGATCCACCCTCATGACCCAAACACCTCCCACTAGGCCAGTGTCCTTTCCCATTCACTAGGTTGCCTCTCTGTCCTGAAGAGCCCAGGGAACCTGGATGTGAAGCTACACCCCTAATGAACCAGCATGCAGCAGCTACACCCCTAATGAGCCAGCAGGCTGTACACAAAGCTCACTTTGACTTGGCGGCTCTGGGCAAATGTCCTGCATCAGGCCCACCCTTCTTGTCTGCTTGGGTCTGTTTGTGTTAGAGGATGTACTAACCACGGGGACCATCACAGCTCTGCAGAGTTTTGAAAAATGTAATTATTAGACAAGATGAATTTTTAGCAAGCAGGTTCTCATAGCTCTGTTGAAAAGTACTGGTACTTTAAATCTTTTCTTAAACTATTCCTCTCCAGGTGGTTAGCACCAAGTTGAAAGAAAGCCAGGCTGGAATTCCTTTCTTGAGCACACGGTAAACAGACATCACACAGTCCTCTATTTACCAGGGCAGGGATTGCCAACTGACTGTGGTCTGGAAACCTTATCTGCTTTGTTCCCTTCCCATTGCCCCAGCATTTGCAGAAGAGGAACAAACTTCTAGGTTCCTGGACTTGCCTGAGAACCAGGCCTGCAAACATGCACCGCCAGCTCCAGATACTCTAGGCATTGATTTGTGAATATTGTTATCATTATTATGGTCATTTTAACATTGGCAAATTTGGTCCAAAAACATATGGCTTTTCAAAAATTAATGTTTGTTGAGTAGTTACTACGTGTCAAGCACTGTTCTCAACACTTGAAACTTGAATTCTCACAACCTCCCAAAAATCGGATATTATTGTCCTGAGGCAATATCAAAAAACCTGAGACCAGAGAGGTTAAGTGACTTGTCCAAAGTCACACAGCAATAAGTAGTAGAGCCAAAGTTTGAACCAAGGCCATGTGATTTCAAGTAAACTCGTTTCATAAAACTACTTATCATCTGAGAAAAGCCAACTCTTAAAAAAGTAGTTTTCTCCCATGTATGTTTTCTGATTTCTCTTTCTCTTCCCCACCCCAAGAGAGGCAGCTGTTCATCTTCTTTTCCCATTATCTCTTTCACAGTGATTTTTTTTTTTTTTTACTCTATGGAAATCTCGTTCTCAAGGCATACTTGAATTGAGACATAATCTACATTCTGACTGTACCCTGAGAAAGGGAGGCAGGTGTTGACTTGGCATTGAGGGCAGACCTGATTCAGACAAGGCGAAAGGAGAGACCAAATGACTTAGGAGGAAACAGAAAGGATTCCACGATGGCACAGAGCCTGGGACAAGCTGAACCAGGTTATGACAGAGTAAGTACTTGTAAGTTCTCCTAATGCTGTTTTAAACTAATAACTCAAGATTTTAAAACTATTTTGAGATCTATGTGCTATCATCTCTAGAAGTGGCCTAGGAAAATGGACATAAGAAGTTGGAGAGTGGGCCAGGTGTGGTGGCTCACGCCTGTGTAATCCCAGTACTTTGGGAGTCTGAGATGGGTGGATCACCTGAGTTAAGGAGTTTGAGACGAGCCTGGCCAACATTATGAAACCCTCTCTCTACTAAAAATACAAAAAATTAGCCGAGCATGGTGGTGGGCGCCTATAATCTCAGCTACTCAGGAGGCTGAGGCAGGAGAATCTCTTGAACCCAGGAGGTGGAGGTTGCAGTGAGCCAAAATCGCGCCACTGCACTCCAGCCTGGGCAACAAGAGCAAAACTGTCTAAAAAACAATAATAATAATAATAATAATAATAATAATAATAATAATAATAAAGAAGTTAGGGAGTGGAACGGGGGGGTGGAAAACTACAGCATCATAAATGAGAAGTAGAAGATAATTTCAGTGTGGGAAATGGAATTTTTCTTTACTGGAAGGTAGAAGATTTTTCAAAAATTATAGGCATTGTAAGTAGAATCAAGAGCTAGCACCACCAAATCAATCATACACCTATTCAGAAGGCTGCACTAATTTTCCCCAGCCACCCTTCTTGGAGAAGACCAAACATCTGATGTCTTCTGCCGAGGAGACAGAAAACGAAAGACTGCCTGCACCAATACCTACCACCTCCAACCTAAGAAATTCTTCAAGTCAGAATCCCAAGGGGTGAATAATCATCCGATTTTGATGTTAGTTCTCCATTCTTTCCAGAGCAAGGAACCATCTGAGAGAGGAGGGGTCATTCCTCTGATCAGGAGGACAAGAAGCCAAACAGAAGCTGAAGAGTGTTCTCTAAGGACTCTGAGACCAGTGGATGGCCTAGCTAGCACAATCGTGCCTCCCTATGCACTCACTCATGTAGCATCAGCTATGAGCATGGCGTCAGAATGTTGGGACAAGCTAAGTACTTGGGGCAAATAGTGCCAGCTGCTGGCCTGAGCACCCATAGGAAAAAAGCAAGAAGAATGCCAGGTAACATTGCACCCAGGCTTTGATGGGTCACTAGGGTCAGTAGCCCAGGAGGAAGTAAAGAAGGGAGACATGAAAGTCAATGGCTAACGTGGAGATAGCCGCTTTATTTCTTCTCCTCCCAAAGACACAAACCTGCAAGGAGGTTTGTGATAACTCCTGGGGACTGTTTTTGATATTTAGCATGCAGGACCTTCTTGGCTCTGCTCTGCACTAAAATGGCATCCCTGGATGACTAGAAAAAAAGAAATGTGTACCAGGGAAATTCAGCGATAGCCTAGTGAAGCCAAGGACCAGGGATGAGTGGTTCAAAATTTTGCAAGTTTCTAAATGACCCAAGAAATTAATAAGAAGAAAATCATTTCACATGACCACTCCTGCCCCTCCAGCTTTGGTTTGTTTTGGTTTGGTTTTCTCAGATGGGGTTAACAGTGTTATCTCTAATTTGGTTATCCATAATAAAATCATTTGTGTTCTTTTAAAGGGCAGGGTCTCTCTGGAGGAGACAACTCCCTTCACAGCCTGAATAGTGGAAATTTTGCCTACATGGGGACAGAAGCCAACTTGTGAACCATTTTAGGGGCTGCAATGGGATGTGTCTCAACATAAGCATTTCAGATAACAACTGATTCACCTGCCCCTGCCTGTACTTCCCTGACACTGTCACAGCTGAAAGGCTCCTTCCTTCCCTCCCTTTCACCATCCTTGCCTCAGAATGTCCACTCCTTTACTGCTGTGGCCCCAGCTAAGCTAGCATACTTTCTTAACCATGAAATTTTTCAGAGTAGTCTTCAATTTAAATATTCAATTGTTCCTATAAATCATAAAATTATGCTGGAAGTTGCATTATGTCCACATCTAAATTTTGTCTCTTTTATTCCCTCTTAGACCCAGAAACAACAAAAAAACTTCTTGCCAGACTTTTTGTCCCAATTTTTATTTAAAAATAAACTATTCATCCATTACCAAAATATCTAGGTCTTGTGCACCAAAAATTCACGTGAATGCCATAGTTTCTTCTCTCCAAACCCATGATAGATACTCTTAGTGGAAGACAGAACTCAGAATCCTCAAAGCAATATAATCTTCAAGGCTAAGAGTCATTGTCCATCAATTATTCATTTGTTCTAACTTTTGAAAATTTATTTATACTAAGATTTTATTGTCTGACAGATTAATGTAGTGCCCCTTGCAGGTGTTTCTTACCTAGATATCTGTATGTCAAGATATCTGTATTTTAGATCTCATCCTGCACAGTAAGTGCATTTTAAAAAGAAGACACCTGTGTGGATGTGGATAGTCTCTTTATCCAAGTACTGCACGTCTAACTATAAAATTTCAGAAGTTCAAGTAGATAGGCAAAACAGAGCTGAGGGCTCTCCTGTGTCTTCAAACAGAATAAAGTGGGAAACCCCAATTCCACATGTGCCCAAGACAATCCCAGTGTGTAAGTAAAACAAGTTCTTCAAATTGGGACATTGTATGTCTCAGAGAAATAAAGTTACTAATTCATGAATCCACCTCTTATCTATTATAGAATACCAAAGATGTAAGGTACTCGACATTCACCAGGACTACCTAGTTCTCTCTGGTGGCCAGAAATGTTCAGAAAGAATGGAAATGTACTCCTACTCCCTACATATTATCGCACTGTCAAAAATGTGTGCACACATGAATCATGCCCATAAAAGATGATTTGCAGATGTATTTATTATAACTGAGCTATTTCAGAAAATGTTTGGTGTCTAGGGGATTATTTTAAGGATGATAATTAGCATGCATGCACCACCTTCAGAAGTGCTTCTGTATTAGCAATGCTGTTTAATTTCTGAATTTATAATGTCACATTTTATGACTTCAAATAAAGATTGAGACAAGACTCAAAGTTGGCTGCCACTTCTAAAAAGCATCACTGAACTGTCTGAGGACAGTTTAAAGGGGTAATAATAGTAACATGAAACTTTTTGTTCAATTGCTGTAATTTTCCATTATAGCCCCAATTTCAAATATTGAATTTCAGGCTAGAGAGGGTAGCCTGGTTCCTTAGTAAACTTATAGAGTGGGTGATTTTTGTAATTTAAATAAAAAGTGTAGTAGACTGTTTTCCTTTGAACACAGACAAAAAAGGCTGGTTGCCAATTCTGGACTGTATTAAATGACTGTAAACCATCAAGATGGTATATTCATAAGCTTTTTCGTTTTCATCATAATAATGAGAGGTGAAGCCAGCTGGACTTCCTGGGTCGAGTGGGGACTCAGAGAACTTTTCTGTCTTACAAGTGGTTTGTAAAATGTACCAATCAGTGCTCTGTAAAAACACACTAATCGGCACTCTGTACCTAGCTAGAGGTTTGTAAAATGCACCAATCAGTGCTCTGTAAAAATGCACCAATCAGCCCTCTGTAGCTAGCTAGAGGTTTGTAAAATGGACCAATCAGCACTCTGTAAAATGGACCAATCAGCACTCTGTAAAATGGACCAATCAGCAGGACATGGCTGGGGACGAATGAGGGAATAAAAGCTGACCACCCCAGCCAGCAGTGGCAACCCTCTCGGATCCCCTTCCATGCTGTGGCAGCTCCGTTCTTTCGCTCTTCACAATAAATCTTACTGCTGCTTACTTTTTGGGTCCGTGCCACCTTTAACAGCTGTAACACTCTCCGCGAAGGTCCACGGCTTCATTCTTGAAGTCAGCGAGACCACGAAGCCACCAGAAGGAACAAACACTGGACACAATAAGAGTACAAAAATGTAAAGCAAACTCTTTTTTGTGCTTTGACTCCCAACTTGGAAGTATAGAGGTAATCACAAAATCTAGGTCCTATTGCTCAGCACACAGAAAGCCAATCACTGAGACAATGAGTATTGCCATGGAAGAAGGATTTATTTGGGTGCTACAGCTGAGGAAAATAAAATATCAGTCTCAAATCCATCTCCCTGACTGTCTAAAACTGAGTGTTTATATAGCAGGGAAAAACTGTAACTGCATGCAGGTAAACAGGAATTAGGGAGGAGTAAGGAAATCATGAGCAATGAGGGCTTTGGCTTCCAGTTGTCTGGATGTGGTCGTCTGGCGAGTTTCAGTTCCTTCATACTATCTGGGAGGCCTGATGATTGGTTTCCTGAGAAAACTCAGATAAGACAAATACAACTTTCTCAAGTTTTATGACGGGGGTGGGGGGAGTCAATTTCTATGTTTATTCAAAAAAAACCATAAACAACAGTTCTATGGGACAATTGAGCTGGTTTCAATTTTATTTTTTTAAAAGTGTTTAAGTTAAATGAATGCTTGATGAAGGAATTAGACCTCCAAGGAAAATCAATGGTTTGCTAAAGTTCGCCCAGCTAGCTAGAGTAGAACTTGGACTTCAATCCAGGCTTGTGAATCTTAAAAAAGATTGCCAAGGGGTTGCAAATGTTAATATTGTAGCAACACAAGAAAGGCATTTTTTTATATGTTCTAAGCCATCTTCACACATTGAGTCCCAGAACTAATGGCCTCCCCAAGTCAAGAATAATTTCATAGGCTAGGTACAAGATCTCTTTTGCTCTTTTTAAAGAGAGGTTTTTGGGTTTGTTTTTGGCTCATTGCTTCTTTTTATGCCTTCTGAAGAACTAGGTTGAAGAACTCCTCCACAGGAACTAGGAGCCAGGACACCTTTGTTTAAAACATTGCTGTGGAGGAAATAAAACTAGGGGTGTTACCAGCTGCTCTGAAGTTATGCCTCTCAAAGGTATGTGATCTGTTTCCACAGAGCTCAGCTCACCGGTTTGCAGAACAATTTGGTACTTTCATCGGGAAGAGTGATTACTACATTAGTAGTTGCTGGAAACAACTTCTATTGTCCTGATTATTCTTTGTCAAGAATTCCTTGTAATCAGATCAGTGAAACATTGTTATCCTAGAGCAGTCCCCTCAGGATCACTCACCCTGTTATCTGTGAGCTTGTGCAGAGGAGGGTTTAGCCTATACTGTTTGAACACAGAAATACAAGTCATCCAAATTGCTTCAGTTGTTCCTGCTGAAAATGACATCCTTTTACCCATTTCCTCCACCCACTGAACCCAACTATCAGCTGAACAATATTGAAGTGCGAAGTCAGTGGGCCATGTAGTCGGGTTAATATGTACATGTTCGGTTAGATAAGCAAGCAGCATGCCCAGGAAACCTAAAAGTATCTTTCATTCCCAAACAGCAATGGTAACAAAGATGATGGTTAGAGGAGAAAAAAGTTATTAAGTTATCAGAGGTGGTTGGTCAGAAAGGCTGTGCTTCCTGAGTAGTCAAAGATTGTCCATGTGACTCAACTGAAACAAAGAGAAGCAGCATTTCAGAACACTTCTAAGACTTCCTGGAGAGCCGAATAAGGACAAAAGGCCAAGGATACGCTAGGTCAAGCAATCAGAACTGAGATTTGGGTCCTAAATTCCACACTTTGATACTGTGTTTGCCTAATGCACACTTGCATCTGTGCACTACTTGTCTTTCAGCACACCATGAGAGATGTCCATCTTGTTCCATTCATGACATCCTCAAGACCACAGTTTAGCAGGTTTTGTTGTACTCTAAGAGCCTGCATGGGGAATATGTTGTTTTGTTAAGACTTGACTTTGGAGGGTGGAGGAGCTCAAAGGAAAGTGAGTTCAGTTTCCAGGCCAAGGCCAGAGGGAAGAGCTTCTCACTTGGAAGCAGCAAAGGAAGAATCTCTGGCTGGGCCACCAGAGCCTTACCCAGTGAATTAATGTCATGGCCCGAGGAGGCCAAGGCCAGTGAACCAGCCATCTCTCACAGGTTGGTGATCCAGTTAGTTCCATCCATCACACCATTTATTTGCTCCAGAGAAATGTTTGGCAACTCTTTGTTGTATAGTTGGGCATCCCCCTGCCAAAAAAGAACATGAACTTGACTCTGTAATCCAAATCATTCAAATTGCAGAGGCACAAGCTTTACCCATCAGATGTGCGTGAGCAGGTTAACCATGACTGGCTTGGATCCCTGAAACATGCCAAGAATGATAATAGAATAATAGTAGCAAACACTTATTTGGCATTTATTAGATGTCAGACACTGTTCTAAGCACTTTCATATATTAACCTCTCTGGGCCTCACTTATCCCATATGTAAAATGAGACTGATAATAGTACCTGTGCCCTTGAGTTATTATAAGGAGTAAATGGGTTATAAAATGTGCCCTGTTTAACACCTTTCTCAGGCCCGTCATATGGCAGGTGGGGATGTTACTACTTTTTTTTTTTTTTTGCAGACAGAGTCTTACTCTGTTGTCCATGCTGGAGTACAGTGGTGTGATCTTGGCTCACTGCAATCTCCTCCTCCCGGGTTCAAGCAATTCTCCTCCCTCAGCCTCCTGAGTAGCTGGGACTACAGGTGCACACCACCACGCCTGGCTAATTTTTTGTATTTTAGTAGAGACGGGGTTTCACCACATTGCCCAGGCTGGTCTTGAACTCCTGAGCTCAGGCAATCTGCCTGCCTTGACCTCCCAAAGTGCTGGGATTACAGGCATGAGCCACTGCACCAGGCCATTATTACATATTAAGAAATCAAGCAGTTTGATTCTAGAATCTTGGCTTTTAGCCACTTATATTAACCACGTGCCTAACTTCTGTAAACTTGACATTTTCATATCTGTCCTACATGCATATGTCAAACACACCTCATTCTAGACAACCCAATAATATGTCTCAGTCACGTTGCCTTGTCCTCCTGCCTCTCTTGTCAACTGACCCCCCCCACTCCCTTTACCTGGAGAAGTCCCCCTCCCAGGTTATGCTTTTCAAATAAAAAACAACCAACCCGGAGCTCACAGCCCCAAACCACCTCTTACTGGGCTCTCACACTCCAAGCTACTACACCCCTGCCCTAATTACCCTATGGCCAAATACCAGACAGGTAGGGATAGCCTCTATCCCTCAGAGCCCATTGAAATTATTAAACTAGCCAATCCTAAGTCAGTTCACCTTGCCTCACCCAAGCTTTTCCCAAGGAAAACAACAAAGGCTCTTGCCCACTGTTCTCCCCTCTTCCTCTGCCTCCTGACTCATCCCAGGGCTTCCCCATGAGGCCCCCGTGGTATGGCATGTCCCTTCCTCTTGGGAACTGCAAGTGATAAACTATCTTTTCGGGTTTGTTTGTTTGTTTGTTTGTTTGTTTGTTTGTTTTTACATAATTTTATTATTTTTTAAAAGAGCATCCTAGTAAATTTCTCCATATCTGCACAAGTATTTTTTTGGATAGATTACCAGATGTGGACTTCACAGCTCAATGGTATATGAATTTCAAATTTTGGTAACTTACCTAAAACTTTACTTTCCAAGACATGATATCAATATATAGCTTCTCTGCCCTTTACCATTAATCTATACTAGATTATTAATTTTTAAAATCTTTACTGTTAGCTGAGAGAATATGGATAAGTAAATTTAAAGTATATTAATGTGATGTAATACTATATCTGAGCTAAAATGTGTCCGGAATTGGTGGGTTCTTGGTCTCACTGACTTCAAGAATGAAGCCGCGAACCCTTGCAGTAGTGTTACAGCTCTTAAGGTGGCGCGTCTGGAGTTGTTCGTTCCTCCCAGTGGGCTCGTGGTCTTGCTGGGCTCAGGAGTGAAGCTGCAGATCTTCGCAGTGAATGTTACAGCTCATAAAAGCAACGTGGGCCCAAAGAGTGAGCAGTAGCAAGATTTATCGCAAAGAGCGAAAGAACAAAGCTTCCACAGTGTGGAAGGGGACCCGAGCGGGTTGCCCCGTTTCTTTTTTTTTTTTTTTTTTTTTTGAGATGGTGTCTCGCTCTAGTTGCCCCAGCTGGAGTGCAACAGCACGATGTCAGCTCACTGCAAACTCTGCCTCCCTAGTTCAAGTGATTCTCCTACCTCAGCCTTCTGAGTAGCTGGAATTACAGGCACCCGCCACCATGCCCAGCTAATTTTTTGTATTTTCAGTAGACATGGGTTTTTGTCATGTTGGCAGGCTGGTCTTGAACTCCTGACCTCAGGTGATCCACCCACCTCAACCTCCCAAAGTGCTGGGATTACAGGCGTGAGCCACCACGCCCGGCCATAAACTATCTTTTCAATGGCAATTGCCTCTTGATCTGTTGGCCTTACTATACTCAAATTTTCTATTGATACACATGTTGAAAAATACCACTGTACCCAGCAAAAATAAGTTCCTATGAATCAGACCAGGAATGCCTGCTGTGTACTCAGTTCAATTCATCTCTGAAGCCTTTCTTGCTTCCCATGATTACTGGGTGGAATGCCAAAGAATCTACTTTTGTATGAGAAGAGCCTGGGGATACTTCACTAAATAGAGGTCCATATCCTTGGCCTCATCTTATATTGGTGTTTCCTTCTCACAGAGCAGGTAGGACTCCTGTTTTAAAGTACAGTACTACTAAGGTTGCTGTACATCTTCAAAATACACAAAGATATAAAACATGCAAACATTCCTGTTCTAGGAAAAGAAACTATTAAAATTTTGAGATTTCCCACTGGATGTATTTGGGTTAGAAATTCTTCTTGCTTAGGACAAAAAACCAAACACCGCATGTTCTCACTCATAGGTGGGAATTGAACAATGAGAACACATGGACACAGGAAGGGGAACATCACACTCTGGGGACTGTTGTGGGGTGGGGAGAGGGGGGAGGGATATTATTAGGAGATATACCTAATGCTAAATGACGAGTTAATGGGTGCAGCACACCAACATGGCACATGTATACATATGTAACAAACCTGCACATTGTGCACATGTACCCTAAAACTTAAAGTATAATAATAATAATAAATAAATAAATAAATAAAAACATATGTGACTGAGGTTACATAGCAAATAAATGACAGAGCTAGAAAAAAATAAAATAAAAAATAAAATAAAATGATGATTAATGGAACAACGAGTAGACCTAATGACCTATCCTGTACATTTTGATTTAGGCAGATGATTAAACTAAATGGTCTCAGATAAAAAATAAATAGTATTGAAAAGAAATGATCAAAATGTGATTCTTACAGTTCTTCAAACTTTGTAATAGAAGAATAAACATTAAAGAAATTACATCAAAAAAAAAAAAAGAAATTCTTCTTGCTTGATACTTACCTGGATGGGTAGAAATGAATCTAAAAACCAGAGGGAAAAACCTACTCCTTGGTATCCTACATAAGGCAAAGGAAAGTTATGATTGA
The DNA here is from genome assembly GCF_000001405.40 of Homo sapiens. Classification (NCBI taxonomy): domain Eukaryota; kingdom Metazoa; phylum Chordata; class Mammalia; order Primates; family Hominidae; genus Homo; species Homo sapiens. The sequence goes on along the minus strand of NC_000015.10, from coordinate 45,845,251 downwards.
ATAGATGAAAAGCCTAAGGAGGGTATTAAACAGGGTCAGAATGTTACTCCACTTTCTTCCAGCATAACCATCGGACAGCCCCCACAAAGGCTGGGTCTCCACAATGGGCTACAGACAAAATCCCCAGAGTAGATGCCAATATGCAAACCAGCTCAAAATCCCAGAAGTGCTTGAGCCATGTTCCAAATTCAGAGGAACTCGTTATATAAGGAATTATCTGACAAAACAGATAATGTCTGAAGATAATGTGACATAGTATTTGATAGGAAACAAAACCTGAATAAAATCCTTTGGCTACTCTCTGACTCTAGATGTCTTAAAATGTACATCTCCTTGTAATCAGAAGAATCAAAGTACAGTCACGCCTAAGGAAGGAGGTCCTCCTTGTATTGACAGCCATTGAGACAGCCTGCCTGTGGATACCTGGTGCAGAATGACACACTAGCGAATTTTAAAATCATAGTATCACTTCAAGGCAATTTGCTAAAATGAAACATTGAGACCCCACCACATCTAACTCGCTTCCTCATTTAAGTAAATTGTATTTATGAGAAAATGCTTTATTTGCATCAATGGCATATGCATTGGATGCCAGATTTATCTCAATTCAAATATGCATTTTAACATTGTAAACATATGGTTACAATTTCCGTGGGGCTGTTTAGGAACTTTTTATGGATCAAATCCTTAGTCCTGACATCCCAGCCAGGTTCAGAGATTTTTTTTAACTGTTGCAAAGCTCTTTACTTCCTAAAGGCTCATTTATAACAGGAATTTGGAAGTGTTTATATGCTCTTTGGTGTTGTCTATAATTACTTTCTCAGCTGAAGTGGTAGTAAGGAGGGAGATCTAGATGGAGAAAGGAGATGAGAAGAGGCTGAATAAATAAATAAAAGTGTCTTATGGGGAATCTCTTTCATCTCTCTGGTCTTGTAATTTTCTTTTTTTTCCCCAACTATAATTGAAAAAATGAATGCCCAAGTTCTACCACAGATATTAAAAGGAAAATGGCTGGGTTTTTTTACGTGGGTGTCCTAGGCTTGAGGTTCGAATAACCACTATGTAAAGGGCCATGTCCAGAGAGGAGATTGGAAACAGCGATAACTGAGTTTTGTCTCCATGGTCACTTAGACACACTTGAGAAAACTATTTCACTTTACCCCAGAGATTATGAAAAATAGCTTTTTTAGCCTTCCATTATGTGTACGTTGTATGAATGAGTTCAAGATAGGGTACTCGAACGCCTGTAATCCCAGCACTTTGGGAGGCCAAGATGGGCAGATCACAAGGTTAGGAGATCAAGACCATCCTGGCTAACATGGTGAAACCCTGTCTCTACTAACAATACAAAAAATTAGCCGGGCATGGTGGTGGGCGCCTGTAGTCCCAGCTACTCGGGAGGCTGAGGCAGGAGAATGGCGTGAACCTGGGAGCCGGAGCTTGCAGTGAGCCGAGATCTCGCCACTGCACTCCAGCCTGGGGGACAGAGCAAGACTCCGTCTCAAAACAAAAACAAAAACAAAAACAAAACAAAAAAAAAACAGGTTACTTGAAAGTAAAATTGCTATTCTGAGGGTTACTGAGATAATACTCGAAACTTGCACTATGTGATGTACCTTCATGAGGAAAAGCTTTTTGTAATCCAGAAACTCTGGGCTCAGACTTAAGTGGTATTTGGCTAAAAATTCACCAAACTTGAAATCAGTGAAGACTTCTGGGACAGTGGTCTTTCTTTCTTTTCTTTGTCTTTCTTTTCTCTTTCTTTCTTTTCTCTTTCTTTCTCTTTCTTTCTTTCTTTCTTTCTTCCTTCCTTCTCTTTTTCTTTTTCTTTCTTTCCTCTTTCCTTCTTTCCTCCTTCCTTCCTTCTTTTCTTTTCTTTCTTTCTCTTCTTTCTTTTCTCAGAACATTCCATTCTGCCTGACAGAGCTCAGATATCTCACTCCTCTCACTACATTTGCCCACCCCCTGGATTGCATCTACCTACAAGGTGCGGAAACACAGTGAGGAGCCCTGAACAGCAAGCAGGCAGATGGGAACCACTAGGCAGCAATCTCTGACGACACACTGCATTAAAATGTGGCTACTGCTTACAATAACCACACGGCACTTTTTCATTCACGCATCTGTGATGCTTATAAAGGTATGATTAACATTTTTAATGATGCAAATGTTTATATATTGTATATAAACTATATATTACTATAGAAGATTTTCAGGTATGTTTTTAAATTTTAAAAGCAAGCTTCTGAACCATGGATATAATATCCTACCCTTTTTTTTTAAGGCTAGGAGTTACTTATATACACGTTTTCTATGTATCAACTATTACTGGAAGCATACACAAGAAACTGATAACATGGTTGCATCAGGGAAAGAGAACTGGGCAACTCATGGTCAGAGATGGGAGAGAGGCTTACTTTTCAGGATATACCATTTTGTCCTGTTTATCATCTACACATATATTCATAAACCAGAAATTAATAGAATATACATACAAATAAAACAATAATTCATATAGTCTAGTCTCAGAACAGGATCATCTCCAAAAAACGCAGCAGACAAAAGAAGTAATTTTGGAAAAACTCAAGTGTTTTATTTGTATTTATTGAATACATAGAGGTGGCTTGTTTCTCTCTTCCACTTCCCTTCCCACCCCATTGCCTTTATCCCCTTTGTTTTGAAATTCTCTACAAAACTCCACTCCCAAGCCTAGAGCCCTGCACCTCTATCCTTTCCCTCCTTCTCTTTTCTCCAGATTTTACATGATAAATCCACACTAAGCTGGACTGTGAACTCAGGATCCCACTCACAGGGCAGGGAGGGGAGAAAACTGGACAAACCCGGAAACCTATTTAATGAGGCAGGGAATGGAACAGCAGAGGCACAGCTGACTGGTTAACTTTTAATCCCATTTCACAATGTTTATTGACCAATCAGGAGAATTTGACAACTGCAGCTCTGGAAAGCTGGAGTCAGGATACCTGGGCACAACCTGCATTGTCTTCCCATGAGGAATGGCCTTGCCAGTAGTGCATCTAGCTAAAGCACCAGGAGAGCTCTGTGTTCATAAATACACCCTTAAATGCTACACATCAAAAATGGTGAGACATAAACATACATACTTATGTTTATATATTATGACATTGTGATGCATAGTAAGAAATGTGTGTTTTGGCTTTCATCCCCATTTCCCAAAATGGAGCTCCTAAACCTTTGTAATTTGCTGACTGATAGGGGTACTAGATGCATCTTTTGTTCTAATGTTTGGTCTTTGACCCAGGTTCCTGACATAATGCTCCTAACCCCTTGGAATTTACTAGGAGACAGGAGCATCTTTTGTTCTAATGAGGTGACTCTCTCGGTGGAGTCCTGGATGGGGGCTGATCACCAGAAGAACCCAGCCGTGTTTAGAAGCTTGGAGCTTTCAGCCCCACCCCCGGTCCTCTAGAAAGGGGAGAGAAGCTGAAGAATGAATTAATAATCAATCATGCCTACATGATGAAGCCTCCAAATGAGACGGGAGAGTTCCCTTGACCCCTTCACGGGACTTGTGACAGGGGTGTGGCTCACTTACTCGGCTGCCGCCCAGCTCAAACCCCTTGTGGGAGTGGGAGCAGGCAGGTGAGCGGGTGCCGAGGCTGGGCAAGCACTTTTGGGCTCCGGCCCCAAAGCAGCATCTAGGGGTGTGTTACAATTAATGCTGTTTTAGCACTTGCCATCCACAGATGGCTAAGTGTGAACCAGCTCAGTGGAGAGTGAGTGCGACAGCCTTTTACACCCTGCCCTCTTGGTACTCAGGCTCTTGTTCAGCATGCAGGAAGAACCAGGTCACACAAACAGTTTGAAAGGTGATGAATGTGGAGGATTTTATTAAGTGGTGGAAGTGGCTCTCAGCAGAAGGTGGGCTGTGAAGGGGATTGTGTGGGAAGAAAATGGTCCTTCCCTGAAGCCCAGCCATCTCCGGCCAGGCTCCTCTCTGAAGTCATGCCATCTGAGGTTAAGTTGTGTCTCTCCCTAGTCTCAGATGCTCAGTTGCTTCTTCTCCTCTCAATGTTCAGCTGCTTGCTTCTTTGCCAGCTGAGGTCTGGGGTTTATATGGGCACAGGATGGGGGGCAGGGAGGGCCAAAAAAGGCAACATTTGGGCAGGAAACAGGGATAACTGTTTTCACCTAGGGCTGCAGTTTCCAGACTTGAGGGTGGGGCCTTTCCCAGGCAACCACCCTCTTCTACCCAATATTTCCCCACCTCCTGTCCATATCACAAAGAAATCCTGAAGTATGGGGTTCAGAGAGCCTCTGGGCTTGTAAATAAGAAGGCATCCATGTGCTGGGTGGGTGGTGCATCCCAACTCCACAGGGAGGGAATTTGCTGTGCTCAGGATCCTTCCAAACCTCGTCCTGTGTGCCTCTTACCTATCCCTTATCATATCCTTGATTAAGTAATAAGCCAGAAAATATACATGTTTCCCAGAGTTCTGTGAGCCATTGCGGCAAATGATCAATCCCAAAGAGAGGGTTACAAGATCCCTCCCCCAGTTTATAGCCAATTGGTCAGAATTACCAAAGGTCTGGGCTTATGACTGGCGTCTGAAATGGGGGGCAGTCTTGTGGGACTGAGCCCTTAACCTGTGGGATCTGACTTTTAACTCCAGGTAGATAGTGTCAGAATTGAATTGAATTACAGGACATCCAGTTGGTGTCTGCTGGAGAACTGGTCAGGATATTTGGGGGAAAAAAACACACACACATTTTGGTGACCAGAGTGTTCTGTGTTGTGATGAGTATCGAGTACAGTAGAAGAAAACAGACAGTTTGCTTCATTTGTGGTTTTTTTCCCCATTATACACACACACACGTATGATATATATAAGCCTCAAGTATAAAGAGGATGGTGTTGCAACTGAAAATTACGCTTCGCAGATCTGGGAAGACCCACTTTTGGTGGACAACATCACTGCTAGCCACACATCCTCCCACTGGGGGTTGCAAGGTCTGGGGAAGCTGGGTTGAGAAACAGAGTGTATGCTCTGACTCTGCGTGGCCTGACTCTCCCTCTAGCTAATTTTTGTATCCTTTATTAAAAAAATTGATAATATGATTTACTTTAGAATGTGTACAGGTGTGTGTGTATGCCAATATGAACCTTACCTGAGACACTGCACACAAAGAAAGGTGACCATCACAAAGTCAATGAAAGTTTAAAAAATATATTTCAAGACAAACTTTGGCAATACCTCTTGAGTCTCAGTTCAGATAGTAAGACTCTACTTATCTAGGCCTGGTGGCATGTCATTTCCTACTATGGACCAAACTGCCTCATGCAATTAAAACTTGATGCAATGAAACATTAAAGTCTTATAATTAACACTCTTAATTCTGATTCCCTACTCACAAGACAGTATTATTTATAATGTAGTTTTCCACACAATAAGCTACAGACAACACAAGTGTTTGGCTCTTTCTACAGTTCTATTTCTTATTGCAAATTAATTCACTGGTGTTCTGGTTTTATACATCAGTCTCTATAAGCTTGGTTAAATGTGAGTCTGCCCCCTGATAAATTTTTCTGCATTTAGTGAGCTGGGAAAAAAAATGGGATTCTCAGTCTGAAAGGCTGGGCCCTGGACAATAACAAATTCTCACTTTCGGGGGGCTTCTCAGAAGATAGCGTATAAGCCATTTTAAAACTTATTCTTTGTGAAGAGTGCATCTTTTAAGCTTTTTTTTTTTTTTTCAGACAAAGTCTCACTCTTGTCCCCCAGGCTGGAGTGCAAAGGTGCAATCTCGGCTCATTGCAACCTCTGCCTCCCGGGTTCTAGCAATTCTCCCGCCTCAGCCTCCCGAGTAGCTGGGATTACAGGCGCTTGCCACCACGCCCGGCTAATTTTTGTATTTTTAGTAGAGACGGGGTTTCGCCATGTTGGCCAGGCTGGTCTCGAACTCCAGACGTCAGGTGATCCGCCTGCCTCGGCCTCCCAAAGTGCTGGGATTACAGGCATGAGCCACCGCGCCTGGCCTAAACTTTTAAAAATACATATTTATAGGCCGGGTGCAGTGGCTCATGCCTGTAATCTCAGCACCCCAGGAGGCCAAGGCAGGTCACCTGAGGTCAGGAGTTTTGACACCAGCCTGGCCAACATGGTGAAACCCCATTTCTACTAAAAAATACAAAAATTAGCTAGGTATGGTGGCACGCACCTGTTATTCCAGCTCTTTGGGAGGCTGAAGCTGAAGAATCACTTGAACGTGGGAGGCAGAGGTTACAGTGAGCTGAGATGGTGCCATTGTACTATATATAGCCTGGGAGACAGAGCAAGACTTCATCCCCAAAAAAAAAATTTTAATAAAAATTAAATAGAGTATATATTTATAAGTAATGGACTCTTGTAGAAAGTTTAGAGAAAACATAAAAGTTAAAAGAAGATAAAAATCAGTCATACAACCAACTTTAGATAACACTATTAAATACTTGATATATTTCTTCCTAATTTTAATTTTGTGTGTGTATCTCTGTAAATACATGCAAAATTTAAATTATACTAGAAATAGCTTTGTAACCTGTTAATTTCACTAAACATAATATTCTGAACCTTTCCTATGCCATGAAATATATTTTTAAAACACCTTTAATCAATCCCCTTTTGGATATTTAAGTTAATTCCAATCTTTTGTTAGAATAAAACATCCATTGATTAATATTTCATCTTCATATATAATTCTTTACTCACAGCTCTGAATATTTATTTAGAGTAAATTTCTAGAGGGAATTATTGACTCAAAAGGTATGAACATTTTTGGTGCTTTCATCTCTATTGCCAGATTACACCCAAAAACTTGCTGACCTGATTTTTAATAATATCAGCAATTTTCCTTTCAGTACCAGAATGAGAATTTTGCTAGTCTCTCACTAAGAATGAACGAACAATTACTATTTTTTAATGTTTCACCAATGTGAAAGGCAAAATTTTATATTTGCTTTGTAATAACTTGCGCTTCTTTTATACTTCATGCGTCTGAGTATTTATTCCAATATTTGTGGCCACTGTAATTCTTGTTTTGTGGTTTTGCTCCTTCCTGCCCTTGATACATTGTCTTCTTGAGATATTCACCATTTTATATACTGATTTGTAAAATCACTTTTATATTAATCCCATGCTGCATGTTGAATCTTCTACCCAGTTTATTTCATTTAGATTAGTTATGCTTATGGGAATTCCTTCTGGATAGATGGAACTTTTAGATTTTTTTCTTTGGTTTAGAGATCTCAGTCAGCACCCACCTGTCCCCACTTTCTTCTGAGTGAATCTGCAGTCAATGGCTCCTGCTGCCAAGCACTGGTGCTTTACACCAATGACACCCCTTCCTTACGGGTCACAACTGGTGGATGAGGGGCATGCACTTGGCCCACAGACAGCTTCTCCATAGCGTGACCTGCAGCCTATGCCTATCGCACAGCCCAACATAATAGCAGAGATGTGATTATACATGGAGATAAATTTCTGTCTCTCACAGCTAGCAAGTAGGGCCAGATCTGAAAGTAATAGATTCCATGAAAAAGAGTTGGCAAGCCAAAGGAATGTGCAAGCAGAGGGAGGCATGATCAGAAACAAACAGAGGAAACAAGCGACCACAGAGAAGATAAAGGATAAATGTGAGGATAGAGGCAGTGCTGCCCTGAAAGAAAGCCCACAAACCCTATCAGGTAGACACAGAAACCAAAGTAGGCCCTTTATCTGCTTTGGTTCCTTGGAATTTTATATTTCCAAGATGAGGCCCCATGTAAGTATATGATTCAAGCCCACAACTTGAATTTGAGATGGCTTTTTATTTCCCCCTTGCATACAGAACAATCATTCTAGAACAGTGGTTCCTAGCCAGTGGCGATATTGCCCCCTAGGGAAACTTTGACAACATCTGGAAACATTTTTGATTGTCATGAGTGGGGGGCTGCTATTAACATCTAAGAAGCAGGCACCAGGAATGATGCTAAGCATTCTACAATGCTCAGGCCCCCACAACAAAGAATGATTTAGCCCAAAATAGGAATAATTGAGAAACTCTGTTTTAGAACAAGTGTTCAGATTTTTTTGTAGTTTCCGTCTTTGCATTCATGCTTAGAAAGTCCTTCCCTACTCTGTGATAAGACAAATACAGTAAGTCCTCACTTAACATCCCTTGATAGGTTCTTGGAAACTGTGACTTTAAGTGGCACAATGTATGTCAAACCCAATTTTACCATAGGCTAATTGATATAAACAAAAGTTCAGTTCCTATGGTATACTTCTGGTCACGAAAACATCACCAAACTTCTAAGACCCGAAACACTTCTAAGATTAAACATTGAAATAAATGTGAGCTCGCCTGTAATCCCAGCACTTTGGGAGGCCAAGCTGGGTGGATCACAAGGTCAGAAGATCAAGACTATCCTGTCTAACACGATAAAACCTTGTCTCTACTAAAAATACAAAAAATCAGCCGGGCGTGGTGGCGGGCGCCTGTAGTCCCAGCTACTCTGGAGGCTGAAGCAGGAGAATGGCGTGAACCGGTGAGGCAGAGCTCGCAGTGAGCCGAGATCACGCCACTGCACTCCAGCCTGGGTGACAGAGTGAGACTCTGGGAAAAAAAAAAAAAAAAAAAAAAGAAGGAAGGAAAAGAAAAGAAAAGAAAGAAAGAAATGTGAGCTATACATATATTTAAGAAAGATTAATAAAAAAAAAAAAAGTAAGGGCTGGGCACGGTGGCTCACGCCTGTAATACCAGCACTTTGGGAGGCCGAGGCGGGCAGATCACAAGGTCAAGAGATCGAGACCATTCTGGCCAACATGGTGAAACCCTGTCTCTACTAAAAAGTACAAAAATTAGCCGGGTGTGGTGGCACGCGCCTGTAGTCCCAGCTACTCGGGAGGCTGAGGCAGGAGAATCACTTGAACCCGGAAGAGGGAGGTTGCAATGAGCCGAGATCGCGCCACTGCACTCCAGCCTGGCAACAGAACGAGACTCCATCTCAAAATAAATTAATTAATTAATTAATTAATTAATTAATTAAATTTTTAAAAAGTAAGGTAATTATTTACCCACTTATCAGGGTTTTGAGTGGCTGGAGCCTATCCCAAGAGTCCAGGATTCAAGGCAGGAACCTACCCTGGACAGGACGCCATTCCATCATAGGGTGCACTCACACACAGCCACGATCGCTCAGACTGGGACAACATAGACGTGCCAATTAACCTAATATTCATATCTTTGGGATGTGGGAGGAAACCGAACTATCTGGAGAAAAATCTAGCAGACATGGGGAGAATGTGCAAACTCCACACAGATAATGGCTCCAGCCAGGAATCGATTTTTTATCTCATCAGCATTGTAACAAAATGACTATTCAAGGACATGCTGTATTGACCTATATTATCTTCTATTTCTATGATTTAATTTTTAATGTTTCTTTTTCTTCAAAATTTCTAGTAACAAGAAAGCCTTGTTAATGGCAGGGAGATCAGGAAACTAACTAAACTTACAAAACAGGTCACAATGTCTTCATGCCTATGATTAGCATATATCACCAGAAGACAGTGTGGCAGAGAGTCTCACCAAGTTTTTTTTTATTATTATTATTAAATCTACTCTTCTGTGAAGGTGAACTGGAGAGTGTGAAACTCTGTATTCCCCCTAAGTGGAGAGGCAAATGCTAATAAGTTCCTTAGCATTGTACTGAAAATATAGAGCCTACTTGCTACAAAGTTGGTGACATACGGGATACTGTATTCACTCTGCCAACCAGAGGTTCAAAGTTGAAACACTGGGGTAGGCTTAAGATGGTGGTACTCATGGAATTGGTGTCAGTACACTGGTCATCAGTCTTACTGGGCAGAAGTCTCTTACTCCATGGGATTTTTAGAGAGGACACAAAAGCATGAAAGTAGGAGGATGCTCTGAAAGAATGCCATGAAGAGAGGAGTGGAATGTGCATAAGCTTTGGTAAAAGTTTACTCTTTTGAGCTGGTCTTCAGATGCCACATCCTCTGCTCCTTCCTTGTTGCCAACATTATGGGGTCCATAAAATTTCCCAAGATTCTGCAGGGCAGATGGCTTCCATCCTCACATCACCATAACAATCCATATTCCACAGTAAGTAACAAGCATGATTGAGAAAACAGATGCAATGAGCCCGCCAATGCAATATATGCCCCTCAACCTACAATTCTTTGTCCTGGGAGGAGTTGGCTCATCTGGAAATTTAGTTGGTAACTTGTAACAGACTGCACGCACGTTAGCCTTACTCTTCCAGAACTCAGATTCTCTTCTCTGTGTCTACCCTGAATCAAAGATTAAATCATTTTATCTTTCACTGATCTGGAAAGTGGAAAAAAATAAGGCAATTTTTGCCCAGTTACTTCAGCTTCCATCCCCATTGCAATGTAAACTGCAACCTAAGCAGTTCTCTGAAATCTCAATAGCAGCATTTTTCTGATCTGCAGTTGCCAACAAATTATCACCGTGACTCTATTAGGACTTCTGTCTCCTTTCTCTGGCCCCTTAGAACTCTGCATTCTTGTGTTCAGTCTTTCTTTTGAGCATTCCTTCCTTGAACACCAATACCTTTAAGCCTAAACACCCTCACTTCCCTAGTACCTAAGAGCTACGTTAACACACATAAACCTGGGTATGTGCAAAACATCCACAAGAAGAAAAATGAATAACTGCAATATGGAATACAACATTTTTCACACAAATGGTAACCACCAATGCCATAATTGGAAAGTGTGCCTCTAAACAAAAAATAAGTGGAAGGAAAGAAGATTAAGGCCCACCCTGGACCTATCTATAAGACAAAATATGCTGACTCCAAAATACTAGCCCTGAGAAAATTATTAGAATAAGTGAATACGTATTCACTAGCAAGCAATCATAATTCAATGAGATTATTTATTAAGAGCAGAGGTTCCTTTTTTTTTTTGAGATGGAGTCTCAATCTGTCACCCAGGCTGGAGTGCAGTGGTGCAATATCAACCTCTACCTCCCGGGTTCAAATGATTCCCCTGCCTCAGCCTCCCAAGTAGCTGGGATTACAGGCATGCACCATCACGCCTGGCTCATTTTCGTATTTTTAGTAGAGATGGGGTTTTCCCATGTTGGCCAGGCTGGTCTCCTGACCTCAGGTGATCCACCCACCTCGGCTTCCCAAAGTGCTGGGATTACAGGCCTGTGCCCAGCCGAGAGCAGAGATTCTTAACTTTTTCCTTGTGCAACACTATCATACAGACCAAGTGTTGGCTAACCAGTTCTATAAAGGGCCAGAGGGTAAACATTTTAACCTTTGCGGTTTATTAGGTTTCTTTTTTAACTACTCAGTTCTACCATTATAACACAAAACAGCCACAGACAATACGGAAATGAAAGAGTGTGGCTATGTTCTAATAAAACCTTTTTATGGACATTGAAATTTGGATTTTGCATAATTTTCACATCTCATGAAATATTATTCTTCTTTTGATTTTTTTTCAATGATTTAAAAATCTAAACACCATTCTTAGCCCAGGGGACATACAAAACTGGCAGGAAGATAGATTCAGAACATATAACATGGTTTGCTGTAGTTTGATGTAGACTAACATCTATTGTTCACAAAGCGATTCTCCAAATGCCTCATTGAGAAACACAGCTTAATAATGTCCAATTTTCCTTGCTCGGTTTACTGAGCAACCTTCTCCTGATCTGTTTACATGTGATGCTTCCTTCTGGTAAATTGATTCAATCAAAAACCCAAAGAATTAATTCTAGGGGCAGAGTTCTCTCTAGTCTTAATAGTTTATCCCTTGTTCCCTTGAGTTCATATAGCCATTCAAAGGTCTGGCATCTCATAGCTGAAGGAACAAAGGGTGCCATGTGGAGGTAATAGCAACTATTAAATCCTCAGACAAAGCAGAATCACTCAACATCATTACTGTAAATTCTAGCACATCACTGTCAACTCAAAGTCTAAATTAAGATTTGAGCATTGAATCAACTGCTATTCTGATTAGTAATTATTATAGACACATAAATTATAACCACAAAACTTATGGACCCCAAACAGCTAAACAGATGCACAGAGTCAACATGTGCTGAGAATGTACCTCTAGGAGAAAGGGAGAATTCCAGCACCCACATTGCCACAGTGGAGACAAAATGGAAAATAAACATCTAATAAGCAAATAGCTACTGATACAAACATACAAGGATAAGTCTCATAAAATTAATGGAAGCACAGTTATCCCCAAAAGAATTGTATAGTAAATAAGAACCTAGTTTAATCTGTGCCATCTTGTTCCTACTGCATAGTTGATCAATCATGGAATAATATGAAGATCATGATGCCCCAGACCTCACCTTCTGGATGGTAAAAATGGGTCCCATTACTAGTTTTTTCTCATTTTTGTCCTCCTGCTCAGTCAAGCCAAACTTATATGCGTCTCACTTATTAAGATAAAATATTTTTCATGAGGCTTCTGGGAGCCTCATTCAAATGAATTTACAGTGTGTCCCATCAGCCCTTTAGACCCAGCATGCTGGAATCCTGACACAGTGGGAAAAAGTAAACAAAATGAGCAAAATTCTGAAATTGATGGCAAAGCTGAGGTTCAAACTTAAGCCACTGAATCTAATTAGCTCTATACATTTGGGACAAATTATTTTACCTCCCTGTGCCAGGAAGCAATAGAGAGACCTAGAGCTTATCCAGTTCAGCAATTTTTAAGCTCCTCTATAGCGAAAGAATGTGTGCCGAAAATGTGGTTTACAATGAGATACCATCTTACACCAGTCAGAACGGCTTTTGTTAAAAAGTCAAAAAATAACATATTGACAAGGCTTTGGAGAAAAGAGAACACATACAGTATTGATATGAATGAAGATTAGTTCAGCCTCTGTGGAGAGCAATTTGGAAATTTCTCAAAGAACTGATTCAACCCAGCAACCCCTATTGGGCTGATATGGTTTGGATATTTGTCCCACCCAAATCTCATGTTGAAATGTGATCCCCAGTATTGGAGGTGGGGCCTGCTGGGAGGTGATTGGGTCATGGGGGCGGATCCCTCATGGATGCCTTAGCACCATCCCCGTGGTGATTCACTGAGTTCACGTGAGATCTGGATGTTTAAAAGAGTATGGCACTTCCTCCTCTCTCCCTCACTCCTGCTCTTGCCATGTGATGTGTCTGCTCCCACTTCACCTTCTGCTATGAGTAAAAACTCTCTGAGGCCTCCCCGGAAGCTGAGCAGATGCTGGCATCATGCCAGTATTTCTTTATAGCAATGCAACAATGTCCTTCTACGTGGGTATACGCCCCAAGGAAAATAAATAGTTCTACCAAAAAAAAAAAAAAGTGCCCGTATGTTCATTGCAGCACTATTCCCAATGGCAAAGACATGAAATCAACCTAAATGCCCATCAATGTTAGTGGATTGAATAAAGAAAATGTGGTACATATACACCATGGAATATTACACAGCAATAAAAAAGAATGAAGTCATGTCCTTTGCCCCAACATGGATGCAGCTGGAAACCATTATCTTAACCAAACTAACATGGAAACAGAAAACCAAATGCCACGTGTTCTCATTTATAAGTGGGTACACATGGATGTAAAAGTGGGAACAATAGACATTGAGGAATACAAGAGAGGGGAGGAAAGGAGAGGAGGACGGGTTGGAAACAACCTACCTATCGAGTGCTATGCTCACTATCTGGGTGGTGGTTTCATTTGTATCCCAAACCTCAGCATCACACAATATACCCATGTAACAAACTTGCACATGTACCCCCAATTCTAAAATAAAGGTTAAAAAAATAAAATGTGGTTTAACACAGAACCCCAAAATGTAAAACTGGAAAAGCATACCTGCTCTGTTGAGAGGAGGTCAAGAGGGCCAAGAGCCCTGCACACTCTGCCTCCCCGTAGTATCTACAGCGGCCCCCAAAGCTCCTAGACCTTTGGGGAGCAGTTTGAAACCACTGTTCTTATGCAGTCCTCTCATTTTACAAATGAGGAAGCTACTAAGAACATTAAAAATGGCCCCACCAGCAGCCAAACAATGATGTTCCCAACTGAACATAAACAGTGAATCTGAACAATGCTCACACAAGGCCACTGCTGCTACGTTTGGAAAAAGACAGAGACATGGCCACTCCACAACCTCAACAATCACAAAACATCCCCTCTTCTGACTAACACAAGTGACTTCTCCTAGCCCAGCTTTAATCCATCAGCCTCTTTGATAAAATGTATTAAGATACCTGGTCACCAAGTTGACCCTCCCTCTTGACACAACACAACCCGAAACCAGCCTCTGCTCTCCTAACCCCTCGTGAAAATCATCCAGCATAAGCCTGAATCCTGTAAGGGGGCCCCCCACAGTTAATCTCTGGTGTGTCCTTCCTTGCTACTGCAAGCCCCGTTAACCTAACTTTTTGTTTTTACTCCAGGTGTGTTCCTAATGGTCCTTGGCTTTAATACTACCCAGTTAGCATTCTAAGCTATGTCCTCAAGAAAAGCAGAATAGCACCAAGATTTGGCTGAGAGAAAAACAAATAGGTGAGCTCCTAGAGTCGTAAATAAACATGACAGAAACAAACAGAAGCAAATTCTGATCCTTAACAGACAAAATGCTATTGATCTCTGCACGTTTAGCCAGGGGGCAACTGCTTGACGGTGACTCTTAGGTGGAAGGAGACCCACCAGCAACTCTGTCTGAATGCTTTGTGCCACTCACAACAGCCAGCACAGCACCCAGTGTGGACAGAATCCCCTCAGGAATGCAAAAGCACAGAGATGAGCCAGGCACCTGGAAAAGGCTGTCATTATTTAACCCACATTAGCTTCACAGAAATTCAACGATATGTCAATTATATGCTTCTACAAACAAAGCATACTATGATAAGCATCATTCTGGGTTGGATATCAGCACACAGCACATGCAGAATTTTCAAGTCTGCCCCAACACAAACACAAAGTCATAGCAATTTCCATGCTGGTCCTGAAATGAAGGCTGCGATTTTCTTTGGGCCTCACAGATAGTGTAGATTCAATAAACATTTCTTGAGTTGGATTTAATTGACCAGAATCCTCCTTAAAGTAACCACAGTTGAGCTGGAACCAACCTTGGGTTCAATATGTGGTGTCCATGGACTAAGAGGGGAGGTTTTGCCCCATATTACTTTGCCAATGGTATTCATGGTAGTGGTTGCTGTCATCACGCCACTCCCTGGAGCCAGTGGGAGCCCCGCCCCTTCTGAGTTGGGACCGGAGCTCATGCCACTGCAGCTGTTCAAACTTCAGCTGCAGACCCAGGCCTCCTGCTCTAGGGAGAAGGTAGCAACCGCCTAACCTGCAGCTGTGGATCCCAGCCTCCCTGTGCTCTTGGGGGCGCTGGGAACAGGCAGGATCTGCCCTCTCAGGTGCAGCTGCAGCTGCAGCGCCTGCAGCCTGCAGATCTGGGCCTCCAGCTCCAGGAAGCTGGCAGAGCCGGGAACAAGCAGGAGCCCTGCCCCTTCCGAGCTGGCCAGGCAGAAGCTCCCGGGTGCAGCTGCGCCCACCCTCCCAGGCACAGGACTGGGGCGTCTCTGCAGCCTGCACCCTCCAGTGCCCCAGGGAGGAACCCCCGCCTCCCAGTCCCTGCAGGCTCAGGGGTGTCTGCTCCTACTGCCTGGCCTCTCTCTGCTCCTAGCACCTGCTCCATTCTCAGAGCGGGGTTGGGGCCAAGCCCCAGGGCCATGAATGGCAGTCAGAGGCAGACAGAGTCCTGGGTGGAAGGGGGCGGGGTCCCCAGTAAGGCCCCACTTTCAGGCCAGGGAGGGCCTGAAGGCTGTGGGCTGGACTACCAGTCCTGCTAACCGGAGTGGGGACTCCTGGTGCCTCTTCCAACCCACCTATGGCCACCCATGGACCAATCCGCATGCACTTCCTTCCCTCTGAGGTCCATAAAAGCCCTGGGCTTAGCCAGAGGATGAAGAAGGCAGAGAGACTACAGGACAGGACGACCAGGTGCGGAATGGAGTATCCTCCCTGCTGACAGCTGGAGACAATGAGACGGCCAGCTGCAGAGAGGAGCTACCCTCTCTGCTGAAAGCTTCAGAGACTTGCAGAGACTTTCAAATGACTTGCCTGTGGAGAGGAGCCACCCTTTCCAGGGGCTCCTCTCTGCTAAGAGCTGAACGCTCAACGGATGACCTGCCTACAGAGAGGAGGACTTTTTATGCCTACTTCAGTCCTATTTGGGCATCATCAGTTTTTAATTAAGATGGAATCTCGCTCTGTCACCCAGGCTGGAGTGCAGTGGCGTGATCTCGGCTCACTGCAAGCTCCGCCTCCCAGGTTCACGCCATTCTCCTGCCTCAGCCTCCCGAGTAGCTGGGACTACAGGCACCCGCCACCATGCCCGGCTAATTTTTCGTATTTTTAGTAGAGACGGGGTTTCACTGTGTCAGCCAGGATGGTCTTGATCCCCTGACCTCGTGATCCACCCGCCTCGGCCTCCCAAAGTGCTGGGATTACAGGCGTGAGCCACCATGCCCGGCCGCATCATCAGTTTTCAGTGCCTCTTAGTGTGCTTCTTTCCAGTGCCGCCACCTGCCGTGAGTCTCTGCTCATCCTTCAAGGCCAACACTGAGATGCCACCTCCTCTCTGTGCTCCCTCTGACTGCCTTCTCCCGAAATACAGTCCACAGAAGCAGCAACTGCTCTCTTAGTTTTCCAAAATACCTTATGTACTCATTGGGGCTGGGTGCAGTGGCTAACAACTGTAATCCTAGCACTTTGGGAGGCTGAGGTGGGTGGATTGCCTGAACTCAGGAGTTCAAGACCAGCCTGGGCAACATGGTGAAACCCTGTCTCTACTAAAAATACAAAAAATTAGCCAGGAGTAGTGGCA
The DNA here is from genome assembly GCF_000001405.40 of Homo sapiens. Lineage (NCBI taxonomy): Eukaryota > Metazoa > Chordata > Mammalia > Primates > Hominidae > Homo > Homo sapiens. The sequence goes on along the minus strand of NC_000015.10, from coordinate 45,828,347 downwards.
CACACTTGTAATCCCAGCTACTTGGGAGGCCAAGGCACAAGAATTGCTTGAACCCAGGAGGCAGAGGTTGCAGTGAGCCGAGATCACGCCACTGCACTCCAGCCTCGGTGACAGAGTGAGACTCTGTCTCCAAAAAAAAACAAACAACAACAAGAAATACCTTATGTACTCATTGGACTAGACTTACTTATTTTACATATCATCTCCATGACCAAGCTATGGTTTTTCTTGAGAGTAGAGCATTATATGCATCTTTGATCTCCAGATATATGGAAATAAATTTCGTAAACATTCTATGTGTTAGATCAAATCGCCTTCCAAATTTGTGTTTTGGCATACATTGAATGATTTCCCCTTCAAAGAAACAGAGTGATTGTGTATAAAGATACTCATATGCTGCTATTTCAACCCAAAGATGTAGTGTTTTTGTACATGGCAGAAACGACTATGGGCTTCATAGCCAGCCATCCTATCCCAGCAAAAAGGGCCCAGGAACAACCTCCGAACTTGCCAAAGAGCAAGTATGGCTTCCCAGGCCAGTCACAGGCTGTTCAGTCTGAAATATTTAGAGTGACTTTCACACAGTAGGATTCTCCTCCAGATGCTCTCTAAGAGAAAAACACTTGTAAATCTAAACCTGGTGCAAACAGCCAAACCTATTCAGTGAGATTCTGTACCTCCTCTGCCACTTCACACCAACACCTGCTTTCTAGAACTTGGAGTCTGCACACTTTGCCTACTAGTTAGGTCCTGACGAAGTCTATCTCCTCCAGCTTCACTCTAAGCAAAGTAACGTCTGTTTCCCAAAGAGGCAGTTTAACTTCGAAATGTAGCAGTGAGGCAATGGAAACTTACCAGCTGCATTTGGACTTCATACTGCACAGTGCCACCTAGCCTTGATAACCACCCTCAACCCATCTCACTCTGTAAAGTGTTTTTTCTTCTAAAACTCAAACGATGTTAAAGGAATGTACTCCCACACCCTAACTAGAGAGCAGCCATGAGAAGCCAGTCTACTCCCACATGGTTATGCCCTATATCCCAATAGCCTGTACTCACAAGCTGGAGCTGATTCCCCAAAAGAGAAGCACGATATATAAGTCACACTGTTAGTTTTTGTTGGTATATACTGGAAGCTCACTCAATGAATGTTCTCCATATGACATTCTCCATATTCTCACATGACAAGAGAAGTTCTCAAAACTTCTATTAGGGTACTTAAAATTTAGTAGTACAGTTTAATTATTTGTGTCTCACCCAACAGACAGAATACTCTAGAAGATCAGAGAATCAGTTCATACAATAAACATGTATTTGCATCCCAAGTGCCTGCATCTGTGCACCTGTTCTTGGCCAGTCCTGAGGACAGTTCAGAAGACAGAAGAGTACATTCCTGCCCTGGAAAAGCTTATTGAGAAGCAGTAAATTCCTTAAGGCCAGAGTTCTATACTTTGGAGCCCCAGTGCCTAGGACAGACTAGGCATTCAAGAAATATTTACTGAAATGAAAATTTATTTGTTTGAATGCAAACTAAGGATCAAGTAAGAATCTCTCTCTGGAACAGTAATGAAGCTATTCTACCTAATATAAGCAACAGTCGTCAAGTCAATTGTCTTGACACTTGCTTGACGTCAAGTCTGAGAGACATTTTCATTCCATATCCTTCTTGACCCCTGAGCACCATCCTTTGATGCTCTTGTCCCTTTGGCCTCTCTTCTCATTTTCTCCTTTCCTTCCTGGCTACTTCTTCAGTTTGAAAATGGCACCCCTCTCTTCATCTCATCTTAAAATGATTTATTTCACACGCTAAGCTTCCTACTTTTCTGATATTTACCCTCTCTCTGGAAGTATTGCTGCTCCAATCTCTGTCTTTGATTATGTTTTTATTTGTTAATAATTCTAAAATCTGTATTTCTAGTTCAGATCATTCTTCTGAGCTTTGATATCCAACTACATCCTGGATCCACACTTGTCCATCCTACAGGCAACTTAAATTCATCATGTAAAAGACGTGGCCCATCTTCTCCCCTTTCCTCCTTTTTTTTACTCCCACCCCAAGATGGTTCCTTCTTCTATATTTATACATTGTCTTAATCCATTTGTGCTGCTATAACAAGGTACCATAGACTGGGTAATTTATAAAGAATAGAAATTTATTGGCTTAGAGTTCTGGAGGCTGGGAAATCCAATATCAAGGCACTGGCATCTTGAAAGGGTCCTGCTGTATCATCTCATGGTGGAAGGCAGAAGGGTAAAGAAGCGAAAGGGTGCCAAATTCAAACTTCTATAATGACATTAATCCCACGAATGAGGGTACAGCCCTCATGGCCTAATCATCTCTCAAGGGTCCCACCTCTTAATACTATTACAATGGCAAATAAATTTCAACAGATTTGTTTTTGTCCTTTTTTGATGTAGGCACTTACAGCTATAAAATTCCCTCTTACTACTGCTTTTGCGGTATCCCATAGGTTTTGGTATGTCGTGTTTCCATTATCATTTGTTTCAAGAAATTTTTCAATTTCCTTCTTAAATTCTTCATCGACTCACTGGTCATTCAGAAGTACATTGTTTAATCTATATGTATTTGTATAGTTTCCAAAATTCCTCTTATTATTTATTTCTAGTTTTATTCCATTGTGGTCAGAGAAGATGCTTGATATTATTCCAATTTTTTAATGTTTTAGGATTTGTTCTGTGACCTAACATATGGTCACAAAACAAATGATCCATGAAAATGATCCATCTGCTGAGGAATGATCCATGTGCTGAGGAAAAGAATTTGTATTCTGCAGCCATCAGATGAAATATTCTATAAATATCTGTTAGATTCATTGGGTCTATAGTGCAGATTAAGTCCAATGTTTCCTTGTTGATTTTCTGTTTGGAAGATCTGTCTGGTACAGAAAGTGGGGTGTTGAAGTCTCCAGCTATTGTTGTTCTGGGGCCTATCTCTCTCTTTAGCTCTAATAGTATTTGCTTTATGCATCTGGGTGATCCAGTGTTGGGTGCATATATATTTAAAATTTCTATATCCTCTGGCTGAATTGACTCCCTTATCATTATATAGGTGCCTTCTGATATGGTTTGGCTGTGTCCCCACCCAAATCTCATTTTGAATTCCCACGTGTTGTGGGAAGGACCCAGTGGGAAGTAATTGAATCATAGGGGGCAAGTCTTTCCCATGCTGTTCTCATGATAGTGAATCCACCAGATTGGATGGTTTTAAAAAGAGGAGTTCCCCTGTGCAAGCCCTCTCTGTTTGCCTGCTGCCATCCATGTAAGACATGATTTGATCCTCCTTGCCTTCTACCATGATTGTGAGGCTTCCCCAGCCACATGGAACTGTAAATCCATTAAACCTCTTTCTTTTGTAAATTGCCCAGTCTTGGGTATGTCTTTTTTTTTTTTTTTTTTTTTTGAGACAGAGTCTCACTCTGTCGCCCAAGCTAGAGTGCAGTGGCGTGATCTCAGCTCGCTGCAAGCTCCGCCTCCCAGGTTCATGCCATTCGTCTGCCTCAGCCTCCCAAGTAGCTGGGGCTACAGGCACCCACCACCACACCCAGCTAACTTTTTGTATTTTTTTTTTTTAGTCGAGATGGGGTTTTACCATGTTAGCCAGGATGGTCTTGATCTCCTGACCTCATGATCCACCCGTCTCAGCCTCCCAAAGTGCTGGGATACAGGTGTGACCCACTGTGCCGGGCCAGGTATGTCTTTATTAGTAGTGTCAAAACAGGCTAATACAGTAAATTGGTACCAGTAGAGTGGGGTGTTGCTGAAAATGTACCCAAAAATGTGGAAGTGACTTTGGAACTGGGTAACAGGCAGAGATTGGGACAGTTTGGAGGGCTCGGAAGAAGACAGGAAAATGTGGGATAGTTTGGAACTTGCTGATAGTGATATGAACAATAAGGTCCAGGCTGAGGTGGTATCAGATGGAGATGAGGAACTTGTTGGGAACTGAAGCAAAGGTGACTCTTGTTATGTGTTAGCAAAGAGATTGGAGGCATTTTGCCCCTGCCCTAAAGATTTGTGGAACTTTGACCTCGAGAGAGATGATTTAGGGTATCTGGTGGAAGAAATTTCTAAGCAGCAAAGCATTCAACAGGTGACTTGGGTGCTGTTAAAGGCATTCCATTTTAAAAGGGAAGCAGAACACAAAAGTTTGGAAAATTATCAGCCTGACAATGCAATAGAAAAGAAAACCCCATTTTCTGAGGAGAAATTCAACCCAGCTGCAGAAATTTGCGTAAGTAACAAGGAGCTGAATTTTAATCACCAAGACAATGGGGAAAATGTCACCAGGGCATGTCAGAGATCTTTGTGGCAGCCCCTCTTATCACAGGCCCAAAGGTTTAGGAGGAAAAATGGTTTCATGGGCCAGGCCCAGGGTTCCTCTTCTGTGTGCAGCCTAAAAACTTGGTGCCTTGAATCCCAGCCACTCTAGCCATGACTAAAAGGGCCCAAGGTACAGCTCGGACTGTTGCTTCCGACAGTGGAAGCCCCAAGCCTTGGCAGCTTCCATGTGGTAGAGTCTGTGAGCATACAGAAGTCAAGAATTGAGGTTTGGGAACCTCCGCCTAGATTTTAGAAGATGTATAGAAATGCCTGGATGCCCAGGCAAAAGTTTGCTGCAGGGGCGGGGCCCTTATGGAGAACCTCTGCTAGGGCAGTGCAGAGGGAAATGTGGTGTAGGAGCCCCCATACAGAGTCCTTACTGGGGCACCACCTAGTGGAGCTGTGAGAAGAGGGCCACCATCCTTCAGACCCCAGAATAGTAGATCCACTGACAGCTTATATCCAGTGCCTAGAAAAGCCACAGACACTCAACATCAGCTTATGATAACAGCCAGGAGGGGGGCTATACCCTGCAAAGCCACAGAAGTGGAGCTGTCCAAGGCTGTGGGAGCCCATCTCTTGCATCAGATTGACCTGGATGTGAGACATGGAGCCAAGGAGATCATTTTGGAGCTTTAAGATTTGACTGCTCCACTGGATTTCGGACTTGCATGGGGCCTATAGCCCCTTTGTTTCAGCCAATTTCTCTCATTTGGAATGGCTGTATTTATCCAATGCCTGTACTCCCACTATATCTAGGAAGTAACTAACCTGCTTTCGATTTTACAGGCTCATAGATGGAAGGGACTTGCCTTGTCTCAGATGAGACTTTGGACTGTGGACTTTTGAGTTAATGTTGAAATGAGTTAAGACTTTTGGGGACTGTTGGGAAGGCATGATTGGTTTTGAAATGTGAGAATGTGAGATTTGGGAAGGGCCCGGAGTAGAATGATATAGTTTGGCTGAGTCCCCACCAAAATCTCATCTTGAATTCCCATGTGCTATGGGAGGGACCCGGTGGGAGGTAATTGAAACATGGGGACAAGTCTTTCCTGTGCTGTTCTCATGATAGTGAATAAGTCTCACAAGATATGATGGCTTTAAAAAGTGGAGTTCCCCTACACAAGCTTTCTCTCTTTGCCTGCTGCCATCCATGTAAGACGTGACTTGATCCTCCTTGCCTTCTGCCATGATTGTGAAGCTTCCCCAGCCACGTGGAAATGTAAGTACATTAAACCTTTTGTAAATTGCCCAGTCTTGGGTATGTCTTTATTAGCAGAGTAAAAACAGACTAATACACCTTTTTTGTCCCTTCTTAGAGTTTTTGTCTTGAAATCCATTTTGTCTGATATAAGTATAGTGACTTCTGCTCTTGTTTGGTTTCCCTTGGCGTAGAAAATCTTTTCCCATCCCATTATTTTCAGTCTATGTGAGTCTTTATAGGTGAAGTGTGTTTATTGTAGGAAAATGATCATTGGATCTTGTTTTTTTAATCCATTCAGCCACTCTACATCTTTTGATTGGTGAGCTTAGTCCATTTAGATTCAATGTAATTATTGATAAGTAAGGACTTATTCCTGCCATTTTGTTATTTGTTTTCTGGTTGTTTTGTGGTCTTTCTTTCTTTCTTGTCTTCCTTTAGTGCAGTTGATTTCCTCTGATTATATAATTTAGTTTCTTGCTTTTTATTTTTTGTGTATCTGTTGTATGTTTTTTGGTTTCAGATTACCATGGGGCTTGGAAATACTATCTTATAACCCATTATTTTAACCTGATAACTGCTTAACACTATTTGCATGAACAAACAAGCAGATGATGAAGATGGCACATAGGAGGCAAGACTAACTTGAAGCTCCCACTCAAATGGACAGAACAGCAAGTGAAGACTCATATCATAAACTATTGCTCCAAGAACTACCACAGGAACATACCAGGAAAGCCAAGAGAATCCAAAGACTCTTCGAAGGAACTGGATCACTGCTGCAGGTTCCCCGAGATGCCAAAAATCTATGAGTCTGCTTGCTTTCTCAGCAGGGAGGCTCATGGTCTGAGGTAAGTTTTCAGCCCTGGTCACAGGCTGCCTGGAAATAGACTTGGTGCTGCGGTGGGGAGGCATGGTGGGAATGAGACCAGCCTTTAGGACTGCAGGCTGCATGGAGGTGGGGTGAGGCCTGTAACTTCCTGCTTTCCCCCACTTCCCTGGCAATCTGTATGACTCCGTAGAGACAGCCATAATCCCTCTGGGAATATAGCTTCATTGGACTGGGAACCACACTCCCATTCCCCACAGCAGCCACAGTAAGCCCCGCCCAAGGAGAGGCTGAGCTCAGACATGCCTATCTCTGCCCCCACCTGGTGGTCTTTCTCTACCCACCCTCATAGCTGAAGACAAAGGTCGTAATCTCTTGGGAGCTCTATAACCCTGCCCACCACTTAAGAAACCTGAATACTTAACCACATGTCCCTAAGGCAAATTTGCATCCTCCCTATAGGACCACAATTGATGCACTCTTGAAAGCACCACCTCCTGGCTGGAGGCCAATCAGGTTTGGTTGTGTTTAGCACACTAAACAAAACACAACCAAGGACCCTCACAGAGTCCACTTGACTCCACTGCTATCTCCACCAGAGCAGGTGCTAGTACCCATGGCTGCAAGACCTGAAGATAGATCATATCACAGGACTCTTTGCAGACACAACCCAGCACCATCCCAGAGCCTGGTAGTCGAGCCCTAGCTTGACTGGGTGGCTATATCCAGAAGAGCAAAAACAATTACTACAGTTCAGCTTTCAGGAAGCCCCATTCCTAGGGGAAGCGGGAGAACACCACATCAAGGGAGCACCGCGTGGGACAAACAGCAGCCAGGCACAGTGGCTCATGTGTGTAACCCCAGCACTTTGGGAGGCCAAGGTGGGTGGATTACCTGAGGTCAGGAGCATGAGACCAGCCTGGCCAACATGGTGAAACCCCGTCTCTACTAAAAATACAAAAATTAGCTGGGTGTGGTGGCATGGGCCTGTAATCTCAACTACCCAGGAAGCTGAGGCAGAAGAATAGCTGGAACCCGGGAGGCGGAGGCTGCAGTGAGCCAAGATCATGCCACTGACTGCACTCCAGCCTGGGTGACAGAGCGAGACTCGGTCTCAAAAAAAAAAAAAAAAAAAAAAAAAAGAATCTAAACAGCTAAACAGCAGCACTTGAATCCCAGATCTTCACTCTGACATTGTCTACCCAAATGAGAAGGAACCAGAAAAACAATTCTGGTAATATGACAAAACAAGGTTCTTTAACACCTCCAAAAGATCATCCTAGCTCACCAGCAATGGATCCATACCAAGATGATATCTCTGAATTGCAAGAAAAAGAATTCAGAAGGTCAATTACTAGGCTAATCAAGGAGGCACCAGAGAAAGATGAAGTCCAATGTAAAGAAATCAAAAACATGGCACGGATATGAAAGGAAAATTCTTTAGTGAAATAGGTAGCATACATAAAAAACAATTACAACTTCTCAAAATCAAGGACACACTTAGAAAAATGTAAAATGCACTAGAAAGCCTCAGCAATAGAATCGAACAAGCAGAAGAAAGAACTTCAGAGCTCAAAGACAGGCTTTCAAATTAACTCACTCCATCAAAGACAAAGAAAAAAGAATTTTAAAAACTGAACAAAGCCTCAAGGAAGTTTGGGATTATGTTAAACATCCAAACCTAACAATAGCTGGTGTTGCTGAGAAAGAAGAGAAATCTACAAGTTTGGAAAACATATTTGAGGGAATAATCAAGGAAAATTTCCCCAGCCTTGCTAGAGATCTAGACATCCAAACACAAGAAGATCAAAGAACATCTGGGAAATTAATCACAAAAAGATCATTGTCTAGGCACATAGTCATCAGGTTATCTAAAGTCAAGACAAAGAGCCATGAGGCAAAAGCATCAGGTAACCTATTAAAGGAAAACCTTATCAGATTAACTGCATATTTCTCAGGAGAAACCCTACAAGCTAGAAGGGATTAGGGTCCTATTTTTAGCCTCCTTAAACAAAAAATTATCAGCCAATAATTTTGTATCCAGTGAAACTAAGCTTCATAAATGAAGGAAAGAGACAGTCTTTTTCAGACAAACAAATGCTGAGAGAATTTGCCACTACCAAGACAGCACTATAAGAACTACTAAAAAGGATCTCTAAATCTTGAAACAAGTTCCCAAAATACACCAAAATAGAACCTCCTTAAAGCATAAATCTCACAAGACCTAATTCAACAGTAACACAATAAAAAAAAAAAAAAAAAAAACACATGCCAGGCATGGTGGCTCATGCCTGTAATCCCAGCACTTTGGGAGGCTGAGGCAGGTGGATCACGAGGTCAGGAGTTCAAGACCAACCTGGCCAAGATGGTGAAACCCCATCTCTACTAAAAATACAAAAAAACTAGCCGGACATGGTGGCAGGCACCTGTAATCTCAGCTACTCGGGAGGCTGGGGCATGAGAATTGCTTGAACCTGGGAGGCAGAGGTTGCAGTGAGCCAAGATCACACCACTGCACTCCAACCTTGGCAACAGTGTGAGATTCCATCTCAAAAAAAAAAAAAAAAAAAAAAAAAAAAAAAAAAAACACAAGGTATTCAGGCAACAAATAGCACAATGAATACAATAGCACCTCACATCTCAATACTAATATTAAATGTAAATGGCCTAAATGCTCCATTTAAAAGGTACAGAATGGCAAAGAGGATAAGAGTCCACTAACCAACTTTCACATGAAAAAATGCTCATCATGACTGGTCATCAGATAAATGCAAATCAAAACCACAATGAGATACCATCTCACACCAGTTAGAGTGGCAATCATTAAAAAGTCAGGAAACAACAGGTGCTGGAAAGGATGTGGAGAAATAGGAATGCTTTTACACTGTTGGTGGGACTGTGAACTAGTTCAACCATTGTGGAAGACAGTGTGGCAATTCCTCAAGGATCTAGAACTACAAATACCATTTGACCCAGCAATCCCATTACTGAGTATATACCCAAAGGATTATAAATCATGCTACTATAAAGACACATGCACACATATGTTTATTGTGGCACTATTCACAATAGCAAAGACTTGGAACCAACCCAAATGTCCATCAATGACAGACTGGATTAAGAAAATGGGGCACATATACACCGTGGAATACTATGCAGCCATAAAAAAGGATGAGTTCATGTCCTTTGTAATGACATGGATGAAGCTGGAAACCATCATTCTGAGCAAACTATTGCAAGGACAGAAAACCAAACACTGCATGTTCTCACTCATAGGTGGGAACTAAACAATGAGAATACTTGGACACAGGGTGGGGAAAATCACATCCCGGGGCCTGTCATGGGGCGGGGGGATGGGGAAGGGATAGCATTAGGAGAAATACCTAAAGTAAATGACGAGTTAATGGGTGCAGCAAACCAACACAGCACATGTATACATATGTAGCAAACCTGCAAATTGTGCACATATACCCTAGAACTTAAAGTATAATTAAAAAATACAAAAAAAAAAAAAAAAAAGAATTCACTAACCAACTTTCTGCTGTCTTCAGGAGACCTAACACACAAGGACTCACGTACACTTAAGGTAAAGGGGCAGAAAAGATGTTCCATGCAAATGGACACCAAAAGTGAGCAGGAGTAGCTAACTATTGTTATATCAGACAAAACAAACTTTAAAAACCAACAGCAGTTAAAAAAGATAAAGATGGACATTATATAATGATAAAAGGACTAATTCAAGGAAAATATAACAATTCTAAATGTATATGCACCTAACGCTGGAGCTCTTAAATGTATAAAACAATTACTACTAAACCTAAAAAATGAGATAACAGCAACACAATAATAGTGAGGGACTTTAGTACTCCACTGACAGCACTAACAGATCATCAAGACAGAAAGTCAGCAAAGAAACAATAGACTTAAACTATACCCTACAACAAATGGATTGAACAGATATTTACAGAACTTTCTACCCAACAACTGCAGAATATACATTCTATTCATCAGCTCATGAAACATTTTCCAAGATAGACCATATTACAGACCACGAAATAAGTCTCAGTAAATTTTTTAAAAATCAAAATTATATCCAGTACTTTCTTAGACCACAACGGAATAAAATTGGAAATCAACTCCAAAACAAACTCTCAAAACCATGCAAATACATGGAAATTAAAGAACCTGCTCCTGAATGATTGCTGAGTCAGCAATAAAATCAAAATGAAAATTTACAAATTCTTTGAACTGAATAATAGTGACACAACCTATCAAAACCTCTGGGATACAGCAAAAGCAGTGCTAAGAGAAAAGTTTATAGCATTAAATGCATACATCAAAAAGTCTGAAAGAGCACAAATAGACAATCTAAGGTCACACCTCACAGAACTGGAGAAACAAGAACAATCCAAATCCAAACCCAGCAGAAGAAAAGAAATAAAGATCAGAATGAAACTAAATGAAATGAAAACAAACAAACAACAAAAATACAAAAGATAAATGAAACAAAAATCTGGTTGTTTGAAAAGATAAATAAAATTGATAGGCCATTAGTGAGATTAACCAAGAAAAGGAAAAGATCCAGAGAAGCTCAATTAGAAACAAAATGGGAGATGTTACAACCGATACCACAGAAATATGAAAGATTATTCGAGACTACTATGAACACCTTTATGGGCATAACTAGAAAACCTAGAGGAGATGGATAAATTCATGGAAATATACAACCCTCCTACATTAAACCTGGAAGATATAAAATCTCTGAACAGACCAATAACAAACAGCTAGATTGAAATGATGTTTTTTAAAATTGCCAGCAAAAGAAAGTCCAGGACCAGACAGATTCACTGCTGACATCTATCAGACATTCAAAGAAAAATTGGTAACAAACCTATTGACACTATTCCAAAAGATAAAGAAAGAGGGAATTTTCCCTAAATCATTCTATGAAGCCAGTAATACTCTAATACCAAAACCAGGGAAGGACATAACAAAAACTGAAAACTATAGACCAATATCCCTGATGAACATAGAGGCAAAAATCCTCAGGAAAATACTAGTTAACTGAATCTAACAGCATATCAAAAAGATAATTTGACGTGATCAAGTGGGTTTCATACCAGGGATGCAGGGATGGTTTAACATATGTAAGTCAAAAAATGTGATACACTACATAAGCAAAATTAAAAACAAAAATCACATGATCATCTCAGCAGATGCAAACAAAACATTTGACAAAATCCAGGATCCCTTTATAATTAAAACCCTCAGCAAAATCGGCTTAGAAGGGACATACCTTAAGGTAATAAAAGCCACATATGACAAACCCACAGCCAACATTATACTGAACAGGGAAAACTTGAAAGCATTCCCCCTGAGAACTGGAACAAGACAAGGATAGCCACTTTCACCACTTCCATTAAACATAGCACTGGAAGTCCTAGCCAGAGCAATCAGACAAAAAAAAGAAATAAAGGGTAAAAACTGTCACTATATGTTGAGGATATGATCATATACCTAGAAAACCCTAAAGACCCGTCCAAAAAGCTTCTAATATTGGTAAAGGGGTGCAGCAAATTTCAGGATACAAAATTAACGTACACAAATCAGTAGCTCTGCTATATACCAACAGCAACCAAGCTGAGAATCAAATCAAGAACTTAACCTCTTTCACAATAGCTGCAAAAAAAATTTTTTAATTTAAAAATTTTTTAAAAACTTAGAAATATACCTAAACAAGGACGTGAAAGACCTCTACAAGGAAAACTACAAAACACTTCTGAATGAAATCACAGACAATGGAAACACATCTCATGCTCATGGATGGGTAGAATCAATATTGTGAAAATGAGCATACCGCCAAAAGCGATCTACAAATTCAATGGAATTCCCATCAAAATACCACATCATTCTTCACAGAATTAGAAAAAAAAATCCTAAAATTCATATGTAACCAAAAAAGAGCTCACATAGCCAAAGCAAGACCAAGCAAAAAGGAATCACATAACCCAACTTCAAACTATTCTATAAGGCCATAGCCACCAAAACAGCATGGTACTAATATAAAAATAGGCACATAGACCAACGGAACAAAATACAGAACCCAGCAATAAACCCAAATACTTACAGTCAAGTGATCTTTGACAAAGCAAACAAAATATAAACTGGTGAAAAGACACTCTATTCAATAAATGGTGCTGGGATAACTGGTAAGCCACATGTAGGAGAATGAAACTGGATCCTCATCTCTCACCTTATACAAAAATCAATTCAAGGTGAATCAAAGACTTAAACCTAAGACCTGAAACCATAAAGATTCTAGAAGATAACATCAGAAAAAGCATTCTAGACATTGGCTTAGGCAAAGGCTTCATGACCAAGAACCCAAAAACAGATGCAACAAAAACAAAGATAAATAGATGTGACTTAATTAAACTAGAAAGCTTCTGCACAGCACAAGAAATAATCAGCAGAGTTAACAGACAAACCACAGAGTGGGAGAAAATCATCACAATATATACATCAAACAAAGGACTAATATCCAGAATCTACAAATAACTCTGTTGTAGCCCCAATCCCTGTTGGACTGAACAAAGGGGGGCAAATGCGGGAATAAAGGTAAGGACAAGAGAGTATATTTGGAAGAAGGGGTCAGGGGGCTCCTTTCTTCTAGTGAACAAGGGCCCTGAGCTTTTAGAGCCCTTCGTATTTATTGAGTAAAGGAGATAGGGAGAAGTGAGGTGGTTGTCAGTCAGTTGCTTGACTCGGTGCAGGCTTGCACAACTGCATTCTCTGAACAGTAGCCTCCAGATGTTCCAGTAGATAACCTCAAGGAGCATGGCACCAGGGAGTGATTGCACTCTGCATACCCTCTGGTGGCAGGTGCAGATGTGAGTTTGCCCACATCCTGCATTCATGATAAACAGTTTGCTGTTTGATCATACAGTCTTCAGTGGAATGCTGAGTTGGTCACAATCTAACTTAATTAAATTAGAAAGCTTCTGCACAGCACAAGAAATAATCAGCAGAGTTAACAGACAAACCACAGAGTGAGAGAAAATCATCACAATATATACATCCAACGAAGGACTAATATCCAGAATATACAAAAACTTAAACAAATCAGCAAGAAACAAACAATCCCATCAAAAAGTGGGCTAAGGATATGAATAGATAATTCTCAAAAGAAGATATACAAATGGCCCACAAGCATATGGAAAAATGCTCAACATCACTAAGTATCAGGGAAATGCAAATCAAAACCACAATGCAGTACCACCTTACTTCTGCAAGGATGGCCATAATAAGAAAAAAATAAATAAAAAATAAGAGATGTTGGCAGGGATGTGGTGAAAAGGGAACCCTTTTACACTGTTGGTGGGAATGTAAACTAGTACAACCACTATGGAAAAGAGTGTGGAGTTTCCTTAAAGAATGAAAAGTAGATCTACCATTTGACCCAGCAATCCCACTCCTAGGTATCTACCCAGAGGAAAACAAGTCATTATATAAAAAAGATACTTGCACATGCATGTTTATAGCAGCACAATTTGCAATTGCAAAAATATGGCACCAACCCAAATGTCCATCAATCAAAGAGTAGATAAAGAAAATATGGCCGGGCGCGGTGGCTCACGCCTGTAATCCCAGCACTTTGGGAGGCCAAGACGGGCAGATCACGAGGTCAGGAGATCGAGACCAACCTGGCTAATATGGTGAAACCTCGTCTCTACTAAGAAAAAAAAAAAAAAAAATTAGCCGGGTGTGGTGGTGGGCGCCTGTAGTCCCAGCTACTCAGGAGGCTAAGGCAGGAGAATGGCGTGAACCTAGGAGGCAGAGCTTGCAGTGAGCAGAGATCGCGCCACTGCACTCCACCCTGGGTGACAGAGCGAGACTCCGTCTCAAAAAAAAACACACACGCAAAAAAACAAAGAACGAAAATATGGTGTATATGATACCATGGAATACTACTCAGCCACAACAAGGGATAAAATAATGGTATTCACAGCAACCTAGATGGAATTGGAGACTATTATTCTAAGTAAAGTCACTTAGGAATGGAAAACCAAACACCATATGGTGTCACTAATAAGTGGGAGCTAAGCTATGAGGACACAAAGGCATAAAAATTATACATTGGACTTTGGGGATTCGGGGGAAAAGGGTCGGGGGTGGTGAGGTATAAAAGACTACACACTGGGTACAGTGTACACTGCTCAAGTGATGGGTGCAGCAAAATCTCAGAAATCACCACTAAAGGACTTATTCATGTAGCCAAATATCACTTGTTCACCAAAAACCTATTGAAATAAAAAAATAATTTTCAAAAAAAAAAAAAAACAAGCAAAAAGAAAACTAATAAAAACTGTACAGTTCAGCTTTGTCCCCCCACTTTTTAACTTTTTGGTGTTTCTCTATATATATCTTATTGTACTGTCTATGTCTTGAAAAGTTTTTGTCATTATTTTTGATTGGTTTATCATTTAGTCTTTATACTTAGGATAAGAGTAGTTTCTACATCACAGTCACAGTGTTATAGTATTCTGTGTTTTTCTGTGTACTTACTATTATCAGTGAGTTTTGTACCATCAGGTGATTATATATTGCTCATTAACATCATTATCTTTCTGATTCAAGTATTCCCCTTAGCATTTCTTGCAGGACATGTCTGTTGTTGGTGAAACCCCTCAGCTTTTGTTTATCTGGTAAAGTCTTTATTTTTCCTTCATGTTTGAAGGATATTTTTGCCAGATATACTATTCTAGGGTAAAAGTTGTTTTCCTTCAGCACTTTAAACATGTCATGCCACTCTCCCCTGGCCTGTAAGGTTTCCAGTGAAAAGTCTGCTGCCAGACATACTGGAGCTTCGTTACATGTTATTTGATTCCTTTTTCTTGCTGCTTTTAGGATCCTTTTTATATCCTTGATCTTTGGGAGTTACACTATTAATGCCTTGAGGTAGTCTTCTTCGGTTTAAATTTGCTTGGTCTTCTATAACCTTCTTGTACTTGGATATTGATATCTTTCTCTTGGTCTGGGAAGTTCTTCATTAGTATCCCTTCGAATAAATTTTCTACCCCTATCTCTTTCTCTACTTCCTCTTTAAGGTAAATACCTCTTAGATTTGCCCTTTTGAGGCTATTTCTAGATCCTATAGGCATGCTTCATTCTTTTTTATTGTTTTTTTTTCTTTTGTCTCTTTTGACTGTGTATCTTCAGAAGAATAGCCTATCTTCAAGCTCACTAATTCTTTCTTCTGCTTGATCAATTCTGCTACTAAAAGTCTCTGTTGCATGCTTCAGTAAATCAACTGCATCTTTCAGCTCCAGAATTTCTGCTTGATTTTTTTGAATCATTTCAATCTCTGTTAAATTTATCTGATAGAATTCTGAATTCCTTCTCTCTGTTATCTTGAATCTCTTTGAGTTTCTTTAACAAAGCTATTCTAAATTATTTGTCTGAAAGGTCACACATCTCTGCTTTTCCAGGATTGGTCCCCTGTGGCTTATTTAGTTCGTTTGATGAAGTCATGTTTTCCTGGATGGTGCTGATGAGGCAGGAAAACAGGGTCTGGAGGAAGGGAACATAAGGTCAATTCACACTTCAGCTCTAACAGGAAATATCTTCTGCATAGGGCGTATACTGTAAATGACTTTGTAACTTTACTTCGTCCTCTCCATTTACATAGGGCATACCCAAAGTAACCAGTGGAATCCTCTAGGGGGTATTTAAACTCCCAAAAATTCCGTAACAGGGCCTTTGAGCCCCTATGCTTGGGCCTGCTCCCACACTGTGGAGTGTACTTTCATTTTCAATAAATCCCTTTATTCCTTCCTTGCTTTGTTTGTGCATTTTGTCCAATTTTTTGTGCAAGACGCCAAGAACCTGGACACCTTCTACCGGTAACACGGACACTAGATATTCTTCAGTGTTTGCGCATTGAAGAGATGGGTGTTTATTGTAATCTTCACTGTCTCAGCTTATTTGTACCCATTCTTGTGAAGGCTATCCAGATATTTGAAAGGATTTGGGTGTTATAATCTAAGTTGTATCTGCTTTAGGGGACATCCCAAGCCCAGTAGCACAGTGGTTCTTGCAGACTGGTGAAGGTACCACCTTGATGGTCTCGGATAACATCTAGGAGAATTCTCTGGATTTTCAGGTAGACACTCTTGTTCTCTTCCCTTACTTTTTCCCAAAGAAATGGGGTCTCTCTCTCTCTCTCTCTCTCTCTCTGTTCTAAGCAACCTAAAGCTGGGGGTGGGGTGACACCAGCACCCCTGTGGCCACCATCACTATGACTGCACTGGGTGAAGCCAGCACAGCGCTGGGTCTCACCCAACACCTGCTATAACCACTCCCTGGCTACTCCATATATTTGCTCAAGACCTGGGGCTCTATAATCAGCAGTGGCAAAGCCAACCAGGCCTATGTCTTTCCCTTCAGGGCAGCAAGTGCCCCTAGACCCCAAGTTTCATCCGGGAGTCAGGTACTAAGGTCAAAAACCCTAGAAGTCTACCTGGTATTCTACTGTACTGCATCTGAGCAAGCACTCAAACCACAAGATGCATCCTTCCCACTCTTCCTTCTCCTTTCCAAAGGCAGAGGAACCTCACCCCATAGCCACTGCTACCACTGGCTATGGGGAGTACTGACAGACTACTGCTGTTCCCTTAAGGCCCAAGAGTTCTTAAGTTAGCTTGTGGTAAGTATTGCCTGGCCCGGGGCTCACCCTTTCAAGGCAGTGGGCTCCCTTCTGGACCAGGGCAGGTCCAGAGATGTTGCATAAGAGTTAAGTCCCAGAATCGGGGACCCCCTAGAGCCTACTTGGTCCTCTGCCCGACAAAGTCCCCTTTACTTTTCCCTCTGCTTTTCTCAAGCAGGAGTTTCACCTTGTAGCCACCACAGCTGGTAATGTGCTGAAGCCAACATCTGAAGCCAGCAAATCCCAGAGGCTCATCCAAGGCCTCAATGCAGTACTTAGATATTGCTGCTGGTTATTCAGGGCCCAAGGGCTCTTCAATTAGCAGGTGATGACTGCTACCAGGACTGAGTCCTTCCCATCAAGGCAGTAGGTTCCATTCTTACCCAGGATGTGTCTAGAAATGACATCCAGGAGCTAGGGCCTGGAACAGAGGCCTCATGACTCTTACAGGTGCCCTATCCTGCTGTGACTGAGCTGGTATCCTAGATGCAAGACAACGTCCTCCCCACTCTTCCCTCTCCCCCTCTCAAGCAAAAGAAAGGGATCTCTCTTGGAGCCATGAGCTATGCAGCCTGGGATTAGGGGAAGGATGATGCCAGCACTCCCATAGCCATCCTGGCTAGTGTCTCAGTAGGTCACATGCCCCCCAAGTCCACTGCCTCTGGGCCTAGATCAGCTCTAAGACTCGCCTATGAGTTGCAGTCCACATGGCCTAGACTGCCTTTCAGGTTTATTTAGAGCACAGAGCACTTTAGCCTGCAGTGGTGAGGTTTTCTGGAACTCAATTTCAAACCACTGGGACCGGGAATTCCCTTCTGACCAGGGCCGGTTTAAATGCTCCCTCTGTGGGAGGGCGTCTGCTGAGTTCTGTCTGGTTTTTCTTTCTGCTCTATAACAGGACAGCACTGAGTTCACTGCCTCGCAATTGCTGTGCTCTCTCTCCCAGAGATTCCAATTTAATCACCCAGAGAAGCTCCTTGACCATGCTGCGGCCGCTGGAGGTGGAGGAGGGTTGGCATCAGCAATTCACAACTGTTTTTTCTATCTCTGCAGTGCCTCTGTTAGTAATATAGAGTTAAACCAGGTACTATGAGGGCTAACCTGATTTTTGGTTCCTATGAAAATGTTTTTTCTGTGTTGATAGTTGTTAACTTTCTGATCTGTGGAGCCTTCTATTCCACCATCTTGTTCCACCTCAGCCTCAACATGAGTTTTGGAGGGGACAAACATTCAAACAATAGCCTGTGTCTTGGAGAACTGTACCACCATTCCCCATTCCCCCACACCAGAAATCCTGGAGTCATTCTAAGCTCCTCCTTTGTTATCATCTTTCATAAAACAAGCCACCAACTAGGTATTTCTCAATTTCTCTCTTCCTCTCCATCCTTCCCAACACTCAAATTAATTTGTTTCTTATTTGAAACAGTCCCCAGAGGGGTCTCTCTGCCTTCATTTCCTTCTACCTTCTGCTACATCTGCTAGAAGAAAATCTTCCTAAAATGCAAATCTAAGTACATCATTCCCTGCTTAAAACAACTTTTTCAGCCATCACCCACACCCATTCCACTGCCTCTGAGATGAGTAGAAACTCCCAAGCACGGCACAGGTGGCTCCTGCCTTTCCGCAACATCATCTCCTGCAGCACCCCAGCCCCATTCCCCAGCCATGCTGACTTGCAGTTCCCCCTTGGTGGGTCAGGGCACCAGGAGTACCCTTTCTCTCCTACCTGCCTAACTGACACTGTGTTCCCCAAACAGCTCAAGCATTACCTCCATAAAACTTCTTCTGTCCTGATCCTCCTCCAGGCTAAATTAGACGCCCGTCTTCTGACTCCCATTCTACACAAAGAAGTTCAGTTCCGCTCTATGTGAGACTATTCGGAGCTTCTCAACTCCAACTACACATTAAAATTCACCCAAGCACCTGAGAACGCAACTGCAGTGATTCCAATTTAATCAACACAATTATCCTGTGCATGGGGCTTGGTGCTTCTCAAATGGTAATGTAAGGGCCAATCACCTGTGGATCTTTTTAAGATGTAAATTCTGATTCAGCAGGTCTGGCTAGCATCTGAGATTCTTCATAATTAATAAGTTCCTAAGTGATGTAAATGCTAGTGGTCCATAGAGCACACTTGGAGGAGCAAGGGTGATAAACTGTGACAGTGGCTGGCCATCCATAGGCAATAAAGCTGTTAGTAGCCAGAGCAACTACAAAAAGACTCCTCCTTTCAAGGAAAGACTTTGCTAAAACAACATCCATAAATAGCCTGGCTCCAGGAAAATGTATGAGTATCTGTGATAACTGTAAAGCCAGGGTTTGTAGAAGCTACTGTCACCTAAGGATCTAAAGTTCAGAGAAGAAAAGTGACTTGCCCAGAATCACATAGAGAGTCAATAGCAGAACAGAGGTCCCAACTCAGGACACTTGATCCTCATTCTGTACACTGTTCAGTGTACTCAGTGCCTAGGGAGAGACATCAAAGATGCTACTGCATTAGGAAAGTAGCAGGAGGGACACAATCAAGACTGGAAGGACCCAACTAAGAACTTCAAAAGAGATTCCAGCCAAAAGTTGCTGGTGGAGATAATGAGGAAACTGACCACTTCAGTCCAAGTTTAATAGATGTGTATTGGGTCCCTGAATGGACTTAACCTTGTCCAAGTATGGTGAATGATGCTGGAAAATGTATACTGTGGAACTCTGGACTATTCTGATGCCTCTTAGCACCTTGAAGGCAGCAGGAATGAAGACATAATTTTATTACTTCCAGCACCTAGCACACTGCCTCACACATAGAATTCAGCCCATGGATATCTGTGAATAAAGCCTAACCAGTGAAGGCCTTGGCTTTCTTTGCTTGGCAAATACTTTATCTGTCTGTGTTGTGGCCAGCCTCCTTCCTACAGGATGACATGGTACCAGCCAGCTGCTGAACTGTCCCATGTAAAGATTGCCTCAAGTTTCTGGGTGGGGGCTGGATCAAGTAGAAGTGTGATACAATGCATGATTCCAAGCCCTTCCCACATGCGCCTCTAAGATACAAAGGTTATAGGCTTAAACATAGTAGTGTTCGTTCTCACTTAGAGAAACAGGCAGAAGTCAAGGAGTTTTATTAAGTTGTCGGGGAGGGAGGAATTAGAGATGAATTTGTTCTCCTGCCAGAAAAATTGTTTTCCAAAGACAAGAGAACCATTGAAGGGTAAGCCACATTGCCTAGAGATTGAGAGCATGTGCTTAAGAATCAGATAGATCTGAGTTGTGTCATCTCTGCCACAGACTCATCATTTTGGGCAGGTTACTTAACCTTACTAAGCCTCAGCTTCTTCATCTATAAAATAAAGAAAATAAGTAACTTTCTATGAGGATTGCTGTAAGGATTAAATGAGGTAATTGTATAAAGCACTTAGCATGTGTCTATGGCTCTGCAGATGTTAAATAATAATAGCTCAGCAATAGCACTGCAATAAACTGAATGTTCATGTCCTCCGAAAATTCATATGTTGAAATCTTAACCCTCAAGTTGACGGTATTAGGAGGTGGGGACTTTGGGAGATGAGTAGGTCATTGTGGGGAAGCCCTCATGAATGGTATCAGTGCCCTTATAAAAGAGACACCAGAGAGACCCTAATCCCTTCCACCATGAGAGGACAAAGCAAGAAGACGCCATTTATAAACCAGGAAATGGGCCCTCACCAGACACTGGATCTGCTGGCATCTCAGTCTTGGGACTTTCCAGCCTCCAGAAATGTGAAAATACCTTTCTGTTGTTTATAAGCCACTCAGTTTATGGTATTTTGTTATAGCAGCCCACATGGACTAAGACAAGCACCACTGGAGAAAGCCTTCCATGCCAGTTGTGGTTGCACGACTAATTCTAGAAACAAGGTTGTGGCCACCATTTATAGCTCAGATTTCTTTCCTTGCTAGATTATGCAAAGACTGAAAAAATATCTTCCCATTCTTGTTTTTTTTTAAAAAAACAAAACAAGAAAATTTTTTCTTGTTTAATAGTTTTATTAAAAATTGTATTAAAATTTATTTTTTAAAGAAAATAGGGTTTATTATTTCATTCTAATTATCTTAATCATATTCTGTTTGTGGTGAATAATAACACTTAGGTAGGATCACAATGCAGCTGAAGAGGGAATGGACAGTAATGGTAGACAATAAGTAGAGAGACTGATGAGCACTCTTGCACAGACACTGAGATGTCTTTCCACAGAGTCATTCGGTGTCTCTGCCAATTGCCCCTCCACATCCACTCTCCATCCTTCACTCAGCTCCCTGCCTGGAGGCTGACCTGTCCTCAATATATCAGCATGGCTTGTGTACCTTCTGGCTGTGGTTGGGTTTGGCCATTGGAGGTCCCATACGGGAAATAGGAATACGGAAACAATGAAAGCAAGATCAGTATTTACCTGGATCTCTCCCTGCAGGGTAGCCTCAAGCTGACTGTGCCCCTTGATTTAAAATCGTTTAATCGTCTCAATGTGGTTGACTCAATGTGAGTCTCTCTTTTTTCAGTTTTCAAAAACCATCCTCTCTTCCATCCCTTTGAAACTACAGGTGATAACAGTTTTAATGCTACAAGATTTGGGTTGCTGCACTATAACTAGTGGTTCTCCTCACCAATACTTTTATAATAGTCTCTTTATCAGTGAGCCTCATTGGACTATATTATTTTCAAAGGATCATCCATTTCCTCTTGGAACCCTGTGCTTTGGGTCACTTCTATGTCAGAAGTAAAGTGAACATCCACAGACATGCATATGATAGAACATGCTAGGACAGGTATCTTTGTACATATAGGAAGAGGAGTGTGTGCATGGCAGCAAGGATGAAATGGATTGGAGACAGCAATATAGATGCCCAACATGCCCACTTCCCCATCTACCTTAAACTACTCACCCATGATCTAGACCTTTCTTTGCAAAAGAATGTCAACTGGTTGAGCAAGGTTAGGTTCAACCATTAACAACCTCTAGTTTAACCTGGTGGGACTGTTCTGCTTCCCTAGCTGGGAAATCAAAACTCAAAAATGTGTTATCTGCATGCCTGGGAGACAGAGAAGTGCAGATGTTCAGAAGGCTGAGTAAGGTTAACAGTAAAGAACTAGAGTGAGGAGAATAATGTGTTCCTGCCTTTCCAGTCACCTGTCTTTTGCACCAAGCCTGCCCTTCCTGGGTCCAAGTCATAAAATTCTGTCAAATCTCTACACGTGGGAAATTAAATGCATCTCTGGTCCTTATTCAAAAATAAACAAGAAAATAATACACCCCTGTTTATGCACTTAGTGAATACATGTTATGATTAGCAGTCCAGATGGTAGCAGAAGAGGAGGTGAGCCTGCAAATGTGACCTCCACACTCAACATAAAGATGCTTGTCCTTGAGTGTTGCCCAGTGATCTTGTGCACTAGGCAATCACACCTGAAAACCTTCATCTAAACTAAAGTCATCCCGCTTCTTAGTAGAAGGGAGATCACTCAGAACCAATAAGTCTCCTCAAGTCTCCAGCATCCAGAGATAAGGCCTCCACAGCCAGCGCAGGCAAGGTAAAGAACTACAGCTCTCTCACTGTGTCCTATACAAAAGATGATAAAACATCCAGAGAGAAAAGGAAGGCAGGGTATCTCTGAAAAGGCAGGTTGTGAGAGAGCAATCAAAACACTATGTAGGGGAAGAAAAGGAAGTGGAATTAGGGCTGCAGGCCTCTGCTCCCTAAGCTGGGAGGACAGTAAAGTTCACCCCAATTCCATTTCAGTAAGACTCTTTTTAAGCATCTCCAACTCTTCAATTCTCTATCTTCAATAGCCTTTTCATCTCTCAAGGTCCAGATCAAATGCCTTCTTCTCTGTGGAGGCTTCTCACTCCCAGTCAAAATTAACTGTTCCTTTCTCTACATGCTTTAAAGCACACTAACCCTCTCTTTAGTACTCTATATGTTGTAAGATATGTACGTGTTTGCCTTCCCCAAATCATCTGTGAGCTTGCTAATGACAGGGATCTGTCTCAGTGATTTCTGAGTAAAAACAGGCCCTGGATCATAGTAGAAGAGTATTAAATGTTCACTGAGTTTGACAATAACAGACTTTTGCTACCAACAAGAAATTGACCAGCCCTCCTTCCTTCACCTCACCTCAGCCCCTTTTTCCAGGTATGTCACTGGTGGGAAAATAAGGGTGTCAGCAATACATGTATAGCTGACTGTCACCCTGTCTTATCCCAGGTTGCTCCACTTTTTGAAGCAAGCTTCCCTTCCACAAGACAAGGGCTTGTGGGAACAGAAGTGGGTAGGGGTCTGGGTGCTGGAAAGAGTGAAATAAAAAAGAAGAGAAAGACAAAATCAGGTGTGTTATCAAGCTGGTTCTTTCTTGGGCAATGGGGTTCCCTCTCACTGGGAACACTCTGAAGAATCATGTAGAAAGCACCTCAGAATCATCCCCTGAAGAGAAAGAACAGGGGAGAATGTATCCATATTACCCATTACCTATTGGCCAAGAGCTGCCTATTAGATCTTACCTTTCTCACACTTGATGTGTGTGGCTATGAATGACTGAGCAAATTTCTGCAGGTATCCTAGGTGATGGTACTAAAGATGCCCCAGGACAGAAAGCAAGTGATAAATAGTGCAGCTGAGGTGAGACAGGGTCAGGTTACACCTGAACACAGATGGCTGCCAAAGCAAAAACTAGAATAAAAAAGTGGTCCAAGAGAATCTGAGTGGGTGCACAAGAAGCATTTGATACACACATGCTATGATAATTTTATCAGCCTTTTGTCATTTTTATCCATCTTAGAGAATGTGTCACTAATTCTAGGATTAGTGATTGTTAAATTGTGTTAGGTAAAAAAATAAAAAAATTATTGGCTGATATAACTAGGATTTTCCCAAGTCTCACCAGGCTGCAAGTACAAAGTCATGATAAACATTCAAATTTCAATGGCTCTAACCCTCTATCTAGCCCTCTAGCTTCCTGCGACCTTCTCACAGTTATACCTCCAAGCCTCCAGAGGGCACGGCACATACACACTTAGAAATCAAACTGTCTGTCCACCATGTTCTTCCTCTCCCATTCCAGCCCCTCTTCTGTAGGTCCTTCTGCAAGCAGTCAAACCAAGCCCACCCCAAGACTGCACCATGTTACCTTCCCTGCTCCCAAATCTGCCAGACCCTCCAGTTGCGAAGATAGCACATTTCTTCCCATTCTCCCTGTGCAGGAGCTATACTGTGGTTCATACAGACGTGGGAATATGCTTCTGTACCCCAGTCACACTGGGCTGGGAGAGTACATGTGGTGCTGCTACTGACCAGAGGCTCAGTCATGGAAGACAGTGTCTTCAGCTTCAGCCCTAGTCCAAGGAGCTGGCCTACTCTCTCCCCCTTGTTGTCTCTCCCCAGGGTCCACCACCAGCAACACAGCTCACACAAAATGGCCTCCTTCCTCCTCAAGCCAAAAGTATATACCATCATGCAAATAAATTCAAAAATCCCAGCTGCTGGCAGCCCATCTCAGCAGTGCACTGGACTTGCCTGGGCAGATCTGAACTCCAGCAGTGCCCACAGCCACAGCAGAGGCCATATCCTCACTACCAAAGCAACTATCTGAGAGCTTCTATAAGCCAGCTGTTGTGTGCATTGTGGCTTAGAATTCTGAGGATACAGTTTAGCACTGAAAACTTCTAAGGCTTTTTGTTTTGTTTTTTCCCTTCTACTACAAAGTGAAATCCCACCAGATGTGCTGAGTAGCTTTTATCCTGGCATTCTTTCACATTACTTCACTTTAAACAGAAATGAGGTTTTTGGTTAGAGAAGGTACCTAACCTCAAAGACCCATGTAGTATGAGTAACTCTAAGGCACAACAGGTTTCCTGGGATATGTTTTTAAATGACAAAGTTTCCTAAAAGTAAACTCAGTGGACATTCAACATCAGTCCTCAATTGTGGCTATTAAAAAAAAAAAAAAAAAGGCCAGGTGCAGTGGCTCACGCCTGTAATCCCAGCACTTTGGGAGGCCGAGGTGGGCAGATCACGAGGTCAGGAGATCGAGACGGTGAAACCCCATCTCTACTAAAAATACAAAAAATTAGCTGGGTGTGGTTGCGGGCGCCTGTAGTCCCAGCTACTCGGGAGGCTGAGGCAGGAGAATGGCGTGAACCCAGGAGGCGGAGCTTGCAGTGAGCCGAGATTGCGCCACTGCACTCCAGCCTGGGGGACAGAGTGAGACTCCGTCTCAAAAAAAAAAAAAAAAAAACAAAATGTGCTCACAGTGGCATGCTACAGCGTGGTCCAGCTATTTGAAGAACAATAGCTGATGAAAGCCAAAAGCAAAAGAAAATAGCAATAAAATAAGGTGGCATGTTGACAGCTGAGATCTAGTATGACATCTGTGGGTGGTGCTGTGGCTCCAGGATTAGATTGTTCTCACTTCAAAAGAGACATCCATGAACTCTGTCAATCAGCAACTCAGTCATACATACATAAAACATTTTCCCCTACCACACTCTGTTAAAAAAAAAAAAATCCTTAAAGATGACGCTAAGGAAACATTGTGCAGATCATATATGTCCCAGTAAAAGGCAGCATTTTTCTCCTTGACTAACTTACAAACAGCTTCAATTTTTATCCAACATTTATTGTGCCTCACTTTTACAAAAGGAATTCAATTTATTATTCTCCGTGGACTTCAAATAAAAAAGTAACATCAAAGTCTAATAGAAAATGAAAGCTCTCATTCAGACATTATTTTGTTTTCCTCCCCCAAGCAAATATTTGCACTTGCTGGAGGAGCTTATGCTGATGTGTCTCTAAATTGAATGTATTTTTTTTTATGAGAAGGTAAGTAGCCGGGAACAAAGGGACACAAAACAGGGTTCCCCTGTGCTCTCTTCCAAGTGACCTCCAGCCCACTGTGCGGATGGCATGTTTAAAAGGAAGATGATTTGGTCTCCATGGAGGCTCAGTTTGTGGCCTTTGCTTTGGCAGATTGACAGCTGTGCTAAATGATGTTGAAATTACATGTAATAGATTTTAGATTATGACTATTGTCCACTAGGGACTGAAGTGCCCCATGCAGTGAGAGGAGGCTGTTAGGTGATCTTAAGCTTCACTCGACAGTAAAAAGGCATGAGTTTTTCTTATTTTAAATTGACCTTTTTGTTTGTTGAGCGAGGCGGTAAGTAACAAAGTAGTTTAATTAGAAGCCGCAGGTCCAGAATAACCACTGTCACTCTTCTAGAATGAAATCCAAACATGTTCAATACAATTCTGGCCACAATTCTTCCCCCATTGTAAAGCTAAGTATACAAGAAATGCTCAATTTTTCAGTGCCATAATAGCAAATTAGCATAGAATTACCCCCAAACTGGCATTTGGAATTGTATTCTTTGTAGGACTAGTGGGTCACTGACTTTCTGCAGATACTGATTGATTGACATGCTTGACTTTTGTATGTATATTTGCTTAGTTTTCATGAAGGAGGAGAATGGGATTTGTATGAGGATGCTCAGGAGAGAGGAAAGCAATGGAAAGAATGCTGGTGTCAACCGCCAAGGAAATGGAATAGATAAGGAAGGGCAGACTTGAAGCTGCGCACAATTGAGATGGGCCTCCGGAGATTCCCAGAAATAACTGGGGGAGGCTCTGAGGAGCTGAGTGCCTGTATGAGAAGCAGACATGTCATATCTGGAAAATGTGCCGTAAAAACAAACAAACAAACCATATGTGTACTCAAAAATTGGGAGGCTGGGAGACACAGGTTATCCTATGTACCCAGGTTTAAACAGCATTCTTTTTGTCACATTACACATAACATAGCTTATACCCTGCCTTTTTCCTTTTAGAGAAAAGTGTGTTTTCTCAATAATTAACACCTCTGCCCAAATGACTCGAACCTCTTTACAGGAAACAGTTTATGAGGCAACTGGATAAAGAAGTAGGAAGAGGACAGGAGGATAAAATGAGTTAGAAGGATATTTTACATTTCATCAAAATATAAAATAGCACTTCATGTTTGTCTCCTCCAGTGTACCATCACCAGCACCCCAAAATAAAGCCTGCATCATATGGAGACAGGCCAGTATATGTATCGGTTCCAAAAAGACATTTCAAGAACTGTGATCTGAAGTTCATCCACAGTCAAGGTAGGCTGTTCATGATGCAGTCTAGTCACACCCAGGAGAAGTCTGGAGTCCTGTGGCCCAGAGCCAACAGCATCCGCACCACCTGTGAGCTTGTCAGAAATGCAGAATCCCAGGCCTCACTTAAGACCTACCACATCTGCCCTTTTACAAGATCCCAGGTGATTCATGTGCACATTAAAATTCACATCCAGCTTAGATGACCACCCTTTAAAGGTATTGGGAAAGGCAGAAAGGGAAAACTTAAAATAGAGAAGAATTCTGAAAATAATGAAGGTGGTATCTCTCCTTTAATTTCTTGCCTCTCGCACTAAGAAAGCAGCTTCCCAACATGCAAAAGAGCATGTGTGTAAGCAATAAAGGGAAATAAGATACATATATATATATATATATATATATATATATATATATATATATATATCTGTTTCTCTTTACAAAAAAAAAACACAGGAGAGATTAATCAGGAAACACTGAATCTGGTTATTTATGAGGTATAACAGGAGACAGTGGGGTAGAAAGGCTATAGGGGAAACTGATGCTTCTCTGGATATACCTTTTAGCATAGCTTTAACTTATGGAGGCATGTTTTACATATTCAAAAAGCAAAATGAGCCAGGCACAGTGGCTCACACCTGTAATCTCAGCACTTTGGGAGGCCAAGGCGGGCGGATCACTTGAGGTCAGGAGCTCAAGACCAGCCTGGCCAACATGGTGAAACCCCGTCTTTACTAAAAATGCAAAAAAATTAGCTGGGCATGGTGGCGCACACCTGTAATCCCAGCTACTCAGGAGGCTGAGGCAGGAGAATTGCTTGAGCCCAGAAGGCGGAGGTTGCAGTGAGCCGAGATCACACCACTGCACTCCAGCCTGGGCGACAGAGGAAGACTCTGTCTCAAAAACCAACAACAAAAAAAAAGCAAAATGAAATCAACAATGATGGGAAGAGGAAAATAAAACCCTAAAACCTAAAGCAAACTAAAACAAATGAACCAATCGTGTTTCAAGTGAATACCATAACCATAGTGAAGGAGAAAAAACAAAACAAAACAAAGAACTAATCCAAGTAATTTATGAACGTAGTATTTTTGACTGTATACCCCTAGTCATAGACAAGATTGAGGTTAGAGAGAGCAACAAACAAATCCTGAACTCTTTTTAATACATTTATTACTTATACAGGTATTGGCAAAACAATTCTGAAACTATTTTAAATGCATTATAGAACTAAACAGATGAGTAAATGTATTGATGTTGTCCACAGCCAAGGGTTAATGCCTGCTTGAGACACACTAACGGCACAGGGTAAGAGTTGCTCCCCAGAGCCTAGCATCAATCATGATTTACTCAGGAATAGAGACAGAAGCAGTTTCATACAGACACACAGAAGAGAAAGAGAAGTGAAAATGGAGTCAGAGATTAGGGTAATGCAGCCACAAGCCAAGAAATACCTACAGCCACTACAAGATGGAAGAGACGAGGAACAGATTCTCCCCTTAGAACCTTCTGAGGAAGTGTGGCTCTGCCCACACCTTGATTTTAGACTTCTGGCCTCCAGAACTGTGAGAATACATTTCCGTTGTCTTCAGCCATGAAGTAGGTGACAATTTGTTACTGTAGCCTCAGGAAAGCTGCAAAGTGGGTATATTATTATCTTTACTTGCCAGGTAAGGAATGAGAGGCATGAATAGGTCAAGTAACCTGCCCAAGGTCAAGAACTAGTGAACAGTGAAGACAGTACTAGAACCCAGGAAATCTGAGCATAAAGACAGCCCTTATAACCTCTATTTCATACCCTTTCTATCAACTAGTGCTTAAAGAAGATAACTATATATAGTAGATATCCTTCCATGTTAAAATGTGATTAAGTAGAAAAGCAAGTTACAGCACTCTATGTAAACATAATTTGGTGAGTGAGCATGGAATCTCACCTCAATAAAAGTTCATAGATTTGCTGGATAAAAAATTATAAGAAATAAATTCCTAATTGGGCTCAGAAAACAGAAACATTCCCAATAGGCAGAAATTAAGAAGGAACATAAATCCAAACTGATAAGCTTGTGAGCAAGGGCTGGAGTTTAATATCCATGAGGGTGCAAGCAACTTAGTTTCAGAATGCACAAGGAAGGGAGTAGGAAGTGAAACCCTCAGATAAAGCCAGGATTCCTGAAGGGCTGTCCCTCAGTAAAGTGGACTAGATAGACTCCCTGATTAGCTCAGAGAAGGAACAAAGAAGTTTGTCTTTATGGGGAAACAGTCCTCCATTAGAAATAGCAGGCCCAGGCCTGTTCCACACATGTACATGGGCTCTGAATTTATAAAACCCACATGGTACAGGAACTTCCAGCCAATAAATTAATGTAAAAATGGGCCCCATATAAGTGAAACCCTGGAGCTTCTAGCAAAAGCAAACACAAAACTGTTTAGAAATAAGACTTCTAATACCTAAAGGATACAGAACATTCTAAGACATACAGACACACACACAAATAAATAAATTCTGACTGAAAATAAGCTGACAATAAAAAATTACAAAACGTAGTAGAAAAAGAGTTACCATAAGGAAGGGTCAGCAGTCATTGCAAAAGGAAAGATTTGTATGATCGATAACATAACAACCTAAAAGAGATTGTTAAATAATTGTGGTTTCAACTAAAAAGATTTGAAACCATAAGGAAAGGACAGGCACTGTGCCAAAAAAAAAAAAAAAAAAAAAAAAAAAAAAAAAATGAGATAACTTCTAGGCCAGACACGGTGGCTCACACCTGTAATTCCAGCATTTATGGAGGCTGAGGCAAGCAGATTACTTGAGGTCAGGAGTTCGAGACCAGCCTGGCCAACATGGCAAAATCCCGCCTCTACTAAAAATACAAAAAGTAGCCAAGTGTGGTGGCAGGCGCCTATAGTCCCAGCTACTGGGGAGGCTGAGGCAGGAGAATCTCCTGAACTCTGGAGGCGGAGGTTGCAGTGAGCTGAGACCATGCCACTGCACTCCAGCCTGGGCGACAGAGCAGGATTCCATCTCAAAAAAAAAAAAAAAAAAAGAAGGAGAGAACTTCTAGAAATGAAAATGATGTAAAACTCAACGAACAGGTTAAAGAGTAAAAATGGCTGAGAACACAGATGTAAAAAAAAATCATTCAAAATGCAGCAATAAGAGATAAAGATATAGAAGATATGAGAGATACTTACATAAATTTAACACAAAAGAAAATAAGAGAGAGAGGTTAAGAGAGTTGAGAAGTTTTAAAATACATCTCATTTAAATTCCAGGAGAGAAATTAGAGTATGAGGTAAAAGCAACAATCAGAATAAAATGTCTGAGAATTTATGAGACTTGATGAAAGACAGGAGTATCAATCAGAGTTTAGGCAGAAAGCACACTCAAACCAGGTAATTGAGAAAGGTTTTTTAATAAGGTGACTTTTTTTGTTGTTGTTTTTGACACAGTCTCGCTCTGTTGCTCAGGCTGGAGTGCAGTGGCGCAGTCCTAGCTCACTGTAACCTTGAGCTCCTGGGCTCAAAGAATTCTCTCACCTCAGCCTCCCAAGTAGCTGGAACTACAGGTACTGTTTTTTGTTTTTTGTTTTTGTTTTTGTTGTTTTTAGAGTCTCGCTCTGTTGTCCAGGCTGGAGGGCAGTAGCACGATCTCAGCTGACTGCAACTTCCACCTCCTGGGTTCAAGCTATTCTCGTGCCTCTGCTCCCGAGTAGCTGGGATTACAGGTGCGCCACCATGCCCAGATAATTTTTGTATTTTTAGTGGAAAGCTTTCACCATTTTGGTCAGGCTGGTCTTGAACTCCTAACCTCACGTGATCCACCCACCTCAGCCTCCCAAAATGCTGGGATTACAGGCGTGAGGCACTGTGCCTGGCTTTTTTTTACTTTTTGTACAGATGAGGGTCTCCCTATGTTGCCCAAGTTGGTCTTGAACTTCTGGCCACAAGAGATCCTCCTGCCTCCACCTCCCAAAGTGCTGGGATTACACGCGTGAGCCACCATACCTGGCCTAAAGCAACTATTTTAAAAGGTGAGAGCAAGGCAAAGGGAAAACAACAAGGGACGGAGGGACCACTGAGAGCAAGGATTCGAAGAGGCAAGGGGAGGGAGAGGCCACCAGAACTCAGAGAAACTGTATGAAGGTTGTCCAGAAGCATAGCTGTGCCCTCAGTGGAGGGACGCATCCAAGCCCTGGTAAACTAGCCGGAGGGAGCCTGGAGAATAACACCTCCACCTCACTCTCCTCACACCCTGGGAGCTTCTGCAGGTGCCTCTCATAGATGAAACTGTACTGAAAGTCAAAGGGCCAGGAAAGATGCAATCCATCCATTAGCTTTCTGGGTTCAGGGCCTGTAGGTGAAGACCCCTTTACCTGAACAGCTCCCTACTATAGCTGTACGGTACTTACCAGTTTTCCATAACTCTGTCCACCTTTATAGATAGTCCCTAGGCATTGTAAATAGGCAGTGTGCCATCTGCTTCCTGCAAGGACTTTGACAGCCTTTATTGATAGGCACACGCACACACACACACGTGTTATATAAGTGGATAGGAGAAGGGAGAGGAAAGAGAGAAACAGGGAGGGGAAAGAGAGCAAGAGAGAGAGAGAGGAGAGACTAAAAATAAGTATACCAAAGTGCAACCATTTTGATCTTTGGGTTTATTTTCCTTTTGCTTACTATATTTTCTAATTCTTTTATAGTGAACATGGAGTATAATGGCACAAAAGATAGATCTTTTAATAATACTGAATCTGTCAAAATTGTGGATTCCTAACCGATTCATTTGCTACTAGACTGACATCATCCCTAACTCAGACTCCCTGTCAGAGCTAAAGACTAAATCAGTGATGTAGCTGTGGGGAAAAAAGAGGGGAGGATTCAAATCAAGTATTAGGCAACAGTTTGTAAGTAGTGAATTATCTTATAAACAGGGTTATATGTATCCTTGCTTAAGCTCAGTAAAATACAATCTCTAAAAAGTGCATGGCTGAGTTTGTGAAGTTGGCATCCAGGCCTGTGAAAGGCAACAAGAAGTCCTATGCAGCCTAGATCGTAGCTTAGGTTTCAGACATGTAAAAATAAATTTTATCCTCATGATTCAACCTGAGGAAACTGATTTTAAAAAAATAAAAACAAAAAAATAAGTTTTGTATTTAAAAAACAACAATAAAATTACATCTCTGACTGTCTAGAATCCTTCAAGAAATGAGGAGCTGAACTTTTACCTTGGCCAAAATTGAAGATGGACATTATGTTCATAAATGCTTGCTAGATTTTTTAAATCTACACACACAGCTAATCATTGCCCGAAACTCAAATATCCATATGATGGAACTTGAGGTGAAATCTGGCTTTTGATGGATTAGAAGGCAGGTCCTCATTTCATCTCTTGCTTCTGTTGCTACCTGGAATGTGACACATTCTTGATTACAGCACAATAAACGGGCTTGGATTCAGAGGAAATAGCGCCATCTACTGCAACACCACTCAAATACTAGTTCACTGTGCTTTCCCCACAAGCCTTTCACTTCATTGTTCTAGCTCAGACTAGCTTGTGAGAATTAACAAGATTTGGGTTGGAGGTTGGAGGGAAGGGAACCATGGCCACAGGCCAACACTTAACTGTATTAAAAATCCCAAGTCTTTAGTGAGAATTATTTGTTATTAACATTGTAATGCTATTAAGCAGGGATAATTGATGGAAGCCATTTTACGAGGCACTCAAATGCAAGTGTCAATTTCTTGGCATTTATATGAGAAATGACATCATCAGCCCAATTCTCTGATGAGGAGTGCAGGAGGATATAAAAGCCAGTAGAGACAGTTATGAGCCCTTGGGTCCTTAACAGCAGCTGCTACTTCCTCACGCCCCTACCCATACCATTGGAGAGATTATTATACCCAAGTCCTACTTTCGTCCTTTATCTGAGATAGCAACTCACATTCAGGTGAGGGAGACAAGAGGAGGCATTGCAGCTACACATATGTTCATCTTAAATTCTGCAAAAAGTAGACTTTTCTACATCTGAAGCAGGACAGAATAATAGGCATAAGTTCAGAGAGCAGGCAAGCCATGGGACTTGGTGGGTCAGGCAGGATCACAGAAGATTCCACTAATAATTGACAGATAGCTTCACAAGAGACCAGCTGTCGGCCCCGTATGAGATGAAATGCAAATACAGCTGTCTTTGGACTTTGGCTCAAACCCTGCTTGGCATGCAAATGCACATGTACCTCTTCCAGCTCTAAAATTCTATGGCAGCTCACTTACACTTACATTAAACCGTGTAATAAACAGAAAACCTGGCTCAGAGCAGCATCAAAACCAGAGTCCCCTGGCCTTTCTCACTCCTTCTTGAATTCCTACCCCATCACTCTGAAGGCTTGAGAAGTTTCTTGCTCAACAGCTACATCTTTGGGTCTACAGAATTGCCTAACTGTATTATTCCTCTTGCTGGATTCTCTTTATTATAAAACTAGAATCTTGGGGGTTGGGGAAAAAAGCCTCAGTGCCTCCACAAAGAAAGTTAATATCTATATTAAGTAATTATTAATGCCACATTTCACACCTTTCACCACTTGGTCTTTCATTCTTCCTGCCCAGTTAAGAGTCACCTCACACTCACACTTTCACCCATTCATTTGTTGGTTTTTCAAACCATCTATGCTAAATTCTACCATCTGGCTGTTTGAGTGCAATGACCTAGTAGCTGGGTTTTATGGATCTCCAACAAAGAGTGAAATACACTGTATTATGTGAGCAAAGTCTTAGACTGTGAATTGGCATGATGCCTTGCTACTTTTCTTGACTCATCTTTGGGTGTTTTACCTAGGAGTAGACTTTGAAGAGTCTATCACACACCCAATGAATCTGCAGCTTGACCTGGTGCTCCTGGCCACTTGTCCATTTCCACATGGGAACAGTTAGACAGAATCACGTATACACTTTTGGGGGTGGGGAAACAAAAACTCAAAAGCCTTCAACTTTCTGTGGTGCTCGGCAGTCCTTCTGGATGTCCCTTTCTCATTCCTCACATCAGCAATTTCTTAAACTTTATCTGCCTTTCTAAGTTTCTTGTCTCACCCCCTCCCTCCTTCTGCACAGAGGGGAAAATGAGGACTTGAGAACTGAGCTCCTTTCATTTCCTCCTCCCCCATCTCCATCTCTTTGCCCCCACTCCTAAACACATCACTGTCCCTGTGACATGTTCCTCCTTTTATCCAGGACTAATCCTTTCACCTGAGCTTCCAGCCTTAGAGACTTGACTCCATCATCATCATCTCTCATGCTTCTCCATCTCTAGAATTTTTTCATTCAGGAGTCTCACAGTTCTCAAATGTGAAAGGGAAAAAAAGAAAAAGAGAGGAAGGACAGAAGGAGGGAAGGAGGGAGGGGAGGGGAGGGAAGGGAAGGGAAAAAAACTTCCTCAAGACAACATCTCCTCTGATTTTCACCAAATCTCTTTCCTCCCCACACAGACAAAATACCCAACAGAGTATGAGGTCTATTTGTGTCTCCATTTCCTCACCAACTGCTCTTTCAGCAACTCAATGCCATCCTGATTCAGCTTCCACCACTGCACTTAAACCTAACTGAGGTGTATTTGTGCCATTGTATGTGTGGTGCATCACACCTGCCTGGTTTATGGTGAAAGCGCCATGAGTGTTAGCATAGAAACAAAACCTCTCTGGCCAATCTCCTCCTAATTGGTAAACCAAGTGGGCACTTTCCAATTTTTCCTTCAATTGACTTTTCTCCACCAGCAGTGCTTCCTCAGACATCTTCTCCCACACTGGCTTCCAAGTCCTTTCCCTCTCCTGAAGTTTCTCCTACCTCTGACTCCATGCCTTTAATCTTCATCTCTTGGCTATGTACTCTTGCTGGGGACTTCAGCAACTCTCATAAGAGCAATTACCATCTATATGATCATAAATGTAACATGGTGCAGTGATGACTTACAGTCTATACCTGCATCCCAGAACTCTATTATTTTCATTCCACAAACATAATAAGTTCTTACTATGTGCCAGTTTAATAGTCCTCCCCATAGGAACTCTCCATTGAAATGATCCACAGGCATCTAAACTCAGCATGTTCAAAACTTAAATTATTGTGCCACACACACACACACACACACACACAGTCATATTATTCTTCTGTCTTTCCTTTTTAAGTAAGTGGTACCACCCATGCACCAAGTCAACCAAATGAGAAATGTAGTAACAATCTTAAAATCTCTTTTCACCCACACCTACATCCAAATAGTCACCAAGTCCTGTGGATTCTACCTCCTAAATTCCCTAGAATCACTCCCCTCCTCTCCAGTCCACTGTCCCACCTCAGTTAAGCCTCCACCCTTTTTCACCGGCATTACTGCAAAGTCTCTTAATTGGCCTCTCCTTTCAGTCTTAGTCTCGGCCAAACAATTCTCCACACTGGCCTTTCTAAAATAAATCTAATAATAGCACCTCTCGGTCTTAAAAAATTCTGTGGATCTCTACTGGCCTCAGATAAGATCCAAACCCATAAAAATGCCAATGATCCAGCTCCCAGCTACCTATCTAGGATCACATCTCAACACCCCACTCTCCTACCTATATTCAGTGCCTGTGGTTTCCCATGCTCCCTCACTCTTTCATAACTCGGTACACACTGGTACCTCTACTCAAAGCCTCTTTACCCTCTTATTGTCTATCCAGATTTGTTCACACTCCCAGACTCAGATCAACTGTTGTGTCCCTAGAATATTTCCTCTGCCTTTCCCCTCACATCCCCACTCTGAATTACGTGCTGCGTTCTTGGGAATTCCAAAGCATTCTTTGGAATGTTGATACTTCTCTCTACCCTGGCACTTATCACACTTTCTTATGTTTCGTATCCTCTACATTGTAACCTGCTTGAAGCCAGGAATCATTGCTACTCAGTATCTCCAGTCCTATCTCAGTGCCAGGAACATAGTAGATATCCAGTAAGTGTGTGTTGAATAAATGCTTGTAGAATGGAAGATTTACAGTAAAAAGCTTCCCCAGGCTTCATCAGCTATGGACACCAATGAAGTCATAGTCACAATATTAACTCAAAGCCCACTCTGGCCCCCAGTCCTTTCATGTTAGATCTCAGACTCTGCAAATACACACACACAGAGAGAGAGAGAGAGAGAGAGAGAGAGAGAGAGAGAGAGAGAGAGAAGGCTGTGCTCAGGAAATTGCTTACACATGATTCCTTCAGACTGCAGGAGCTTCCCACTCCACTTGACCTCAGCACAGTCTCCACTGGTCACTGATGCCCCTTCCTGGCACCTGCACCGATGCTGCGAAGCCTTCATGATGGTGGTCTTCAGCAAAAGAGAAGAGTAAGTGAGCAGAGAAGAAAGCTTATCTCCTCTGTCAGAGATGGCCCAAAACAATGCAGCTTGTGCCTTGATTTTTTACACACCTTTGGATAAAACATCTCTTTCACCACTAATTTGCACACCCCTGCTCTGCATGGGGCCCCAGATAAGTTCAGTGGAGGTTGATGTCAGATAAATCTGAGTGATGGACACAGAGCTGACTCAGCCACTTTTCCTTTCCAACAACGATGGTATTCTTGACAGAGGAAGCTGATCTGCCTGGATCCTCTCTCCTTCTGCATTAGTGTTCAGTGCCCCACCACTCCCTGCCCAGGGGTTCATTGGATACGGCTGATTTTCACCTATATTAAGCCGGAAAACTGTCCCTGCCACACCCTGCCTCACACACTGTGCTGGCACAGGGCACATAATAGTAAGCAAGGCAGACATGCCATCATGGAGGCCACAGAGCATAAAGGTGAGAGACCGAGTGCTGGAGCCAGGCCACTTGGGTTTACCCCTGGCTTTGTCACTTTCTAGCTGTGTGACCTTGAGCAAGATACTTTACCTCTCTATGCCTCGGTTTTCCCATCTGTAAAATGGTGATAATAGAATACCTAATTTATAGTGTTGTTAGGACGAACAAGTTAAATCATGTTAAACACCATTGCCTGGCACATAGCAAGTACTCTATAAAAGTTAGCTGGTATTATTATAGCCTAATGGTAGATAAAAAACAAAATAGACAAATAGGAAAAATAATTACTGATTATAATATGTGTCACAGAGAATAACAGGAATGGTGAGAGCAGGTCGTTTTAGGCAGAGCCAGAGAAGACTCTCCAAGGAGGTAATTTAAGTTGAGACCTTAAGTTCGAGAAGGAGCCAGCCACAGCAATAGCTGGGAGAAGAAAATTCCTTGCAGAGGGTCAGAAGGAGCAGCAAGTGCAGAGTTCCCAAGACAAAAAAGAGAGCTTGGTGAGCCCTAACAGTAAGAAAGGGTCAGAGAGCTGAGCAGACTGAACAAGGGGCAGATGGCACAGGAAAAAAGGAAGACCAGATTGTGCAGGGTTGATGACTGCAAGAGAAAGTTTGGAGTTCATTCTATGTTCAGCGAAAAGCCATTGGAAAATTTTAAACCTGAGAGTGACATCTAATCTACATGTTTTAAGATTATGCTAATAGATTGAAGGTAAACAAGAGTAGAAACAAGAAGAAAATTAGGAGACTATCGCAGTCATCCAGGATAGAGATGAGGGTGACTGCCACTAGGGGGTGGTGGTGGAGATATAATAAATAAATGGTCTAGGTCTAGTGTTCTCTACAGAGAAGATGCAGTGGTCTTTGCAATAAGGCAGAGCTGGCTGGAGCATTAAAAGTTAAGAGAATGTGAATTAACCTGTCTTACTATAACCTGAAAGAGAGAGATGTTTTTGTTTGTAAACATGGTGTTCCGTGAAAGACAGACCATCACTATTGTCTACAACACAAAGCAATGATTTACTCAGTGTCTGCAATGTAGTCTAGCTCTGGATTTGGTAGAAATGACTTTGTTCCAGGATGGAAGCACAAATATCTTCTTTTCTCCTGATACATATCTCAGCTCTTGTTTTTGAGTCATTAAAATTATTTTTACAAATATTCTAAATAATAAGAAAGCAAACAAAATAGGCATTAGCTTCAATAATCATGCAAGAATTAAGTTATATACTTTGGGTTATTTATAAAGCAATAGATTTATATTTTACAGGTTATAAATGTCTTGTATTATATAAGCCTTTTTGTACTAAATATATATACTATATTAAAATATTATATAGAAATTGGAAAATTTTTATTTTACATAATTAATTTTATAATAATTTTCTTTTATAAATATTGATGATTATATACATGATTTTTTAATGTCACACTCTTAGTCAAGAATGTAGCCCCAAAGGGAAATAAAATTTTCTTCACGAGAATTTTTAAAAACTTACTTTGGCAAAATGTGGCCTGCTTATAGTCTTGTATTACACTATTTCCTGGCACAGGTCCACACACAGAATAGATTTTAAAGGCATGTTTTGGTATCGTCTTTTCTCTGCTCTCAACCAATGAAGTTTTCTCTCTCATAATCTCTCGTCATGAAAAAGTAGGTTCCATCTAAGAAAAGTATTACCAAAACACTTCAAGTACAAAAAAAAAAAAAAAATCATGTCAACGTATATTTATCAAACAACTAATAAACTTCTTCCTCTATCCACTCCCAAAATCCATTTATTTCATCCCAACTAAAATTAAAGTACATGTAGAATTGTGCCAACTAAGAAAGTAACTCATGTCTTAAAGAAAGTGGAAGAGAGCTATAGTCAGAGGGAAATAAAGGAAAATAAAAGAAGCCACCCAAACTTAAAGGCCACTTCTCTCAGGATGGCTTTCAAGACAAAAGCTCAAGGGAATTAACATTTGTTGCATATAAAAACTTAGGGAACATAAAACACTAAACTAATGTGAAATTCTAACCATCCAGAGAACAAGCACATTCAGAAAATGGAAAGCATGATACAGTGAAGAGAATAAGCAGAGCCAAGCTTGGGAGGTAGGATAGATTTTGTGAGAAGTCAGGTTAATTCTTAATTGGTCAATGCATGGAAGAAAACTAGCAGATGGGAAGCCAGCCAAGGGACTCAAGGTTAAAAGCATTAAATAAAACACTTTGAGTAAAATGGTAATCAAACAATAATTCACAAGTAATTTGGCTGATTAAAAATGTCTGAAAGAGGCGGCCCTCAACTCCACTGCTGAGCTAGGAATTCCATATACTGAGCTTATAAGCATGAAAGTTGGGGTGAAAGCTGCATGTCTCCAAAATGGTCGTCCTTCATGTTTATGTGTAGAGGATGATCTCTTTCTGGGCTGGCTGAGTTGGTGTCCAAGGATCTATTTTACCCATTTGTTCAGTATCCAAGATGGTGAGCCTATCTGATTATCTAAAACACTGACTCCTAGGGCCAGACTGGAAAATGGCCAAATCCTTCGGGGAAATCACAAAATCCAAATGAAAGCAGATTCAGAATGGTTATTTTTAAATGTGGCACATCATTTCCATAGGCCAAGAAAAATATCAGGTTAGAGAGAAGAGTAAGAGTGCAGAGGGATGTGGCACCATTAGAAATCCCAACAGAGGCCAGGCACAGTGGCTCACAACTATAATCCCAACACTTTGCGAGGCCGAGGTGGGTGGATCCCTTGAGCTCAGGAGTTTGACACCAGCCTGGGCAACATGGCAGGACCCTGTCTCTATTTAAATATATACATACCTACACACATACATATATATACATACACACACACACACACACACACACGCATATATTTCTTTTATATATATGTACGTATATATTTCTTATATATATTATATATATTTGAAATCCCAACAGAATGTACTCTTCCCCCAAAAGTTTTGAAGAAAGGCCCAGCTGGCCTCCTGCTTTTGCCCGTGTCCCTGCAAATCTCTTCTTAACACAGAATGCAGGTAATTCTATTAAACATAAGTTGGATTATGCCCTCATCTCCTCTAAACCTTCCAATGACTTCTGACCTCCTTCAGAGTAATTTCCAAACCCTGCAGGACCGCATGTGATGCTAAACAGTAAGGCCCAAAGCAGAAGCCTCCACAGAGCATTCTCCCCTCTTTTTGTCTCCCCAGCATTCATATCTCCTTCTAGATTGGGGGAAATCCCTCCCCATGGTATGGTTCTTCGTAGGAGGCAGGACATGCAGTGGTGGAAGAGAAATTGTCCCCTGTCCCCACTCTCTACCTGCTGCAGAAGAGTCACAGGACCCAGGCTAGGCCAGTCCAGTTTGGTTTTTGCATCATTCCTTTGAGATTCAGACAGACAATTTGCAGTAATGAAATCAAAGATGCGGTGGCTGTCACGATGTATATGGTGACAGCAGTGCCACCAGCAGCAAGTGTCCATCTCCAGCGGTGCCCACAGGAACATCCCAACTGGACCATTCTTGTGTTCTTGGCTGCTGACTTCCCTTAGCTCCTGCTTACTTTCTGAGCACAGTTCAACAGCCTCTCCTTTGATTCTGAGAGTTACTATGGCCTTTCAGTAAGTTTTTTTCTGCTTAGATTAGCCAGAATCATCTTCTATTATTTACAACCAAGAATCATAACCATTAAGATGAGCTTTGTAGCACACTGATGAATCTTTGAATACGTGGGCAAAAAGGACTAGGGTCTAGTACGGTGCAGAAAGCCAACTTGCTCTGCATAAAAAGTGAATAGAATTGAGCTTCTTGGGGTACTCAAGGGGAGGTGGCCTGCGTTGGAGTCTTAAAGGAAAGAAAGGAGTCTGAGTCCTGCAGTGGGAACCTGTGCAAGAAAGGGACCAGAAATTTTTTTTTGTTTTTTTTTTTTTTTGAGACGGAGTCTCACTCTGTCGCCCAGGCTGGAGTGCAGTGGCGCAATCTCGGCTCACTGCAAGCTCCGCCTCCTGGGTTCACGCCATTCTCCTGCCTCAGCCTCCCGAGTAGCCGGGACTACAGGCGCCCACCACCACTCCCGGCTAATTTTTTGTATTTTTAGTAGAGACGGGGTTTCACCGTGTTAGCCGGGATGGTCTCCATCTCCTGACCTCGTGATCCGCCCGCCTCGGCCTCCCAAAGTGCTGGGATTACAGGCATGAGCCACCGCACCCAGCCCAGAAAAAAAATTTAATAAGCAACAAGAGGAGGGGGAAAGGAGAGTGAAATGGTTAAAAAAAAAAAAAAAAAAAAAGTCATCAAAAAAGCTCTCCTGCCCAGCGTCTTATCTGTCCATGATCCTTTTATTACCAGAACTGTTTTTTGTGAAGGTTAGCCTCAAGCAGGATGTCATTTGCCAGAGCTACATTTAAAAAACAAAATTAGGACCTAAGTTAGTCTGACTTAATTTTTTTTAATACAGTAGAATATGGGGCACGTATTCTGCTTGTACAGGACTATTGATGGGCTTTCTTGTTTGGCTGAGTAATTAATGTATTTTATGGCTTGCTGGGCATTATTCAGAGATCAATATACTGAAACTCAAAACTTTGGAATAATCAACAAGAATGTTATATTTATGAGGCTTATGAAGTTAATAACAATAGGAATTCCATAAGCCCCACAAGGAAATCACTGTGTTGTTCCCATCTCCTCTCCTGGATTCCTCTCCATCCCTGTCTCTCTCTCTCC
Organism: Homo sapiens; assembly: GCF_000001405.40. NCBI lineage: Eukaryota > Metazoa > Chordata > Mammalia > Primates > Hominidae > Homo > Homo sapiens. Next base: position 45,786,589 of record NC_000015.10, on the reverse strand, counting down.
TTCCCTCTGTTACTAGTCTCTTCTCCATATTTCTGTCTCCCTCCATCTCTGTGTGTCTGTCTGCATCTCTCTGTTTCACCTTTGTTAATTTCTCTTCTCATGTTCAAAAGGGTTTATCGCATCTCAGAAATATTTATACAATATAGCAAGATAATATAAATTCAAAGTAGATGAGAAAAGAAAAACCAAAGAAAAACACAAAGGTCAGAAGTGAGACTAACACAAAAGTGCACACTGTGAAGTCTTACTCACAAGCTACGGGTGCCATCAATTTTGCTCTACACTCTCTAGCAGTCATTTCAAAGGTGGAAATACAATTCAATGTTCATAAGATAAAATTATACCAATTGCTCATGCTTCCTAAATCTGCATAATAACATAATTTATGAAAATGATGCATCACAATGACACAATTTGTCAAAAAATTCCTCCACCTCACAAATGGCCCTGCCACACTTAATAAGCGGAAATAAGTGGCAGCAAGTTCAGTCACCTTCCCCGGCTGGAAAAGCTGGTTTTCCAGTGCACCTGATGGGAGTATTATTTCTCACAGCAGGTAATAAATTTGTAGAATTCATTACCCACAGGAGAAGGTGCAGGCAGGAAATAGAAATGGATTCAAAAAGGGTTGGTCAAATTTATAAATGGTGAAGCCATAAATGGCTCTTATTTCCTTTGTATTCAATAATATTTTATGCTGTGATCCGCCCCACCTCTTTACTGGCTATCTTAAAATGCATCCTTGAAGCTCCTTAGTTCTCTCTCTGATAGGATTTCTGATGGTATATATAATATTTGATGTATATTTATTCCTATATAGAAATATGATTTTTATTCTCTGTTGGTAGGATATATTCAAATGGCATTGGCTTTGTTTAAATATAGATAAAATGGGGCCGGGCACGGTGGCTCACAACATGGGAGGCCGAGGCGGGCAGATAACCTGAGGTCAGGAGTTCAAGACCAGCCTGGCCTATATGGTGAAACCCCACCTCTACTAAAAATACAAAAAATTAGCTGGGTATGGTGGCGGGTGCCTGTAATACCAGCTACTCGGGAGGCTGAGGCAGGAGAATCGCTTGAACCCAGGAGGCGGAGGTTGCAGTGAGCCAAGATTTCCCTATTGCACTCCAGCCTGGGCAATAAGAGCAAAACTCCACCTCAAAAAAAAAAATAGATAAAATGTTTTAACAGTCTGTACATTTTCAGTATAATTTGTAATGTTATATAACATATAACTAAATTAATAATTCCAGCACTATAGTCCCAACTTATACACTACTCTAGAACAAATTAATTACGCTTTGACACCCCAACAGAAGTAAACCTGGCCCTGGGAACATTTGGGAAGCTTTCTTATTGCTCAAGGCCCAAAAGGGAGTGAGGATGGTAACTGGGTTGGATTAAGCATGAGCAGCAGGACTTTGCATGGGCAAGGGTGGGTTGGGGCTCTGTTGTTTTCTGTAGCAGCTGGTACCTCTCTTCCTGTGATCCTGCCTGCCTCAAAGAGGAGGGATACGTGCTCAGTCTTTGTCATTGCTGGGGCTCAGATAATGTACCCCAAAATGTGCTGCTTTACTATGCTAATTACCTCAAAGCGAGGGCACTTTAGGAACAGCAAATATAGGAGGAGGCTTTCTCTGAACTTCCCTATCTTCCTTGAGACTGAATTTTTCAGAAAGAATTCAGTGGTCCTGGATCCCTTCCACAAAAATGTCATCATCCAGGGGAGACTGACTCATATCACAGGAAAGATGACTGGAGGCTAACAGCACACCCAGGTGGACTTTTTCACAGGCTATCACCTGTTCTTTGGGCCCATGTATTTTCTCCCCAAAATTATTTACTCTCCCGTAAGTTGCTTACATTCCTGCTCCCCTCTTCCCTATAAAAAGGGTACACAAGCTTCTAAATTTCATTGGGTTATTGAGGAGTCACTTTTCTTTCCTGTAATGAGTCCATGCATGTAATAAATTTGTATGACTTTTCTCCTGTTAATCAGTCTAGCTGTCAGTTTTCATAGACTCAATTTCCAAACCTTCAGAGGGTCGAGAGAAAGTCTTTCTGTCTCCTACACTGAGAACCAGCATGACCGCTGCCAGTACATCTCCAGAGTCACCCATCAATGTGCAATGTGGCAGTTCTGGGAACCAGACACCCAATCAGACAGAGATGGACATTGGATACTCTCTTAAAAGTCTTGGGCCATAAAATTGAGAGACAGGACCCTGCTGGGCTTTAGGCAACTTTCTTCTCTCCAATTTGGGGCAATTCTGGAGAATTTAGCCAGGGTCTGAGTGGCTGTGAAAAAGTAGCCAGAAAACACAAGTTTCATTGGCTCTTCAGACAAAGAACTTCAGGGGACCTAGGAAAGGAATTGCTACTGGGATGTTTTGTTTATACCAGGGACACTGAGGCTCAGACTGGTGGGGCCTTTGGCAATCTTGAATTCTAAGAGTTGTTTATTGGGATTTAGAAGTGAGAATGAAGGTAATGAAAGTAGTTTTGCCACATTGATGGTATGCTGTGTGTTGTGTTGGGATTTTAATAACTTACTAACACAGCAGAAGCACGTCACATCCCCTAGGCACAGGCCAAGAAATAGAGCCCAGATGCCTACCTGGGTCTGCCTTCCCCTTTGTGATGCTGCAGTTTGCTCAGAGTCCCATTGGATAGGGTCCTTAACTCCTCTGCATCTTCCTTCTCATCCATAATACTGGGCAATTACAATATATGATTATGAAGATCCCTTCCGGCTCCAAGCTCCTGTCTCTGTGGCCGGGGCTCAGGAGTCTACTGGTGTAAACAGCAGTGCTGAGTCACCTGTCGAGGGCAGTCCTGATGCTCCTGCCTAGCTGCCTGCTAAGATCACACGATGCTCCTAAGTACCCACTTTTCTCCTTTTAGCAAGAAAACAACACTCATCTCACCAGAATATTCCTGATGAAATCTAAAAGTATGACTATACATTAACATTTGTACTAAGCAAGAATCATCTGAAGGTCTTCAGGAACCTGCCAGGAGAGAGTTGGGAGAGCAATGTGGGCTACTCCTTTTCCTTCTCTTTAAAACAAGGGTGAAAATGACACCTATCTCTAGGTGTTGATGTTTAGATCAAATGAAAGGGCATTTAGCTATGTCCCATGGACATGATGCTATGCTATGAATACCATGGTGAGTGCTGGTGCTACTGTGAGGTGGCCATGACTATTATTGCACAGAAAAAAAAACTAAAGTTCAGAGTGGTAAAGAAAATTGCCCAAGGTTACATAATTTGGAAGTGGTAGAACTGATTTTCACATACACACAAATTTGACTCCAAAACTCATGCTCCTGACCAGTATATATTTATGAGTTGTTTGTCTTTGCAGCTGTCAATGCGTGGGGACTTTACAGTCAGTATAACACGGATTTAAAAGTTGACTCTAAATTTAAAAGTGGTGACCTTGGACAGCCTAACTAATCTTACTGGAGCTTAGTTTCCTCATCCGTGAGGATTAAATGAGATTATTTGTGTTAAGCACCTACACATGGTAGACCTTCCAGATTGTGGTTTTCTATCTGAGCTTGTAATGTCCCTAAAGCAGACCCTGAGGAAAGGGTTTGGATGCAGTAGTTTATTTGGGACATGGTCCTTAGAAGTACCACTGAGGAAGTGGGGAAAGTGAGACAGAGAAGGGAGAAAAGTAAATAGAAGGTATGCTAGTGGCCCAGTAACCACTATGAGCAACTGAGGCTCAAACCCCCAGAGACCATGAGAAAATGTGCAGAAGCCAGCTCAGAATCATCCCCCTAGAGCAGTAGCTGGAAAACTTGAGTGTGCAGCAGAATCACCCGAAGGGCTTGTGAAAACACAGATTGCTGAGCCCCATCATTAGGGTTTCCCTGTCAAGAGGTGGGGGTGGGGGAGACATGCATTTCTAACAAGTTTCCAGGTGAGGCTGATACTGTTGTCGAGGGGCCACACTTTTGAGAACTGCTTCACTAAAAGATTGGAGGCTGGGCACTTAGCCACTGACCCACCCCCTACTGAGATTATCCGCTGTTTGAGAATATTAACTCAAACACATGCATTCCCAGGTTGGCCTGCAGTGGCAAAACAAGTGTGAGCAGTGCCAAAGCACCCTTTAAGGCAGATCAAAGGAGAAACAGGTGCGTATAGGTAGAAAGCTGTCAGCATGCTGGCAGCTGTCTCTCACAGCTATCAATGAGCCCAGTTAAACTGAGGGGATAGGGACGGGGCATCATTAGCATCTGCAGTGCTTTCTCTACCCTATTGTTGCTGCATTTGTGGCCATTATTAGTCCGTAAACTGAAGGGCTGCAGTCTCGAGGTCGTTGGTTGAAAAATCCCTGAACCAAGTGGTTGTGAATGTGAAAAACTTCCTCAGTCTGAGGATAACAGCTGCAGGAAAGGACTCTTGCCTGTCAGACACTTCTTCAGCAAATCCAAGAAATGAAGAGGAAAGGAATGAGGCCAAGTGCAGAGCAGTTAACCATGAGGGACTCTTCAGTGTCCAGCAGACCCACTGTGTCTCAATGCAAACTCCTGACCCCACCAAGTCACGTCCCTGCTGGAGAGAGGACGCGTTTCACATGCAGATCATACAGAGCACAGGGCTGTCCCACATGCTCTTTGTGCCCTGTGGAGAAAATGGCTAGCACTGGTGATAAAATGGGACTGCTCCATTATTTGGTTCCGCATGTACACTTAATTGTCAACATCGCCATCACTTTAACTGCAAATAAGCACAATCTTATTGCCCATCAATTGTTTGATGGGAGGAAAACGGGCTGTTTGGAGGTGATGTCGAGATAAGAACCATCATTATTATCTTTTTATATGAGGTTTCGTTTTCATTCTTCACTTCCCTTGCCATCTCCTCAGTGATTATATTTTTCCACAAATTCAAAATTGAAATACCACAGTCAACACAAAATATTCCAGCATTCATCTGAGTCCTGAGGCTGTCATTTACTAATTCCAGATATCTGTAGTAGGAGTTTTTTAATCTTTCTCAAAGAATTTTTATATCTCTTAATCTATTCATCCTCATAACAATGCCTTAAGCTTAAAGAGTGGCAGAAATACTATCTGCAAATGAGGAAACTGAGGCACAGAAGAGCAAATTGACTTGTCTGGGAACTGACTGGTGGTGATAACAGCTGATTTCCACTAATCTGCAGAGGGTCATGTTTAGTTTCACTCATGTGGCTAGAAATAACTAACCAATGGGTATAAAGAATTCCCCATATTTACTCTGCCCTTTATTCAAGCAGTAGTAGAGCTCCCTGCTCATGGCCCCAGAAAAGGTATGTTATTCAAAAACATAAAACTAGCCCTGGAGAACTCCATGGGTTTCCAGAGGAAGCAGGAAGAAAAGTAGAGGAGCAGAGAAGGAGTCTTAGAGAGGGGCAGCGGAGACAAAAGACAGCAGAAACATGCAAGAATACCCTCCCCTTCCCCCGACTAGAAAAGGACTCTGAGATGCAATAGGAGTGGAAAGAGAGGGCTGTGTTCCCAATCAACAGGGATCTAGATACCACTTTTTGGCACTGGAGCCAAGAAAGAAGCAAGACACTGAGAGAAATGCTGCAGGGAGTGTGGCACCCGAGGCATAGGGCCCAGAACTCAGCAAAGATTTCCAGAGCCCCAGCATATTCAGGAAGTAACAGAGTCCAGCACCCAAAAGGACCATCAGGACAAAGACATAGTAATAATACCTGGAATCTTGACCCAGGCCCATGAGGCAGAAGCCAAAGGGGGCAGGGTTAGAGGAGGAATCTTCAGAACAGCCAAATACTAAAAAACCATCAGAGGAAAAGCGGCTCTAGATTATAGGTTATAGAGTAACTGACATTCCACACACCTGAGTTTAGGGCTGAGACTCAAACATACGATAATCTTCTTGGTGCCAGCAGCATTCTCAAACAGTTGCCAGGGCAGATCTTAGGTAAAATGTTGGAGCAGTGAGGATTTCTCTGGACTCCTTCATCCTGAAATGCTGGTGCCTCACCCAGAGCTTCCCTCTGCTGCCCCCTGGTTCCAAGCACATCTTCCAATGTCCTCTCTCAGGACACACTTCTACTACCATCGTTAAAACACTACCCTGTAGTTCCAACTAGATTATCTAATAATCATTCTCAGTCTTCTCCCCACCCCAACCCCTAAGAAGTGTAACACACAAAATACAAATTCCCTCAGAAGCAGTAAAGTGCTCAGCATGAATTCTCAGATGAGAACATGGGGGTGGGGAATAGAGGAATCTGAATACAATGTTAGGAAAAGAGGTGAGGTTTGAGCTTTTTACGCTTACCAAAAGGAACATTAGTTTGAACGCCTATCACATGGCATAAAAAGAGCATTTTCAAAATCTGGGCATGGCCATGAGAGTGCTGTAGACACGTGAGCTAGGCAGGACAAAAGATTCAGAACCACTATATTACATTAATGCATAAAAAGCTTTGAAATGGTGGAAAGCTGGGAGAAGACGGTAGATCCCAGCTCTAGACCACTTACATCTGTGTGAGTTAGAACAAGCATCACAAATCATTGCTATCACAGATGACAGCAATTGTCATCATCATCACCTTCATTATCTCATCATCTCATCATCATCATCTCTACTGCTAATACAGTTAATACTTATTGAGAACTTATGGAATGGGTATTATTTTAAATGCCTTTCAGCTGCACACAAACTGTTTATAGTATGTATTGTTTTATCCCTAATTTGATAAGAGGAAACTAAGGCACAGGGAGGTTAAGTGATTTGCCCAACAAGATGATAATTTGCAGAGACAGCAAGTCCTGTAGTGTGAGATGCCAGCTCTGAACCACCCTGCTTTACCAGGGATAGGTGTGTTAGAAAGATTACATGAGATAATCTAAGACTGTGTTACATGTATTATGTGGCTATGCAAAGGGGATATAATCATGAGAGAACCAAGTTGCTTCCCAATTCATGGTGTACTAGTCAGGGTTCTTGGTTGCAAATAAGAAAGGTATCACTGGTAAACATAAGAAGAAAAGGAATTTACCCAAAGGATATTGAGCAACTCAAAGAATCACAGAAAGCCCGGCAAACAAGGTGTGAGTGGACACTAAGTGCAGTGAAACATAATGAAGACCCTACCCTAAGAACAATCTGCTCAGGATCCAGCACTAGCACTGTTGACTCTAGCCATCAACCATGTCTCTGCAGGGCTTTGCTACCCCTAAACAGTACCATGCTCCTTGACTCTAACTTGGTCACAGCCACTAGGAATAATGGCTCTCTGGCCCCCTCTCCTTCAAGTTCTAAGGATTCAATCAGAAATAGTTGATTGGCCACAATTAGGTCATAGGCCCACCTTATGTCTTGCTAGATATCTGTAACAGTCAGCTATTGCCACAATAATGCAGCATATCAAACCACCCCAAAACTCAAGGGCTTTTAACAACAAGCATTTATTCTTCTGTCTCACTACAGGTGAGCTATGGTAGCTCTGCTTCAGACTACAGGTCTGGATCAAGTGTGCTCCACGTGTCTCTCATCCTCCTTGGGCCAGAGACTATAAGGGGCATGTTTTTCTCGTGTACAATGTCATTAGTGCAAGAGCACAAGCTGAAACACATGATGATGCTTCTTGAGGCCCTGGCCCCAAACTGGCATACTACCACTTCCACCTGTATTCCATGGGCCAAAGCAAGTCATGAGCCCAATCCCAACATCAGTAGAGTAGAGAAATACACTCTCCTCACTGTAATGGGAGGCACTGCAAAGTCACAAGACAAAGGGCCTGGATGTATATAATTCTAATGAGGGAGGTGTAGAATATTGCAAATTCACTCTACCCTATGATCACAAAAGAAGGAGCCCATTTCCATTTCTTCAAAAATAGAAAGGGTGCTTAGCTTCTAGTCAGCTAAGATTTTAAAAATTCACTATTCGTGTTAAGGGGGAGGCCTTCTGAAGACAAGGGGTCCTCAGGAACCTCAGAGATGAGGACTCTTTCCAACTCTTTTTCCCACTTTCCATGGTAAGTTACAAACCCAGCACAATGTCCAGCTTAGGGTCAAGCTTCTATTTGAAGTTTTTGAAGATGAATGTTTATGCGGTATGTTTCAGCTTATTATACCGATGATTGTGTTATTTCCCTGGATGATTTTTTCAATTTTTATTAGAAATGACAGCTCTTTTATTAAAAAGCAGGAAATATCATATTAAAGAAAAATACAAGCAACAGTTATCAGGTACTAAAGGATATGAAAGTTCTATCTTGTGAAAGAGAGGAACTAGCGGTATCTTTAACGGATTTGCAGTTTGAGTGTTTTATTAAATCTGACACCAAGCCTGCAATTAAGACCAATTATTTGGTCATAGTGTCAGTTCCACTTAAAATGAGAAAGTTTGTGATGGCAACAGTTTATTTTTAATAACTGATTTCAGAGAAAACCATTTTGTGATCAATTGCTACTTCCTGACCTCCTGATCTCCAAATAAAAGACTTGTACCTGTGGGGTTACTTGCACGAACCCACCCCAGAAGAGCAGTCACTAGATGCTATTACAGGCTGACAGTGAGTTATATATTCACTCAACCATTCATCCATCCTGCTACACACAGATGCACCTGGTGGGTGCCCCTGCGGTAAGTGCCTTCTATTCATGCTGCATTCAGACAAAATGCTGAGCCTGAGAACTCCTACCCACGCCACTGAGAGAGCCTTCATCCTCTGAGCAGGAAGAGATTTCACAGATGCTTGTGTTCTGGTGATTATGTGTGAGGACATGCATCCTTCCAGGTGTATTAATCAACGCCCTCTTTACTCATTTAATAAAGCCCTACCTAGACGGTTTTGTTTGATTGTCTGTGTGTTTTTGGATTTGTGGTTCTTGGGGTGAACAAATGGCTCTCAGGTTCCAGGAATACTTCCAAGACAGCGCCTCACCCCTCACAGGTTAGCCCATGCCACTGGGCGAGTAACTCCAGATATGAGGTTGCCAAACTTAAATTAGCCCATGCCACTGGGCGAGTAACTGCAGATAAGAGGTTGCCAAACTTAAATGGGGCCACTTTTTAAAAATTCACATTTTTCCTATTCCAAGGCACAATCTCCCACAAATTACACTGAGGTAATTTAGGAATTTCATGTTTTATCCTTTGTTATCCTCCCCTTCTACTTGTAGGGCACTTGGGTTTAATAGCATGTTCACCCCCTTCCCTACTTTGGGGCTGTTTGCATGGTTTGGCTTCTTTTGTTCTCTTGCTCCTTTAACTTGCTATTATGATTCTGGAATCTAAACAATAACCCCCAAAATTCAGAAAGCATAAATTTAATACATTTTTACCATCTAATCCACCAAAGTTTCTGATAAATAAGGTGTCTACATTCAGCTTTGGCATAAAGAATGACTACTGGCAAGAAACTAGACTGAGGTCATCATTTTCAAATTCTGTCAGTTTTGATGGACTGGAAGAGCTGAGAGGGATGGGGGAAGGAGGACATTGGGGAGAATAGTGTATGTTCTTATTTAAACAGACAAGCAAACAAAGACAGAGAGGACCTTTAAACCTTTCGGTAAAGGCTTCTAACTTGAGGCAACACATGTCATCCTCTGTTTCACGTCCTGAATCTCACTTCAGCCCGCATACAGCTGCTTTAGGAGACAGAGACTGAAATAGAAAACCAGCCGTGGTGATGAAATGTGACAACCTGCTTCAGAAAGGACA